>NC_000001.11:1997183-2702781 GCF_000001405.40 Homo sapiens
AGGCTAAGGTTGGTGGATCACCTGAGGTCAGGAGTTCGAGACCAGCCTGACCAATGTGGGGAAACCCCGCCTCTACCAAAAATACAAAATTAGCCAGGCGTGGTGGCGCACGCCTGTAATCCCAGCTACTTGGGAGGCTGAGGCAGGAGAAACGTTTGAACCCAGGAGGCGGAGGTTGCAGTGAGCTGAGATTGAGCCACTGCACTCCAGCCTGGGCGACAAGAGCGAAACTCCGTCTCAAAAAAAAAAAAAAGGAAATAAAAGGCATAAGGAATGGAAGGGAAAAATGGTCATTATTTCAGATAAAATGACTCTACATAGAAAATCCAAACAAATATACAGATAAGTTATTTAATTAAAACAACTTAGTAATGTTGCTTGGTACAACTTCAATAATGAAAAGCAAGTATATTTCTATTTATCAGAAGAAATAATGAGAAAATGAGATTTAGAAAAGCTACCGTTTATAATCACATCAAAAACCATGAAGTACTCAAGAAGAAATACAACAAAAGACACACAGACCTCTACAGAGAATGCGAGGAACCCCCTCGGGCAGCATGAAAGGAGACAGACATAAAAATAAATGGAACAAACGACCCATTTCTTCAACAAATAAATGGCCTGGAGGAAAATAAGGAAGGGGAGGTCTTTAAGTGAAAAGAGCCTCAAGAGACAAGTCGGCCACATGCAACCTGGGGATCTTGTTCAAATCTCGATTCAAGCAAACCAGCTGTAAAAGACATTTTTGAGACAATTCCTGAAAGTGAGCACAAACTGGCATTAGTTTCCATTAAGAAATTATCAATGTGGGCCGGGCGTGGTGGCTCATGCCTATAATCCCAGCACTTTGGGAGGCTGAGGCGGGTGGATCACCTGAGGTCAGGAGTTCGAGACCTGCCTGGCCAATATGGTAAAACCTCATCTCTACTAAAAATACAAAAATTAGCCGAGTGTGGTGGCGGGCACCTGTAATCCCAGCTACTTCGGAGGCTGAGGCAGAAGAATCACTTGAATCTGGGAGGCAGAGGTTGCAGTGAGCCAAGATCGTGCCATTGCACTCCAGCCTGGGTGACAGAGCGAGACTTCATCTCAAAAAAAACAAGAAATTATTAATTGTATTGGGGTTGATGATGATTTTGTGGTTATGCTAAAAATGAGTTTCTATCTGTCAGAGGCATCTGCAAAGGTTTTTACAGGTGAAATGATATATCGCCTGGGATTTTCTTTGAAACATGCTAGTCCAGATCTACACGTAGGGAGGGGTAATGGGAGAGGAATGCTGTGAGGCTGATAGTTGCTGAGGCAGGGACGGGCACCTGGGGCTTCGTATTATCATTCTCTTTACTTTTTTGACTTTGCAATTTTCCATAATAAAAGTTTTTTCTAAAAGAAAGTCTAAATAAATAGCCTGGGCGCGGTGGCTCACGCCTGTAATCCCAGCACTTTGGGAGGCCGAGGTGGGCAGATCGTGAGGTCAGGAGATCAAGACCATCCTGGCTAACAGGGTGAAACCTCATCTCTACTAAAAATACAAAAAAAAATTAGCCGGGCGTGGTGGCGGGCACCTGTAGTCCCAGCTACTCGGGAGGCTGAGGTAGGAGAATGGCGTGAAGCCAGGAGGCGGAGCTTGCAGTGAGCTGAGATCTTGCCACTGCACTCTAGCCTAGGCGACAGAGTGAGACTCCGTCTCGAAAAAAGTAATAATAAAATAAAATTAAAATTAAAAAATAAAATAAATAAATAAATAGCTCATGTTCAAGCACTACAAACTCAATGTTGTCAGGAAGTCAGTTCCTTCCAGATTGCTCTATAGATTCCCTAAAACCCCTATCCAAATCCCAACAGAAATGTGTGTGTGTGTCTACATGCAAGAGCAAGAGAATGAGAAACTCGTCTGGTGAATTTTAAAATGTATATGGAAGAACAATGGAACAATAGTTTTGAAGGGGGAAGGGGTGCCCCACCAGATATCAAGATTGATTCTAAAGCTGTAAAACTAAGACAGTAGAGTGCTTTGGACAAGACAAACAGACCAATGGAACAGATCAGAGAGGCCAGAAACAGGCCCCCACGTACTAGCGCTATGCAGGATAGAAGCAGGGTTGCTGAACAGCAGCCACGGAATGGACATCTTTGTCGGCACCCACCCAAAGATCAGTCTCACGTGGATTAAAGACTCGTATGGGAAAAATCAAAATTCAGCTACAGTGTGTGTTAGCGGGGAGTCGATGGGGGGTGGGAATGGAGCCTTGTTACTTCAGAATTTCTCAAATAAAACGCTAAAGACATTAGGCACAAAGGGAAAATTGGGTAGAGTCGCCCACATTTCAATTAAAAATTTTCATTCAGGCCAGGTGCAGTGGCTCACACCTGTAATCCCAGCACTTTGGGAGGCCGAGGCAGGTGGGTCACTTGAGGTCAGGAGTTCGAGACCAGCCTGGCCAACATGGTGAAACCCCGTCTCTACAAAAAATACAAAAATTAGCCAGGCGCGGTGGCGTGCGGCTGTAACCCCAGCTACTCGGGAGGCTGAGGCAAGAGACTCCTTTGAACCTGGGAGGAGGAGGTTGCAGTGAGCCAAGATTGTGCCACTGCACTACAGCTTAGGCGACAGAGCAAGACTCTGTCTCAAACAAATAAACAAAACCAAATCTTTTGTTCAGATGACATCCTAGGGAAAGTTAAAGAAAACCTACAGGCCGGGCGCGGTGGCTCACGCCTGTAATCCCAGCACTTTGGGAGGCTGAGGCGGGCGGATCATGAGGTCAGGAGATCAAGACCATCCTGGCTAACACGGTGAAACCCCGTCTCTACTAAAAATACAAAAAATTAGCCAGGTGTGGTGCAGGCGCCTGGAGTCCCAGCTCCTCAGGAGGTTGAAGCAGGAGAGTTGCTTGAACTGGTGAGGTGGAGGTTGCAGTGAGCTGAGATCGTGCCACTGCACTCCAGCCTGGGCGACAGAGCGAGACTCCATCTCAAAAAAAAGAAAAAAGAAAACCTACAAAGTAGAAGACAATCACAGCACATAACCCAGAATTTTACTGTCAAGACCATGTAAGGAATATCCATGAATGGATAAAGACAGACAGCCCCACAGCAAAATGGGCAAAAGACGTCAACAGGCACTTCACAGTTAAGGACGTGCCACGTCCCCTAACACGCGCATGGGTTCGGAGGACCAGGACATGGGTTTTTTGGGGAAGGGGGAGATCATCCTGCCTATGGCACCCTCTGGCTCTGCGATTCCTCTCCCAGGAGCACACCCTACAGAAAATCCCACCTGTTGTGTTAGCTTCCCGGGGTCGCCATAACAAAGTACCACAACCTAGGTGGCTTCAACAACAGAGTTGTCTCACGGTTCTGGAAGCCATCGTCTAAAACCGAGTTGATGGCAGGGCCATGCTTCCTCTGAAGGCACGAGGGAAGGGCCTGTTTCAGGCCTCTCTTTTAGCTTCTGCTAGTTCTGTGGCTTGTGGCAGCAAAATTCCAATCTTCATAGGACATTCTCTCTGTGTGCATTTGTATGTCCAAATTTCTCCTTTTTATAAGGACACCGGTCATACCAGATGAGGCACTCACCCTATTCTAGTATGTCCTCCTCTTAGCTACTTACAGGCATCACTGTAAGTCCAAATAAGGTCATATTCTCAGGTCCTGAGGCTTAGAGACAGCCCCGATGGCCACGGTGCCACTGTGTGGATGAATCTCTCGCACAACCCCGAGGAGAAAAAGACAGAGGCCCGCCTGATGCTCTTCCTCTCCCCCTTCCCTTCACTGTCACAGTAGGTTCCCTGGGTAGGGCAGGTGGAGCAGGATCCACAGTGGCCCAGGCTGGGCTGTCGGAGCCTGGCTGGGTGAGGAGGGTGAGGGTATGTGGCTGAGGCTCAGAGCTGTTTGCAGGTGCCTGGCTGGGTGAGGAGGGTGCCGGTGTGCGTGGCTGAGGCTCAGAGCTGGATGTCAGAGCCTGAGAAGAAAGAGGGCGGCCCCAGGTGTGGTCCAGCAGAGGGTATCAGAGCCCAGGCAGGAGAAGAAGGTGTCCACCATGAGAGCCTCCCAGGCCAAGCCTGGGAGTGATGACATATTTGCATAGCTTCCAAATACCTCCTACAAAATGCTTGTGTTTTTGTTTTGTTTTGTTTTTCATTTTGTTTTTTTTTTTTTGAGACGGAGTCTCGCTCTGTCGCCCAGGCTGGAGTGCAGTGGCGCAGGGTCGGCTCACTGCAAACTCCGCCTCCTGGGTTCACGCCATTCTCCTGCCTCAGCCTCCCGAGTAGCTGGGACTACAGGCAACCGCCACCACACCTGGCTAATTTTTGTATTTTTAGTAGAGACGGTTTCACCGTGTTAGCCAGGATGGTCTCGATCTACTGACCTCGTGATCCGCCCTCCTCAGCCTCCCAAAGTGCTGGGATTACAGGCGTGAGCCACTGCACCCGGCCAAAATGCTTGTTAATTACGAAGGAAAAAAGAACTTCCCAGTGGAGATGTTGGCAGATACCACCTTAATCAAGAGCTCAAAGTGAACATCATCAGTAACGTGACAACGTGACCACTGTGAGCCACTGACTGGATGGAATGAACAGGCCACGGTGTCACCTCTGCGACTTTCCTGTCCGAGACGTGCAGTGGGAATCTAATCACGAGGACACAGCAGACGAAACCAAATGGAGGGACTTTCTCCAAAGTAATTGGCCCATGACCTTCAGAGGTGTCAGGGTCATGACAGCCAAAGCAAGGCCAAGGAATGTTCTGGACTGAAGGGGAATAAAGAGGTATGTGAGAATTCAGTGCAAAGTGACTCTAGGCTGGATCCTTCCACGCTGGGGCCCTGATGCAATCAACTGGCAAAGCGTGTTTGACAGGCTGAGGGGTAAACACGGCAACAGGCCTGTGTCCTCTCCTGACTCGGGCCATGTGTGGCTGTGTTGGAGAATGTCCTCGTTTGTGGAAAATACACTCTACAAGGGTGGGGGGCGACAGAGCATCATGAAGGCAACTTACTCTCAAATCCTTCACGAGAAGTTTTTTTGTGCTGAGCTTGCAACTTTTATACAAGTTTGGGATTGTTTCAAAAAATGTTAAAGAATGTATGTGGTATTACATAAAGTTTATATATATTATTAAACTTATATAAACCTTATATAATACCACACATATTCTTTAAAATTTTATATAAATAAATTTATATAAAATTTAAAATAAATGAAAGTTGGCTGGGTGTGGTGGCTCACCGCCTGTAATTCCAGCACTTTGGGAGGCGGAGGTGGGTGGATCATTTGAGATCAGGAGTTCAAGACCATCCTGGCCAACACGCGGAAACCCCGTCTATACTAAAAATACAAAAATTAGCCAGGCATGCTATAATCCCAGCTACTTGGGAGGCTGAGGCAGGAGAATCGCTTGAACCCAGGAGGTGGAGGTTGCAGTGAGCCGAGATCGCCCTGCTGCATTCCAACCTGGGCAACACAGTGAGACTCTGTCTCAAAAAAACAAAAATTTAAAGAATATATGTAGTATTATATGAAGTTTAATATATATTATTAAACTTACATAAAACTATATGTGGCATTATATATAGTCTATATATTTATATTATATATTGTTTATATAACACCACATATATTCTTTAAAATTTTATATAAAGTTTATATAAAGTTTAAAATAAGTGAAAGTTAACTATATTGTTTAGGGACACATGCATAGGTAGTAAAACTAAAGAAATTTATATATCATCTTTAAAATTTTATATAAATATAAAGTTTATATAAAGTTTAAAATAAGTGAAAGTTAACTATATTGTTTAGGGACGCATGCATAGGTAGTAAAACTAAAGAAAAAGTCAGCCATGGTCAAGAAGAGCGGGTCTGTGAGTGGCATGGGGGAGAGACTTTGGGGTGCTGATGAGGTTCTATTTCTTAACTTGGGTAGTGGCTACTGATGTTCGATTTATAACCAATCTCTAAGTCGCACATGCGCATTTATGCACCATCGTTATGCAGAGAATATCAGTCCATTTCTTTTCAACTGTGGGCCCTACAGCAGGCCTGCTTACTACCTCAGTACCTGGCTTATGCAGATAAAAGGAGTATTCCTTTAAGAAAAACAAAATACTAGAGGCAAATCAGCTTCCAAAACTAGGTTATACATACTAAAACTAAATGACTTTGGGGCTATGGACCATGCTCTCCTTTTTAGCTAGGCAGACACTCACGAGTCTTAACTGTTCACCAGACAGGCTGGCCCTTGATTTTTGTTTAATGTTTTTGTAAATGTGTTATAATAATACTTTATTATAACATCTGCTGCAAAGTCAGGGGCGGGTCCCTCAACAGAGGCTGTGCCAGCGCCGGGGTTCCCTGAAACGAACCAGGGACTAGAACTATTAACAAAGTCATTTTTCTGGCACAGCTTTCCGGGAAAGGCGTTTCATATGGGACGGAGTTCTGCCTGGGGGGCGGGGGTCAAACCCTTCCAGCTCAGCCCCAGGGTCAAACGCATCCGCCCCCACACCCACCTCTGGCTGGCCTGGGTCCCAGGTTCTCGGGCTCCGGAGGCACAGACACCCCGGGCTGCTCAGGCAGGCGGCGGTCCTTGGCGATTGCCCTCCGCGGCGCCGGCGGCGTGGTTTGGGGCGGGCAGCTCCATGGCAACGGAAGACTCCATCGTGGCCGGAGGGGGAGCCTCGCCCGTTCTGCTCCCCGGCTGGAGCGGGTGGTTTGGTCCGACCCACCACCGACCGCGCGGGCCGGGGCCGGGGCAAGGAGGTCGCGGGCCCCGAGGCGCGGCTGAAGGGCCAGGCCACAGGCCGCGGGGCGGGGACGTCTCCGGGGTCCCAGACAGCCAGGCCTGGCCCAGGGCCAAGGCTTGGAGGTGACAGACAGACTTGGGGGGCCTGGAGGAGCTCAGCACCGGCGCGTTGGCCCAGAGGACCGGGGCGGGTGCATGATGGTTTGGAGTCGTTTGTCAACCTAAAAAACTAGGAGGTTTCCCGTGAAAATGGGGATTTTCCTCTTCTCTTGCAAATGGAAGATCGGGCTGGGCGCGGTGGCTCACACCTGTCATCCCAACAATTTAGGAGGCCGAGGTGGACGGATCACTTGAGGTCAGGAGTTCGAGACCAGCTTCGCCAACATGGTGAAACCCCGTCTCTTCTAAATATACAAAAATTAGCAGGGCATGGTGGCAGCTGCCTGTAATCCCAGCTACTCAGGAGGCTGAGGCAGGAGAATCGCTTGAATCCAGGAGGAGGAGGTTGCAGTGAGCCAAGATCGTACCACTGCACTCCAGCCTGGATGACAGAGTGAGACTCCGGCTCAAAAAAAAAAAAAAAAAAAAAAAGACTTCTGAATGTTATGTTCCAGCAAAGGCTCCAACTGAAAAATTGTAAAAGTAAATAGCAAAGTCAGTGAGCTATGATGGTGCCATCACACTCTGGCCTGAGCGAAATCAAGACCCTGTTTCAAAATTAAAAACAGCAAAAACCCGGTTGGGCACAGTGGCTCATGCCTGTAATCCCAGCACTTTGGGAGGCTGAGTTGGGCAGATCACTTGAGGTCAGGAGTTCGAGACTATCCTGGTCAACATGGTGAAACCCTGTCTCTACTAAAAATACAAAAATTAGCCGGGTGTGGTGGCGCACACCTGCAGTCCCAGCTACCCCAGAGGCTGAGGCAGGAGAATCGTTTGAACCCGGGAGGTGGAGGTTGCAGCGAGCCAAGATTGCGCCACTGCACTCCAGCCTGAACGACAGAGCGAGACTCTGTCTCAAGACAAACAAACAAACAAAAAACAAAACGGAAGATGGGCCCAACATGCCAAGCCGGTTCCGACGTTCCCCATTGCCTTTCCCACAGTCCCCATCCCCCGCTGCCCAGCCCATCTCACTGTGCATCCTGTTACACCGGAGCCTCTTCTCGCACCGCTGGTCCGTGGGGGCCGTTTGCAATGGAGACATGGGAGTGTGAGGAAAGGGAGTGGTCTCTCACCGGGCCACTCTATGCCAAGAACTGGGCTCACGAGTGAATTGGACGCGTCCCCTACCCTGGCAGTCTTTCAGCCCGCCATGTGTAGGGCTTGCAGGGTGGCCGGCTCCTGATGCCACAGTGAGGCCTGGGAGGTCCTTTGGTTTTATCCTGGCCCATAACCTGATCCATCAGAGGCAAGACACCTTGCAGAATGCCCAGCACCCGTGAGAATGGCTGTGGAAAGTAGCTGGGTGACACCACAGCACCTCTGCACTCACCCACCTTCCGCAGTGCCAGATCGCTTTCCTCCTCAGAATCTGAGGAATAGAACCAAGCCACCATTACCAGCCCAGGTTCGCTTTTATAAGAGAGATTATACTTCTTCCCGACTCCACGGAAATGATAGGGCTTCTTCCTTATCAACTTTGCCTCCCTGGACCTTTCCCAATGAACTGTTAATATACTTTCTAGGAAAGGGCCGGGCACAGTGGCTCACGCCTATAATCCCAGCACTTTGGGAGGCCAAGGCAGGTGGATCACCTGAGGTCAGGAGTTCGAGACCCGCCTGGCCAACATGGTGAAACCCCTGTCTACTAAAATACAAAAACTAGCTGGGCGTGGTGGCGCATGCCTGTAATCCCAGCTACTCGAGAGGCTGACACAGGAGAATCACTTGAACCTAGGAAGCAGAGTTTGCAGTGAGCCAAGATCACACTACTGCACTCCAGCCTGGGCAACAGAGCGAGACTCCAACTCTCTCTCTCTCTCTCTCTCTCGTTCTCTCTCTCTCTCTCTCTATATATATATATATACTGTCTAGGAAAGAAGGAAAGGACAGTGACAGCCTGAGAACAGCCCCGTGTCCATGGAACTGGTTGGTTAAGGAAGCTGTGGAACAGCTACACGATGGAGGTCAGCTGTAAAGAAGGTATAAGGACCATTTATTTCTATGTTCTGCTGTGGAGTGACTCCAGAACATATTGTTAAGTAAAAAAAATTGAGCCAGGCATGGTGGCTTGAGCCTGTAGTCCCAGCTACTTGGGAAGCTGCAGGATGGATTGCTCAAGCCCAGGAGTTTGAGGCTACAGTGAGCTATGATTGTACCACTGTACTCCAGCCCTGGCAACATAGTGAACCCCATCTCAAAAAAGAAAAAAAAAATCCAGCCAGGTGCAGCGGCTCACGCTTCTAATCCCAGCACTTTGGGGGGCAAGGTGGGAGGATCGCTTGAGTCCAGGAGTTTGAGACCAGCCTGGGCAACATGGTGAAACTCTGACTCTAAAAAAATACAAAAAAAATTAGCCGGCCATGGCGGTGCACACCTGTAGCCCCAGCTACTCGGGAGGCTGAGGTGGGAGGACCTCTTGAGCCTGGGAGATTGATGCTGCCCTGAGCTGTGACTGTGTCACTGCACTCCAGCTTGGGTGACAAGTGAGATCCTGTCTCAAAAAAAAAAAAAAATCAAGATGCAGAAAAGTGTGTATAGTATTTATGTAAGAAGGAGCAGTGGCAATAAGAATATATATATATTTTTACATTAAAAAGGTTACTATCTGGGGCAGAAGGACACAGGAATAGAAAGTAGATCTCTTTAAATGTGCTTACATTCAGTTATAGAACTGTGTAATTAGAAAACCAAAAATAAATCAAAATAGAAAAGCATCTAAAACTTGGAGACAGAATGAAACAAATGAACCTAATTGTATGGCATGTGGGGGGGTTAGCCATACAAAAAAGGATAATTTTGAGTGACTTTTTATTTTTATTTTTAGACAGAGTCTCGCTGTGTCACCCAGGCTGGAGTGCAATGGAGTGATCTTGGCTCACTGCAACTTCCACCTCCTGGATCCAAGCAATTCTCCTGCCTCAGCCTCCCAAGTAGCTGAGATTACAGGCATGAGCCTCAATGCCTGGCTAGTTTTTTGTATTTTTAGTAGAGATGGGGTTTCACCATGTTGGCCAGGCTGGTCTCGAACTCCTGAGCTCAAGTGATCTGCCCGCCTTGGCCTCAGAAAGTAACTTTTTCAAAGAGACAATGTCTGGCTCTGTTCCCCAGACTGGAGTGCGGCGACTCCATCATGGCTCCCCGCAGCCTCCACCTCCTGCGCTCAAGAGAGCCTCCCACCTCAGCCTCCCAAGCAGCGGGGACTACATGTGTATACCACCATGCCCAGCTAATTCATTTCTATTTTATTTTATTATTATTATTTTTTGAGACAGAGTCTCGCTCTGTCGCCCAGGCTGGAGTGCAGTGGCGCAATGTCAGCTTACTGCAAGCTCCACCTCCCAGGTTCATGCCATTCTCCTGCCTCAGCCTCCCGTGTAGCTGGTCATTTTTATTTTTATTTTTGCAGAGATGAGGTCTCACTATCTTTTCCAGGCTGGTGTAGAACTCCTGGCCTCAAGAAATCCTTGAGTTGCAGTGAGCTGAGATGTGCAACTGCACTTCAGCCTGGGCGACAGAACAAGACTCCATCTCAAAAAAAAAAAAAAAAGAAAAAGAAAAAACAAATAAGTAATACAGGGAAGGTGGTTAAGTTTTGTGTATATTTTACCACATTAAAAAGTTTTAATCAGGCCATGCGCAGTGGCTCACACCTGTAATCCCAGCACTTTGCAGGGCCAAGGTGGATGGATCACTTGAGGTCAGGAGATCGAGACCAACCTGACCAACATGGTAAAACCCCGTCTCTACTAAAAATACAAAAATTAGCTGGGCGTGGTGGTGGGCACCTGTAATCCCAGCTACTCGGGAGGCTGAGGCAGGAAAATCACTTGAACCCGGGAGGCGGAGGTTGCAGTGAGCCTAGATTGTACCACTGTACTCTAGCCTGGGCAACAGTGCAAAAACTCTGTCCAAAAAAAAAATTAAATCAAATAAAATGTAAAATTGCATTCCTCAGTGGCAGTAGCCACATTGCAGGTGCTGAGTAGTCCTCTGTGGCCGGTGGCTACCCCAGTGGACAGCACAGACATGAAACAAGGACCCTCATTCCTGGGATTGTGCTGGACTACAAACGGTCACCAGTCCCGGTGCGAGGAGCACACAGACCATTGTTTCTTCCTGCCATTTCCCTTGAAAAGAAACCATGGCTTCTTGGAAAAATGACGGATTTCAGACATGAGGCAGAAAACATACAAGATGACCCCAGAACATCTCATCATAACAGCAAGCAGGAAAATTAACACAGATTCTAGTTTGTCTCGGAGGATCCATTTGCCAGTTTGAAGGGGCTCTCACTGGCGAAAGTAAGCATCAACTGAGTATCAAAAGGAAAAGTAAATTGCAGTGGATTGAAGCACTTCAAATATATTAGTGTCCACGAGTTCATTCAGCCTGGGCGACATAGTGAGACCCCGGCTCTATAAAAAATAATTTAAAAAAATTATCTGGAGCCGGGTGAAGTGGCTCACGCCGGTAATCCCAGCACTTTGGGAGGTTGGGGCGGGCAGATGACAAGGTTGGGAGTTCCAGACCAGCCTGGCTGACATGGTGAAACCCCATCTCTACTAAAAATACAAAAATTAGCCAGGCATGGTGACAGGTGCCTGTAGTCCCAGGGACCCAGGAGGCTGAGGCAGGAGAATCACTTGAACCCGGGAGGTGGAGGTTGCAGTGAGCTGAGATTGTGCCATTACACTCCAGCCTGGGTGACAGAGTGAGACTTTGTCTCAAAGAAAAAAAAAAAATGCTGGGCACGGTGGCTCACGCCTGTAATCCCAGCACTTTGAGAGGCCGAGGCAGGCAGATCATGAGGTCAAGAGATCGAGACCATCCTGGACAACATGGTGAAACCGTCTCTACTAAAAACACGAAAATTAGCTGGGTGTGGTGGTGCGTACCTGTATTCCCAGCTACATAGGAAGCTGAGGCAGGAGAATCGCTTGAACTCGGGAGGAGGAGCTTGCAGTGAGCTGAGATCGCACCGCTGCACTCCAGCCTGGTGACAGAGCGAGACTCCGTCTCAAAAACAAAAAAAAACTGGGTGTGGTGGCATGTGCCTGTAGTCTCAGCTACTCCTGAGGCTGAGGCAGGAGGGTCGCTTGAGCTCCGGAGGTCAAGGCTGCAGTGAGCTGTGATCATGCCACTGCATTGCAGCCGAGCAACAGAGCGAGACCCTGCCTCTAAAAATAAAATAAAACCCTCACCGGCCACCTTTGGAGGGTGCTGGATACTAAGTTACCATTCCGAAATGTTGTGGCAGCCTTAGGGGCGCCACTTCCATCTTCACTGGAGCATGGATTTGCGTTCAGCTGTGAGGCGTGCAGGGAGCCTCCAGCTTTCAGCCGTGCCGCAGGGACCGGCAACAGCGTTTGAGCAGAGCACACTCTCTGGGTGGCCCCTGGCCCATGACTGAGCACGCAGGGGCACTGGGCAGCCCTGGCCCCTGAGACGGGACTCCTGGTGGACACTGGGCATTCTCTGCTGCAGAGCCCTGCCATGCCCCTCCACTGGGTTGGCCAAAATGTTGAGAGATTTGCATTGCGGTCGGGCTCTCCCAGCCCGATTCTGTTTCCTCCCAATTTTCTTTCACAGACGTTGGACGGGTATTGTGGCCTGAAGGCTTTCTCAGCCTGGTTCCCCAACTCTGCCTTGATCTTTCATAGGTGTGAGCTCTCAACAAGTCTTTTGCATTCCTGATTTCATTGCATGGTCTGCTTACTGGAGGGCACAAAGAGGCACAGGTGGTGCCAGGAATGGTCTGAGAAGGCAGATGGCACGATGGGGTTTGGAGCTGGATCACTCACTGCCCAGCTGGCAATGGGATCCCATCCTGGGTGGCACATGGATGCCCTGCACGAGGTAAAGCTCTCCCTGTAGTGCCCTGGGAGGACGGCGGCTGGTGCAGTGGTTCAGGCATTTGAGAAAGATGTGTGCTTGGGAGGGTGCCCAGGGTGCGTACAAGTACGGCGTTCTGGCCAATATTAAGAACAGTACAGGGGTCTGGCTGATATTAAGTTGCATTAACACTCTAGGCCGGGCGCGGTGTCTCACGCCTGTAATCCCAGCACTGTGGGAGGCTGAGGTGGGCGGATCACGAGGTCAGGAGATCGAGACCATTCTGGCCAACACAGTGAAACCCCATCTCTACTAAAAATACAAAAAGAAATTAGCTGGGCGTGGTGGCCGGCGCCTGTAGTCCCAGCTACTCGGGAGGCTGAGGTAGGAGAATAGCGTGAACCCAGGAGGCGGAGCTTGCAGTGAGCCGAGATTGTGCCACTGCACTCCAGCCTGGGTGACAATGCGAGACTCCGTCTCAAAACAACAGCAACAACAACAACAAACAAACAAACAAACAAAAACCCACTCTAGAGAGGCATCATGAAAAGTTTCAGACGGTCAAACAGCCATCGACACTAAGCATGAAAGCCAGAGAGGTCCTTGTCCCCTCCGTGGCAGAAAAGGAAATGCTGGAAACCACGACGAGGCCTGGAGAGTTCCCGTAGTTGAATTTCAAAGACGACCAACTCTCAGTCAAAGCCAGGTTGCTGTGTCAACGCCCAGGTCTGGGTTGAGATGAGCTGGTGCCTTGATACGTGGGGCAGGGATATCTGGGTGGATGCTCCTGAATGCTTTGGCTGCCCAGATTCTTCTGAAACCTCAGAGCCTGCAGAGGAGACTCATGCCTCCCGAGGAAGAGCTGGCACCCTGTGCCCCCCACCCCCTAAGTATAGGAAGACTGCAGAGTCTTCCCAGAAAGACAACAGGGCTCCCTTCAGGGCCTGTCCCCACCCTCCTTGGCTGCCAGACTGGTAACGAGGGGTGAGCTGCAACATAACCTAGGTTGAATACAATTTATTCAAAAAAAGAAAAAGAAAATCATACCAAGATGGCCAGCAGCCAAACTGATGAAAACGAGAAGGAAAAACTCTTTACAACCATGAGTGTAAAGACACACATTTCATAAAGTGCAGCAAAGAAACGGCAGCAAACTTCCTGCGAGAAACCATGAAGCCAGAAGACAAGAAGCGACTTGGAAGTGCTGGGAGAAGAAATGGCCAGACGAGCCCCAGTGCCAGGACCCCAGCGACCGCGCCCAGGGAGAAAATGACTTTCCAAAGCGAAGGCAAGTTGATGCTGTGTGAATCCTATCTCAGTACAGCTGGTTTGTTTTTTGCGTTTTTTTTTTTGAGACCGAGTCTCACTCTTGTCGTCCAGGCTGGAGTGCAGCGACGGGATCTCAGCTCACTGCAACCTCCGCCTCCCAGGTTCAAGCGATTCTCCCGCCTCAGCCTCCTGAGTAGCTGGGATTACAGGCGTGCTCCCACACACCTGGCTAATTTCTTCTTGTATTTTTAGTAGAGACGGGGTTTCACCATGTTGGCCAGGCTGATCTCGAATGCCTGGCCTCAAGTGATCTGCCCGCCTCTGCCTCCCAAAGTGCTGGGATTACAGGTGTGAGCCACTTCGCCTGGCTTAATTTAATTTTGTTCTTTAAATGAAGGTAAGTTTCTACTTCCAGCCAAGATGGAGTAACAGGGACAGGTTTGCCTCACGCCTGAAACAACTGAAAGACTCAGCAAAATATTTGAGACAACAGCCCCCAAGTGATGGGACATGAGGGAGCCAAGGGCAAGATCCTGACAGCGGGGAAATGGGTGAGGTGCGCCCTCCGAGGACACCAGCTACTTGCCTAGGAAGGCGTCCTGGCCACCACACAGGAAAGGGGAGCCAGGGTGGAAGGGGAGCCAGGGTGGGGCGCGGCCCATACAGAAACAGGGCCATATCGCCAGCATTGCAAACTTTGTTTCTTCAAAAGATACTGTTGTGAAAATGCATCAGCAGGCCTTAGACTGGGAGAAGGTGTTTGCGAAACATATATCCAACAACAGACATGCACCTAAAATATAGAAAAAACTCTTAATAATAAGAGAGATTGACAACTTCATTTTTAAAAACATTAGGCTTTTAAAAGATTTGAACAGACACGTACGTCACCAAAAGCTACTCAAATAAATAAGCACATAAAAAGATGCCTATTAGCCATTCAGCAAATGCGTGCTGGCCAGACGAGGTGGCTCACTCCGCTAATCCCAGCACTTTGGGAGGCTGAGGCAGGAGGGTTGCTTGAACCCAGGAGTTTGAGGCCAGCCTGGGCAACGTAGTGAGATGCTATCTCTATTTAACAAAATAAAATAAAATAAAATAAAATAAAATAAAAATTTTTAAAAAGCTGGGCATGGTGGCTCACTCCTGTAATCCCGGCACTTTGGGAGGCTGAGGCGGGTGGATCACTTGAGGTCAGGAGTTCAAGACCAGCCTGGCCAACATGGCAAAACCCCGTCTCTACTAAAAATACAAAATTAGCCGGGCGTGGTGGTGCCAGCCTGTAATCCCAGCTACTCAGGAGGCTGAGGCAGGAGAATCATTTGAACCTGGGAGGTGGAGGTTGCAGCGAGCCAAGGTCTCGCCACTGCACTCTATCCTGGATGACACAGTGAGACTCTGTCTCAAAAAAAAAAAAAATTAAAGAAAAGAAAGTGCATGTTAAACCCACAATGACATACCTCCACACAGTCATAAAATGGTCAAACTTAAAGACTTCCAATGTCAAGTGTTGATCAGCATTGGAGCAACTTAAACTCTCACATACTACTGCAGGGAGTACAAAGTACAGCCACTTTGGAAAGCAGATTGGAGGCCAGGTGCGGTGGCTCATGCCTGTAATCCTAGCACTTTGGGAGGCTGAAGTGGGCGGATCACCTGAGGTCAGGAGTTCGAGACCAGCCTGGTCCAACATGGTGAAACCCCATCTCTACTAAAAATACAGAAATTAGGCGGGTGTGGTGGTGTGCGCCTGTAATCCCAGCTACTCGGGAGGCTGAGGCAGGAGAATCTCTTGAACCCGGGAGGCGGAGGTTGCAGTGAGCCGAGATCACGCCACTGCACTCCAGCCTGGGTGACAGAGTGAGACTCCATCTCAAAAAGATAAAAAGAAAGAAAGAAAAGAAAGCAGATTGGCAGCTTCTTACCAACTTAAACATACAGTCCCCTTGAAACCCAGTAATCCCACACATATTTATTCAAAAGAAACGAAAACATGTGTCCATACACAGACTTGTATTTAAATGTTAAAAGCAGCTTTACTCATAATAGCCCAGAACTGCATATGTCCCAGAGCTCATCAACAGGTAGACAGTTAAACAAACCGAGGTGTGAGCATGCAATGGAATGAAATATTACTCGCAATAAAAAATCCACCGTTGACATGCACAACGGCATGGGTGGCCCTACAGAGTGTTGAGCTGAGAGAAGGCAGACACGAACGACGGCTCTGCTAGAAATCCACTACCACACGAGTCACTGCGACACACAGCAGCTTAAAACAGTGTTTATCATCTCAGCTTTTGTAGGTCTGGGTCCCGGCTCAGTCTCCCTTACAAAGCTGCAGTCCGACGTCAGCCAGGGTCACGGTCACCTCCAGGCTCAGCTGTGGCAGCATCCCAGGGTGGCTGTTGGAGTGAGTTCCCTGCTGTCTTGGGGGTGGTGGAGGGGTCTGGCTCTCATGGCTGCCTTCAGTTCCTGGCCCATGAACCTCCCCACCTCAGCAGCAACCCAGCACTGGCTTCATCAAAGTGAGTAGGGGCGACAGTGCCCTGAGACCTGAATCACGGCATTTTATAAATGAATCTCAGGATGCCTCATCACTCTTTTTATTTAACTTTTATTTTTTTTCAAGATGGTGTCTAGCTCTGTCACCCAGCCTGGAGTGCAGTGGCACGATCTCAGCTCACTGCAATCTCTGCCTCCCAGTTCTCCTGCCTCGGCCTCCTGAAGAGCTGGGATTACAGGCGTGTGCCACTGTGCCCGGTTGATTTTTGCATTTTAGTAGAGATGGGGTTTTACCATGTGGGCCAGCTGGTCTCGAACTCCTGACCTCAAGTGATCCGCCCACCTTGGCCTCCCAACGTGCTGGGATTACAGGTATGAGCCACTGCACCCTGCCTTTTTATTATTTGTTTTAGAAACTGGGTCTCAGTCTGTTGCCCAGGTTGGAGTGCAGTGGTGCGATCACGGCTCACTGCAGTCTCCACCTCCTGGGTTCAAGCGATCCTCCCACCTCAGCCTCTGGAATACCTGGCTAACTTTTTTTCTGTAGAGACAGGGTCTCCCTATGCTACCCAGGCTGGTGTCAAACTCCTGGGCTCAGGAGATCCTCCCGCCTCAGCCTCCCACAGTGCTGGGATCACAGGTGTGGCCATCGTGCCCGGCCCATCACTCTTTATGGATGAGAACAACACACTGCTTGGTCCAGACGACATGTGAGGAGGAAGGCCACGCCACACCAGGGGTAGGGATCGTGGGGAGCCCTGGGAGAAGGCTGCCAACCCACCTTCCTGCTGGACGGTCCCGTTAATGAGCTGCCGCGAGTTCCATTCGCGGCCAGATCTTGTCTCCCCAGCAGCCCACTTTAGGCGTCTTCGTGCCGTTGCCTCAGTCGTGCTTGTATCTAAAAGTAGGACGTGTTTGTCACTTGATCGACAGCCCTTTTGTTAGAAACGTTACTTTGTGTTTAAGGTTTTCTATCGCACGAAATAATTCAAATTGCCACTTTAAAAAACATAGAACACGAGAATAGAATACCGACTTCTCCACATTAAAAACGAGTAATGGTTCTTGGATATCTATTTAACTCAAGTATAGAAAAAATGTTCTAAGCGGCCAAGCTGGGTTGTTCATTGGTTCTCAGGGCCTGGATGGCTAAAGACAGCTACTCAGCTAAGCGTGGTTTCCGACTGAACTGCATCCTTTGTTTCAGTAGACGGCCGGTCTCAGGCTGCTACACGTATTTTGCATTTGGTCGTTTCTGCCAAATTTCCTCTGCTTATCCACATGAACGGAGTCCGTCTGAAAATCACAGGATTAATAATTACCACCTAACTCGATAACGTTCTTCTCTGTGTCCCTGCCATTTTCTCTGTTTGGTGCATTTCCCCAGGAAAGTAACAGAACAACCTCACAAATACATCAGGAAGGAGGTTTAAATTTAGCGAGCGCCGTTTCCTCTCCCAGGTCCCGGTGACTCACCTCCACCTCCCAGGGCTGTCCTGCTGCTGCGGAGCTGCAGCAATGGACGGGGGCCAGCTCCCTGCCCACGCCTCGGACTCTAGGCCGTCCCTTCCCCTGCGCTGTGGGCATCTGAGCATCCGGCAAGGTGTCAGTCCAAAAGAAACAATGTAAGTGGGCTGCAGGCTGGCATCTGAATACCCACCTCAACCCGCAGACCACACTTCCGTGGCTTTCTGTGTGCTCCATAGGACATTGGTGTCCAGGGAAGAACCGAGTCAGTGACTCCCAGGGCTAACTAACGGGTAGGATGTTCATTCCTTCCAGAGCCAAAGGTGCACGTTCTGCTCCGTGCCATATGGGGAAAGTGTAACGCCTCCCAGCACTGAGCAGAAGGAAGAGGCAGCAGCTATTGCCCTGAGCACCCACCCAAAGGGCTCTGGATGGATCCTCCCCGATGGAGAAGCAGTTCCACGTGTCCAGGAAGCAGGAAGAGCGCTGTGAAGGAATACTGGGTGTGTAGGGATCAAGGGCTCTGGGTGTGAAGTCTGAGCTGCTTTCTCGTGACTGTTCCCACAATCTGGTGCTGGAGCCCCCTCGGTGTGCACTCTCAGTGGTGCCAAGACAAGGAGGTGGGTTTTGTTCAGGAGCCTGGGTAAGGAGCACACACCCCATCTCAAACGGGGAGACTTCCATTGATGGAGATCGGCCTTGTTACTGATTGTGAAAACCTCACCAGAGCCTCGTTCGGAGGGTGGGTTCTCCCACAGGACAGGAGATGGGGCATAACCTCCAGTATTCCCCAGAGAGCGGGCAGCCCAGGTCTCTGCAAAGTGGGTAGTCACTGTCAAACAAAACAACCTGAGACGCTTTCTAACAGAGTTCAGCACTTCTGACACTAAGAAAACCAATCACGACTCTCACCCTGTCATTTTGTAAAAGAAGAAAACAAAACTGGGAAATAACTTCGCTGAGGTCACACGGCCAGTTTGGAGCAGAGCTGGGACTGGCACCCAGACCTCTGACTCCTGGAGCTCTTCCCAGATTCTTGAAAGGGGCCAAGAAGTGAGCTGCTTCCATCTCATGGGCACAGAAACTCCCTGTCCTGGGGCTCACATCCACCAGGTGCCAGCCACACAGGCCCCAGTCACACAGGCCCCGGCTCCTGACCCCTGGGCCAGGCTGCTCCCCGGCTGGCCTTCCTGGTGCTGGCGTGGTCGGAGCTTCCCTGGGTGGAGGATGAGGCTAAGGAAGCCGACTGGTTATGCACATCACAATGGGATGGAAGTTCGGAAATGGCAACAAACTAATTCTCAAAAACCTTGAAAAAGAAATTATGAAAATTCCCGTTCTTCAGATCCAAACTGAAACATCAGTTAGGAGGCCGGGTGTGGTGGCTCACGCCTGTAATCCCAGCACTTTGGGAGGCCGATGTGGGCCGATCACTTGAGGTCAGGAGTTCGAGACCAGCCTGGCCAACATGGTGAAACCCTGTCTCTACTAAAAATACAAAAATTAGCTGGGCATGGTCGCAGGCGCCTGTAATCCCAGCCACTTGGGAGGCTGAGGCAGGAGAATTGCTTGAACCCAGGAGGTGGAGGTTGCAATGAGCTGAGATAGTGCCACTGCCCTCCGGCCTAGGCAACAAGAGCGAAACTCCATCTCAAAAACAAAAAAGAAAGAAAGAAAGAAAAAGAAAGAAAGAAAGAAAGACCAGTTAGGAACAATAAAGAATGGAAATGAAGTGTGCAGACTTCAAACCTTGCAGAAACCTGTGAATGATGGATGGGACATGCATTTGCCTCTAGGACTGAAGGAAGAGGAGACAATTTGATGCCACCAAACCACCAGATATTTGGCTAAGATGCCCGCCCAGCTTCAACTGACATACACACAACAGCACGACTTTCCAGCAAAAGTTCAACATTGGCTGGGCACGGAGGCTCATGCCTGCAATCTCAGCACTTTGGGAGGCCACGGGGGAGGATCCCTTGAGGCCAGGAGTTTGAGACCAGCCTGGGAAACATAGTGAGACCCCATCTCTACAAAAAATAGAAAATTATCTGGGTGCAGTGACATGCCTCTGTGGTCCCAGCTCCTCCAGAAGCTGAGGTGCAAGGATCCCTTGAACCCGGGAGGTGGAGGCTACAGTGAGCTGAGATCGTGCCACTGCACTCCAGCCTGGGCCACAGAGCAAGACCTTGTCTCTTAAAAGAAAAAGAAGAAAATTGAATGTTAATTTTATGCCCCAGATAATAGAGGAGCGTGAAGAAAATGGCAATAGGGTGTGGCTTATCCTGAATGAATCGGATCCAGTGAGTCAAGATCAACGCTGCTTCTCAGAGGTGATCAGCACCAAGATATCCTCAGATAAGCTCTTCGCAGATATTGAAGGGATTGCGACCATGAACCACTCTCACTGCTTAGTTCCAAAGCTCAGGAAGGAAAGACAGGGAGGGCGGGGCACTGTCCGGAGGCAGTGATGGCGTGCTGGCCGCAGTGGGTGCATGGACTTTGCAGATGTGGAGTCTGCACCTCCTCCTACATTTGCTGAGCACCTACTTCATCCAATACACCACCAAGGAGAAGACGGACAAGACCCCTGTTCTGGAGGGGGAAGAATAAAAATAATGCCTCTCACCGGGGGCCGGGCCAAGCTCTGGGCACCTCTTCATGAATTAACTCCTAAATTAATCCATGGAAGGGACACGTGGGAAGGGGCACGTGTGCAGAGCACAGGCTCGGACAGGAACCCCGGGAACACAGGGAGGTCAGTGCTTCTGTACCCAAAGGACCCCTCTCGGCAGGGGCCAGTGAGCAGCCGGGAAGGGGGCCTTGGAGTTGAGACCTGTTGGGCTTGTTAGAGCCCCGTTCCTTGATTTAAGAAAGCAGGCTAGGGCTGGGTGCAGTGGCTCACGCCTGTAATCCCAGCACTTTGGGAGGCCGAGGCGGGCGGATCACGGGGTCAGGAGTTCGAGACCAGCCTGGCCAACATGGTGAAATTCCGTCTGTACTAAAGATACAAAAAAATAACCGAGCGTGGTGGCAGGTGCCTGTAATCCCACCTACTCGGGAAGCTGTGGCAGGAGACTTGCTTGAACCTGGGAGGCAGAAGTTGCAGTGAGCCGAGATTGTGCTCCAGCCTGGGTAACAGAGCCAGATTCCATCTCGAAAAATAACATAACATAACATAACATAACATAACATAACATAACATAACATAACATAACATAAATAAAGCAAGCAAACTGGAACCAGCCTCATTCTTCCACTTCCCACAGTAGGGATTGGGCTGGAAATTCCGAAGCAAATCCCTCTCTGCACTTTCCTCCACCTGCCCCTGTGCGGCCAGGGCCCTTCATCCAGAAGCACGCAGCCTCGGGGACAGCTTCGCCATTTTTAAGTGTTTTCACGAGGGGTTGACACTGTGCTGTCAGCGACATCGCGAGCCCAGAAGTGAATAACTGACACAACAATGATTAAAGTTTGTGAGCAGCTTCAGGAAATGGCAGCGCAACTTTATGTTCAAAAGATCCAAGGCAGGAGAGTGTGAGGCCTTCCCTTTCCCAGATCCTAGGGGTGTGGAGGGCGGGCCTGGGGCCATGAGAGGTGTGGAGAGTCAGAACTGCGGCCTGCGGCGCAGCCCCCACCTGCTTTTCCTCTCCCCGCCCCCGTCGAGGGTCCCCAGGGATCAGGACTTGCTCCCAAAGTCGCCTGGCCCCAGCTCCCGCGAAGGCAGGAGGGTTTTGGAAGCAGCCGCTGGTGGGGGTCTCTCTCCTGACAGCTGCAGGGACTGGCCCCCTCCCCACCCACCGCCGGCGCAGCCAGAAGCAGCCACGCAGACGTGCGACCCCCCACAAACCGCCTCGGGACGAGGTTCTGCCGCGCCCGTGGGCCACAGTGTCCACGCGGGGCTTGTGCCGGTGTCGCCTCCCATGAAGACACCCGGAGGGTCCCGTCTGCGGCGCGTGAGGGCAGCGGTCCCGGAGAGCCAGACCCCGGCCAGGGAGAGCTGCCCGCGAGGGAGGGGGCGCGGCTGGCGGAGGGGGGCGGGATGGGGCGGGGGGCGGGGGGAGGAGAGGGGAGCGGCGGGCGGGGCCGGGCTGCAGGGAGCGGCGGGCTGGGGCGGGCTCGGGGCGGGCTCCGCGCTCCGTCCGCCCCCTCGCGCCCGCGCCGCGCTCGCTCAGCTCCCGCCCGCCTGTGCCGCCTGTGCGGCCGCCGGGAGCCAAGTTTGCGCGGACCCCGTCCCGAGCCCGCCGCGGCCATGGACGCGCCCGCCCGGCTGCTGGCCCCGCTCCTGCTCCTCTGCGCGCAGCAGCTCCGCGGCACCAGGTGAGCGGGCGGGGTCCGCGCGGCGCGGGGTCGGGGGCGGTGGGGGGCCCGCGTCGGCCCGAGATAGCGGCTGGGAGAGCGGCCGGCGCGAGCCCCGGGCCCCGGACCCCAAGTCTGAGAGCCCCGCGTCCTCCCTCCCCGGGGTCTTGCCCCGCGGGCCCCTCGTTGGACTCGCCCGGACGCTGCCCTTGGGCTCGGGACGCGGCGACCCCCGCGCTGGCCGCCCCCGCCCGGTGCTGTCCGCCGTCCTGGTGCTGAACCTGGGCTGGGCGAGGGCGTCGGAGCCTCCCGGTTCCCCTGCTCCGCGGCGCGCGTGGAGGGTCCCCGGGTCCGCGGCACTCGCGGGTCCCTGCCCGGCGGGTGCCTTGAGGAGAGGAAAGACCTGAGAACTCGGTGCGGGGAGGCTGCTCCCTTTGCGGGGGAGCCGTTCCCCGTTCCCCCAGTGAGCTTCCCCAGCCGGAGGGTCTGGGACGGACGGAGGAGGCTGTCTCGCTGTGGAGGGTGGGCCCGGCCTCCGGGGTCTCCTTTCAGAGTCCGTTTCAAATGGCGTGGGCAGAACTCCTGAGTGTGTGCAGGTGGACGGCGGCCAGGTGCCCCTGGCCACAGAAAAGAGATGGTGGATTTCTTAACTATTTTGGGAGGGACTCCCCAGAGAAGGAAGAGGCTGAGAAGGAGGCCCCCCGGGGCTGGAGCCCCCTCTGGCCTACAGTGCCCCCCCATCTCCTCTCTGGGGATCTGAAATGGGCTCCTCAGCCACCCAGGCAACTTGGCCCCACCACGGGGCCTGGCTGGCCGCCTTCCCTAGGAGTCACGAGAGGACATTTAGGGGCGTCTTTGAAAATCACCTCAGTGCAAAGACTGCAGAAGAAACAGCAAAGAGCCATCCCCCAGCATTCAGGATCTCAGAGACCGTGAAGATGTAGATATAGAGGTGGCTGACCGTAGTAGAGATGGCAGCACCCAACACGGGGCGGTGTGTCAGAGTTTTCCCATTGGAGGTGCGGGGGACAGAGCCCAGAAGGCCTGGGTCCAGCTGCAGCCGTGTGCCCATCAGGAGACCGCGGGGTCGGCACTGCCCCTGGCTCTAAGCAGCCCGTGTCCTGGGAAGAGCTTTGTTCTTCCATCAATCCCAGTGGGCCTTTCTCCCTTTGTCCTTCCCCTCCTTCAAGGTGAGAGGAAGGACGAAGCTCGGGGCACAGTTGTGGATGCTGTGCTGGAGCCATGGGGACAGCTGCCAGCCCAGGCCCACGGCCACTTAGCCAAGAGGCTGAAATCCAGACGGCTCTGAAACCCCAAAGTTTTAGCCCAAGTTCGACACCAGAATTCAGTTGGCAGCAAGTCCCGTCCCGCATGGACGTGAGACTCTTCTCATCTTTATTAATCCTACTTCTGGGATTATTTATATACACTTCCTGCTGGGAAATTCTTCAGGCCGCCCCCAGCCACAGCCTCTGTGTCCACCATTTCCCTGCTCTAAAATCTGAAGATCCTTAATCCTGGCCTGCATCTGGCTCCTGGGCTGACGGGGAAGGGATTCTGTGCCTGTTTCCTTGGGCAGGAAAGCTGGAAGGCCACGGCCCAGCCAGGAGTGGGGGGCCTCTGGGCCTGCAGTCACTCCCATCCCTGGAAGAGGGGTGCCGTTGGGGAGGACACCTTGCCTGGTGAGAGGTGCACTGCTTTGCTCAGCTCCCCTTTCGCTCTCTAGTTAAAAACAGTTACCACCTGGCTGCATGCTGCAGCCTCTCCTTTGAGGTCATCCTGTCCACACACATGTGCTGGGCTCAACCTCCTGCTCTTGGCGTCTAGGGGCAGGCCTGGAGGGTCTCCCCAGGGTGGAAGCACCTGCCAACTCAGCCCTAGGGGCCACCTTCAGACTTAGCGGGGTGCTGTCCATGAAGGGCCTCTCTGTATCTGTGCCCCTACACTCCAGAAACCAGGACAGCCGCCCTCCCTTCCCTCAGTCTCGGGGTCCTTGTCCTGGAGCTGTATTGGACGTCAGTGGGACCCATTCTGGCCATTACCCCAGGTCCCCATTGCAGCAGCTCCTCATGGGAAAGGCTGGGTGGGATAGGAAGGGAGTGTGCTGCGTGGCGGCCGTGGGTCGGCCCGGAGTGTGAAGACCCGTGCACGCGGCAGGCACCGAGCTTGCCGACTGCATGCCCGCGTGGGTGGCCCTCCCGGGCTGCCGGCACCTCCGTCTCCCTGGAGAAGCTGTGCTGCGGCTCCTACCGTGCCAGCTCGCGGTGCGCTGGTGGCGGTGCTCCTCTTCGCCTTGGTAACTGCAATGCTGGGAGGCTTGAGCTGCTCTAAAAGCAGGGCTGTGGGATATGTGGGCTGGGTGTGCGCCGTGGAGAAGCCTGCAGGGGGAGGATCCCAGCTACATCTACCTTCCCTGTCTGTCCCCAGGGCGCAGACAAGTGACAGGGATGGGTTTGTTTTTCAGTGGGGCCAGGAGGGCAGGAGGCCAGGTGACCCATGGAGAGCCACCCGAGGGGGAAGCTGCCATGTCTTCATGGTGCCCACTCTGCCCCCTGAGTTTGGAGTCCTAAATCTGAGTGTAGACTTGGAGCCTGGTGTGTAGCCCTGAGCCTCTCTGTCCATCCACCCACAGGAAACCCCAAGCTCAGGCCACCACTGGGCCCCAGGGCCACCAGGTGAGGCAGCAGCCCTCTCCCGAGGTCTCCGTGACATACCAGAGTCAGGACAGCCCCACCCTGTGCCTATCTCCGCTGGTGCAGGCTGTGTTCCCCCAGCCCCCGCTAGATCTGCCTCCCTTGTACATCCTGACCTGAGGAAGTGAGGGGCCCTCCAGACCCCAGAGTCTGGCATGAAGCGCACGCCCCCGCACTCTGGCCCTTCCCATCTGTTCACGGTGGGAAAACGACCGGGGGCTCTCCTAGGTGAGAAATGGCGTGGGGGTGGGAGCCTGCTTCCTTCTCGCCCCCAGGAGATGGCAAAGGTGCCTCCAGGTGAGCTTCGTGGCGGGGGCTGCTCCTGGCCTTGCCTTCGTGCCCCCCCACATGTGCCACCACCCTGAGATGGGCAAGAGATGTGGCCCAGGAAGGACGGTGTCTCCTGTGGCCTCATTCCAGGCAGGCTAGATGGCAGCTGGGCTGGTCCAAAAATAAAGCCTCACTAGAGCCCTTTGCGTCCGACCTTCAAGGCAACTGCCATTTGCATTTTTAATTGGCCGGGACTTAATTTGATTCCATCTTATACTTTGTTACCAAAGTGCCTGCTCCTCCTTAGCCCTGTGCCGGGCCACTCCTGGGGGTCCCGTGGGCGCGGGGTCCTGGGTCTGGATGGACAGCAGCCCTGGATGCTGCCTCCAGCTGGCTCCTGCCAGAGTTGGGCCA
This sequence comes from Homo sapiens, assembly GCF_000001405.40. Classification (NCBI taxonomy): domain Eukaryota; kingdom Metazoa; phylum Chordata; class Mammalia; order Primates; family Hominidae; genus Homo; species Homo sapiens. Next base: position 2,022,848 of record NC_000001.11, read on the forward strand.
CCACAGTCGTCCAGGACAGATTGGGGTTGGCAGAATCTGGTTAGCTAAGGAACGTTTGGTTCAAAGTCCAAATCTTTGAAAGGCCAGTGTGTAAAACAAGAAGAAAAGTGGTTCTGATGGAAAGGGAGAGGGCCTCAGCCCCCGACCCCGCTGCTGCTGCCTCCCAAACCCCGGTGGTCCTCAGGGGGCCCAGGACGCACCTGAGGATAAAGTGTATGGAGCAGAGTCAAGGCTGGATGCAGGGAGAGGCAGGGAGAGTGTCCACCTCCCAGCATCCTTCCCAGTGTTTCTCTGGAATTGCGGGTTTAAGATTTGGACCTGCTCATGCAGCTCCCCGGCTGGACTTAGCCTGAGGCACCAGACCTCTGTGCCCTGCCCCTTGCCTCTCCCTTGGGAATCCAAGGACTCAAGAGGGCTGGAGCCGGAGAGACAGACAAGCAGAGTAGGCTGCAGGTGATCTGTGTGGGGCACTGGGAGGGTGCTGCACGGGGTGGGGCTGGTGGCCCGGCCTCAGCTTGACTGTGCCAGACAGGCAGTGTGGAGGGGTGCCTCGAGCCCAGGTCGCAGTCTCTGAGGGAGCAGGAGGCCAAGGGCTGTGGCCCCCACCGTGAGGAGGGGAGGGGCAGTCAGTTGCGTCCTGGGGAGCCAGGCGTGGAGGAGGCCTGGGACTGTGCTCTTCTCTTGGTGGCCTGTGGAGTAGCCCAGCATAGGGCACCCGCTTGAGGCTGTATCTGAACTGGGGTCAAATCTGTCTCTAGGCTTGCTGTGGGGGAGGCCACTGACTCAGGTCCCGGCCCCTCAACTCTCCTGGAGGGCTCGGGCCAGGCTCGGGCCTGGCGACCTGGAGGACATGTCTGAAGCCACCCCCTTGGATAGAAATGATTCTGAGAATACAGGGGGGTTAATCTCAAGGCCCCACCCCTGGGACCAATCCCCATCCTGTGTGCAGGAGGACAGGTATGACAATCACCACAAACTGGACGGCTTGAAACAACAGACGCCTATTCTCTCGCAGCTCGGGAGGCCAGGAGCCTGAAATCAAGGTGTGGGTGGGGCTCGTTCCCCTGGAGGCTCTGAGGGAACCTCCGTCCCTGGCCTGTCTCCAGCTCCGGCGGTGGCTGGAAACCCTGGCCTCCCCTGGCCTGTGGACGCCTCACCCCAATCTCTGCCTCCTCTGTCCCCAGGCTTCTTCCCTCTTCTCTTCTAAGGACACCAGTCCTTGGGTTTAGGGCCCACCCAATCCAGTATGGCCTCATCTTAACTAATTACCTCTGCAAAGACCTTATTCCCAAATAAGCTCACATTCTGAGGCTCTGGGTGGATGTGCATTTTGGGGGACGCTGTTCAACCCAGTGCAGGTGAGCAGATGGGGGCCGGGGGGGTGCTGGGGTGCTCTGGGCTCTGGCAGCATGGTGTGTATGGGGAGGAGATGCCTCCCTCAAGCCTGGGCGTCCCCATGGCCCTGCTGTCTACCCCGAGCTGCTCCGAGGTTGAGCTAAACCACAGAAGCACATGGCCATTTGGGGATCTGGAGCCCACCCTGGGCCTTCCTGGGAGGAGACAGAGAGTAGGAGGCTGTGGGCCCGGGTTTTGGGGCCCTGTCCTCTTCCTGTCCCTGCCCCTTGCCTCCTCCTCACATTCCTCTTCTCCAAACCGTCTAATGGGGGAAGCTTCGCCCTCAGAAGCCGACAGGGAGACCTCTTTGGTGAGGGACCCCAGGGGTGGAGACCCGAGGCCGGCCTCCGCGGGCTGGTTGAGGAGGGAGGCTGTTAGCCTGGGAGCTTGGCCCACGCTGGGGGGCTCTGTCCAACCCAGGGCCACCTCCCTCAAAGCCAGGAGGGCTAAGTGGGCACTGAGGCCGGAGGAGGAAGCCAGGTCAGGGCCAGTGGAAGAGGCTGAGGACCTCCCGGGGTTCCCTGTGTCCAGCCAGAGGCTTGGGGACTGGCCAGGCCCCCACCTGCAAGGGCTCCCACAGTGGCCCCCCATGCCCTGGCCCAGGTGCCCAGAACAGTGCTGCATCCCCAGGAAGGGACCCAGGCTCAGTGGAATTAAATTAAGTCCTGGCCTGTCTGACCGGTGGCTTTGCATCCCCAGAGCGATGAATGACATCGGCGACTACGTGGGCTCCAACCTGGAGATCTCCTGGCTCCCCAACCTGGACGGGCTGATAGCCGGCTACGCCCGCAACTTCCGGCCTGGCATCGGAGGTGAGGGGCGGTCCAGGCCCGGCAGGCAGGAGCCGCTGGAGCCCAGGCTAGGCCGTGGCTGTGTGGCCCACTGGGCTGTAGGCTGGCCTCTAGGCAAGGAAGCCTGGCTCTCCCCTGGGGGGCTCCATCAGAGCCAGGCCCCCACAGAGACAGCCAGGGAGGTGCAGCTTCTCAGGCCATGATGGCCGACTGCCTGTGACTGGGACCCCGGCAGGGTCCCATCGTGGCTCCCATGCTGGGCCGGCCTCAGTCCTTCTTAGTTCTGCTCTTTCCTTGCAGGCCCCCCCGTGAATGTGGCCCTTGCCCTGGAGGTGGCCAGCATCGACCACATCTCAGAGGCCAACATGGTAGGTGCCACCAGCCTCTGCCTCAGGCACGGTGGGTGCCCACAGCCTCTGCCCTGGGCTGCATGCCCCTGGGGGTGGAGCAAGGCTGACCCCCGGCCCCTGTGCCACCTCCACAGGAGTACACCATGACGGTGTTCCTGCACCAGAGCTGGCGGGACAGCAGGCTCTCCTACAACCACACCAACGAGACCCTGGGTCTGGACAGCCGCTTCGTGGACAAGCTGTGGCTGCCCGACACCTTCATCGTGAACGCCAAGTCGGCCTGGTTCCACGACGTGACGGTGGAGAACAAGCTCATCCGGCTGCAGCCCGACGGCGTGATCCTGTACAGCATCCGGTGAGCGGGCTGCCCACCCGGACTCCGGGGGAGAGCCTGCCCGGGCCAAGCGTCGGCGCCTGGACGCTCCAAGGCTTGGAAAAGCTCGAGCGGCTTCTGCTGCCGGGAGCTGGCGGGCGGGCGGAGGGGGGGGCAGAAGCTGCGCGGTTATTTATATCCCCCGCAGCTGCTGGGGAAACATCCGCTCCAAGGTCGCCGACAGGAAGCCGGCAGATGTGGCTTTTTGGCCAACACAGTGCCTTTTGGTTTTTAAAATGGGGTGGAATTCACATAACATAAAATTAACCTTTTTAAAGTGAACAATTCAGTGGCATTTGGCAGATTCGCCACGTTGTGCAACCCCACCTCTGTCTGGTCCAAAACATTTCAAGACCCCAAAAGGAGACCCAGCCACTGAGCAGGTGCTCTCCACTCCGCCCTCCCTGGAGCTCCAGCAGCCACCCGCTTGCTTTCTGTCTCTGTGGGTCTGCCCAGAGACAGAAACATTTCATCGAAAGGGAATCACATGCTGTGTGTGGGACCCTTTATGACTCCGGCTTCGTTACTCAGCATCACGTCCTCACGGTTCATCCCAGTGGAAGCCGGAGTCAGGGGCGCCTTCTTCTTCATGGCCTAGGCGATGGCCCACGGCAGGGGCGCGCCACACCTGCCTCCCATCCCTCTGCCGAGGGGCGCTTGGGTGGCTTCCGGCGTTGGCGAATGTGAAAACACTGCTATGAATGTGTGTGCGCGCATTTGTTTGAAAACCTGTTTTCAGACACATGCCTCTTAAAGATGGAATTAGTTCATGACACTTAAAAAATCAGGAGGCATGTGGCCGGATGCGGTGGCTCACGCCTGTAATCCCAGCACTTTGGGAGGCCGAGGTGGGTGGATCACGAGGTCAAGAGATCGAGACCATCCTGGCCAACATGGTGAAACCCCGTCTCTACTAAAAATACAAAAGATTCGCTGGGCGTGGTGGTGGGGGCCTGTAGTCCCAGCTACTCAAGAGGCTGAGGCAGGAGAATGGTGTGAACCCGGGAGGCAGAGCTTGCAGTGAGCCGAGATTGCGCCACTGCACTCCAGCCTGGGGACTGAGCGAGACTCCATCTCAAAAAAAAAAAACAAACAAAAAAAAGAAATCAGGAGGCAGCCGGGTGCAGTGGCTCACGCTTGTAACCCCAACACTTTTTGGAGGCTGAGGTGAGAGTATACTTGAGCCTGGGAGTTTGAGACCAGCCTGGGCAACATAGGGAGATCCTGCCTCTACAAAAATAATAAAAAACATTAGCTGGGCTTGGTGGTGTGCACCTGTGGTCTCAGCTACTCGGGAGGCTGAGGTGGGAGGATTACCCACCTCAAGCCCCGGGGGGTTGAGGCTGTAGTGAGTCAAGATTGCACCACTGCACTCCAGCTTGGGTGACAGAGTGAGACCCTGTCTCATAAACAAACAAAAACATCGGGATATTTTACATAGGAATTTAAATATTTGACCTCTCCTAGAAAATCAAGTGCGTGGCAACTCTGGGCCTATTCCCGTGTGTTCCTCAGCCATCGCTCGGGCCAGGGCCTGGGTGTGAAGGCTGTCCCCTGCCCCGTAGGCCCCCAGCCTAGTTCAATAGTCAAGCGTTTTGAAGAGAATGAATGAAATCCAGTTCTTGACGGTCCTAAAGGAATACTTGACGTCTATGAAGTTGAGCAGTTTCCAGGTTTACCTGGATTCTGGGCAAACACAGTCTGAGAAGTAGCTGGGGCTCCAGGCAGGTGCTCAGGGGGCATCTCTGCAGGGGAACTGCCAGGCTTTCGGGAGGGCTGGCCTCACCCCCAAGGCCTCACTGCCATGCTTGTCTTGGCAGAATCACCTCCACTGTGGCCTGCGACATGGACCTGGCCAAATACCCCATGGACGAGCAGGAGTGCATGCTGGACCTGGAGAGCTGTGAGTGGGTGTGCAAGGCGGGTAGGGGCTTCTCCAGCAGTGGATGGGGGCTCAGACTGTCAGCCCGGGGCCTGGACAAGGCTGGCCCGGCTCAGGATGCAGGAAAGCACCAAACCAGCTTCTGCATGCAAGAAGCCTGGGCAGGAGGAGAAGGGGCCAGAAAGCCTGGAGCAGTCTGGCTTGTGGGTCTGTGCCCTGCCTGGGGAGCCGGGCCATGGAGCCCAGACATGGCACGGATTGATATTGTTGAGCCAGTGCAGCAGCCCCTGTGTGTCACCTGACAACGGTGACCCCATCTGTGTCCCATCCACCTGCCCGGAGGAGCCCGACGTGGTCCCAGAGCCGAAGGTCTCCTCGCTCCTGGCTGGGGTCCTGCTCGGTCCCCATCACGATGGCGTCGGCCCCCTGCAGGCTTCCTGTGTGGACGGAGCGCTCCTGCCAGGGCTCCCGGGGCAGGGCCGGGCTCTGCCGCCCACCTGTGTGCTTTTCCTCCAGACGGTTACTCATCGGAGGACATCGTCTACTACTGGTCGGAGAGCCAGGAGCACATCCACGGGCTGGACAAGCTGCAGCTGGCGCAGTTCACCATCACCAGCTACCGCTTCACCACGGAGCTGATGAACTTCAAGTCCGGTAACATATGCCCGCCGCCCCTTCCGCATGTGCCCGCCGCCCCTTCCGCGCGCGCCCACCGCCCCTTCCGCGCGCGCCCACCGCCCCTTCCGCGTGCGCCCGCCTGTGGTTTTCATGCTTTTTAGTCAAGCGCCCGCAGGCCCCCAGGGCCTCTGGGGATGCAGCTGGGACGCTGCTGCCTTAGGAACTTGCTCATTGGCACCAGCTGCACCTGAACCAGGGCTTCCAGGCCTGCCATTGTGTGGGCGTGGGTCAGGCCTTCCCATCTCACTCCTTGGTCCTTTCTCTCTTCCCAGCACTCCAGATTTATGGGAAACCAGAGGGTGTGGGGAGCTCTCTTAGCCCCAGGTCTGCAGGGCTCAGGAGCCAAGCTTTCCTTGGCTACCTTGTCTCCCAGCCCCACTTTCCCACCCCTACGCACCCCGTCCCCGGTCATCCAGAGCCAGTGAGCCCAGTGCTGGCTCCTTCCAGAGCCTGGCTGTGCCCGCAGGAGTGTTAGGAGAGAAAGGGGTGAGCCCTCCCCATTGGTTGCGAGGGTCCCTCAGGGCCAGTCCAGCAAACATGAGGCCAGCAGTAACCTCAGCCTCTCTCCCTCTCCTCTGGGTGACACTGCTCAGGACCAGCCTGTCCTGTGGCCAGACCTAGGGCCGGAGGCCCCCTGACATTTCAGGCCATGTGGTTGGTGGGGAGGGCAGGGGTCTAAGTCTCTCTTCTGAGCCCTGGTGGGCCCCGTAGCTGCCAAGCCCTGCAGCCCCTGAGTCCCATGGTTGGGCTGGGCTGGGCAGGGATGGGGGCACTGACGGTGGCTGTCCTGGCAGCTGGCCAGTTCCCACGGCTCAGCCTGCACTTCCACCTGCGGAGGAACCGCGGCGTGTACATCATCCAATCCTACATGCCCTCCGTCCTGCTGGTCGCCATGTCCTGGGTCTCCTTCTGGATCAGCCAGGCGGCGGTGCCCGCCAGGGTGTCTCTAGGTACGGGGCCTCGCCGCTGCTCCGAGGGAGCTGGAAGGGCGGCCCTGGGGAACAGGACTCCCCATCCCTCGGCTGGGGGCTCAGCACTGGCCTCTGGACCATGCCAGCTGTCCTGGGGCAGTGGCCAGCCGGGCCAGGCCAGGTCAGGGAAACAGGACCTGCTCCCTGGGGTGGGCATGGGGGTGGGGGGCAGCGGACCCTCATCCGTGGGTCACAGGCATCAAGGCTGGGATGGGGCGGCGTGAGGGCAGGGCTACGACAATGGCACCACCTGTGCCCGGCAGGCATCACCACGGTGCTGACGATGACCACGCTCATGGTCAGTGCCCGCTCCTCCCTGCCACGGGCATCAGCCATCAAGGCACTGGACGTCTACTTCTGGATCTGCTATGTCTTCGTGTTTGCCGCCCTGGTGGAGTACGCCTTTGCTCATTTCAACGCCGACTACAGGAAGAAGCAGAAGGCCAAGGTCAAGGTCTCCAGGCCGAGGGCAGAGGTGAGGGCCTGGGGCCGAGCCAGGGACAGCACTGCTGGGGGCCCCAACCAGGACCCTTCAGCTGCCCCAGCCCACTGTGGGTCCCAGCTGTGCTCCCTGAGCGTGGGGGGCTGGAGCTGCTGGTCCAGGCGGGGCCCCCGCATGGGAACACCTGTGGTCCAGGGCCCTGGGAGCTGCACCCCAGTGCTCAGCCCTGTCTCCCCCACCGGCCTTCGTGCAGATGGACGTGAGGAACGCCATTGTCCTCTTCTCCCTCTCTGCTGCCGGCGTCACGCAGGAGCTGGCCATCTCCCGCCGGCAGCGCCGCGTCCCGGGGAACCTGATGGGCTCCTACAGGTCGGTGGGGGTGGAGACAGGGGAGACGAAGAAGGAGGGGGCAGCCCGCTCAGGAGGCCAGGGGGGCATCCGTGCCCGGCTCAGGCCCATCGACGCAGACACCATTGACATTTACGCCCGCGCTGTGTTCCCTGCGGCGTTTGCGGCCGTCAATGTCATCTACTGGGCGGCATACGCCATGTGAGCACAGGACTCAGGCCACCCTCGCTTGTCCTGGCGCCCGGCGGCAGCTGCCCAGAAACTTCCTGGGAGAAAGAGCCCTCGGGCTGCCTTCCCCTCTGCGTGTTTCGAAGTGGGATGACAGTCGGCCACGGAAAACAAGAGGAAGCCTCGGCCTCCCTGAGCTCTGACCCCAGCCTCACCCGAAAGGCCAGCCTGGGGCTCTCCGGCAGGCAGCCCGAGACCTGCACAGATGAAGGAGCAGAGGTTCTGACCGAGAGGCTGAGCCAGGCCGGGGTCTGGGCCCTTCAGGGAGCCGCGGATTTTTATGTTCAGAAAGTGATCCTGGTTTCTAGGTCTTTGCTCTGCAGGATCGGGATCAGAGCGTGGGAGGAGGTGGGGGTGGACGTCCATCCGGTGAACAGTGAAGGCGTTTGTGAGGTCTTTCTGGTCCCAGCATGAAATAAAGCCTTGGCCTGGGGGCCGCTTCATTCTCCCTCACTGTGCTGCGCTTCACTCCTGGGGTGCCTGGAGCCCACCCCAGCTGCCCGGAACACCCTTCTCCAGCTGCAGGCTCCCTGGGCGGTGTTTGGGTGGGAGCTGATTGTGAAAGTGCAGAGAACACTCAGGGTTGAACATACACCTTGCCCAGGGGAAACAGTGGGTCGAGGTCCTGGGAAGGAGGCTGTCCTTGTCAGCAGGGCAGGCTTCGAGGGAAGAGCTTCAGGAAGTGATGAACCAGTTTTTGTGATGCTGGCTTCAGGCACTGGGTCTCCTCATCTATGTCCCCGCGCTGTGATGAGGCCATTTTCTCCAGGGGCGTGAGGCAAGATCCTGCGCCGACAGTGTGAGGGAGTGAGCTCAGGGTCACTGTCCCAAAGCCGGGAGCTTTTGAAGTGTCTTCCTGAGATCCTGGGGCTCAACACTAGACTTGGGAACAGAGACTTGGGGACACAGGGGCTCAGGGGCTGGATCCCAGATGAGCCATGTCTGGGGTACTGAGGGAGGGCTGAGGTGCAGAGGCCTGGAGGGGGCTAGAGGAGCTGCCACTCCCTTGGTCCCTGAGGCCTTTGGTCCAGTGGGTGTCCAGGGCTAGGTGCCACCATGGTCCCCTCTTGGATGTGAGGATAGACACATGGAGGCCACCGAGGCCTCACAAACACCACAGCCCTTTCCCACCTGCTGCCACTGCCACGGACATGGGGAGACCACCCTGCAGCCCAAGGACCCCCCCGGCCGTCAGAGCAGCTGACAGGCAGCTCTTAATGAGGGGTCCAGGTTTCACAGGGCACTGGGTCATTACTCGTGGAAGAATCTGAAGGGAGCAGTTGGAACAGCTGCTGGGGCTCTGCCATCCGCTGCAGGACCCAGGTGTCTGGGGCGCTACCATCCTCTGCAGGACCCAGGCATCTGGGGCGCTGCCATCCTCTGCGGGACCCAGGCATCCGGGGCACTGCCATCCGCTGCGGGACCCAGGCATCCAGAGCCATCACACGGCAGCTCGCAAGGTGGCAAAGTCGTCCAGGCCAGTGCCCTGTGGAATCAGGGTGGCCGCTAGCCCTGGGTGGCCCCCATCTCCATACCACTGGGGACCCGGGGATGACTGTGTGAATCACCTGTCCTCAGCACGGCCTGTGGCAGCCCTGGCAGGCTGAGCAAGCCGAGAAATCAAGTCATCACTGGGGCCCAGGCATTGCACCTGGGGATGGACACAGGCCAAGCTGCTTCCCCAAGGGCCAGGCTGTGCCCGAGAGCAGATGAGGGCACTGCCCACCATGGCCCAGACCACAGCCCCGTGTTCCACCTCTGGCCCCTGCTGGAAGGTCCCCCACGCCACTTCCTAACAACCACTCCTCATTTCCAGGCTGCCCTTTTGCGCCCCTGCTCTGCAGGACAAGGCTGTGAGGCTTGGCAGGGTCGTCCTGGGGGTGGGACAGGCTGGGGATGGAGGGGGTGGGACGGACCAGGCTCTGTTGTGGCCACAAGCGGCACACAGAACAGAAGTGAGCCCTGGGGCAAGCAGAGAGCAGGTGGCCGGGGAGCAGCAGAGCCGGATCTGGGTCAGCTGGGGCTCCAGGCCACCTCCCGACACCAAGGCGAGGCGGCTGAGCCTGCCAGCTCCCTGTCCAAGGACAGAGACACCCCTGCAGGGCCGGCTCTCACTGTCCCGCCTCCTACCCTCTGCTTCCTGGGCCTCCCTGCAGGGTTACCGCTCCCTCCTCCCTGGAGCTCACCTTGCTCTGGGGATAGGGGCCCAGGCCGCAGATGGCGCACGCTATAGCTATGGGCTGGGTCCCAGGCTGCCACCACTACCCACCCCAGGCCCCCAGGCTCCTGCCCCAAGGGCGGGCCTTCCACCCAGGGCAGCCAGGGAGGGTTGGCTCCAACTCCTGGGCCTTTGGGGGAAGGGGGTTGGTTCAAGATTCTGGGAACTATTTGGGGGCATCTCCTGGACCTGGAGGCTGTTGAGCCACCCCCCACCCCGCTCTCTGCTGTGAGGACCCTGGCCCCATCTCTGCCTTGTCCTCCTTGCGGCCGCAGGGTGCCCTCTTTCCCAGGCTTGTACCCACCAGGAGCTATTTAAAGCCAGCCTTTGCAACTGCCTCGGGCACCCACGCAGCCAGGCCCGCCCGGGCAGCAGCCGTGCCTGATTCTGCAACCAGCAATCACCCCCCCCACAAGCAGGCTGCTGTTTCTGCCCACATATTTACAGGGCCAGGAGGGACGGGAGGGCGCATGCTTTCAAACGCGACTTCTATTCTGGTAGTGAGGGCAGGAGCAGATGAAGGCGGGGGTGGGTCAGAGTTTGCAGCTGAGAGGAACCTGTTTGGGGAGGGGATGCCAGTGTTGCCCGCAACAGGGGGCACCTGCAGCAGAGATTGGTGGGCAGAGAGGCTGCCAGGGCTCCGTACACCCCCATCCCAGCAGAGACAAGTCTTTGGGGGCTGGTGGCTTCCTGGTCTCCGTGGAAGGCTGGACTGTGTACCATGAGCAGTGACCCCTGAGTGCCCTCTGAGAGTTGGGCCCACTCTTCCCTGAGGCTGGAGGCCGCAGGTGGAGCAAGAGGGGCCAGGACGTTGGGGACAGCATCCAGCTTCTCCGTCCCGTGGCAGAGTTGGGGCAGGCACCGGCCGTTACCCTGCCCCTCCCCTCCAGCGAGGCAGGCGGGTGCATAGGCCAAGCGGAGCTCACACCTAGGGGCGTCCTCATGTGGGTTCCCCTACAAACAGAGCCTGAGACAAGGACTTGGGTGCTGGGAGTTTATTTGGGGCTGGGGGTCTCCGCTGCCTAAACAAAGTACCACAAACCAGGTGCCTTAGAGTGACAGAATCTGTTCTCTCTGGAGCCGAATGTCCAAAATCAAGACGCTGCAGGGCTGGTTCCCTCTGGCAGCTCCAGGGAGGACCCTCCCCCGGCCTCCCTCCTGCTTCTGGAGTTGCCAGGAACCTCTGGCCCTCCTGGCCTGGCAGGTGCACTGCCCCAGTCTCTGCCTCCGTCTCTGAGTCATTCTGCTGTCTCTGTCTCTCCTCTTCTTCTCAGGCACCTGCCGTCGGATTTAGGGTCCACCCTACTTCAGTGCGGCCTTGTCTTAACTGCATCTTCAAAGACCCTAATTTGAAACAAGGTCAACATTCTGAGGTCCCGAGTGACTTTGGGAGCCATTTGGCTCCATAGAGAGGGTGATCCACAGAGGCAGGAGCTAGAGCAGGGAGCAGGGAGGGATGAGGAAGGAGGAAAAACAGGAATGGGCTTTACAATCTGGGACGGCCAGGTCCCAACCCCACTGGCGACCCTCTGCCCAGAGCCAAGGGGAATGTGCCTCCATATTGTCCTTTTAAATTTCTTTTTTAATTTAAAACAAAATTTTTAGTATAGATAGGGTCTCAATATGTTGCCCAGGCTGGTCTCGAACTCCTGGGGCTCAAACGATCCTCCTGCCTCAGCCTCCGAAAGCACTGGGGTTACAGACGTGAGCCACCCTGCCCAGCCTGAATTGTCCTTTTGAAGAATGAGGGGCTGCGCATTTATCCACCAACCCCCACCCAGCTCACATCCCCCAGGTCAGTCCTGCAAGCAAGCTGGGCAAGCGCCCTGTAGCGCTATGGAGGGCACTAGAGGCGGCACTGACCGTGAGTGAGTTTTTTTTTGTTTTTTGTTTTTTGTTTTTTTTTGAGATGGAGTCTTGCTCTGTTGCCCAGGCTGGAGTGCAGTGGCGTGATCTCAGCTCACTGCAACCTCTGCCTCCTGGGTTCAAGTGATTCTCCTGCCTCAGCCTCCCAAGTAGCTGGGACTACAGGCACGTGCCACCACACCCAGCTAATTTTTATATTTTTAGTAGAGACGGGGTTTCACCACATTGGCCAGGATGGTCTTGATCTCTTGACCTCATGATCTGCCCGCCTTGGTCTCCAAAAGTGCTAGGATTATAGGCATGAGCCACCGTGCTCGGCCATGAGCGAGTTTTTGTTTATTTGTTTGTTTGTTTTTTGAGACGGAGCCTTGCTCTGTTGCCAGGCTGGAGTGCAGTGGTGCGATCTCAGGTCACTGCAACCTCCACCTCCCGGGTTCAAGTGATTCCCCTGCCTCAGCCTCCCAAGTAGCTGGGATTACAGTCACGGGCCACCATGCATGGCTAATTTTTGTATTTTAGTAGAGACGGGGTTTCACTATGGTGGCCAAGAAGGTGTCAATCTCCTGACCTCATGATCTGCCCGCCTCGGCCTCCCAAAGTGCTGGGATTACAGGCGTGAGCCACCGCACCCGGCCATGAGTGAGTTTTATCCGCCCCCACAGCTGCTGCTTAAACCAGATGTAGCCCGAAGGGCGCAGCCCAGGCCCCAGAGCAGCTGGGAGCCCTGGCACTGCTTGCATCTGTTCCGGCGGATGCCATGTTAAGCTTGTCTGCGGCTGATTCTTCAAGGTGGTGGCAGCCAAAGCAAGAGAGACAGCCATGGAAGTCGTAGGGGGCTGGTGACGAGCCAGTCTGCAGGCATCTCCACGGCAGGAGGCCCTCCTCCTCCTCCACCCTGGCCCGCAGTCCTGCTGGCAGAGGTTACATCTGATGCGGCGACCCAGACCCCATCCGAGGAGTGAGCCTCGGTCACCGGCTTGTCAGGTGGATGTCAGTGTCATCGCCCACTCTGTGCCCCCGGCATGGAAGCCACAGGGGTGAATCCTCTGAGCTCCAGGCATTCTCCTCCCTGGCCCTACAAGTGCTCTCTTGTGCTAACCAGGTGTGGTGACCCCCGCCTGTGCCCACAGCCCACCAGCTGGGGGGCTCCAGAGGGAGCCTGACTTCCAAGCCTCTGTCCTTGCCGGGGTTGAGGGTGGTTTCAGAGGCTCTGGCTTTGCCTTCTCCACCATGGTGGTCCTCACTCCACAGGTCAGGGAAACAGAGGATCCTGGCAGCTGCTCAGGGCCTGCAACCTGCCATGGACCTGCAGACCAGGGCGTCACCATAGGTTGGGTCCATAAACCCACTGGATGGCCACAGGCCGGGACCCCATCGGTCACTTGGCATCCCCAGGCCCCCACGCTGACTGGGGGGACCCCATCGGTCACTTGGCATCCCCAGGCCCCCACGCTGACTGGGGGGACCCCATCGGTCACTTGGCATCCCCAGGCCCCCATGCTGACTGGGGGCTGCCATGACATGTTGGGTCCCTGGGTGGCATCAGACCCGAGATCCCAAAGCCCTTCCTGTTGCGGGCGTCCTTTCTCCAGGACAGAGCTACTCTGAAGATGCAGCCACAGTGGCTCTGGGGGAGTCTTCATCACACCTGCACGCGGTCCATCACACCTGTGTGGTCCATCACACCTGCACGCAGTCCATCATGCCTGCGCGGTCCATCACGCCTGTGTGGGGTTCATCCCACCTGTGTGGGGTCCATCACACCTGTGTGTGGTGCTGCAGGGCCCTTCTCCGAGGAGACCAAGGCTCTCCTCCAACCAATGGTCATGGTTGAGTTCTGGAAATGAGAGCAGGAGTCACAGTTTCCCACTGTGCCTGCAGGTCCCAGCCTTCTCCTCCCGGTGCTTGTTTATTTCTGGTTATTCAAGTCCAGTGCCTACCTCAGTTGGTTGTTCATCGCCCACTCCAGGGACATGGTGGCCTATGAGCCACAGATCGTGAGGGTCAGGCACCCCGGCTGCCCCCATTGCTGCACCGACACCCACCTTGCCTCCAGCGGTTGGCGCAGCCACACGGCTCCCATGGCAGGACCCGGGGCAGCACTTCCTCCTGCTAACATCGTCCACGCAGCTCAGCTCTCCAGGAGCTTCTCAGCAGCTCTGCTTTGTGCTAGCACCATGCTGGCCGCTCCACTATGGCTGTGTCCTCCGGGCCCTCCTGGGACCGAGGCAGGTGGTAGTCCCTGTGGTCTCATCCAGTGGACCCACCCGCTCAGCTGGGCACTGCCCAGCACTTTGGGAGGTTGAGATGGGAGGATTTCTTGAGCTCAGGACTTCAACACCAGCCCAGGAGACATAAGGAAACCCCATCTCTGCAAAAGAAAAATAGCCAGGTGTGGTGGTGTGCACCTGTGGTCCCAGCTACTTGGGAGGCTGAGGTGGGAGGATTGCTTGAGCCCAGGAATTCAAGGCTGTAGTGAGCTGTGACTGCACCACTGCACTCAGCCTGGGCAATAGAATGAGACCTGTCTCAAAAAAAAATTAAAAATAAATAAATCAATAAATAAACATTAAACCCACCCCCAGGCCCCAGACCCTGCCTGAGTCTGTTTGGCTGCCATAGACGCGTGGCTGATCAACAGCAGGGTTGATTTCTCACTGTTTTGGAGGCCACAGGTCTGAGATGAGGGTGCCGGCGTGTTGGGGCCTGATGAGGGCCCTCTTCCGGGTGTAGACGCCAACTTCTCGTTGTGTCCTTATGTGGCAGAAAGCGGACAAAGCCTTCTCAGGCCTCTTACAGGGGCACTAATCCCACCAGGAGGCTCCACCCCCCTCACCTCATCACCTCCCAGAGGCCCCACCTCCTAATACCATCACCCCTGGGGGCAGGATTTCAACTTAGGAATTTTGGGGCAACAGAGACATTCAGCCCACGGCAGACCCCTTCCTCACACTCCTCCAAGTGAATCAAGACTAGCTCTGCCTTGCTGGGACGTGAAATCCACCATCATAAATGGGTGCTTCCATGTCCCCCCTGATCTAGCATCCTCCACACCATCCCAGCCGCGACCGCCCATTCTCACCAGAGCCCGTCAGCCAGGACCGTCGCCTGGCTGCTTGGACTGTGACGCGAGCCATCGCCTCCCTGCTTGGACCGTGCAGAGGCTCCAGCTTTCATCCTGGCTGCAGGGAGAGAAGGCAGGGCAGACCCTGAAGGGGACAAGTGTCACGAGTAATGTCCCCCAGGAGACACTGAAGTCCTAGCCCCTGGCACCTGTGAGTGGGACCTTACTTGGAAATAGGGCCTTTGAAGACGTAAGTTAGATGGAGTCCTATTAGATTAGGGTGAGCCCTAAATCCGAACACTGTGTCCCTCTAGAGGAGGAGAACACAGAGGCAGGGGGAAGAGGGCTGGGTGGGGACAGACAGAGATCGAGGTGACATGCCTACAAGCCAAGGATTGCCAGCACCAGGGTAGAGGCCTGAGACAGACCTTCCCACACAGCCGCAGAAACACCAGCACTGCCCACACCTTGGTTTTGGACTTCGGGCCTCCAGAGCCATGAGATGATACATTTCTGTTGCCTGAAGTCACCCAGTTTGTGGCCATTTGTCATGGCAGCCCCAGGAAACTGATACAACCATCATCTTGCAAGATAAGTGCCCCAGATGAGATATTTTCAGGGACTCCAGACAGAAGCCTCCTCTGCTGTCCTCTAACAAGTGAGGTGGAATTTGGGAGCACAGTATTCACAGGTGAATTCACCCACAATGACCCCAAACCAGGCCTCAGTTCTGATGCCTTCCCTGCCAGGGCCCTGTGCTTGGCATAGCCGACCTCCATGGCTGCACAGAGGTCTTCTCTGGGATCTGTCGCTCTTCTGCTCAGCTATTGGGCCTGATTTTCAGCACCGTCTGCTTTCTCGCTATAGGAGAAGAGGGTTTCTTTCAATGCCACCGTAGAGAACTTTCTGGCTTCTGCAGCATTCCCCGAAGCCATAGTTGCTTCCAGACGCAGCCCTGGTGAGGGCTCTGCAGGCTGGCTTTCAGCTCCCCACCTTCCACCTCGTTGTCACTGTCCTGGTGAGAGACTCAATGCCACAACCCCACCCTGGAATTGGCCACCTCCAGGACCAACCGTCTTAGCTTGGGTGATCCCCAAAGGAGAGCCTGATATGAGACTTCAGTGCATGTAGTTATTTAGGGAGGTGATCCCAGGAGGTAGGAGTTAGAGGTGGGGTGAGACAGGGAGGAGGAAACGCCTGTGTTATTGCAGAAGCTGCATTGGGGGTCAGCTCTACTGTCCCCAAGTCCCTGGGACCTTCTGAGGAGCCACAGGAATGCACCTCAGAGTTGTCCTTCTAAGCACAGGATGCTGGGGCGTGGAGGAGCCAATTCCCAGCCCCGTTGCCTGAGGTGTGTCCCTGGGGAGAACTCCCCACCTTTCAGGCTGCCCTGCACTTGGGCTGAGCAGTTTGCTGTGGAGTCAGAGAAAGTCCCAAGGCAGAACAGCCGCAGAGACAGGAGGACCTTTCGGATGAGACTTGCCTGGCAACGGCCCATCCCGGCTGCTCTGAAACTACAGGCAAGCAGAGGGCATATGGCCCAGGCCACCAAAAACATCTACGGCCAAGAGCCGGGGATTTCCCACAAAATAAACCTAACCATTTTGGGGGAAATGAATGCGCTTTTCTCTCTTGCCTTGCTGAGTACGGGGCTTCTCTGGTGTCAGTGACTAGGAGTGCGGGCTCTGAAGTGAGCCAGCTATGCCGACCGGATATGTAACCCTGGGCAAGGCATTTACCCCCCTGAGCCCCAACATCTTCATCCCTTAAATGGGGACGGGGACGATCCTCCCCTTACTGGGTTATTTTGAACCTCAACAGGTATCATTAGCCAGACGCAGCTAGGCCAGTGCCTGGCAGTCCTACGGCTCAGTCATTTGCTTTTATTAGTTAGTCCAAGGCAGCCGTCTGCCTGGCTTGGGCGGAGATTAGCCTTGTCAGAGAAGAAATGCAAAAAGAACACTCGTTACTATTTAGGTTTAGACACTGGAAATAGGATTTGTAGCAAGACAATAGCCTTGCAATCTGGACTATTGTGTTAAAAATTCCCTCACTGGCTGGGCGCGGTGGCTCAAGTCTGTAATCCCAACACTTTGGAAGCTGAGGCGGGGGGATCACCTGAGGTCAGGAGTTTGAGACCAGCCTGGCCAACATAATGAAACACTGTATCTACTGAAAATACAAAAATTAGCTAGGTATGGTGGCAGGCACCTGTAATCCCAGCTACTCCAGAGGCTGAGGCACGAGAATCACTTGAACCCAGGAGGTGGAGGTTGCAGTGAAACCCCACTTCCTAACCTCTCTCAGCTCCCAGTTACTACACCCCCAGGGCGATCAGAGGAGATTCGGTCATCGGCCTGCTCCTCAGCGTGCTGTGAATCAGGCTTTCTGCCCTGCAGAGAAGGATTTGACCTAAGAAATGGGGAAAACCCACCTCTCCAGGCCCGGGAGAGTTGGAAGGAGGAGGCAGGCGCAGGGTGGAGGAAGAGGACTCCTGCTGGCTCCCGACACTCAGTAACTTCACTGGCCACTGTGGCCACACGGGGTGGGTTGTCTGGTCTGCCATCTTGAGCTTCTAGAGTGGCTGGCTTGCATCCACTGAGGCTGAGGGAGACACCCTAGGAGAGAAGCTGGGGGCTCCACCGAGGCCAAGGAGCTGAATGGCAAGTTGGGGGCAAGGGGCCTGGTCGGGCACTTGCTGTCACCAGATCAAATCTTTTGTTTCTGGCCGGGCACACTGGCTCATGCCTGTAATCCCCGCACTTTGGGAGGCCGAGGCAGGTGGATCACCTGAGGTCAGGAGTTTGAGACCAGCCTGGCCAACATGGCGAAACCCTGTCTCTACTAAAAATACAAAAATTAGGCAGGTATAGTGGCATGCGCCTGTAATCCCAGCTACTCAGGAGGCTGAGGCTGGAGAATTGCTTAAAACTCTGAAATGGAGGCCAGGTGTGGTGGCTCACGCCTGTAATCCTAGCTCTTTGGGAGGCTGAGGTGGGCGGATCATGAGGTTAGGAGATCGAGACCATCCTGGCTAACACAGTGAAACTCTGTCTCTACTAAAAATAAAAAATTAGCCGGGCATGGTGGCGGCCGCCTGTAGTCCCAGCTACTCGGGAGGTTTAGGTGGGAGAATGGTGTGAACCCGGGAGGCAGAGCTTGCAGTGAGCCGAGATCACACCACTGCACTCCAGCCTGGGCGACAGAGCAAGACTCTGTCTCAAAATAGAACAAAACAAAACAAAAATCTTTTGTCTCTGACCCAGGAGTCTTGTGTCTTCTGACAGCATCTGTGAGACTGGGGCCAGCTAATTTGTCCAAGCTCAGGTCCTTCACAGCTCTAGACAGTTCCTCCACGACAATGTCAGCTGTGGGTGCAAACAGAATGCCCACATCCCAGCTGCCCAACCTCACCTAGCAAGCCTCAGGGCAGCCACTCTATAGCCAGGCACAGCGAGGGTCTGGGGCACTTTGGGATCTGAGGAGCCCCGCAAGCCTCGTCTTTGACTTCACAGGAGCCCCTTTCCCTCCACACCCAGCTGTCATCTCGTGGGGGACATAAGACAGATTAGCGACTGCCGAAGACTGAGGAGAACTTAAGCACTCATTCGAATGTTGGGTTCAGATGACTTGAGCTATTGCTTTTCCTGCTGCCTGGTACATGGGGGCTCGAGAAGGGATAAGAGATGGAGGAGAGGTAAACGGCGACACTCTCTTCCCCTCCCAGTTCCATGGCCTCTAACCATGCTCCCCACCCCAAGCGTCCCTGGGAAGGGCTGAGGACTGCCCTGCTGGGGGCCTGAACTGGATCCCGTGGGACTTGTTCTGGCCTTGGGGTTCCCCACTTTCCCAGCCGTGAAGCAGAGACTGGGCTGGCTGGAGCCGGCTCACAGCCCCAAGTGGGCCTGGGACCCAGTGGTAGCAGATACACCCTGGGTATCCAAGCGATGCTCAGGTCAGAAGATCCACAAGGACACAGCTCGGCCACGAGCAAACACAGCTCTGCCACGCTGAGACAGTGTTGCAACAAGCCGGGCGTTGGGTCTGACAGCTCGAGCCCGTGAATCGCCCCCACCCACTTGTGGTACAGTTCCCACCTCACACAGGAGGAGCCCGAGGCCCAGCAAAGTGAGGGGACGAGCTCCTGACCACAGAGTGGGAAGGGTTCCAGTCTAGCTGGCTCAGATACCCCCCTACATCCTCAGCCCTGCATTAGGGAGCTTCCCCTAGCGCCCCCCAGGCCAGTCCACGCCCTGGTCAGCAGAAGCCTCTGCACCAGGAGAGCCCCACCCCATTGCCCCTGCAGGGCACTCCTGACCTGGTGACAAGGTCCCCGGGGTCTGCTCCCTGCACAAGGGGCTGGGACACTTTCCAAAGACAGAGACGCTGGTACACGGTGCAGCTGCAAGGACTTGGGTCTGGAGCCTCCCTGCTGGGCAGGGCCCTGTCCATCCAGCTGCTGGCTTGTTGGGGCCAGTGCCACCTGGGAGGGGGCATGGCTCCTTCTGTCCTAGCAGAGCTGCTTTTGCCTGGGGAGCACTACAGTGTGTGCCTGCACGTGTGCATGCATGCTGTCTGTGCATGTGTGTGCTGTGTGTGTGCATGTGTGTGCATGCATGCTGTGTGTGCATGTGTGTGGGCGTGTGCATAAGTGTGCCTGTGTGTGGGTGTGTGCGTGTATGCTGTGTCTGCATGTGTGCATGTGTGCCATCTGCATGTGTGTGGATGTGTGCCATCTGCGTGTGTGTGTGTGTTTGTGTGTGTGTGTATGTGAGACTCTCAATCTCAAAGGCCACAGAGCCACCAGCCAAGCAGAGTTCACAGTGGACCCCATTCTGCTGCTGGCCACAGCCCCCCACCTTGGCCCTGGCAGCTGATGTGGAGGAAGGCTTCTGGTTCACAGTGGTGCTTGCATTTCCACGTCTTTCCTTGAGATAGATCCCAGAAGTGAAGCTGTGAGACCAGATGACGTGGACATCTTTGAGGCTCTGAGTGCCTTCTGTCAGCCTGCTTTCTAGAAGACGGTCCCAGGGCCGGGCACGGTGGCTCACGCCTGTAATCCCAGCACTTTGGGAGGCTGACGCGGGCAGATCACAAGATCAGGAGATCGAGACCATCCTGGCTAACATGGTGAAACCCCGTCTCTACTAAAAATACAAAAAATTAGCTGGGTGTGGTGGCGGGCGCCTGTAGTCCCAGCTACTCGGGAGGCTGAGACAGGAGAATGGCATGAACCCGGGAGGCGGAGCTTGCAGTGAGCCGAGATCGCCCCACTGCACTCCAGCCTGGGCGACAGAGCGAGACTCCATCTCAAAAAAAAAAAAAAAAAAAAAAAGAAGATGGTCCCAGACGCAGCTCCCACGGTGGGTGGCATCCGAGTCCCCTTCTCTCACATCCTTGCCAGGCCGGGAGATCCAAAGGACGAGCCCTTGGCTGTGTCTTCCCAGGGCAGTCTGGCCTTTGAGCGGTTCATAAACACCAGGCCTCAGGGCTCCAGGGGCCCTGGCACTCAGTCTTTGAATAAAAGGCAAAGACAACTGGGGAGGGCGGGGCTCACAGGGACCTTGGCTGACAGGTCCTCCAGCCTGGTGTGGACGGGAGTGGCAGGACGGGGAGGAGCTCAGGGGAGGGTTCAGAGGCCTTTCCTGGCCCCTGCTTCAGCATCTCCCCGTGATGGTTTGAGTGAACCGAGATTTTGTCTGTTTTCACGAGGCTAAAATAGCGTGTGGAGCAGTCCCATGAACAGTTCCCAGCATTGCCATGGTGACCGTGGTTCTGGTGCTGCCTCCTCAGACGCACCAGCCTCGCGCCGCGTCTGAAATAACCCCAGGGAGCCGAGGGCGGTGGAGGTGGGGGCCCACCACCCAGCAGCAACTGTTGGACCCCGCAGCGCAGGAGTGGCAGGGCCCGTCTGCAGTGCAGGAGTGGCAGGGCGTGTCCGCGGTGCTGACCGGTTGGTCTTGGGCCCTGGCGCTGTGTCCCCGCACAGGTCTCGGGAGAGGTTCTCCACTCTGAGGGCGTGTCCAGTCCAGAGAAGGGGACGCGCGGCGTGTTCCCCAGTGGTCTGGACCCTGGGGTCCCGCCCCATCCCTGCCCTGCCCAGGCCCTGCCCCCTGCTGGTGTGTGTCCCTGGACCAGGCATGGAGCGACCCCGGCCCTGGTGTCTCATCCACAGAATAGGGTCATGATTCTCACGTCCTAGGGATGGGCTGAGGGTCCCAGAGGCGATGTCGGACACAGACGGTCCTCCAGGGGAAGGCACCATTGAGCGGGGTGGGGGCCTGAAGGGAGGCTGTGCCTTCTGGTGAGACTCAGCCAGGGAAGCTGTGTGCAGAGCTCAGCCTGGCAGTGTCCAGCCCTTCCCTGCCTCCCCTGGGTGCCCTCCCAGCTGCTCTATCTTCCAGGCCAGCCTCCTCTTTCCTCCCCTGGCCTCTCCAGACCCTGGACACAGCAACCCCACCTCCTCCTCACTGTGTTGGCTCTGCTGGGAGTGGCAGTGCCCAGCCCCTCTGACAGTATGTGCGCGCGCACACACACACACTCAGAGAGCTCCACACACACACAGGTACACACAGAGCTACAGACACACAGGTACACATAGAGAGTTACACACAGGTACACACAGAGAGCTCCACACACTGGTACACACAGAACTACAGACACACACACAGGTACACACAGAGAGCTCCACACACACACAGGTACACAGAGCTACACACACACACAGGTACACACAGAACTACAAACACACACAGGTACACACAGAACTACAGACACACACACAGATACACACAGAAAGCTATACACACACACACACACACACATACACACGGCCCCCCACACATGGGTACCTGTGGAGAACTACACACATATATGCAGAGACTGCATTCGTGAGGTCCCATCTGAATATTTAATTTTTAAGTTATTATTATTATTTTTTTAGAGGCTGGGCTTCACTCTGTCGCCCAGGCTAGAGTGCAGTGGTGCCACATCTCAGCTCACTGCAGCCTCCACCTCCTGGGCTCAGGTGATCCTCTCACCTCAGCCTCCTGAGCAGCTGGGACCACAAGCACACACCACCGCACCCAGCTAATTCTTAAACTTGTTGTAGAGACGGGGTTTCACCATGTTGCCCAGGCTTGTCTCCAACTCCAGGCCTCAAGCGATGCGCCCGCCTCGGTCTTCCCAAGTGCTGGGAATGCAGGCGTGAGCCACCGCGCCCGGCCCAATCCGCAGATTTTAAGCGGGGACGACTTAAAAACAGGATTGCTGAGCTGCGACGAGGGGGGCTGCAAGGGGAAGGACACGCGGCCCCCGGGGCTGAGGGCGGCCCGGAAGGATGGACTCCGAGGCGGGGCTGAAAAGGGGGCAGCCGCGCCAAGCAGGAAGCGCCCCGGGGTGGGGCGGGAGGCCCGGAGGCCCCGGAGCCAGAGCGGGCAGGGCCGGCGCTGCGCGGTCGCCGAGGGACCCACGTGCGGGACGAGCTCCCCGGGCCCCCACGCGCCGCCAGCCCGAGCCCCGTCTCCCCGCGCGTCCCTCCTGCGCCCCCTCCTGGGCAAGCTCCGCATTGCGCGCGGCCGCCAGCAGCCCGGGACCCGCGCAGCTCCCCGAGGCCAGGACAGCCAGCAGGGAAGTGCCAGGCCTGAAACGCCGCCGGAGGAATGGTACCCAGAAGCTCGGGCGCTGGAGGGCGGCTGTGGAGTGAGGGGCACACGGGCGCGTGGAGGCAGTTAGCGACAGACACACGTGCGCCGGCACATGCACACAGAGGCGGGCACACACAGACACGTGGGCACAGAAAGGCACGCAGGCTGGGCCGGTGGCTCATGCCTGTAATCTCTGCACTTTGGGAGGCTGAGGCACCAGGATGGCTTGAGCCCAGGAGTTTTAAGGTCAGCCTGGGAAACGTAGTCCATGTCTACAAAAAAATACAAAAATTAGCTGGGCGCGGTGGTACGGGCCCGTGGTCCCAGCTACTCAAGAGGCTGAGGTGGGAGGATCACCTGAGCCCAGGAGGTCCAGGCTGCAGCGAGCCGAGATATGGCACCACTGCACTCCAGCCTGGGTGACACAGTGACACCCTGCCTAAAAAAAAAAAAAAAGCAGGAAAAAAAGACACACGCACAGACATCTATGCATGCATAGACACACATACGTCAACACAGACACACAAGCACAGACATATCTATACACACACGTGGACACACATACACAGACACATGTATGCATTCACACAATACACACAGACACAAACACATATAGACTCAGATAAGCACACAGGCACTCACACCCCACACCCTGTCTGAGGCTCCCCTGACCCTCCTCGCTGGGGCAGCCTGGCCTCTTCACACTCCCTGCACCCTTCACTCACAGAGCCCTTGCTCCCTGGGGCCACAGAGCTGCCCCACTGCACACATCATCAGTCCCGGGGCCAGCCTCTCCCCCGGGGACCTGGTCAGCCCGTCTCAGCCATTCTGCACTCCTGTGGTTCTCTGACAGTGGCCCGTCTCCAGCAGCGTCCCACCAGGAGACCCCGCCTGGCCAGCTCACTGCTGTATTCCTGGCTCAACTCCTGGCCCTCCGTCCAGTAGGCCCTCAACCAACGTCCATCAAATGAACCCATGCAGCTGACATTGTCTCTTGAGCCAGTTTTTCCAAATCCCATGATCCCTGACACAGAAAGGAAACATCTGGCCAGTCCCTCCCACGGCTGCTGTGCCCAGAGCCTGTGAGCAAACGCCTGGCCCTTCCTGTGACGGTGGTCCTCGCAGGACCCCACAGGGCAGCCTCACATCTGGCAGGAAGACCCACCCGGGCCCCTTGGGCTCTGTGAGATGCCTGCTCCTGTCGGGCACCTTTCTGGGCAGTCCCAAGCACTAAGCCAGCACAAATGCAGTTTAAGAGGCTGATGAGGGAGGCCTCCTCCTGGGGGTGTGGTGATGGGGACCCCACGGGCCACAGCCAACCCCTCCCAGACGTCCGATGAATCACACTGAGTGTAAACTGCCTCTCTTCTAAAAGGTCTCAACATCACTCGACAGTATCATCAAAGGACTCTTCCTAAGGAAAATCACAGGGTAGGCCCGGCAGCCACACAGAGCCACCTTGGCGGGGTCAGGAGCTGCGGCTCCCAGGTGCCCCAGCCCTGCTGGGAGGCCACCCTCAGCCAGACCCTGCAGCCACACTGCCCTCTGCCGGTCAGCACCCTACCCCAAGCCCCAGCGGTCACCTAGCACCTCCACCTGCGGTCCCAGGCACCGGGAGAGGGAAGGCTGCCTGCACTGGGAGAGGGAAGGCTGTCCGCTTCACGGCCGGGGTTCTTGCTGCTTAGCTGGGGTTTTGGGAAAAGGCTTCACCTTGCCCTATACCGTTCTGTGTTGCTTGAGTTTTATAAAAAGTCAGTGTGACTTTCATAACTTGTTTTTTTCATTTAAAAAATAATAGGTGTTTATGATTATGAAAGTATATGAGAACTTTATGAAAAATTTGGGAGCTACAGAAACTGCTGAGGTGGAAAAGCCTGGCCTTTAGCCACCCAGAGGCCTCTCTCGGAGCCTGCCCTGCCCACTCCAAGGGTCACCTCCACACCCCACCCGCCCCGGAGGACCCAGGGTGAGTCCTTGGAAGCTTCCAGGGCTGTGCCTTCTCGGTGTGCTGGGCTCGATGGGACATGACTCTGTCCCCACCCACTAGGGGTCTTAGGAGGCTGCCTGGCTCCAGCACTCTTGAGGGGTCCTTACCCGAGTCACTCACTCATTCCCCGTGTGCCAGGTGCCTGGAGAAGCTGTGGGGACCCGGCCTAACAGGGCCCAGCCCTCAGCCGGGATCTGGATGGGAGTCGTTGGCAGATTCCAGAGCAAACACCCTGTATCTGTCGCCGGGCGACACAGTGACACCACCGCCAGCCAGTGAGCCTATCCGTGTCTCAGGAAGCGCCCTCTGCCCTCAGGGCCCTCTCAGGGGCACAGGCTCAGGGCAGAGGACCTAGGAACCTCCCTGTGACCTGCCCTGCCTGCCCAGAGGCGGGTCCAGGGCCTCCCAGGCCTTTGTTTTGCAGATCTCATTAGCGGAGACCTCTGCCTCCTGGAGGGGAGGCCAGAGCAGGTACTGGGGGAGGTTTTGGGGACGTTTTGGGCAGCCCCTGTGCCCGCAGTCCTCTGCTAGAGCCTTTCGGAACCTGTGTCTGTCCCGACCCCCCCTCCACCGGCGGCATCAGGGCTGAACAAAGTCTGACACTGGGGTTGACCATCCACTGACGTTGCCCTCTCCCTCCCAACCCCAGAGAGAATAGAGCCCCGCCCCCCACCTTCCCTCGCTGGGACTGGGGCACTGCCACGGCCCTGGGACTGGCTTCCAGGACGGAGGCTCCCGCCTGGCAGCACAGATCTCCCCAGGGAGGCCAGTGCCGAGGGCCTGACCCAGCAGGGGCGTCCTTGGTTAGAAAGGGTCCTCCGGGGCCTTGGGTGGGGCAGGCCCAGGGAGAGATGTCCAGTGACAGGGAAGGACACAACCGAGGGTCCGTCCTGCCTGCTGTGGGCAGTGGTATCAAGGACCGGGCCTTGCTGCCTCCTTGGATCAGAACGCCAGCCAGGAAGTCCTGTGGGTGCCCAGTGGCCCCTTCCAGGCACCGCCCCACTAAGGTGAAACCCTGCTCTTTCCTGCCCATCAGGAAGCGCCCAGGCCATGTTGCCAGGCCAGACTCCAGACAAGGCCACAGCCCTGGCCATGGGGCCTGGAGTGGGGGAGCTGGGCCGACGGGTGCCTGAATCCAGGGCTGCTGCAGGTGCAGGTTCCCACTCATCACTGTACCCTGCCAGGCTGCCCCCTCACCCTCTACTCTCTGCCCCCCTTCATGCCCAGCTGATGGGCATGGGGCTTTGTGCCTGTGCGAGGGATAGAGGGGGTTGCCCCATGGAGATGGGGGTGAGGAGTAGATTGCTGAAATGGGCATTAGGTATGCTAGAGACTTCAAGGAAGTGTGGGTGCCAGTCCAGCAGATCTCTGCAGGCAGGTGCTCCTGGAAGAGGGAGTGGCTGTGCAAAGAGGGAGTGGCCGTGCAAAGACGGAGGCCGGGGCAGCAAAGAGGCCTCGAGGCCGGGGCAGAGGAGCTGGCCTTCCCTCCAGGAGTGATGGGAACCACTGGGGGGACTTCGATGACCCAGAAAGATGGAGTGGGGGAAGACGTCAGCTGAGAGGCTCATTAGGAGGATGCCTGGGGCTGGGTGAGTGTTGGTTGGGAGCTCAGGGGGCCCATCTGAGCTGGGGATGCAAAGCGGGCCAAAGGCTGAGGCTGGGGCTCCACAGTTTTAAAAGCTGCAGACCAGGAGGGCGAGGGATGGGAGATTTAGGGAGCTGGAACCCGGGGCCAGGGATGTGTGAGCCTTCCCAGGAGGGGTCTGATACCAAAGGCCAAGTTAAGAAAATGTCTGAGGCCGGGCACAGTGGCTCACGCCTGTAATCCCAGCACTTTGGGAAGCCAAGGCAGGTGGATCACCTGAGGTCAGGAGTTCGAGACCAGCCTGGCCAATATGGAAAAACCCCGTCTCTACTAAAAATACAAAAATCAGCTGGGCATGGTGGTGGACACCTGTAATCCCAGCTACTTGGGAGACTGAGGCAGGAGAATGGTTTGAACCCAGGAGGCAGAAGTTGCAGTGAGCCGACATCATGCCATTGCACTCAGCCTGGGCAGCAAGAGCGAAACTCCATCTCAAAAAAAAGAAAAAGAAAGAAAAAAAGAGAAAACGTCTGAGAACCGACGGCTTGTATTTAAAACGTGTGAGTGGGTGGTGGCAGGAGAGGTAGACAGGGAGCAGGGCCGGCTTGGCGGAAGCTTTGCTGTAGAGAGGGGCAGAGATGGCTCGGTGGGTGGAGGGAGGGGCAAACGGTGTTTAAGAAGAAAAAACGACAGCTTCTGCGTAGGAGAGGGGCCTCCTGTCCATCTCCAGGGAGAACATGGGTTCTGTGGCCACAGGTCTCCCCAGGGCCTGGCATCAAGGAGGCGCCAGGCACGACCTGCGGGATGAAAGCACGTGGCTGAAGTCCTGGTGGCTGTGTCTGGGTGAGGGGTGTGAGGGCGTGGCCTGAGCAGGTCCACTCTCAGGGGAGAGGGGCCGAGGCCAGGAACTGGGTCTGGGTGTCCACCTGGTGCCTGGGTGAGGTCCTGCAGGCAGCAGGTCTGGGCTTCAGTGGATGCAGCCAGTAAGGGATGGGCTGATCAGGGAAAACCGTATTTTCAGGGGAGGAGCCCAGGAGGCAGGGAGCTGGGCGGCGGTGGAGGGGCCTGGAGGGCGATTGTCCAGATCAAGCCCCTCGAGTAAGGCCCGAGAGGCTGTGGCTTCAGAAATGAAGGTCATGGGCGACTCGGGCCAATGCCGCGTCCTTGACCTGGGCGAAGTGAGCGGTTGCACTCACGAGTGTGGACGGCCCTTCCCTACAGGGGACCTTGGATTCGCTGGGGGCGGAGTGGGGGCTGGGGCCCAGAGAACCCGAGTCCGGACGCTCCCGTCCGTGACCCTGGCCGGGTTCTCCGCTCCTCGCAGCTTCAGTCCGCAAGTGTGAGATGTCAGGGGACCCCTGGACGGCGGGGCCCTCGGGCTGGCAGCGCGCGCCGCAGGAGTTTCGATTCGGAGGGTCTGGGCGAAGGCCGAGAACTCGCGTTTCCAGCGAGTTCCCGGGGGCGCCGCTCCGTCCCAGAGGCCGGGGCCCCTCCGGTTGCCGGGCAGAGCCGCGCCGCGCGCGGTCCCATTGGCGCAGGTGCGCCGCGCCCCGCCCAACAGGTAGCCCCGCCCGACAGGTAGCCCCGCCCGCGCCTCGCCATTGGGCCGCGGCCGGGTGTCCCCCGAGGATTGGCCCAGGTGGCGGCCCCGCCTCGCCCTCATTGGCCGCAGGTGCCACCGCCCGCCCCGGGACCGCCCGCCCCGCGGATTGGCCGCTGGCTCCACCTCGGTCCGCCATGTTCGGACACCGCCCCCCGCCCCCGCCGGACGGTCCCGCCCCGCGCGCCCCCCGCTCCCGCCCCGCGCGCCGCCGGAGTTCCGCGGAGTTGACCGGGTCGGCGCCGTCGGTCCTGAGCGCTGCCTTCCGCGTTCCGCCGCGGCCCCACCTGGAGCCCCCGCCCCGCGCCATGGCCGGAGCTCCCGGGGCGCAGCGCTGACGGCGGCGGGGGGAGCGCGCCATGCCCAGCAGGACCGGCCCCAAGATGGAAGGGAGCGGCGGCCGCGTCCGCCTCAAGGCGCATTACGGGGGGTGAGCGGCGGAGAGGGCGGGGAGCGGCGCGGGTGAGGCAGGGAGGGCGGGGAGGGCTCAGCCGTCGGGGCTCCTGCGCGAGAGGGAGAGAGGGAAGGGGCGGCGAGGTCGCTGCGGGCCCGGGGCTGTCGCGGGAGGTCCTCGGTCCCCGCCCGTGAGCGTCACCCGCGGACACGTCGTGGACAGCGCGGGCTCCTTCCCCGGGACCGGGTTTCCCTGGGGTCGGCCCCGCGCCGCGAGCTCCTCGGCCCGGTCATTGTGGTAGACGTTTTCGCTGGAAAGTTGGGCGGGGACGTTCCGGCCGCAAACCTGTAAGGACTGAAAGTTTTCATCAAGTTGTGAAAACTCCTGGCGGGTTTCTTAAAATCAGCGTTTCCTAAACGTTCTCCACGTTTACCCGGTCGGGGGTCTCGCTTTAGCCAAAATCCGGAGACCCGGGGCGCGGGCGCTGTGGCTCCAATGCAGCCCCCGGCAGGGCTCGGGGCGGTCGGGCGGGGACAGGGGTTTCTGGAGGAGACGGTGGGGCCGAGACTGACCCTGGGGTTTGCGTCGCACCCGCCCCCCGGAGGCCCTTGCCTGGCTGTGGGAGGGGGCGCGGTCAGGTGCTGGAGCGGAGGGGTCCTGGACTCTTGGCCGCCGCCTCGGGGCAGCGCTGCTGGGGGTGGCGGGGGCTGCACCAGGTGGCCGGGCTCACAGGCACAGCGGAGGGGTCGCTGCCCCCCGAAGTGTGGGCGGTGGGGAGGGGAGGACCCGTGGGTTTGTTCTTCCACCTGTGCGCGTCTCCAGGAGCCCCGAACTGGGACCTCCGCTCCCGCGAGGGTGGCTGCTGCTGCAGAGAGGGAGGGGAGCAGAATGCGGGCTCCGGACTTGCACTGGCTGGTCCTTGGGATCTCGAAAAGCTGCTCCTGCCCCGGTGCGTCCTCAGCTACAGCGTGGGCAACCTGAGCCCCAGAGGCAGGGACGGCCGGCAGGGTTAGGCGGGTGACAACTTCCCCGGGCCACGTCCTCTCAGGACAGTGCCCCGGGGGTCTCTATGGTGCCCTGCGAGTCTGAGCGGGTTCAGCTTCCTGCGAACCTTGTCTTGGGGTCTCGGGTCAGCCATCTGGGGCTGCTTGGCCCCGGGTTTGTTGAGGAGGCTCAATTGTCTCTTCTTTGGGAAGGTTGGGGCCTCTGCAGCTCCCCTGTGGCAAGCACCTGGAACCTTCGGGGTGCAGTGGCCCGGGTTTGGTGCCAGAACCAGAAGAAAGGGATTTCTGGGGGACTGACCGTCCAGCCCTACCTGAAGAGGTAGGGCAGCCATGTCTTTTGGCCTGGAGGTCAGCAGGTTAAAACTTGGTATGGTTGACGTTCTGGCTATTGGACTTGTCCAGGGACCTGGGCTTCCTGTCTCCTTGCCATTCTGGAGCCACCACACTGGGCAACAGGTGATGGTGCGGAGCTCAGGGGAGTCCTGCGAGAGGGAGGTCCACACCCGAGGGGCTGCAGGGGCCCAGACCCTCCTGCATTCCGGCGTCCAATTCCTGGGACCAAGGCTCGGAGGCAATGCCACTGGAGTTCTGGGCCGCCCCGTCCTCCCTCTGCCTTGCTTTGGCCCCTGGGAGCACTTTGGTGGTGGGGCGGGTGTAATTCCACCCGGTGACTCTGGTTTCCCAGGCTGGAGAGACCAGGCTCCCACCCCTTCCTCTTCCCTCCCTTCCCGGACTCTCTCCCCTCTCTCCCCACCCCTTCCTCTTCCTCCCTCCTTCCCTGTTGTTTTCCCTCCTCTTCCCGCTCTCCCCTCTCTCCCTTCCCTGCCACACCTCTTCCTTCACCTTCCTCCCCCTTCTAGGGCACGTCTCCCCTCTGGCTCTTCCCTGCTCCTACCATTCCTTCTCTCCTCTCTCCCCTCCCAGGTCCTCCTCCTCTCTGCTGCAGAGTGTGAAGTACCCTTCTCCCCGTTCTGGCTCCTCGTCCCTCTGGGCACCCGGTGCCTCTCTGAGGGGACTGGCTGTGGGGTGGGACACTCAGGCCTTAGGGCAATGACACAGTTCCAGAAAGCGGCTGCCAGGATGAGTACTGGGTTATTGAAAGCCCTAGAAACTCTGTCCCTGGGGTGAGACGCTGCTGTCCGTGGGGGTAGCTGAGCGTGGACACGTGGAAGACTAGTCTTTAGAAAAAGGAAGAGCACTTCAGTCACCCCCATGGGGCATGGCCACCCCGTCATCCTTGCCTGTCCTCCCAGGGCCCTCTGAGCACACTTGAGATCCAATCCTCGCCACCCCACCCCGCCCCCTGTGGGCCTGAGGGGTCCCCAGGCACCTGTGTTTTCAGGGAGTCCCAGGTGGCCTGGGCCAGACTCCCACGCTGAGTCTCAGATGCCCGCTCTTCTAGGGCCACAAACACTGGTGCTGGCTCTTCCCTCTTTCAGCTCAGACTTTTTTTTTTTTTTGAGTCTCGCTGTGTTGCCCAGGCTGCAGTGGTGTGGTCTCGGCCCACTGTATCCTTCACCTCCGAGGTTCAAGCAATTCTCCTGCTTCAGCCTCCCTAGTATCTAGGACTACAGACGCCCGCCACCACGCCCGGTTAACTTTTGTAGTTTTAGTAGAGATGAGGTTTCACTTTGTTGGCCAGGCTGGTCTCGAACTTCTGACCTCGTGATCCGCCCGCCTTGGCCTCCCAAAGCGCTGGGATGAAAGGCGTGAGTCACCGCGCCTGGCCCAGCTCAGACAACGTTTGTGTTCAGGGAGCTTCTGTGTGCAAAGCCCAGGGCTTGGTGCTGAGGCCAACAGAGACGCAGGAGTCTCTCCCGGGCGGCCCAGCTGGCTGCTGGGTGCTGAGTCCTGGACGCCCCTGCTGAAGGGCACAGGGCAGCTGTTTGATTCAGGATTGGGATAGGGTTGGAGGTGGTGGCCTGACACTTCCCAAGCCCTGGGGTTTTACTGGAGCCACCCACCTGGCCTCTAGATTGGCCGGAAACTGGCTTCCACTGGAGGCAGGACTGTAGGGGTAGGGGCGTGGGGCAGGAAGAGGTCAAAGGTGAAGTGATGGCCGACTCCCACTCTGGAGTTCCTGGTGGTCAGACTTTTGGACTCCAGGTCAGGCAGCAGGCGTGGATGTCAGCTTGGGGCGACCCCAGGGTGATGGGTGTGTGACCCCCCTCCATTCCTTACTTTCCTAATCTGCCATGATGCTGTGGGCTGTGGCGAAGACCAGCCAGGTTGGTTCCTGTGGGGTGCTTGGGCACTGGGGGCAGGTGCTGGGTGGCCAGTTCCAGCAGGAAGGGGTGGGTAGCTGGGGCGTCTGTCCCCCAGGCCCAGGTGGCCCAGGGTGACTGGGTGAGGCCTGTGGGGCAGGTGGGCCCTGGGCTGCTGTGTCAGGGCCGCGGCTGTGGACCGATCCTGTGTTCTGTTTGCACTGGAGTTCTTGTCTGGGATGAGAACTTTGTTTCTTGAAACTTGTCTGATGAATTCAGATAACCTTGATGGGGAGCCAGCAGTGTCAGCGAAGAGCAGAGCCTGTATCTCTGGTTGGGACATCTCACACCCCTTCAGGCTTCTTTTTATAGGCCCTGTGCTCTTGCCCCGCGCTCTTGTGGGTGTCAGAAAGCCGTAGATTTTTCTGAAAATTCAGTGTGTTCACAAGGGTGTGATTCCCGCTCTGAGTTTCAGGAAACACCAGCTGGGCCCTGTGGTGGTCCCTCCCCTCCACGCAGGGTGAGACCAGCTCTTGCTCAGTGCAGGAGGTGAGGGGGGACCTCGGGTCCCTATCAGCAGGGAAGTGCCAGCCTTCAAAGGGTGCCTGGGAGTCCGTGAGCTTCCCCAGCCCCTGGAGTTCAGGTCCTGTCTGGGGCTGAAAAGATAAAACACACTGACTCTGTGTGACTCGGTTTTAAAAAAAAAAAAATCTGCCGGGGCTTCTGCCGTGGCTGCAGCAACGGACCCAGTGCCCACTCCGGGGTCTAAAGAGTGGCCTTTCATTATGGAATTATTTAATCCCCGCCACTTCACCGCTGGCACCGTCGAGGTCTGGGGGCAGGTCTGACTGGTTTCCTTTACCTTAGTGAAGCCGGCGGCCTGCACCGACCCGGCTCGCGCCCATCCCGGGGTCACCCACATTTGGGTGAACTTGAACGAGTGCCCGACCAGGTAACGTTGCCGGACCTCCCACAAGAGGGCACTTTCTTTTCTCCCATTTTGTCCTCATTCTTTCCAGCCAGGTAGGTCGCGCTTTTTTCTCTGTGCAAGGAAGTTGATGGTGGTCATTTTTTTTTTTTTTTTTTTAATACGGAGTCTCTCTCTGTCGCCCAGGCTGGACTGCAGTGGCGCGATCTCGGCTCGCTGCAAGCTCCGCCTCCCGGGTTCACGCCATTCTCTTGCCTCAGCCTCCCGAGTAGCTGGGACTACAGGCGCCCGCCACCGCGCCTGGCTAATTTTTTGTATTTTTAGTAGAGACGGGGTTTCACCGTGTTAGCCAGGATGGTCTCGATCTCCTGACCTCGTGATCCACCCGCCTCGGCCTCCCAAAGTGCTGGGATGACAGGTGTCAGGCACTGTGCTTGGCAATGGTGGCCATTTTTTAAACTATGGTTATGGTTAATGGTTCTATTTTGTGTGTGGGAGGGGGGAGGGGGTGGGGCTGTCATATTGTCTTTGGGGAAAGTTTCATTTATCTAATCAATGATTTGGTTAGTTGGTAATCATTTTTTAATTTGATTCAAATATGCCCCACGGTAACAGATGCCCATGTCCCCTCTGCCCCAGGGACATCTTCATCACCAGCGTGGACGCCGCCACGACCTTCGAGGAGCTCTGTGAGGAAGTGAGAGACATGTGTCGTCTGCACCAGCAGCACCCGCTCACCCTCAAGTGGGTGGACAGCGAAGGTAGCCCTTGTCCCATGTTGGCCAGAATCCTCAGCCTCAGGGGACTTCGCCAGGGCAGCCTCTGTGTGCGGAGTGTGCTCAGCCAATTCTGTGGGGAGACTTAAAGCTGTGGAATTAAACTTGTTGGCGCCAACTTTTCCCCAGTGGGGATGGTGGGAAAGAGGTTGGCCACAGATGCTTATCAAGGACCTGGGCCCAGATGCCCCTAGGAAGGGCTCTGGTCTTGAACTGCCTGCAGGGGGTCTCCCTGCCCCACCCTGGGCAGGTCCTCACCTCTTCCTCTGACCTCCTTTCTCATGTCCTGGCCTTTTTCGGTAGGTGCTTCTGAAAGGATGGGCTCTTCATATTCTAGGGACCACGGGGAGGGCACAAGCAGCCAGGGCCTGCCGTGTCCACCTCCTGTCTCTTAGACACATCCTGAAAAACAAGGGGATTGGGAGACGTCCAGAGAGACCCCTTTCTCCCAGGGACTGGCGGGCAGCTCTTGGCCAAGGACACGGCCGTGCGGGTGGAGCCTGATAGCGCCCCCGTTGGGTTGGGTACAGCCCTGCAGGGCCTGGGTTCTGTACACCTCCATGTCCCTTTCCAGCCATAGAGGGCAAGGAGCTCTCCCTCCGCCCAGGACTGACCTCCGGAGAGTGTCCTCAGCCCCGCTCACTGCTTAGCCCTCCAAGTGGTGCCCAGGGCTGCAGGTGTACTGACTTCCCTTCCGGGGTGGCTCTGACGCTGCACCGGGGGCCAGGTGACTCCCTAGTGTGGACGGCCGTCCTTGGACCTCCCGACCCTGCCAGGAGGTGGCCAGTCTGAGCATCGGGACTTTGCCCCCCACCAGACCCTTGTCTGGTGTGCTGAGCGGGCTCGTCACAGCCCCCTTTGCCTCGGGCCTTCGGCGACGTCAGCACCGTCTCCTGCCCCACCCAGGTGACCCTTGCACGGTGTCCTCCCAGATGGAGCTGGAAGAGGCTTTCCGCCTGGCCCGTCAGTGCAGGGATGAAGGCCTCATCATTCATGGTTAGTGGCGGGGTCTGTGGTGGGCAGCTCTGGGGGGCTGTTCCTGGCTGTGGGTGTCTGCCGACTAGCTGGGGGATTTAAAATGGTTTAAAATCCTATGATGCCAGAGAATTTAGGGATGTCTAATATAATGCCATTTGGGTTTTTTTCTTTGACTTTTTTTTTTTTTTTTTGAGACGGAGTCTTGCTCTGTTGCCCAGGCTGGAGTGCAGTGGCACAATCTCAGCTCACTGCAAGCTCCGCCTCCTGGGTTCATGCCATTCTCCTGCCTCAGCCTCCCGAGTAGCTGGGACTACAGGCGCCCGCCACCACGCCCGGCTAATTTTTTGTATTTTTTGTAGAGACGGGGTTTCACCGTGTTAGCCAGGATGGTCTCAGTCTCCTGACCTCGTGATCTGCCTGCCTCAGCCTCCCAAAGTGCTGGGATTACAGATGTGAGCCACCGCGCCCGGCCTTTTCTTTGACATTTTATTAACCCAAATGAAAACTGCTCTTAACAAAGAACCCGTAAACCACTCAGAGGCTCCAGTGGCCAGCGTAGGGCCCGCGGCGCATGTGGACAGAGGGGACAGCCCCACCAGCCACCTCACCTGCCCGGTGCTCCCTAGGCCCGGCTCCAGGCTCACAGCTGTCCTCAGCTTTAAGTTCAAAGCCCCATGATGAGCTGACGCATGGGAGATGTGATTGTGATCATTTCCACTTTGTCTTTAGGTGGGCGTGGGCTCCTCCCCGGTACTGCTGGGGGTCTGCAGGGCGTCTGGGGCCTGGGAATGTGGTTCCAGCGCTGTGGCCAGCCGGTCACGTCTTTGTCTCTGTGTCCACTTCTGGCGTAGCTTGGGCTCCTTGCCAGGCGTCTGGCCATGGACGATTGAGTCCAAGATGGGACCAAAGCTCGAAACCACCCATGGATTTCTGACAGATCCATCATTCTCCTGGACACCGGGCTACCTGGTTACAACACTTAATTTTCTTCGCCCTTTATATCAATGAGGCTCTAAATTTAAAGACTAGGCCGGGTGCGGTGGCTCACAACTGTAATCCCAGCACTTTGGGAGGTCAAGGTGGGAGGATCGCTTCAGCCTAGGAGTTCAAGACCAACCTGGGCAACATAGTGAGACCCCCCCCTCTCCAAAACTTGTTTTATTTTTTTGAGACAGAGTCTGGCTCTGTCCCCAGGCTGGAGTGCAGTGGCACTATCTCTGTTCACTGCAACCTCCACCTCCCAGATATAAGCGATTGTCCTGCCTCAGCCTCCCGAGTAGCTGGGACTACAGGCATGTGCCACCACACTTGGCTAATTTTTTTTTTTTTTTAGTTGGAGTCTCGCTCTGTCGCCCAGGCTGGAGTGCAGTGACGCGATCTCAGCTCAATGCAACCTCCGCCTCCCGGGTTCAAGCAATTCTTCTGCCTCACCCTCCCAAGTAGCTGGGACTACAGGCATGTGTCATCACGCCTGGCTAATGTTTTGTATTTTTAGTAGAGACGGAGTTTCACCATGTTAGCCAAGATGGTCTCGATCTCCTGACCTCGTGATCCACCCGCCTCAGCCTCCCAAAGTGCTGGGATTACAGGCGTGAGCCACGGTGCCCGGCCTAATTTTTGTATTTTTAGTAGAGATGGGGTCTCGCCATGTTGGCCAGGCTGTTCTCAAACTCCTGACCTTAGGTGATCTGCCTGCCTCAGCTTCCTGAAGTGTTGGGATTACAGGCGTGAGCCACGGTGCCCGGCCCCAATTTTTTTTTTTTTTTTTTTTTTTGATATTCAGACGTGGTGGTGCACCTGTAGTCCCAGTTACTCGGGAGGCTGAGGTGGGAGGATTCCTTGAGCACAGGAGGTAGAGGCTACAGTGAACTGTGATTATTCCACTGCACTCTAGCCTGAGTGATGGGGCGAAACCCTGTGTCAGATAAATAAATTCATAGATGTGCCTAATCTAGTCCTTTTTATTGTGGTTGTGATAGTAAGCACATTTTGCCTCTCTATGTGGAAAGATACAGTGGCTTAAAAATTCACATTGTTTTCTAGATAAAAGAAAAATAGGGCTGGGTTCAGTGGCACACACTTGTAATCCCAGCACTTTGGGAGGCCGAGGCAGGTGGATCACTTGAGGTCAGGAGTTCAAGACCAGCCTGACCAACATGGTGAAACCCCATCTCTACTATAAATACAAAAATTAGCCGGGCGTGGTGGTGTACACTTGTAATCCCAGCTACTTGGGAGGCTGAGGCAGGAGAACTGCTGGAACCCGAGAGGTGGAGGTTGCAGTGAGCTGAGATTGTGCCACTGAGCTCCAGCCTGGGCACAGAGTGAGACTCCATCTGAAAAAAACCAACAAAAAACAAAAAATGTTTGTTTTTTTAAAGTTTCAATACTTTTATGTGTATACACACACACATAAAAAAGTAGAGATGGGGTTTCGTCATGTTGGCCAGGCTGGTCTTGAACTCCTGGCCTGAAGCCATCCTCTCATCTCGGCCTCCCAAAGTGCTGGGATTGCAGGCGTGAGCCATCATGTCCAGCCAAGTTTTAATACTTTCTAAGCACCTATTTTAATAATTTATTGTGGAAGCCCAGGATATATGTTAAAATAATTTTGAACTCTGTCTTGAGTATGAAGAAGTGGAATCTAAAGTGCTTTTAAAAGTCAGTGTTCAAAGTAATTGCATTTCTTTCCCATTTTTATATAGTTTAAAAATACAAATCAGTAGCTTCCTCTGATGGCTTTGCTGTCCAGGTCCCTCTGATTGCCTTTTACTCTAAGTTTTTCCGTGGGTTTTAAAGTCGGAGCCTGGCCTACGTAGACGCACGGGGTTTTGCGTCTCCCAGGAGCGGGCTCTCATTGGCAGTGCCACGTGCGCCTTGCGTGAAGTCCACGTGCTCAGCCTGACTGAGGCGGGACTTCCTCCGTGAGACTGTTGAGTGGCAGCCGCAGGGTCTTGACGCTGTCTCTTTCTCTCTCTTGTCCAGTTTTCCCGAGCACCCCTGAGCAGCCTGGCCTGCCATGTCCGGGAGAAGACAGTGAGTACTGGGGTTTCCTACGCCGGTCTCGCATGTTACGGGGTTGAACTGTTGATCCGTTGTGCCACGGAGGTGGCAGTGGTGCCGTTTTCGGAGGTTCACCCTCGTGGAGCGTCAGGGCAGGAGCAGCCGTGGTGACCGCAGGTGGGGTTTTCACTGCAGCTGCTGCCTGTGCGTGTTCTGGCTGACAGCACCACATGGCGGGGGACTCGCTTGGCTGGTTGGTAGCATGAGAAGTCCAGGGGTGCCCTGCCGTCTCCCTAGGAGGGAGGGGCCAGGTGGGAGGCTGGACACTGCTCCTTTGTGGCTGCCTCAGCTCACGACCACCCCTAGGCCAGTCGTCTGCTCCTCCTGGTCCCTGCTGGCCCCTGAGCTGGTGTGGGGGCTCCGTTCATCCCACACTGGCTCCATTGTTGGGAGAGGAAGGAGAGTGAGTCCCGGGGGCTGTGGCTTCAGAGGGAAGCTTCTGACCTCACTTCCTACTGCATCCCGGAGACTGTTGGGCCCTGAGCAGGTGGCTACGCTGCTCTCGGGCCGCGCATCCCATGGCTGTGCTTGGTGGGGTTCCACCCCCACTCTCCAGACCCCACACGGCCTCCAGCATCCGTGCCATGCCTTGTTCGTTGTGTGGGCAGGAGCTCCTGGACCGAGGCCGCTGCCTGTCCAGCGCAGGGCACGTGGCTCAGTGCCCTTCAGGCAGGGCTTCCCCCACCCCTGCTGCCAGGGCACACACCTCGCTGGCCTCAGGCTGGATGCTGGGTGTTGGCAGTGCCCTGTGTTGGGCGGGAACTGGGGGTGGGAGCAGATTCAGGCCAAGAGGGTGAGTGGGCAGTTGGGGCGAGAGTCTTGGCTTCCAGTGAGAAGTGGGGCTGAATAGAGGTTTGGCAGTGCTTAGCATAGGGGGCGAGAGTCTCGGCTTCCAGCGAGAAGTGGGGCTGAATAGAGGTTTGGCAGCGCTTAGCGTAGGGGAGGCCCCAGGAGCCATGGGATTTCCATGATCTGCCCGGGGAGAGGGCGGCGTGGCATCCCGGTTCCAGGCCCTCAGCCAACCGGGGTCCCTGCACCGTGGCCGGCAAGGCCGAGGAGCCATCCGGAGGTGGGCCCTGGCAGGAATGGAGCGGGTGGTCTGGGGCTGGACCTGCCGGCAGGAGGAGATGGGGTATGTCCGTGGCAGGCGGACACCACCAGGTGGTTTTGGCAGCGCAGGGCGAGTGTGAGGAGGCAGGGGGCGGGGAGGCTTTGGAGGCAGGTGGCCAGACGGTGGGCGTCAGGGCCCTGATCACCTACGCAGCTGCCCTGGTGGTGACCTTTCCCGGGACCCTCCCTCTGGGTGCCCACGCCTCACGGACCCTGGAGCACGCACCCTGGGAGGGCACGGTTCACTGCGTTTTTATAGATACATAAACACATAAATAGGACAGATACTCCCTGTGGGTGAGACGATGGTTGTCCCCTCCACAGCGCCCTGCAGCCTCATGCTGCTGCTTTATAGGAGGGGACCCACGGGCCGTGTTTATTTGCCACCTGGGTGATTTTTTGACTTGGTGACAGGACTGTGCTCCTCTGTCCCATGTGTGCTGAGACTGTGCACTCCCAGAGGTATCCACATGCGGCCAGTGTAGCCCCTGGGCGCGGGGGAAGCCCACCGTATTTCTCCGACATGTCTGCCTCTTGTCTCAACCCTGCCTGGGGGCCTGGGGTCTGCTCTTTCTGTCTACGACCTCGGCATTGCCTCTCTGCCCGTGTGGACAACCTGCCGGCCTTGCGTAGGGAAGGGAGGCCCGCATTTGCTCGGCCACTGCAGTGGAGGAAGGGGAGGTTGGGGGGTCACAGGATGTCCAGAGGCCTGAGCTCTGAAGGGGAGTGTGTCATGGGGGTGGCAGCCGAGTCACCGTGGGGAATGCGGAGAATGTGGCCAAGCCCCGAGGAAGGACCTCCTGGGACACGTGAGTAGGTCCTTGAGATGTTTACCAGGGGTGGCTCCACGGCTTCGGGGACCACTCAGCCTGGTTGGGGACATTCCGCCAGAGCCTCTGGGGCAGCCTTTGCCGAGGAGGTCAGAGGCGGGTGCTGGGGGTGGGGAGCCCTGCCCTGCCCTGTGTGCTGATGTCCACCCGGACGTGGGTTGGGTTTCATGGCGCTAGTGTCAGGAGTGTGTGAGAACACACTGCCCACTCGGGGTCCCAGGCCACCAGGGCTTAGGGGGCTGGCGCTCTCCCTGATGTCCTGTGCTTTCTTTCACTCTGACTGTGGTGCTCATCTCAGACAGGACACCCTGCTCTGGTTGCCAGTGGCCGCCGCCTGGGGCTCTGTGGTTTTAGCGCCTGTGGGGGTGTTCACAGGTGTTTTTGACCTCAGGCAGCACTGCCCAGGCTGAGGGTCAGTGAGAAGGGTCGGACTGGGAGGTGTGTACAGTGGATGGAGCACGCCAGAGGCAGACGAGGGCAGGACTGCGGCTGTACCGTGGGCCTGGTTCAGACGGCTGGACGTGCCTGTCTCACCGTCAGCAGAGGACCTTCTGGCACATTCTATGTGTGTCTATATGAGTGAATTGGTTTTATAGATTTTTAAAAAAATTCTAAAGTATACTTACAACTATCATCTCTATGTAGTTACAAACCCAAAATATATTCAAAAAGGGAACCCCGTGCCCGTCATCGGTCACTCCCTGTTCTGCCCCAGCCCCACCTCCGCTCAGCCTCTGTCTCTGTGGCCCTGCGGATTCTGGACGTTTGGTGTCCGTGGAATCCTGCATGTTTGTCCTTTTGCCTCTAGTGGCTTTCACCCGCCTGACCTTTCCAAGGTTCATCCATGATGGGGCATTCTTGGCGCTGCAGATCTTTTTTCTATTCTGGTAAAATGCACATAACATCTATTTTTGCCATCTTAACTTTTTTTTTTTTTTTTTTGGCAGAGGGGGGACGGAGTTTTGTTCTGTCACCCAGGCTGGAGTGCATGGTACAATCTTGGCTTACTACTACTCTGCCTCTCAGGCTCAAGCGGTCCTCATGCCTCAGCCTCCCGAGTAGCTGGGATTACAGGTGTGTGTCACCACACTTGGCCGAGTTTTTCTTTTTGTAGAGTTGGGGTTTTACCATGTTGCCCAGGCTAGTCTCGAACTCCTGGGCTCAAGTGACCTACCCATCTTGGCCTCCCAAAGTGCTGGGATTATAGATGTGAGCCACCGAGCCTGTCCCCATCTTAGCCATTAAAATTTAAAGGTTCAATTCACTGGTATTCGATATTCGCATTGCTGTCCAGTCATCATCACCGCCCATCTCCAGAACTCTCTTCATCTTCCCAGACTCAGCCTCTGTCTCCATGAAACACTCACTCCCCATTCTGCCTCCCCCAGCCCCCATCACCCACCCGCCGCTTTCTGTTTCTGTGACTTTGGTGACTCTAGGGGCCTCCTGTGAGTGGAATCGCACAGGATCTGTCCTTTTGTGACAGCTTATTTCACTCAGCACCATGTCCTCAAGGCGCAGCCATGCGTAGCCTGTGTCACAGTCTCCTTCCTTCTCAAGACTGAACCGCAGGCTGCTGTATGGATGTATTTTGTTTACCCATTTCTGTCAGTGGACACACGGGTGACTTCCACAGTTTAGCTGTCGTGAATGATGCTGCTGTGAGCACGGGTGCACAGTGACCTCTGGAGACCCTGCCTTCAGTTCTGGGTGTAGACCCGGAAGTGAGATTGCTGGATCATTGATCATTCTATTTTTATTCATTTATTTTTGAGATAGCGTCTCGCTCTGTCGCTTAGGCTGGAGTTCAGTGGCACGATCTCGGCTCACTGCAGCCTCCATCTCCTGGGCTCAAGCGATTCTCCTGTCTCAGCCTCCCAAGTAGCTGGGACTAAAGGCATGTGCCACCACGCCCAGCTAATTTTTGTACTTTTTGTAGAGACAGGGTTTCATCATGTTGCCCAGACTGGTCTTGAACTCCTGGGCTCAAGCAGTCTGCCCACCTCGGTCTCCCAAAGTGTTGGGATTACAGGCGTGAGCCACTGCACCTGGCCGATAATTCTGTTTAAAGAGCCGCCGTGCCATTTCCCATGGTGCCTGCAGCATTTTCCACCCCCTGCAATAGTGCACGAGCGCCACTGTCTCCGCATCCTTTCCAGCTCTTGTCGTTTTCTGTTTTTTGACAGTATCTTATGGGCGTGAGGTGGCATATCATTGTGGTTTTGGTTCTCATTTCCCTGGTGATAAGTGATGTTGAGCATTTTTTCATGTGCCTGTTGGCCATTTCTTTTTTTTTTTTTTTTTTGAGTTGGAGTCTTGGTCTGTTGCCCAGGTTGGAGTGCAGTGGCACGATCATGGCTCACTGCAATCTCCGCCTCCCAGATTCAAATGATTCTCCTGTCTCAGCCTCCTGAGTAGCTGGGATTACAGGCACCCGCCACCATGTCCAGCTAGTTTTTGTATTTTTAGTAGAGTTGGGGGTTTCACCATCTTGGCCAGGTTAGTCTTGAACTCCCGACCTCAAGTGATCCACCCACCTCGGCCTCCCAAAATGCTGGGATTATAGGCGTGAGCTGCCGTGCCCGGCTTTGTTGGCCATTTCTGTGTCTTCTTTGGTGAAATGTCTTTTCGCGTCCTGTGTCCATTTTTGAATGGGTTGTTTGGTTTTTTTGTTGGTGAGTGTTACTAGTTCTCTGTCCTGGATGTTAATCCCGTAGCAGATATATGATTAGCAAATATCTTCTCCTGCTTTGTGGGTTGTTTTTTTACTTTGTTGATAGTGCCTTTTGATGGACAAAGTTTTAAAATTTTCCTGAAATCCTGCTTAATGTTTTTTTCTTTTGTTGCCTGTGTATTTGGTGTCACATCCAAGAAATCACTGCCAAATCGAATGTTGTGAAGCTTTTCCCCTTCTCTTTCATCTAAGGATTTTATAATTTTAGGTTTTATGTTTAGGTCATGGATTATCCTGAGTTAATTTTTGTATGTGGTGTAAGGTAAGCATCTAACTTCATTCCTTTGCATGTGGAGGTCCAGTTTTCTTAGCACCATTGGTGAAAAGACTCCCCATTGGACTGCATTGGCACCCTTGTTGAAAATCGTTTCACCATATATGGGAGGGTTCATTTGTGGAGTCTCTTCTAGTCCATTGGTCTCTGTGTCTCTCTTTGAGCCAGTGCCACACTGTTTTGATCACTGTAGCTTTGTAGGAAGTTTTGAAATCAGGAAGTGTGAGCCCTCCAGCTTTGTTCTTCCTTTTCAAGATTGTTTTGGGGTCCCCTGAGATTCCAGATGAATTTTAGGACAGGCTTTTCTATTTCTGCAAAAAACATTATTGTGATTTTTGCAGGGATTGCATTGGCTCTGTAGATCACTTTGGGTAGTGCTGACATCTTAACAGTATGAAGACTTCCAATCCATGAACTGAAGTGTGTTTCTGTTTGTTTATGTTTTCTTTGATTTCTTTCAGCAGTGTTTTACAGTTTTCCTTGTACAAGTCTTTCACCCCCTTGGTTAATTCCTAAACGTTTTATTCTTTTTGATGCTGTTGCAAGTGGAATTGTTTCCTTGATTTCCCTTTTGCGTTGTTTATTGTAAGTGTATAAAAGTGCAGTTGATTTTTGTGTGTTGACTTTTTTGCCTGCTGTTTTGCTGAATTTATCAGTTCTAACAACTTTCTGTGGAAACTTTAGGGCTTTCTTACATGTAAGATCATATCATCTGTATACAGAGATAATTTTACTTTTTCCTTCCTAATTTGGATGCCTTGTATTTCTTTTTCTTGCCTAATTGTTCTGGCTAGAATTCCACTACTCTGTTGAATAAAAGTGGTGTGATCGGCCGGGCGCGGTGGCTCACGCCTGTAATCCCAGCACTTTGGGAGGCCCAGGCGGGTGGATCACGAGGTCAGGAGATCGAGATCGTCCTGGTTAACACAGTGAAACCCCGTTCTCTACTAAAAATACAAAAAATTATCCGGGCGTGGTTGCAGGCGCCTGTAGTCCCAGCTACTCGGGAGGCTGAGCCAGGAGAATAGCCTGAACCCGGGAGGCAGAGCTTGCAGTGAGCGGAGATCGTGCCACTGCACTCCTGCCTGGGCAACAGAGCCAGACTCTGTCTCAAAAAAAAAAAAAAAAAAAAAAAAGTGGTGTGGTCAATCATCCCTGCCTTTGTCCTGATTGTCAAAGAAAAGCTTTCAGGTTTTCATCACTGAGTGTGATGTCTGCTGTGGGTTTTTCATACATGGTTTTTATTATGTCGAGATAGTTTCCTTCTATTCCAAGTTTGTCAATTGTTTTTATCAGGAAAGGGCTTTGAATTTTGTCACATGCTTCTTCTGCATCAGTTGAGACGATCATGTGTTTTTTTTACCTTCATTTTGTTAATGTGGTATATTACTTTAATTTTCATTCATTGAACCATCCTTGCATCCCATGAAAAAATCCTTCTTGCTCTTGGTGTGTAATTTTCTTGATATGCTGCCGAATTCATTTTACTAGTATTTTCTTGAGGATTTTTACATCCGTGTTTATAAAGGACAATTACATCTGTGTTAATAAAGGATAATTATGTCCATGTTCTTAAGACTCAATGGTCAGAGGCTTTCTTGTCGTGACTTTGTTGGGCTTTGGTGTCAGAGTAGTGCTGGCCTCACAGGATGAGTGAGGAAGTGTTCCTTCCTCTTTAATTTTTTTGGAAAAGTTTGAGAAAAACTGGTGTTAGTTCTTCAAGTGTTTGGTAGAATTTGCCTGTGAAGACATCAGTCCCTGGGCTTTGCTTTGTTGGGAGGTTCTCTTTCTTTCTCTCTCTCTCTGTCTGTCTCTCTGATGGAGAGAGTGCAGTGGCTCGATCTCAGCTCATGTCAACCTCTGCCTCCTGGGTTCAAGTGATTCTCCTGCCTCAGCCTCCTGAGTAGCTGGCATTACAGGCACATGCCATCACACCCAGCTGATTTTTGTAATTTTAGTAGAGATGTGGTTTCACATGTTGGCCAGGCTGGTCCCGAACTCCTGACCTCAGATGATCCACCCACCTTGGCTTCCCAACGTGTAGGGATTTCGGGCATGAGCTGCTGCGCCCGGCCCTGCTCTCATCTTTATTATTCCCATCCTTCTGCCAGCTTTTGGTTTGTTCTTTTTCTGGTTCCTTGAAGTGTAAAATTCGGTTGTTAATTTGAGATCTTTCTTGTTTTTTTATTTCAAATATTTATCACCATAGCCAGGCGCCATGGCTCATGCTTGTAATCTCAGTGTTTTGGGAGGCTGAAGAGGGAGGATCACT
Organism: Homo sapiens; assembly: GCF_000001405.40. Classification (NCBI taxonomy): domain Eukaryota; kingdom Metazoa; phylum Chordata; class Mammalia; order Primates; family Hominidae; genus Homo; species Homo sapiens. The sequence goes on from NC_000001.11 coordinate 2,066,839, forward strand.
TGAGGCCAGGAGTTGGAGACCAGCCTTGGGCCACATGACAAAACTGTGTTTCACACACACAAAAAGTTCATCACTATAAATTTTCTCCTTAGCATTGCTTTCCCTGCATCCCTGAAATGTTGATATGTTGTGTTTCTGTTTTCATTCATCTCTCAGCATTTTTCTGATTTTCTTTGTGGTTTCATCTTCTATCCATTGGTTGAGTGTGTAGTGTTATTTCCATATATTTGCGAATTCTTCTGTTTTCTTTCTGTTAACTGATTTCTAAGTTCATCTTGATGTGGTTGGAGAATATACTTTGGATAATGTCTGTTTTTTGAAATCTACCGCGGCTGAGTCTGTGGCTCACTTGTGTTCTGTTCTGGAAAACGTCCCGTGTGCGTTGAGGGTGTGCAGCCGCTGTGGGTACAGCGCTCTGCTGTGTCTGTCAGAGCTATGCGGGTTACTGTGTTGTTCAAGTTCTCTGTTTCTTTACGTGTTCTCCCTAGTTGCTTTTTCATTCCTTTTTATGGCTGGATGAATTCTGTGATGCGATTCACCCTGTCTGTCCGTTCCTCTGCTGATGGACACTGGTGGGGGCTGGGTCGTTCGGGGCTGAGCGTGTGATGAGATCAGGAGCGCCTGGTTTTTTGGGGGAGGTGAGGGCTGGTCACGCCCCGGTCGAGTGGGGATCCCCTGTGTGCATCTGTGGCGGCCTCAGTGGTGTTGGGGTGGAGTAATCGGGCGGTGGAGCTGGGGTCTGTGGGCTCCACCTGCTGCCACGTGTGCCGGGCTGCCCAGGGCCCATGAGGGTGGTGGCACGGGGGTCCGCATGAGGGGCCGCAGGTGCCTCGGGCCCCTCTCCCGCTTGTTTCTCCATCTTCACTGTCCGTTCACTGCAGTGCCGGGTGAGGCCAGTGTGTGGCCGGTAGATTCCCGGGTACCTCTTCTTTGCCCCTCCTTGCTGTATCTGGTCACACAGAAATGGTATGTGTGATTTTTGTTTCAATACTCAAATCTGTTAATATTTTTCCTTCTGGCTTCCCCTAGTGATACAAATATATTTTCTTCCATTTTGGTCTTTGAGCTGCTTTGCCTGTCTGTGTCTGGGGTGGCATCCGCTGGCACCTGGGCTGACCTGGGACGGGGCCCTTCTCTTGGACTTGAGCAGATGAGACTCACAGCCCGAAATGCAGCAGATCCCTCAGGCCACGGGACTCTGGACGTGTGGCGGCCCTGTCGGCCTGAGCCACATCTGCTGTGAGAGGCAGCAGTACGTTCCTTGGGGCAGCAGCGAGAGCAAGGCTGGATCCAAAGACCTCCGAGCAGCTCCTCCGGGGCAGACCCCAGCTGCAAGCCACAGCCCGGCCCTGGTAACGGGAGAGCATCGCTAGGGAGGGGTGGGGCGGCCCGGCTTCGATGCGGCCATGTGGGAGGGCCACTCTCAGAGACCCCCCGCCTTCCTTGCCACCCCCACCCCAGAGGGGAAGCTGGAGCTGGGAGGCTGCAGACCCAGGCCAAGGTGTGGCCAGGGCTGGCTTTCTTGGGAGGCTTTGAGCATCCTGCTTCCTGGCCACCCAGCTCTGGGGCTGCTGTCAACTCTTGATTTGTAGACATCACTCCAGCCTCTGGCCTGTCACCCTGAACCTCCCCCATGTCTGTGTCTTTTCTCACTGGAACACCGGTGGTCGGCTTTGGGGCCCACCAGGGCAGTCCAGGACATTCACCTTGAGACCTGGCCTTAATCACACGTGCAGGAACCCTTTTCCAAAGGAGGGTCACGCTCACAGCTTCTGGAGTAGGACATGGACTTGTCTTTTTGGAGGCCCATCCTCAACGCACCACAGTTGACTACATCAAGGTCTGCCTCTGATCTGGTGGGAGTGCTGGGTGGTCTGTCTCCACCAGCACTTTGTGGGTGGGCTCTGTCCCCAGGAAATGCTCTCTGCCCAGGCCCCCGCCCCGTGAGAGGTTCGTGCTGCCAGTGGCGCTGGTCATTGGGACCATGTGCTGGGCCGGCGCCTGGCAGGACAGACAGCAGGTGGCTCTTCTGTAGGTTCTTCTGGCTGGGACAGGCCCAGCCGGTGCTCAGCGGAACTGAGACTGACGCCCCTTTCGGACCCCTCTAAGAAGGGAGGCCTGGGTGGGCAGCCTCCCCTCAGAGTTGGGGAAACGTGGCCCAGTTCCCGCCAGTCACCACCCTGCCGGCTGCCACGGGGACACGTGGCCTGGTTCCTGCTGGTCACCACCCCGCCAGCCACATCTTGAACGGCGTCCGTTCTGCAGTCGCTTGTCCTTAGTGTTCCAGCAACACCCCAACCAATGCGACCCCCGGCACCTCCGTCAGCCCCGCCCGGGAGAGCCCTCCCCTGCATCCGTGCTGTGCTTGTTGAAACTGAGATCCTCTAGCCTTTGGCCTCTCCGGACCCAGCCCCAGCTGCAGGCCCCAGCCATGGTGGTCCCTTTGGGAGGCGTGGTCCAGGAGGTGATGGGCAGCTGGAGAACCCCCGTGAGTGGAGGCTGCTGTACCTGGCAGGGAGGGTCCTGGGCAAGGGGGCATGGAGTGGAAAGGGAGTGGGTGTCCAGAAAGTTCCTGGGGCTCCACCAACCAGAACGTTGCCATTACCTTGAGCAAACGACCTGTTTAGTGGTGCCTTTTCTTTACCTGTAAAACGGGGTGATTGTAAATAAAATCGTGTGTAAAAGTGCTTAGGACCAGACCCCCATTGGAGCGAGTGTTGATACCTGTCTCAAAGGACAGTAGGTGGACGTGGCAGGGAGGGAGATGTCAAGACGACAGCCAGGGCCCTTTCTGCCACTTCCCCTGGTGGGTGGTGGGCGGTCCCCTGAACCCTGGCAGTAAGCGAGGGACCTCCCGACACCCTGGCTCCTCCGTGTTGGCTCCAGGGGCTTCCTGTTTCTAGATGGCCGGGCCCATCATGTGGAGGGAGGGGTGGATGCTATAGGCAGCAGCCCCAGTCTTCCTTTGGGTGGGGTTATTTCTGCTGCTGCTGCAATCCAGAGGCTCTGGGGCTCCTAAGTGGGTAGCCTCAGGCCTGGGCAGCGTCCATGGGACAGGGTGGTCCCCAGTCAGGCCCCATTGGCCTCCCTGTGGTGTGTGGTAAAGACTCAGGGTGCCCGCCCTGTGGAGGAGGTGCCGGGGGTAGCCTGGCTTTGCACCCAGACCCTGCTGAGGGCAGCGCTGGATGGTCAGCTGGACCAGGCCTCCGAGGTCCTTAGAGTCCATGGAGGAAATACAAAGTCCGCTGGGCTGGGCAGCCGCAGACCCCACTTAGCAGCTGGTGGTGTCCTCGGGGTCATCAGAGCCAGTGCTGGCTGCCCTGTGCATTTCATGTTGTTGGTTCCTGCCTGTCCACAGCACAGATGGCATACCCGGGCAGCGGGACCCTGCTCCAGCCTGCACCCTGGGGAAAGGTGTCCTACATTCCACATTCTGCCCGTAGCAGGCAGCCCCACCCCACTGTAGCCCATCTTGTCACTTAGGGTGGTCCCGGTAGTGGCTTCTGGAGCCTGGAACGCTTGGGTCAGGCCCCAGGCAGCTGGGACCCTCCCGAGCCTCACCCCTTGGGTCTGGTGGGACCCCTGGGGTTTGGCCGGGAGGACACCGTGACTACTGCCTTTGCCTCTGGGTATATTCCCTGCTCAGCCCCTGAACCCAGCTCCAAGGCCATTTCTACTTGGCAAGCGGGAGGTTTTCATGGCCAGGGATGTTAATAGCAGGTCTCTGGATGCAAGGGTGGCAAAGTCGCCTTGGCCTGTGTAGGGGAAGTGGAGGAACCTGGGCTCTCCCGGGCCGGTGGTCCTGGGGCAGATAGCAGGGGAAGGGGCTGCAGCCATGTGGGTGGAGCCATGGGGGCCGTGGAGGGGCCCTTCCTGACCCCACAGTGGGGGCCAGGGTGGGGCTGGCGGGGGACAGTCCTCAGCTGCAGGGGCTGGGGTGGGGCTGGCGGGGGACAGTCCTCGGCTGCGGGGGCCGGGGTGGGCCAGGAAGGGGAAGGGGCTCTTGAGGCTCCGGGGCCTTCTGGCTGTAGTGTCTCACTTGGAGCAATGGCGGGATCCCCAGATCCATCCCCTGGCCCGTCTGCCTCCCGCCCTCATAGCCCTGTAGCCTAGGGCAGAGAGGGGTCCTTGGCCGGGACACCATCCCCACAGGGACGTGGAGGGTGCTGGGCCCGGGGCTACCATGGAGTCGCCTGCTGGGAGCAGCCAGTACACCTGGGCGTGCGACCTGGGCAATGCGGGGGCCGATTGCTCAGGGGGGCGCCTGCACTGCCAGGTTCAAACCCCACCGGCAGGGAGCCTGCGCTGTGACTTCAGGCATGTGGGTGGGGCTCCCCGTGCCCCGTGCCTCAGTTTCCTCCTCTGTAAAAGGGGGCTTTGTGAGGCTCGACAGGGTTTAGAGGAGCTCCTGGAACATAGTAAGTGCTTAGCAAGGCCGTCTTGCCGTCTCTCCCACCCAGGGAGGGTCAAGTGGGAAGAGAGCGGCCCCACCGAGTGTGTTCCAGGCCCCGGCGGCGTCTGAGAGGAGGCGGCCAAACCTAGTGGGGCTGCGCGACCGCCTGTGGAACAGTGGGGACGCTGCTGGTGTCCTCCAGGCCTGGGTGGGCGGGTTACCACGGAAGCCTATCAACGGATGCCTGTGATTCCCTGGTATTTATAGGTATGTCTATTGTTTTATTAAAAAATCCAGTTTCATTCAGCTTTGTCTCAAATTATTTGCAACAAACTGGAAAAGCTAGTTTTCCCCCTAAAATAGGCTTCTAATAAAATTGGCAATTTGCCTGCTGAGCCTGAATATCCTAGAGTTCTGCAAAGCTGGATATTTTGGGATGGATTAGAAGAGAGGAGTTGGCTGAAGGACAGTGGTCGTGCTGCTGAGCCGGCCGTCTGTGTGAAGTTTACACTGGACCAGGATAAATGCGTATTTCCTGTGGGAGCTCAGCGTGGCCATGGTATTCGGTGGTCTTATGATTTTATAGGCCTAGCCAGGGGTCTGCGAGCTGCTTCTGTCCAGGGCCAGGTAGTTGAAGCCTGGGGTTCTGAGCAGGCGTGGGCAGCACCCAAGGAGGTGCATGGCCGTGTCCTAGTGAAACTTTATGCACGCTGAAATCTGAATTTTATAGACTCTTCCGGTGTTTCAAAATATTATCCTTTTCATTTTATTCAGCCAATTAAAAGCGTAGAAATCCTAGCTTGCTGATTTGGAGCACTAGGCAGTGTAGGTTGCCAGCCCTCGTTCCCCATAGATTTGGGAAGTCGAGTGAAACGCATGTGTTAGGTTTATATGTTTCACATTTTACGGAATGCCCCTCATGCAGCTGGTCAGCCGCCTGACGAGGGAAGCTTGGCCCTTTGGAGAAGTGGCCGTGCCTCGTGGTGAGCTGCTGACAGAGCTGGAATTTGAACCCGGGGCTCTGGCCCGGAGTCCACTCCGTGAATGCAGATAAACACAGGTTTATGAGCTTGATGATTTAAATGGAGGTTTTATTACTGTTCAGGCAGGTGTGGGAGGCCAGCCATCAGGAGATGATGCCGTTGAGAAGGTCGTTTATTACTCAGCTTCTGAGAGGAGACCTCCTCTTGCCTCGCGGGGCCATGCGGGCAAGCGCCGGGTGGGTTGGAGGCAGGGGGATGTGTGGGTGGGGCCTTTACTGTGGTTTCCATGGGAAAGGTGTGGGGAGCAGGCATTGGGTCGGCCAGGTGGAGTAACTTCAGCCAGGCTCTGGGGTGCAGGGGCTGTCCCTGTGACCTGGGGAGGCCCCTGGGGCGACTGGGGGCCCGTGTAGGAGGTGGGCCCAGGTGAGAGTTCTGGGTTGGTGGGTTTGCATTTGAAAGGTTCGCTGTGGGACAAGTCCTTTGCTGTCTCTAGGAATCGGTTGGCCTCTCGGGGCCGTCCCTCCAGGGTCAGCAGGGCCATAGGTGCTGGAGCATCGAGGGCACAGCACGTATGAATGCAGGGAGCGTGTGGTGTGACTGGTCAGAGCCAGAGGTCTGCAGGACACTCCCCTCTGTCCCTCTGCACCCCCAGTGCGAAGCGGCCCATGTAGGCTCAGCACGAGTGCCGAGTGCGTTTGGGGAAGTGGGCAGAATTCCCAGCTGAGCACCCCGCGACCCCCCATGTTTTTTATGATTGGAGGAAAATGCCAGGTCTCACTTGCCAGTGATGACCAGGTCCCAGGGTTTGTCAGGGTACCAGGGTAGGGGTTGGAGGGTCAGGCCACCCAGCGGCGGTGGCGGCTCTGGGTCTCCCTAGGAGCCCGGGCTGGCCACAGCCAGGCACAGCACAGCCCGTGAGGTCTGGTCTTGGGAATGCGGGTGTCTCCTGCCTTAGGCTGAGGGTGTGCGTTTCCAGGCCAGCCGGGACAGTTTTCAGCCTGGGGAAGCTTGGCCTTTCCTGTTCCTGCCCCCCAGTGCCCACCGTCCCCACACACACTGGTGGGGTTTGTGGGGTGGACACAACCACATCGCAAGGCCCCTATGCCTCCTCTCCTCCCGCTCCGTTCCTGGGCTGCGGGACAGTGCTCGGGGCCCTTGGCCATTGGTGTCGAGCCCATTCACAGCCTCTGGACGCAGGTCAGAGGTCACTCGCCACGGCCACAGCTGCGCTGTCCCCCACTCCCAGCCTGGCAGGCCAACCTGCAGGACCCCGGGCTTAGCTGGGTTCTGTTCTGATGTCGCATTTTCAAGGTCCGCTGAGTCCGAGCCCTGCCTGGGTCTGGCTGCTGCCCGCCCGCTCTCTGGACTGTGCTGATGCAGAGATGCTTGTTTTCCTGTGACGTCAGCGTCAGCTCCTGCACATCCATGCCGTGTTTTAGTTTGTGCCTCAGCTGCTGGCTACAGCTTCCCGGGGGAGCCGGGTACCACCCGGGCCTGGAGACATGAGGAGGCAGGGATGTGAGGGGCGGGGGACAGGACAGCCGGCCTTCCGTTAAATATCTGCTCCTCGCGCTCGAGCCTCCCTGCCTATTGTCGGGGCCGGAGGCGAGCCGACGCAGCATCAGCTCGTCAACGGGAAGGAAGATGCCTCCCTGCACGCCCGCCGCGCACAGAGCATAAAGAATCTGCGCTGAGGAGGCAGGAGAAGAAAGCCGGTGAGTCGGGGGCATCTCCCCCGTGGATTTTCCGCGCCCCCGGGGCCGGGCCAGCCGTGCTGCAGGCCCTGTGCGTGCGGAGGACGGTGCCCGAGTCAGCATTTTGGGTCTGAGTCCCGGCGTTGCCGCTGCCTGTGCGCTGCACAGATGCTCCGGGCAGCAACACGGCTGGTGCCACGGCCCGGGGAAGGCGTGCGGCTGCAGCAGCTCCCAGCAATGTCAGGGGAAACGCAGTGAGAGGCTGTTGTTTTGCGGGTGACAGATTTTTAGAAAAATAAGGCTGTGGAGGGACCTTCTGAGCGAGGCAGGGGCTGCTGGAGGGACATGCTCACCCCGAGGACGGATGGTGTGTGGCCCAGGCCTGGTGGATGTGTGGCGGTGGCTGTGGAGGGCTGGGGGCCGGGGGGCTTGGGGAAATCGTCTTGGGCTCGTCTGCCTGCCTGGCCCCAGGGAGTTGCTGGCTGTTGGGAGTTTCACTGTGGCCGATGCTTTTTGGTTGTGGGTCTGTGGGTCTGTCGGGGCCAGGACGGATGGCCGCTTCGTCTCCATTCTGCATTGCTGCAGGTGGGCAGATTGATGAGACCACGGGTGAAGTCTGGAGACCCCAGGTGCCAGGGCTGGTAGTGGTAACAGCCAGCACCTGTTCCAGGCCTGCGGTCTTTCCGTCTCGAGCCTGCCCTCCCGCCTGTCTGAGCCCCCGTTTTGCATTGACAGTGTTGGGTTGGAGTCTGGGTGGCACAGCCAGGGTTAATGTGCACGGCTCACTCCATCGGGGTCCTCGGATGGTGGCGAGGAGCGGGGCTGCGGCGTCCTGTTTTCTATTCTGAAATGGTTGGAGGTAGACTCGGAGGGGTCTGGGGGCTGCATGGTGTTTGGCAGGGATGTGGGAATGTGGGTGCTTTTCTGACGACCATTTTGCAAGGTGTTTTTTTTAAAAAAAAAAACAACAAAAAACCAAAACAACAACCAGCCTCCCCAGTCAGGCTTGTGGGGAGCCGTGGGCCTGGGGAGACTGGGCTGCTGAAGGTGGGGACTGGGCTGCTGGGGGAGGCGGCTTTCCCTCTCGGGGGGTGCTGGCTGCTGGGGAGGCTGGCAGCGCGCCCCTCCCCCAGGTGCGAAGGGACCTCAGCAGACGCAGGGCTGCTCCGCACAGCCAGCTTGGGCCGCAGGGGTCCTTGAGTGATGAAGATTCTGTGTTGATGGGGTGAGTGGGAGAGAGACGGAGCTGGGGTGGTTTTCACACGTGCGCCTGCCTGCGAGGAGAAACGTGCTGTGTCATAGTTTCCTCGGTGCCTGGGACGGCTTGGCCTCTGCTTTCGTGTGAGCCCACGCTGGCCATGCACAGCTGGCACGATCCCTTGCGGTGTGAATACACTGCTGGGGTGGGAGCGCCGTGGCCAGGGTCAGGATTCGAGCGGTTACTGGCTTTTGGTCTGATGGCCCTCGGTGGGTGAGTCAGAGCTGGGATGGGGACAGATTGGAGGGGCCACCGGCTGCCCCCCAGAAGCTGTTTCGTGTTGATGCTGCCGGGGCCGGCTGTGGTACCTGTGTCTGTGTCTCGGCCAGATCGGCACACATCTTCCGCGTTCCTGTCCCAGCTGCATCAGCCATCAGTGGGGGCCCTTCTCCGACCGTCTTCCTAGACTTCAGAGCCACTGGTGGTTATGTAAGGAGTTGTGTGTTCCTCTGCCCAACTCCGAGCTTGGTCCCACCTCCCAGACTCACCTCTGGGCTCCGGGCTCTGCTGCGATGTTTCCGAGGCTCCCAGTTAATCAGATCTGTCAGCCCAGTGTCCACAGGGTGCCTGAGAGCCCAGCCCATCCACACTGGGTGCCCCAGACCTTCCACGGGGTCTGGTGGGGACCTGCCAGGGCTGTCAATGGCCCCAGTGGAGAGGCCCACTGAGCATCCTGAGAAGTTCCCGTGCTTGTGACCTGCTCTCGTGTGTGTAGCAGCGGGGGCTGCGTCTCATCTGCCACACGTTTCTGATCGCCGAGGACTCAGCCGGGCACATGGAGGTTGAACTGTTGGGGGGCGGGAGGACCATCCATGGGGTCAGGCACCAACCTCTGCTGAGGATCCCAAAATGTGGGGTAGCCATCCTTTCTTGTGCTGGCGTGGAGCTTTTCCCAGGAGCTGGGCAGGGAGCTGTCACAGGGCCAGGCCCCTGAATGGGCTGTTTGGGGCCGGGGCTGAGGGGGTGCCCAGTGCCATCGAGGGGAAGCCTGTGGGAAAGTGTGATGACATCTGAAAAACCAGGAGCAGGTCCCTTGCTGTGCTGGTCGTGGTGCTCGAGTGTGGGCTCAGCAGGTCTGGTCTCCTGGCGCCCACTCACTCCCTGGCCATCTCCCCACCTCCCTCACATGGCAGGGGGAAGTGGAACGTGCGGCCACTGCTCCCACCGTCCCTCACAGCACAGGCTGGACAGGCACCCTGAGGCATCCCCATCTCCCAGCCCCTGGGGTTGGCATGATGCTGGGCCTCCAGAAATGTTTGTCATTTTATGCAAAGGGCAGAAAAAGCTTTGTTCAGGCCAGGCACAGTGGCTCACGCCTGTATTACCAGCACTTTGGGAGGCCGAGGTGGGGGATCACCTGAGGTCAGGAGTTCAAGACCAGCCTGGCCAACATGGAGAAACCCCGGCTCTACTAAAAATACAAAAATTAGCTGGGCGTGGTGGTGAGCGCCTGTAATCCCAGCCATTCAGGGGGCTGAGGCAGGAGAATCGCTTGAATCCGGGAGGCAGAGGTCACAGTGAGTCAAGATTGCGCCACCGCACTCCAGCCTGGGCAACAGAGCGAGACTCCATCTTGAAAAAAAAAAAAAAAGGAAAAGCTTTATTCAAAAGAAGCCACCTGAACCAGTCGGTCGTCCAGTGTTCAGCTTGTTTTTGGTCATAAAGTGGTGGCACTTGTCACTCATACAGGAGACGCTGTGGCAGAGCCCCTCCACGCATCGGGGCCCGGCAGCTCATTTCTAGGATTCTCCTGAACACGCGAAGGAGGGCACCCACCATGCTCGGGACTGGCTGCTTCTCTGTGAGGCCTCCAGGCAGAACCAGTGATTCCACCGTTGTGGGGCAGCCTTGGTGGGCCCACAGGTCTGTTGTTCCCCCTGAGAGAGGATCAGAGTCAGGAGAGGCGAGACACCAAGTTGACACGAACAGATCCCTGCTGCCGGTTGTTCTGGCGGTGCTGTGAGCACGTCTGACGGGTGTGAGGGTGCTGGGGCTTCGTTTCGTCCACGCTCACGTATCGGGCACACAGGAGAGTTTACACGCGCTCTGGTGGGTGGAAGGGGCCCTGACTTGATGTTATTTTGAAATAGGGGGTTTGAGTGTGTCTGGTCTTTCTGAAGTTTTCTTTTTGAACGTCTCTTCTGTGGGAAGTTTGAAAAGATTCAACCGACTGCAAGACGGAGCCGCCCTGTGTCTGTTGGGGCTGTGGGGACCCAGGTGCACTGGCAGCTCAGCCGCATCGTGGGCCCAGATGGCTTCTTCTGTTTGTTCCTCAGCGAACCTTGATTGTTGAAAGAATCCCGTGAGGCTGTGTCAAGTGTAGACAGGCCAGGCCTGGTGTCTTGTCCTGGTCAGGAAATTGTGTTGTTGCCCTTGTTAAATGGTTGTGTATAAAGTTTGCATTGTACATTATATTTAAAATTTTATTTTGAGTTTTCCATATTTTCTATTGTAAGGTGTTGATAGTTCTGTGGGACTCACAAAGAGAGAACAGGTGTCCCTGGTCCTCCCTGCTGCCCCAGCTCCACTCCCTGGAGGGGATCACAGCAGTTTCTTTTTGACATTTATTTCCAGATTTCTAAATGACACATTTCTGCTGCTATTTCTAGTCGTTTCCATTTAGGATGTTACTTCCCTACTTTCTCTGGGACACATCAGCTCATCTCTTCCTTCCTTGTTCCATCCTCCTGATGGAGTTATGTCACTGTTTATTGTTTTTAATCATTGAGTGTTTACCTAATTGCGGGTGACGTGAATATGCATGAGCTACCATGATTGCATTCCCTTGTTGGCACAACTTTTGGGTTTCCTTGGAGTTAATACATTGTGATTGTTTAAATCAGTTTCCTAGATGTCTTGTCTCAAATTTACTCCAGTTTCCTCTTCCCAGAAGAGGGGCAGCTCCCACCGATGCCTGCCTCACCTCCCTCCTGGTGCACCTGGCCCCCCACACAACATGCCGTGGGGCTTCCCTGTGCCCCGAGCTGGGAACAGTCCCCTCCTCTCTCCTCTGCCTACAGTCTTGATCTCTGGCTCCCTCTCTTCCTCTTTCTTGGCTTAATGTCCGGTTAAGACCCTCCAGCAGCTGTCTGAGAAAGATGGCGTGGGAGGCCAGTTTGGGGGATCTAGTTGGAAAATGCTTTTCCTCCAGCCACACACTTAAGGATAGTTTAGCTAGGTATGAAATTCTGTATTGGAAAGAATTTTCCCTCTGCATTTCGAAGGGATCGCTCTACTGTCTTCTGGCTTCTTGTGTGACCGAGAAGTCAGGTGCCATTTTGATTTTGTGTGTTTTTCTCCTGAAAGTCTTGTAGAATCTTTTGTCTTCAGGGTTCTCAAGTTTCATGATAATGTTCCTTGTCGTGGAAACTTCTTTGTCTCTTGTGCTGGGAACTCGTGCTGTGGAACCTTGCGACATTTGGATGTGAGGAGCTTTACACCCAGTTATTTATCACATGGCCGACTCCCCGTCTCTGACTCTCTTTTAGAGTTAACGCTGATTATTTGTTGGCCCTCCCAGGCTGGTCCTTTAATTTTCTTCTCTATTTTCCATTTCTTTGTTTATGTTATATGCTAGGAGACATCTTCAGGTTTCTCTGTCCAAACCATCTGTTAAGTTTGTTAGTTTGTTGCCTTGTTCCCGTTCTTGTCTTTCGATCTTTTTTCTCTGAAGGTGGCTTTTTTTTTTTTTTTTGAGATGGAGTCTTGCTCTGTCGCCCAGGCTGGAGTGCAGTGGCGTGATTTCGGCTCACTGCAACCTCCACCTCCTGGGTTCAGGCCATTCTCCTGCCTCAGCCTCCTGAGTAGCTGGGACTACAGGCGCCCGCCACCACGCCCAGCTAATTTTTTGTAGTTTTAGTAGAGACGGGGTTTCACCGTGTTAGCCAGGATGGTCTCGATCTTCTGACCTTGTGATCCGCCCGCCTCGGCCTCCCAAAGTGCCGGGATTACAGGCGTGAGCCACTGCGCCCGGCCTGAAGGTGCCTTTTTAAGGCAGAGTGCCCTGCCCTTGTGTCAAAGGCATATCGCACTTTTTCTCTGGGGTTATTCGTCCCGGCTGAGAAGCACCGCGGTATCATGTGGTGATTGAGCAGCACCCAGCACATTCATGGCTGCGAGGCTTCCCGCGTGTGAACTCATTTAATCTTCTCAGTTCCTTGTGGGCACCATTGTTTTCTTTGTTCTGGGTAAAGATTAGCACTGAGGCACAGACAGGTCAAGAAATTTCCCAGAATCGCACAGTTTGAGCTGGGACTCAAACCCCAAGGGCTGGGCTTAAGCCCACGCTATTTGCCGCGTGCCCCAGGGCCTGAAGCTGCGTGGTCAGGCCCCAGCTCTGCTGCCCACCAGCCACGTGACCTCGGCCACAACGCTGTCCACCGTGTCCCGGACCCTCATAAGTGAGCGTGATGGTAAAAGGCTTGGCTCCCAAGGCTATCATGGGATTAGCCAGTAACTAAGCCACAACGCTGGCCCCGCGGCTGCTGCTGATGGCGGCACATGGTGGGAGCATGTGTGCTGGCAGCGGTTGGTGATAACGTCTCCTTTTGGTGTTTTCTTTGGCCTCGTACTCAGCTGTTTTCACCGAGAGTCCCTTTTTGTGTTTGTCCTGGCCTTTGCGGCTTCCTGGGCCCCTGGTGACCCGCATTTGTCTGCCCACATTGACTCGTGGGGCACCACAGAGCTGGTGGTGGCGGAAGTCCCCAGGGGAGTGTCCTGCCTGGGAGGGCCGGGCATCTCACCCCTAGTAAGGAGTCTGCTGCCCCCGCAAGCCCTCTCGTTCCCTGGCTGCTTTGGGTGAGGAAGGGGGTCTGGGGGTCGACTCCTCACTGACTGGGACCCTGCACAGCAGGTGCCCCACTTTCCTGCTACCTGGAGCCTCTGACTTGGGGCCCTTCTTTGGGGTTCGGCCCAGTACAGTCTCCTGGTGGCCACGGGGCCCTCTGCCTTCCAGGTCCCAGGGCATCCACTACCCGGCCTGTCCTCCTCTTTGCTGTTACGGGTTTTTTGGAGTTTTTCTTCCTTTGGTCTTGGGAGGGAGAGTCAGTCAGTGATGTGTTTGAGCTGCTGTGTCCACCTGGAAACCATCGTGATGACGCTTTCTGAAGGCTAAAGTATGCAGGAAAACCAGAGTTGGAGAAGGTCTTTAGGTAGGGGCAGTGCGCGTGGACGTGGCGGTGCGCGTGGACGTGGCAGGTGTGGACCAGCACGTCCCACTGCTCTGCATCCTGAGGGGCCGGAGGGTGTGGTGCAGGGTTTTAAGGAGGGCAAAGGCCCCTCTGTTTGTTTTTCCTTGATGCTGCCCCCCGTGCGACCTGGGGGCAGTTTTCAAATGCTTGACCCAGGTAGTTTAGTTCTGTCACCCCCTCGTTCAGTGGGGTGGTGGGAAGACCAGTTTTTGGAACAGTTTTGGATTTACAGAAAAATCAGGACAGGAGTAGAGCACAAGCATTCCCTCCCTGCTCCCTCCTGGTCAGCGTAATGCGTGAGTTACACTTCACCAGCCAGTCTCGGCACCTTTCCAGCTAAGGCTTTATTCCGCTTGCCTCAGTCTCCCCTCCTGCCCCCTTTCTGTCCCAGGATCCCGTCCAGGGCCCCACGTGGCACTTGGCCGTCACGTCTCCTTAGGTCCCTCTCACTGTGGCAGGTCTCTCAGACTTGCCTCATTTTCAACGACCTTCGTAGTTTTAAGGAGGGCTGGTCAGGTGTTTTGTGGGACAGCCCTTCGCTGGGGTTTGCCTCATGTTTTTCTCATAAGGACTGGGGCCTTGTGTTTTGGGAGGAGGTGAAGCCTCCTTATATCGCTGGGTCCAGGTCCACACCCTCCACGCAGCCTGTCCGTGCTGGCCTTGCGTGTCACCTGGCCGCGGTGTGTTTGTCGGCTCACACCTGCCCGTGCCTCTTCCCCCGTGCTGTCCTGTCTGCGGAGTGAGGCGTGCGTGGCCCACACCTAAGAGGTGAGGAGCTACATACGTGATGTCAAGTTTTGCACGGGACTTGTACGTCTGTTCTCCCATTGGTTATTTAATTATTCCTTTCTGTTCATGTGGACTCGCAGGTGTCAATTTCATACTTGGGTTAGAATCGGATACCGTGTCGCTTACTTATTGCTCAGATTGTTCCAGCTTTGGGCACTGGGGCCCCTGCAGGCTGGCTGTTGGGGCAGCGATGAGGCCAGACACTGGGTGGGTTGGGGGTGGGTGCTGACGGGTCTCTGGCAGGAGGGGGCAGGCTGCAGGGAGCAGGGGGAAGCAGGTCCCAGGCCCAGAGGTGGGTCTCGGGCGAGTCTGGGCTGTGGGCATGGACCCCCAGAAGGGGCCTGTGTGGCCAGGACGTCCCATGGCTGCAGACCCCGGTGTGGGGTGTGGGCCCTGGGAGGTGATTGGTACTGCAGCCGGAGCTCCAGCATCATGCCAAGGTGGTGCTGGGTCGAGGCGGGGAGGGGAGAAGTCACCACACTGTGCCCGGACTTGGTGGCGTGGTGATGTCGGGGCTGCGGTTGGGGGACTGACCCCGCATACTCTTCTCCCAGCTGAGTTGGCAGTGCCGTAGGGTCAGCAGCCCAGGCTCTGCATGGGGCTCGTGTGGGACTCGGCAGGTCCCTGCATCACCTGGCACCAAGCTCAGGCACGCCCCCCACACCCCACCACTGCCGCCCCGCCCCCCAGCATCCCCTTCCTGCTGCCCTCTGTGCTGCACTGACTTCCTCAGTTGGTTTGATGAGAGGTGACAAAGGCAGAAATGGGCAGAGAGCGGCACCATCGCTGGCCCCTCTTGCCCATTTGTCCCCTGCTGGGTGGGCAGTCCTCTTTTTTCGGAAATGTGTTCAGTTCTCTTGCATTGCATAATTTGTTCATATTAAAGCAGGCTTGATCCGGGCTGCCGTGGTTCCGATCGACTCCGAATAGGACACCACACAGTCGTGCCAAGAAGGCGCCTAAGTGTCTTTCCACACGGCCATCCGAGGGCGGACGTGGTCAGGGGTGCTGGACGCGTCAGACGGGTTCTTTGCAGCCCTTGGCAGCGTCGCCCGCTCTGTCCCGCCTGTTGTGTGCGCCTTTTCCCTGCTCCAGGGCTGTGTATTTGGCAAGAGGGAGGCTCCGTGGCACGATCACACGTGCAGGAGCTGGGGGCTGCCAGAGCGGCTGTTCAAGATGGACTTGGCAAATCACCTCTTTCAAGTTGCCGGCTACCCGGCTGCCGTAGACAGAGTGAAGTCTGGTAGTTTGTGTTTATTTATTTATCTTGGCCAGCAGAGAGAATTGAGTTTGCATGGAGACTGTAATTTCATTCTGTGAGTGTAAGATCACGTCCGCGTTCCTAGCGACCGGTTTTGTGATGTGGGCAGTGCCGTGCTGGTAAATGCTCTGTGAGGAAGGAACGATGGTGGGATTTGTCACTCAGTCGATTTCCCTGGTGTAAATGCTCCCACCACGGCCGATTTCAGGCTGCCGAAGTGGAGGGGTTCAGTGAAGGTGGAGTTGGGCAAGGGCGTACACGGTCGGCTTCTGAGAGTTGGTCCCCCCGCCCAACCCTCCCCTGGAGATGGGATGTCAGGAGACCTGGTTCCATTTGTTTTTTTGCCTGAGCGTCCGGGGGTGGCTTTGAGGACACCTGTCCTCCTTCACAGGGGCACTCCGGATGTAGTAGCAGGGAGAGGGTGGAGGGGCGGCCAAGGGCGTGAGGGAGAGGGTGGAGGGGTGGTGTGAGGGTGCAAGGGAGAGGGTGGAGAGGGTGGCAGTGAGGGCGCGAGAGGGTGGAGGGGCGGCATGAGGGAGCAAGCCACCTCGGGCACAGGTGAAGGACAGGTGTCCACACCTTGGGTGCCCCCGTCCTCCCTCTCCTCATGTCCTAATAGGTCTGAACAGGAAGTTACATTTAGGGCGGCTGTACAGTGAGTTTTAAATACCTTGGTCCAAATTTTCAAACACGTATCGTTAGCGTTTCCCCTGTTGCTGGCCCCAGAGTGTTCGGTTCACTGGGTGGAGCATGCTCTGAGCCCCTGGAGGTACAGGGATTTTACGGGAGGAGGGGTCGCTTCGAGGGGAGGTGGCTGCGTCCATGTCTGGACGGAATTACTCACTGCCTGTCCCTCCCTGCAGCCTCTGTTCCCTCCTCACCAGTCTCTGATTCCAGCTCCGGGCTCAGCCAGTGGTCTCAGGACCCCCACCACATTCATGAAAATTACTGTGGTCCTCAAAGAGCTTTTGGGTACGTGGGCTGTAGCTGCCAGTGTGAACTGTACTGAAAATTTAGAACGAGGAATATTTATTCCTCATTAACTCTAATTAATGTATGATTAATTAGATTAATTCTAAAATAACCCATCGGCTGTTAACATTTTAATGAAAAGTGACTATTTTCCCAAACAAAATATTCGGCAAGAGAGTGGCAACATTTTTGCATCTGGTTGAGCAGAACACGGTTGAGCCATCACACCTGCCTCTGCGTTCAGGCTGCTGCAGTGTTGGGTTAAGATTGTGAGGAAATCCAGTGTGTGAGGAGGCTTGGGGTGAATTCCAGTGTGTCAGGAGGCTTGGGGTGAATTCCAGTGTGTCAGGAGGCTTGGGGCGTTTTAACAGCTTTTCCTCTGGTAAACGTGGGTATTCTTCTTTGATATTTCTCTGAAACTCGGCACGTGGTCATTTCTTACATGTCAGTTGAAACATGGAATCTGAAACTGTATTGGTGTCACTTTCCTGCAGTTACCTTAAAAATCCGCTGGTCTCTTTTGCGCTCGAATAGGTTTCTTACGCGTGCGTGTGTTTTAAAAATCGTATGTTGGCCGGGCGCGGTGGCTCACGCCTGTAGTCCCAGCACTTTGGGAGACCGAAGCGGGCAGATCACTTGAGGTCAGGAGTTCGAGACCAGCCTGGCCAATGTGATGAAACCCCATCTCTACTAAAAATACAAAAATTAGCCGGGCATGCATGGTGGCGGATGCCTGTAATTAATCCTAGCTACTCGGGAGGCTGAGGCACGAGAATCACTTGGACCTGGGAGGCGGAGGTTGCGGTGAGCCAAGATTGCACCACTGCACTCCAGCCTGGGCGAGAGAGCGAAACTCTGTCTCAAACAGCAACAACAAAAAACATCGCATATTGGCTGTTAGGAAATATTGCTCCACTGGGTTCTGCAGGTCTTCCTAAGCGCAGTGGAAAATTCCCCCCACGCTCATGAGGGCGAGTGTGAAGAAGGCAGGTGCTGTCCGCTTCGGATTATGGTCATAGCTTGCACTCGCGGCTCCCCTGCCTGGTCTCTGGGACCCCCAGGCATCCCCAGACCTCCCTGGCCTCAGCCAGTTCCCGCCGCTTCACCATATGGCAGAACACATGCGCGGCCGGCCGGCTCACAGATGGGCGTACCTGCGTCCGGCCCACCCGCCTGCGGTCCTGTGTGCTCACCCTGCCCTGGTCTCTGCCTGGACTGTGGATGGGGGTGAGTGGGGCATGGAGGCGTTCTGCACCCACCAGCTGTCAGTGCCAGCCACCTGCCTGCCCAGCATCGGGTCTGTGTGGCAGCACCTTGTCAGCAAGTGGAGGTCAGATGTGGGGTCAGCTGGGCGCAGTGGCTCACGCCTGTCATCCCAGCACTTCGGGAGGCCTAGCCAGGTGGATCGCCTGAGCTCAGGAGTTTTCAAGACCAGCCTGGGCAACATGGCAAAACCCCATCTCTACAAAAAAATGTAAAAATTAGCCTGGTGTAGTGGTGCACACCTGTCGTTCCAGCTCCTCGGGGAGGCTGAGGTGGGAGGATCGCCTGAGCCCAGGAGTTCGAGGCTGCAGTGAGCTGAGATTGTGCCACTTCACTCCAGCCTGGGTGACAGAGTGAGACCCTCTTAAAAAAAGAAAAAAAAAAAAGATGCAGGTCAGGCACAGAAGCCAGACAGGCTGCTCCCACCCCAACATGACCGACAAGGTGCTGTGTCCCTGCCCTCCCTGTGGCTCTGCGGGTAGGGGGCGATTCCTCTGTCAGCTGGGTGAGGAGTAGAGAGGCAGCTGAGTGGGTATTTATTTAAAGGGAAGACAAAGACGTAGACTGTACGGCTCTCTGAAACTTCAGCAACTTTTCCGAGACACGTTGTACCATCCGCCCTACCTGGCGTGGGCGTGAAGCTGGTAGCACACAGAAGGTCCCGGAGCAGGAGCTGGCCCCGAGCCAGCAGCTTTGTGCCCTGTGTTACCGGATCTTCAGAATGCGCCTCCAGCCTGTTGACCATCTTACTGCTCACCTGGGTCCGCAGCCCGCCAGATACCAGGCTTGACTTTACTCCTGGCGGGGCTAGGGCCAGAACCCAGACTGGTTGCTGCGCACGGTGCTTTTTGCCAAACCTCACATTTGTTGGTTGCGTTTTTCACAACTCTTGTCCTCTGAAGATGCCTGCTCAGAGCCCATGCAGCGCCACGCTGGAGGGGCTGAGGATATGGGGGGCCCTGTTCTCAGAGCCCGTGAGGCACCGTGCTGGAGGGGCTGAGGACGTCGGGGGGCCCTGTTCTCAGAGCCCGTGAGGCACCGTGCTGGAGGGGCTGAGGACGTCGGGGGGCCCTGTTCTCAGAGCCCGTGAGGCACCGTGCTGGAGGGGCTGAGGACGTCGGGGGGCCCTGTTCTCAGAGCCCGTGAGGCACCGTGCTGGAGGGGCTGAGGATATGGGGGGCCCGGGCCCGGCTCCCCTCTCACAGGCAGGTCTGCACTCATGGGTGGGTTTGGGAGGCCCCGGTCTTACTGTGTTGATGCAGAGAGGCACTTCTCTCTTTCTCTCGCTCCCTTCTCCTGTCTGGGTTGGCATCATCCCAGGAGTAAGAGCTGTGTCTTCTCCCCTCCCTGTTGAAAGGAATCTTGATCCTAATGTGAACTCAAGGATTTTCTAAAAACTGGGTTTATTATCATCCTTTTTTTTTTTTTTTTTTTAAATTGAGACGGAGTCTTGCTCTGTCGCCCAGGCTGGAATGCAGTGGTGCAATCTTGGCTCACTGCAACCTCTGCCTCCCAGGTTTAAGTGATTCTCCCACCTCAGCCTCCCAAGTAGCTGGGACTACAGGCTCCTGCCACCACGCCCAGCTAATTTTTGTGTTTTGATAGAGACAGGGTTTCTCCATTTTGCCCAGGCTGATCTTGAACTCCTGGCCTCAAGCGATCCTCTTGCCTCAGCCTCCCTAAGTGCTGGGATTACAGGTGTGAGCCTCCAGGCCTCAGCCTCCCTAAGTGCTGGAATTACAGATGTGAGCCTCCGCACCTGGCCTGGAATCATCGATTTCTGTCATTGTTCGTCTTGAGGCTCTGGTCCTCCCAGGTTTGGCTGGCAGGGGCCTTGGCGAGCGGCTCCCCCCATGCTACCCGCTTTTCCATCAGGTTTTGTGTGTTGCTCGCATCCGGGCAGCAGGCTCTGGCATCCCCTCGGCCCTTTCTGCTCCAGGCTGGACCTGGCCGTTTCTCCACGGAACTTGGCTTCCTTCGGAGGAGGGTGGACTTCAGAAACTAACCTGCCTGCTGCTCCTGGGGGCCGTGAGGCTGTGCCCGGTGGGCGGTGGGCCAGGGGCTGCATGGGGATTCGATGTGCAGTTCCCGCGGCAGCTCCCAGTGCCGCAGGCTCTTCTCTTCTCCACTTCTGAGTGGGGTCTCCATCTGCACAGCGTGAGCCTGTTCGCTCGTGTGCTCTGCCTTCGAATGCGGATGACACAGCTTCAGAGCCGCGGCATCGTCACCAGGGCAGCAGACCCAGCCAGGCCAGGGCTTCTCAGCATTCTTTTGTCCTCAGAATGCCTCCTGCCATGCCCATGCCCTTGGAGAGCAGTTTCCAGAAGTTAACTTGGATTCGTTTATTCATTTGTTGTCTTTCGTGGGGTTATGCTGTCAGTATGATGGTCAGTTGGCTTTATTTGTTTCTGTTTGCATTTGATTTTAGTGTATTTCCCCATTCTTTTATTTATTTTTTTTGAGACAGAATCTTGCTCTGTCACCCAGGCTGGAGTGCAGTGGCGCGATCTCAGCTCACTGTAACCACTGCCTCCCGGGTTCAATTGATTCTCGCACCTCAGCCTCCTGAGTAGCTGGGATTACAGGCACCCACCACCACACCCAGCTAATTTTTGTGTTTTTAGTAGAGACGGGGTGTCACCATGTTGGCCAGGCTGGTCTCGAACTCCTGACCTCAAGGGATCCACCCACCTCGGCCTCCCAAAGTGCTGAGATTATAGGTGTGAGCTGTTGCGCCCGGCCCCCATTCTTGTTTATTTTACTTACCTTTGGGTGGTGAGGCGCCACGGCTCACCGTGGCAACAGCTGGCAGTGCAGCCCCACCACGCAGAGAGCTGCACCAGCACCTGTGGATGGCATCCCGAGGTGCCAGGCGAACCCTGGGGCTTCTGTGTCTCTCCTACAACCTTCGCTCCCAAGGGTTTTTAATGATGCTCTTATTTTTGCATTAATTGGGTTGTATCCCATCACCTGGATGTGATTACCGAGAGGAGTATAGCAGGATACCCGAGTAATATGTGTGCGATGCCAGCAGAAAGACGTGAAGAGAGTAAATGAATAACAGGTGGTTTTGCTCTGAAGTGACCTTTTGGTGGGGGTGGCGGGGGAGGTTAAAACCTTCCTGCTCCCCTAACCGGGTACCCACTAACAGAAAATGCCCGACTCTGGAAAGGAGTCCCCGGAGGCCCCTGAGGAGGACCAGCGTCTGGCCTGTCCGGGCACCGGGGGCAGCATCCAGGCCCTCGGGAGCCAGGCAGGTCACTGCCTGCACCCGGGGAGGCCTGGCTTCGAGGCTGGGAACGCTGGGACGGCGTGAGGGACAGGCTGCTGGTGCCTGGCGCGTGCTGGCCGCCTGGACACTCAGTGAAGACGGTCTTTGTTTTGATGGCGGCAGAGCCCATCCTGAATAGCGGCTTTCTCTGCTGTGTGGGTGGGGGCCTCGGGCTCGGATGCTGCCTGAGTTGGGGTTTTGGTTTTACAGTTTCCCACTCGTGTAACTTTAAGGAGGCCACTCAGCAGTGTCCTCACCTACCTGGCCCAGACTCCGCCTCCCTCATCTGGATAACGCCCAGCACACCTGAGAAGAGGCACAGCTCTGCCCCCGTCTGTCCCTCGTCCTCCTCACTGCTCCCTCCCCCTTGCCTGGATGGTGCGCCCCATGGGGTCTGCACGCCCCTCCCTCCGCCTCCCTGTTCCTCCCCTGCAGTCTCAGCTCGGAGGCTGCCCCTTTCCATCGTGGGCTTCCTGGGAACCAAATCCCTCAGCTTTGGCCCTGGTTGCATCCTTAGGGCTGAAAATGGTGCCTGGGACCCAGCAGGGCTCCCTGGACATTTGCTGAACGTCCTCGAGTCCTTGAGTGAAGACGGCTGTGGCGAGTGATTGCCGCGTGACTCAGCCTCTCCATCCCACGCCCAGAGCGGCTTCCGGAGGTCCCAGAGCCCGGGCTCCAGGATGAGCCCAGCAGAGTCTTCCCGTAGACACCATCATCCTGTGTGGAATGTCACCTCTCCTTTCTAGGTCAGGCTGTGGGAGCTTCGGAGCCTGACCAAACCCAGGTCATGTGTGCACAGCTCAGCTGCCTGGAGGCCCCTCCCAGGCGGCGGCGTCTCTTCACTCACAGACTCCAGCTGGGGCTCAGCGCAACATAGCAAGACCCCATCTGAAAAAAACACAAATCAGTGTTTCTGGTTGTGAAAGCAACACATGTTCACTACAGAAAACTTGACCCATAGGGCAGGATGTCAGAAAAGCTCAAATTGCTCTTGCTTGTACTCCCTGGTGAGCCTGTCACTTTTGTTTTATTTTGTTTTGTTTTCCGAGAGCATATCGTTTTTAATTTCATTCTGGTCTTCTATACTATTAGTTTTTATAGAAAATACTAGTGATACGAGGTTAGAATCCCTCCCTGTCATCAGCTAATAATAGCAGTAACAATGGTGCCAGTTCTGTTCCGGGCTCATCGTTTCTTTTTAAAATGGTGGAGCTTACTGCAGTAGAGTGTTTTCCTTAGCCGGGGTCAGCTCTGGTTTTAGAACTCATTTCCCTGTTCGCGAGGTCCCTGGGCAGAGTTCGGCCGGGCGATGGCAGACGCCATGAGGAAGGACCCAGAGGTCTCTGTTTCTGGGGCCTGCATGGGTAGAAACGTGGGGGTGACGGTGTGAGCATGAGGATACTCAGAGCTGGGAAGACTTGAGGGTCGGGGTTGGGGACAGAGACTTCCAGGAGGCAGGGCCGTCTCTGGTCCGTCGGGGTCTGCGTTCATTTGCTTCAGCCTCTGTGAGGAGGCACCACGAGGGGTGGCCTGTAAACAAGGACCCTGATTGCTCGAGATGCTGAAGGCGGGGAAGTCCAGGCAAGGTACCAGCAGATTTGGTGCCTGGTAAGGACTGGTTCACAGCCAGAGCCTTCTCAGAGTCTTCTTCACGTGATAAAGGGGACGAACAAACACTCTGGGGTCCCTTTGAAAAGCACTATTAATCCCATTCCGGAAGGCCACAACCTTACCACCTCTCAAAGGCCTCCTGACACCGTCGCCTGTGGGTGAGGATTTCAGCGTGTGAATTCGGTGGGACGTAAACACTCAGGTCACAGTGCTGGGGCCGCTGTAGCAACGTACCACAGATGGCGGCTCACACGGCAGAACTCAATTCTCTCTCAGCTTGTGTGGTGATCCCAGCTACTCCGGAGGCTGCGGTGGGAGGACCTCTTGAGTGCAGGAGTTTGAATGTAGCCAGGGCAACATAGCGAGATCCCATTAAAAAAAATCCAAACAAAAAGCTTTATTCTCTGTCTGGAGACCAGCGTCTGAGAGCTGGGTTTCGGCAGGGCTGGTTCCCGGAGGCCGTGAGGAGCCCGGGCCAGGCCTGTCCCCTTGGCTGGTGGAGCCGTCTCTTCTTCACCCGGGCCCTTCCTCCCCGTGCGGCCGTGTCCACGTTACCCTCTGTTATGAGAACAGCAGTTGTTTTGGATCTAAGTCTGCTGTAATGACCTCACTCACTTAACTGATTACATCTGCAGTGTCCTATGTGTAAATAAGGGCATGTTCTGAGCTCCTGGGGGTCAGGACGGCAGCTTGGATTCCGAGGGGATTCAGTTGCACTCATGCAGAGGCCCTGGGGGCTGCACCTTGGCAAGGGGTTCCCATGGCCTGGCCGGTCTGCAGTCCTTGTAGTCAGCTGCACCCAGCCCTCCCGCAGAAGGGGCCCGTGCACCCATGGTTTTGTAGCCGTCAGGGAGCACCTGTTCAGAGGGCCCTGCTGACCGAGGGGCGTGGGCTCAGCACTGCCAGGGCCCGTGCCCTGTGTCCCCACAGGATGGTGCTGGCCGTCTCACCACTGAGGGGATGCCCCCCAGCCCCCTCACCCTCAGCTGCTCCTTCCAGGAGCTTAAGGCCCCTAAAGTCTGCCCCGGTCCCTGGGGTCAGAGCCCACCCTGGGCTGGTTTTGAAGAAACACCAGTGCTTCTCCAAGGAGGCCCCGTGCACATGTAGGAATGAAGCCCTCGTCCTCCCACAGCCGCGTGCCCCTCCTGCGCTGCGTGTGTGGTTTTGCTCATGGCACCTGGCGTGGGCGCCCTGGGAGCGGCAGCCGGGGGCGTCTCGGAGAGAGCCAGTGCAGGGGGGACCCCACAATCTGGGAGGCCATGGATCCTGGTTGTGGGTTTTTGGTTTTAACATTTGGTTTACTTATTTTCAGACTTTTTTCCAAACAAATGGTTTATCCATATTAATTTAGCTCTCCCTGTGGAATTTGTAGGACCTCAGTTTTCTTGACATTATGATCTAAGCAGATTATTGAACACACGTCTTAAATATCATCTTTTCAAACTGCCACATGTACCATCATATAGATGTGCTTTAATAAAGAGGTCAGAGAGCTGTGGCCCACTGTAGTTCTTGTTTGTTTTTTTGAGCTGGAGTCTCACTCTTGTTGCCCAGGCTGGACTGCAGTGGTGCAATCTCGGTTCACTGCGACCTCCGCCTCCTGGGTTCAAGCAGTGCTCCTGCCTCAGCTTCCCAAGTAGCTGGGATTACAGGCGCTTGCCACCATGCCCGGCTAATTTTTGTATTTTTAGTAGAGACGGGTTGGGGTTTTACCACGTTGGCCAGGCTGCTCTCGAACTCCTGACCTCAGGTGATCTGCCCGTCTTGGCCTCCCAAAGTGCTGGGATTATAGAAGTGAGCCACCGCGCCTGGCCTGTTTGTTTTTTAATTGTGGTAAAATACCTATAACATAAAATTCACCATTTTAACCATTTCTAAGTGTGTAGTTCAGTAAAGTAAATTCATGCTGCACAGCCAATCTCCAGAATTTCATCTTGCACAACAGAACCTCCGCAGTCCCACCTGCAGCACACAGGAGTTACGATGTCTCGCCGTCCTCGCTGACACTCCCGACTTTCTGTTCCTGGCCGTCCTCTTGGGGCGAGGCAGTGCCCAGTGTGGGTCTAGTTTGCCTCTCCCGGTGGTTGGTGATGTTGAGCCTCTCACGCCTGTGGCCGCTTGTGTGTCGGCTTTGGAGAAACGTCTGCACAGGTCCTTTGCCCGTTTTGTAATTGAGTTCCTCGTTTCTGTGGTTGCGTTGTCCTGTGGGGTGGTTGACCTGCACGCACCGTGTGAACTGATCCCACTTGTTCCATGCGGACCCACCGATTACCAGGTGGGAGCAGCAGGGGGCGTCCGAGGGCCCTGACCCCAGGCGGGAGGACAGATGCGCGTCCTGTGTTGGGGCCACGGAGTTGTGGGCAATTGTTTCTTTTTCTTTTACTTTCTTTGGTATCTTCCAAATCTTTATAAAATCTTTATAAAAATTATTTAAGGAGAAGACTCATGTAGAATGGAAAGCGTCGTGCCAGACAGTGCTTGGTACTTGCAAGAATGGCCGTGTCCCCAGGAGCCGGTGGACGAATCTGTCCTTGCTGCCACCTGTGCGGCCGCAGAGTGAGACAGGAGGGACCGGCAGGCATCGCGCTTCTCCCCTAGATACTCCGGCCATGCCAGCCGCCCCCTTGGCTCCGGCCCCGTCCATCCAGCCCCTTCCCAGGGCTTTGTCCCCTCACCCCCGCCGCCCTCCCCCTGTTTTCCTACGGGAGGCGAATCCTTGATGAGAGGAGGAGGCCGGGAACCCTGCCCCCTCTGTGTGAAGAGGAGGGCAGCCCCTGCTGCTTTGTAGGGAAACCCTGCCCAAGAGAAGCCCCAGCTCAGCAGGACGGAGTCCGACGTTCCCGCCTCAGGGTGCCCAGAGAGGGCGGGGACACCCTGGCTGGGACAAAGTGCGCAGCTCTACCCCTGCTCTGAAATGCCCGGGACTCGGCCGCGCCCTCCCCCTTTTTCAGAGCAACCTGTGGGCCCTGGCAAGGATAGGCCTCAGGCAAAGGAAAACCACCCTCGTTTTCTTAGCTTTTAGATTTTAAAAGGAGCAGTGGGGCCAGGTGGACTTGAAGCTCCGTGGGTTTGTTTAAGGTATAAATTCATTGAGCTTGAAGACGTTGTACGTGGAAGTGAACAGAACACACATAATTTATTCATGGATTTTAGCTGGCCTGTTTTTGTACAAAGGGAGCTTTTAAATTTAATTATTTTTAAGCATTAGAGGATGGTGTATCCGAGGCAGCTGGAGGCCCTGGTCTTCACTGTGAGCAGGGAGGGCCCTTGGGACAGGGCTCGGGAGGAGGGGCCAGGTGGACCCCTGCAGGGCTGGAGGACACTGAGGGCCTCAGATCACCACACAGTGGGCCCAGCTAGGGGGTGACCCTGAATTCCAGTCCCAGCGGACACATCTCTTGCCTTCAGCATAGAGGGCCCCAGGCCTCGGGCCCTGCCTCAGTTGCCTCCACGATGTCAGCTTCCAGGTGTGGGGACCGGGTGCCACCTCACCCCCCAGTTACACCCACACGAGGCCGCGGTGCCCAGTAGCACAGAGATGCCAATGTGATGGGTGGTTTTCAACAGGAACTCAAGAGAAAAGTTCATGCTTGTGAGGACAGAGCTGCAGCTTTAGCCCTGAGAGACCTGGCGGGAGAGGAGGCAGATGGCGAGGGCCCCACCGGCAGAGCTGCTGCCCTGAAAAGCACCTCCTCCTGGTGGACACCAGGTGCATGGTGTGGTCAGGTGTGGAGTGTGGGCCCGCTGGCCTCGCTGCTTCCTGCGCCCTGTTTACCACCCCTCACCCCCTGGCCCCAGCCTTGCTCTTGGCGGGCGGCTAGTGTCCTCTGGCCGCCCTGGGGCAGGTCAGACCGCCGGGGTGTGGAGTGGGGTGCTTGCCTTTTTCTGCCTGACCCTGCTTCGTGCGGGGACTCTGGGACGCTGTGACTTGGCTCTGGCCTGGTCCAGCCCCCAGTGTCCACTTCTCTGGAAGGCGAAAGGCAGGGTGGGGGTCTCCTTGATGTGGGACTGGAAGCTGCTCAGCCAGTCTCCCTGGAAAAGGTCCTGGTGACAGTCACTGCTCGCTGCAGTGGCTGGTGCCCTCCTCAAAGGTGAGGGTGTCCGGGTGGCTGTTGGTGCGGGGCCGCTGGGACCTGTACCCTCTAAGTTGGGACTTCAGCCCCGCCTCTGCCCCCAAACGTGGTGGGCTGAGATGGGGGAGGCCCTTGGAAGGGCCCAGAGGAACCCCAGGGCCTCACAGAGGACGTGCTGTGTACGGTGCCTCCTCCCTGCGGCCTGCCCCGCCTGTGCTTGGAGCTGCATCGGGCACAGCCTGCCTTGGCGGGCACGGGACGAGCCGAGGATCCCCGCGTCGACGTGGAGGTCCGCGGCCGTCAGCGTTGCAGCCCTTGGCCGGGCACTAAGGGCTGAGTGTGGGGCCAGGGCAGAGGGAGCCAGGCCAGCAGCTCCAGGCCCGGGTGGAGGAAGTGCTGCCTGACACGTGTGTCTGCTCCCTGCGGCACGTCCACAGCACCTGCCAGCCCACTTTGGGTGACCCTCCTGTTTGTCCTGTCCTAGCGCAGCCACATCCCTTGGGAGCCTGCTTGTCTCTAGAACCTTCTGCCTGATGCACAACCTCAGAGCCCTCCGTCGCCATCCCTCCCCCGTCCCGGGAGCAGCCCCCCCACTTCCACCTGTCTTGGACGGGAGCTGGAAGGGACGTGGTTCCAGTCCTGCTGTGCCAAGCCTGGTGACCCGAGGGTACCCTCGGCCTCCCGGCCTGAACTCTTCTCCTACCATGATGGTGCCTGGGATGCTGTGTGGTGCCCGTGGGCAGTGGCGGAGGCAGTGGCCCCGGCTCGTTGAACCTTGGGCACTGCCCATTCTGAGGCGCCCGCTGTGCCCGGCTCGTTGAACCTTGGGCGCTGCCCGTTCTGAGGCACCCGCTGTGCCCGGCTCGTTGAACCTTGGGCGCTGCCCGTTCTGAGGCGCCCTCTGTGCCCGGCTCGTTGAACCTTGGGCGCTGCCCGTTCTGAGGCGCCCTCTGTGCCCGGCTCGATGAACCTTGGGCGCTGCCCGTTCTGAGGCGCCCGCTGTGCCCGGCTCGATGAACCTTGGGCGCTGCCCGTTCTGAGGCGCCCGCTGTGCCCGGCTCGTTGAACCTTGGGCGCTGCCCGTTCTGAGGCGCCCGCTGTGCCCGGCTCGTTGAACCTTGGGCGCTGCCCGTTCTGAGGCGCCCGCTGTGCCCGGCTCGTTGAACCTTGGGCGCTGCCCGTTCTGAGGCGTCTGCTGTGGCCCTTACCGTCTGGCTTCTCTGCTGGCTCTTTTGGCCTTGGATTCATTTCTGGAGCTGCAGAGTCACTTCTCTTAGAGCCTGGTTTTGGCCCTCTCTCTCCTGCCTATAAAAAGCCCTGCCCTGGGTTCCCTGCTCCATGCCAGTTCTCTCCCTGCCCCCGCCGGCATGACACGGACACTGGTGCCCGAGTGATGCCTGTGGGTGATGCAGACACTGACTGTCACCCCAGCCCCCCATGTGCTGCTCCGCCACACCCCAGGCCCCGTAGCAGGGTGGTGGTTTGGGCAGCTGGGTTTGCTGGTCCCCTGGGAGTCCAAGCAACATCACCACTGGGTCCCAGATATGCCGTCTCCCTGGGGCACCTGTGCTTCTGGTACCCAGGGTGGAGTCTGGTTGTCTCCTTTCCAGACCCTTCTAGGTCTGCGTTGGCCTGGCTGGTTTCCCTGAGGTTCCCTCTGTAGGGGAGGGCCTGCCCTCCTGGCAGGGGCCCTTGTGTGCGTCCTGAGCTCACCATGGTTTTGGAGGTGGCTGGGCAGTGGCGGGCAGAGCCCCATGCTGTCCTCTGCCTTTGAGGTGGGCACGGCACACGTGAGAGCTGAGCATTGGTGGAGGAGGCCACAACCGGTGCCCAGTGGTTGAGTCGCTGGTGCCCACCGAGGGCCCAGGGAGTGAGGGACCCCCTGAAGAGGTAGCTGGGAGCCAGACCCTCCTCCCGTGGATGCCTTTTCAAGTCCCTGTCAGTTGTTCAGAGAAGAGGGGGAGGATTCGCGCTTTGCGTCAGATGCGTGCGTCCTGCATGGGTGGTGCCGGCCGGCTGTGCCCAAAGTCATGCCCTGCCCCTGTCTCCCGCAGCCTGGCATGGGCTCACGTCCGTGTGCTTGTCCAGCCTCCACTCGCCACAGCTCCCCTCCCCTCCCCTCCTTTTCCCTCCCCACCTTTCCGCTCCCCTCCTCTCCCCTCCTTTCCGCTCCCCTCCTCTTCCCTCCTCTGCCCTCTGCTCCCCTCTCCTCCCTTCCCCTCCTGTCCCTTCCCCTCCCTTCTCCTCTTTTCCCCTCCCTTCCCCTCCCTTCTTTTCCTTTCCCCTCCCCTCCTTTCCCCTCCCCTCCTCTCCCCTCCTCTCCCCTCCCTTCCCCTCTCCTCCTTTCCCCTCCCCTCACCTGTTTGACTCTGCTGTGCCAGGGGCCAGGGCAGGGCTGGCCCCTCACTCTGCGGAGTAAATGGGTGTGGGGGCCGGGCCTGTCTGGGATCAGGGCAGCCAGGCAGGGTCTCCTGCAGGAGCAGGCATAGTCCCAGGGAGCAGGCAGCTGCCTAGGAAGGCAGTCAAGCAGATGGGGACCTCGGCTGCCCCAAGACTGGCCCGGGGCTGGTCCTCCCTGCGTCTGGCCTCTGGGTGGGTGGTGGTGGCTTCCTTGTGACTTCATCCCTCCGATCGGGCAGGTGGTTTTGTGCAGTGTGTGCCTGGGAGGCGCACGGCAGCATGATCGGTCCCTGAGTGTCACGGCAGCATCAGAGGCCAGTTTGGCATCTGGAGTAGCTGCCACCGAGAGAGGCCCAGCCGCCAGGCAGCTGGGAGCACAGGTGTCGGCATCCCACTGGGAGCACGGGTGAGGTGCCTCCCTTCTCTGGGCAGAGTTTCCCCAGTTGGTGGTGTAGACGCCAGGAACGCGGTTGTACGGACTTCGTGAGGATCTAACACAGCAGTGTGTAAAAACAGCGCCAAGCGTGTCCTCGGTGGGCGCTCAGAGGCGGTTGTGAGCAGTGCAGATGCTGTTGGCCTAGTTCTGACAGGGTGGCCCAGGGGTCTCCCCGTGGCGTGGCATGGACGGTGGCAGCTCCTGTGGTCATCACTGCCATGGTCCGGAGCGGCCCTGGGCTCTGCAGCAAGGCGGTGAATGTGGAGCTGAGCGGTCCGAATCAGGGTCTGGGTTGCTCGTTCAACTCAGGAACTTCCCCAGATTCCTGAGTTTTCCTCTAGCCGAGGTCAGGGGCAGCCAAGGGAAGGGTCAGCCAGCTCATCCAGACCTCGCTCTGCAACAAATCTCCAGCCTGGGTTGCCATGAGGCACCCTGGGGAGGACTCAGGACGAGGCCCCTTGAGGCTGAACCTGAGACCTAGGAAACTCCAGGTGGGTCCTAACAGGGCTTGTCACTGAGCGTAGGCCTGGACACGGCCCTGTGGTGTCTCACCCACGGGCACCAGTCCCTGTTGAGCAAGGTCCACGCAGCCCTTTGTTCTGGACGGAGCTGACGCTCAGGCCACAGACTCCGACTCCATTCTTCAGAGGCTTCATCGCCTGCACAGGAAGAGAGGCCTGGAGATACCAGGTTGTCTTGGGGCCACAGCTGGCCCTTGGCATGGCTGGGGAGCAGCAAAGCAGTTCATTAGGACCAGGGCTGACCACACCAGTGTCCATGCCCAGAGGTTCTGGGTTCTGCCCTCTTGCTGTCGTCCGGTGCAGGCCACATGGCCACCTGGGAAGGCCCGGGTCGTCGTCATATTCCGAGTGTGACCAAGAGTTCAGGGGCCCAGGTACCTTTCTGGGCCCCTCTCAGGGTCTTTGGAAAAGTCCAGAATGAGCTGGGCTGGTGGAGAATTCAGGAGGTGTGGCCAGTGCCCCCCTGTGCTCTCAGAAGCAGGGGTCACTGGCGAGAGGGCTGGGTGGCCCGGCGATCAACCTGAAGGCATTCCTTACCTGCCCTTGGACCCGGTGAGCCAGTGACTGGCGTAGGCTTTCAAACCTTTCAAACCACTTCTCCTGGAGCCCCGTGTTGTGTGCGTCCCTCAGCCCATGCACCCCGGAAGGCACGCCTCGCACCCAGCTGTAGAGCCCCATGTTGTGTGCACCCCCAGCCCATGCACCCCGGAAGGCACGCCTCGCACCGTGCTCCTGGTGGGGCCCGTGCCAGGGGGGCCCAGGCTCCTGGGGACAGTGGCCCAGGACTTGGGATGTTAGAAATAAATTTTGGGTGCTGCAAAAGAAATAGCACTCGAACATAAATTTAATTTTCTCAGCAAGGCAATTTTACTTCTATAGAAGGGTGCGTCTTGCAGATGGAGCAATGGCGAGAGCACACCTGAACGAGGGAGGTGGAGGTCTCATCCTAACGCAGCCAGTCCCTGCTGCTGTGTGGTTCCCCTGTTGGCTAGGGTTGGACTGCACAGTCTAAGCTAATTCCGATTGGCTATTTTAAAGAGAGTAGCAGTACGAGCCGGAGTGGCGGGGTGAATAGTTTGACGGGAAGGATGGTTACAGAACAGGTGACTCAGGATGACTAAGAACAGAGCAGGTGACAAGGATGACTAAGGTCAGAGCAGGTGACCAGGGGTGACTAAGGACAGAGCAGGTGATAGAGGCTAGGCAGGGGTTGTTTACTGAAACTAGGGGCAAGGATATGTAAAGTACAAGGAAGTTAAACTTTAGAATGAAGAACAAAGAATGGGGATGTAACCATACGGATACATTGCTTCTTTGGAGAGGAGCTCAGAATTCATTATACTTAACAATTTACAGGCTAAAACCTTTGAAGAGGAATTTATTATGTTCTACAGGAGCGGTGCCGCTGGCCTGTGGCTTCTGCAGGGACAAGTAGTGGCTGTGGCCGGGAGGCGTTCGGCAGCTGTGCTTCAGCCCCGGCCCCAGCTTCAGCTCTTCGAGTTGCTGGCTTCTCTAAGGCCTGTCCTGAAGTGGCCTGGAGACTGCTGAGTTACTTCTGGAATCTGCACCGTGAAAGTGAAACCTGGACCATGATGTGAGGCTGGTGAGAGGGTGCCCTCTGCCGTCACCCCCGGCCTTGTAGAAAACTCATTCCAATGGCCCTCTGGTTCTCACTCAGGACCAAATAGTGATGGTTTTTTGTTTGTTTTCGTTTTGTTTTGTTTTGTTTTGTTTTGTTTTGTTTTTTTAGACAGAGTCTCGCTCTGTCGCCCAGGCTGGAGTGCAGTGGCGTGATCTCGGCTCACTGCGAGCTCCACCTCTCGGGTTCACACCATTCTCCTGCCTCAGCCTCCCAAGTAGCTGGGACTACAGGCGCCCACCACCACAGTTGGCTAATTTTTTGTATATTTAGTGGAGATGGGGTTTCACCATGTTAGCCAGGATGGTCTTGATTTCCTGACCTCGTGATCCACCCACCTCAGCCTCCCAAAGTGCTGGGATGACAGGCGTGAGCCACCGCGCCGGGCCCAATAGTGATGTTTTTACTGCTCTGGGCCTGATCGCATGCACCGTTGTCTGTGCTGTGACTTCCGTCGTTGTCTGTGCTGTGACTTCCGTTGTTGTCTGTGCTGTGACTTCCGTTGTTGTCTGTGTTGCGACTTCTGTGGGATATTCGTTGGAGAAGGAGCCACACAGCTGTGTGGGACCCGGCACTCCTTCATCACCATCATCCAGGGCCACGGACACCCCCTCTCACAAGTCGCTGGGATATGAAATTAGGGAATAAATGGGAATTTTCAGTGCGATGCAGCTGGCGCTAGGATCCTCCTCAGTGTGACGTCTGAGACCTTTTCCCAGCTGGAGCCCTGTCATTCATTCATTCATTCATCCCATGCCAGGCTGGGCGGCTGCCAGAGGCACAATCCGGAACCGCCCCTTGCTAATGGGCGGACCAGTGAAAGCAAAGCGGGCTCACTGTGCAGACCAATGATTGACAGTTCCAGGGTGTGATGGACACAGGCGGCTGCCAGGAAGGAGCCCCTTCAGAAGCAGTGGGCGGGGCGGGGTGGGGAAGGCCGTGGGGAGGAGTGACTTCCAGATGAGGCTCACAGGACTGTACCCGGAGGGAGGGGGCAGCAAGGACCCTGTGGGCAGCCGGGGGCACGGCACAGGCTGTGGCTGTAGGTGTGGGTGGTGCCCAGGCATTGACAGAGGGGAGCTCACTGGACGGGGCAGCGTGGAGGTGAGGGTCGGGTGAGGGCCCCTCGGGAGCCCCTGGCCATGTTAGTTGCACATTTCATGACTCTTTAAGGAGTTAGTGAGGCCTGGGTGTGACCTATTTCCCGTTCCAATTAAACAGGTCATTAGTCCGTGTCGTGCTAAAGCAGATCACTCGCAAGGAATGGAAAACCCTTGAAATACGTTTTTTAAATCGGTGAAAGTGAGAAACTGATGCCTCTGTGGGAAAAGACCAGACTCCAGGGTCTGCACCCTCAGAGTGATGAGCTGCGTCTGTTAGGGGTGACCTGAGGTCCCTGCTTTGAACCAGCTTGTTGAAACCGGAAGCCATTTCTCATCTTCTGTAAGAGCCTGCAGCCCCTGTCAGATGCCAGCCATTCCCCAGGTCTTGCTGACACTGTCATTAGGATTCCTATGAGGGCCAGTGGGGAGACAGCTCAGTCTCGGCCCTGCTTCCGACCCCACCACCACCCCCAAATGCATACTGCTGGCCTTTCCTGGGTTTAATTTTATTTTGCAGTGGTAGAGGTTGTTTTGCTAAAATTATTTCAAAATCTGCCTTGTGGAAAAACGCCCACGTCAGGGTGACCATCTGTGGTAACCGAGAATTCCTTGGAGGCAGCGTCTTCACCGCCTGGCTAAGCGGATGGCACAAGCTGCCAGCCAGACCTCTGTCTGTCCCTGCCCAGAGGCCCCAGCTGCCCCTTCCTCCAGGCACCTCCCTGATCTCTGGAGTCCAGGTTTTGTTCCCAAGGTCCTACCTTTGTATCTAAATGCTGTGTCCTCTCCCCGGACGATCTCCTCCAGGCACTGGCTCTCAGGGGCCAGCTCCCCATGGGCGATGATGTCTCTGATACAGGAACTTATGGGTACCTTGCAAGTTTGCACAGAAAGTGGAGCCCGTCTGTTCCTTCTGGGGTGTGCGAGCGGGGCCTCGGGGAGCAGGTGCAGGACAGGGCACAGGAGGAACAGGCACGGCTGGTGGTGTGCAGTGAACAGCAGTGGTCACACCAGGTGGTGGCTCCCGTGGGACTTTTGAGGCCGGCCCAGCCCTGAGCAGGTGGGGTCTGCAGAGGCCTCGTGGGTTGGAGGAGACTTATTCAGAGGGAGTTTTGGTCTTGCTAGAAATTGCATGAGATGAAAGATGACATTTTAATTCTATCATTGAGGCATAGTCTTTCCAACACACCCCCTGAGGTGTGAGGGAGGCTGTCCCTATATGATGTGGTCCCCGCTCCTTCAGGCTGGGGCTCCTGGCCAGTTCATCTTTCGTCCTGTGTCTGACTTTCTCTATCATTTCTAAAATGACTAAGACAATTTATTTTGTTAAAAAAAAAAAAAAAAAAAGGCGTTAAGATGATTCTACTTTGTAGAGGGATCCCAAGGGAGCGTCTCCTCTGGGACTGGCCCTGTCCCCCATCTTGTTTTCCCTCTAAACGACATGTGAGTTCCCAACTCTTGATTTTAGTTCTGACAACTGGAGACTTTATTCCCATACCTTTTTAAAACTTTTTAAAAGGTTTAACTTCAAGGAGATACCATTCCTTTTGTGTATTTGGTTACTAAAGCTGTCTTGCATCTCAAATGTGATTTAAGAAATCAAGCAAAATGCACTGGCCACGTCCTCTCAGTAGGGGGAGGCCAGCGGGCATCTCCCCTCCTCGCCCCTTCTCTGGTGGTCTCACTGATGTCCCCCGGCCCCCAGCCCTCCTTCCTTTCTTTCCCTTGACTTTGTCCTCAGACTCCAGGGACAACCCCTGGTGCGAGACATCCTGTTGCTGATTTACTTGTTCTCTCATTTGTTTCTGTGTTTGTTCCATTTCTTTCGTTCATTCATTCATTCATTCATACTCAGCTGCGGAGACCATCAGCCAGTCTGCGTTCGGCCTGTGTCTGCCACTGGCTGCAGGGCCCGGGGCAAAGGTCTTCAAGTGCCCTGGGCTTCAGTTCCCCTTCCTGGAGAATGAGGGTGGGAGAGCACCTCCCCTGGGGGTTTGCGAAGATGACATGAGCCCGTGCATCCTGGGTCTGGACCGCATCTGATACTTAGCAGGTACTTAGCAGCAGGTACTGAGTAGACACAGTGCTCCACAGCAAAGATGTGTGGCAGAGGCGTAGTGGATGCGTGATCGAGACGCACAGTAGACACGCAAGGATACACGGCAGAGATACGTGGTGGGTATATAATGGATACAGCGGGCGTGGTGGATTTATAACAGATATGTAGCAGATATGTGATAGGAGCCAGGCATGGTAATGACAAGTCAGGAATGTCACAGAGGACTGTGTCTTCTGGGGGTCCTGGGGCCTTTTCACGAGGAAGGATTGCAGGTGGGGCTTTGGAAAAATTGTCCAATTTCCATCCCCTGTCTCCTTTCCCCGGTCACCGCTCCTACCCAGTAGCAGGTGGAGAAGGTGACTTCCATACTGGGGGCCAGGATCAGGAGCAGCCACATGCCAGAGCGGGTAGGCAGCCCCTGGTGCCTGCCTGGCCCTGCCCCGACCTCCACACCAGTTCAGCCCTGTGTCCTGCCCAGGATGGATGGGTGGGTAATTTATTGATTCATTCATTTCCAGGGTCTCGTGTGGGCTTTGTGAAGCCTAGTACACGTTTTTTATTGCGTTTTTTTTTTTGTTTGTTTTGTTTTGTTTTGTTTTTGAGATGAAGTCTCACTGTGCTGCCCAGGCTGGAGTGCAGTGGTGCAATCTTGGCTCACTGCAAGCCCCGTCTCCCAAGTTCACACCATTCTCCTGCCTCAGCCTCCCGAGTAGCTGGGAGTACAGGCGCCCACCACCACGTCCCGCTAATTTTTTGTATTTTTAGTAGAGATGGGGTTTCACTGTGTTAGCCGGGATGGTCTCGATCTCCTGACCTCGTGATCCGCCCGCCTTGGCCTCCCAAAGTGCTAGGATTACAGGTGTGAGCCACCGTGCCCGGCCCTCGTTTTTGTTTGTTTTACTTTGTTATGAGTAATGATAGATTTCTAGAAACTTCGTGTATTTTTTTCTCCACTTTATTTCAACTTTGTAGAAAGAGATCTAAAAATGCAAGTCTCCTCCCCCAACCCCCAACTCTCCTGCGTCACGGATTGGTTCAGAACCAGGAGACACAGGGCCCAGAAACCTAGGGGCTGGAGGGGCCTTACCCTTTGGACTCTTGACTGTTTTTATATTCTGGCCCCTCCCCCCGTCTGTCTCTCTCTCAAGAGACAGGGTCTTGCTCTGTCGCCCAGGCTGGAGTACAGTGGTACAATCACGGCTCACTGCAGCTGGGCTCAAGCAAGCCTCCCACCTCAGCCTCCCAACTAGCTGGGACTTCAGGCGCGCACCACCACGCTTGGCTAATTTTTTATTTTTAGTAGAGTTGGGGGTCTTGATTTGTTACCCAGGCTGGTCTGGAATGCCCCAAGTGATTCTCCCACTTCGCCCGCCCAAAGTACTGGGAGCCACCACGCCGGGCTAGACTGTGGGGTTTTTGGGGGGCAAGAATTGTACTCATATCTCTGTTTCCACAGTGGGTCTTACACTGTGGACAAACAGCAGCTGATGTTCTCACCCGGCCTTGTTCTAAGAGGACTCCAAAAAGCAAGTCGTAGCCCCAGTGACTGGGAAAGGCTTCCCCGGGAGAGCGGCCGACACAGCTGCCGCAGTAGTAAGGGTTTATTTATCAAGACTGATTTATTTATCAGTTCAAGACACAGTTACACAGAGTGTGGGGGATGGTTCATCAGCAGCTGGCACGTCCAGTGGCGCGTGTGCCTCGGGAAGGCCTGGGAGGGGGACACAGGTGCTCCGCAGGGAAAGCTGCCCCCACCCCAGCCCAAAGAAGCCCTCCAAGCTCCATCAGTCATGCAGTCATGTACTTTTCCTCATCAGCACAAACCCCGCTTCCTTGAAGAGAAGCGTGAGGCTGGGCACGGTGGCGCGTGTCTGTAGGCCTAGCTACGAGGGAGGATCGCTTGAGCCCAGGAGGTCGAGGCTGCAGGGCTATGATTGCAACACTGCACTCTGGCCTGGGCAACAGAGAAAGAGAGAGAGGACTGTCTAGAAGGGAAAACAGGGATAGCAAAGTAGATGGGAAGGAAGGGCCTCTGGGGCGGCGGGTGAGTGCTGGCCGCTCCCCTCTCCACAAGCTGCTGTGGTCTCTGGGGGCTGCACCTGAGGCGGCAGTGGGAGGAGAGGGGTGAAGGGCAACGCGCCCCCGTTTAAACACCTCCTGGCCTGGACGCCAGCTGTTCACTTGTAATCACTGGTCACCCTGAAGAGATGGGATGGACCCCTGCCCAACATTTGGCTCAGGTGTCCACACAGATGACAGCACCGCACGCAGACGGGAGGGAGCTTCTCACCACATAATGAGGTTTTCTGGGGAGAGCAGGGGAGGGGGGTCTTCCAGGATGGTCCAGAAAGGTCTTGAGCGCGCCTGTAAGGAGACTGTCTCGGTTTCCGTGGCGGCTCTGGGGCAAGGCGGGGTGAGCAGGGGCTGAGGCTTGCAGGGTTTGAACTTTCCCCAGGGCCCTCATCACCTCACTGGGATGTGGGCGGGAGGGGAGCGGGTCGTCTCAAACACCTCCAGCAGTCGAACATCAAAAAGGGGGTCCAACTCTTGGTTGCGATTTCTTTGGCTGAAGCCTGGACTCCTAGCCCCACGGGCTGAGGGAAGGTTACGGCTGGTGGTTGGATAGACGCCAGTGCTTGCCCCAGAGCTGCAGGGGAAGAAGGTGGCCTGAACCTCAGGGCCTCTGTGTCCAGTTCAGGGGCCAGTACAGCAGCATCGGTCTGCGAGGGGTATGTGTTCTAGAGGAGTGAGGGGACAGACAGGGGAGCCCCAGAGGCATCCAGTGGCGCGAATGGTGGGAAGGGCCCTAAGAGGGGAGGCTGGGAGGGGACAATCCCAGGTGGCAGGGGATGGCCGCGATGAGGCCCTGGGGTGGAGCCCAGGCAGGGAGCATCCAGGGGAAGCCAGTGTGGGTGGGGACTGGGAGGAGAGAGGGAGGCTGGGCCTGCCCTGGCGAGGGGTGGTCAGAACATCGCTCGGTGCCAGACAGGCAGGACGCAGCGGGCTGGCCTGCGGGGCTCACTGCTGCCCCCCGGGGCCGAGCACGAAAGGGAGAGTTGGAGGGCGCTTCCTCGCCGGGTGTTGCGGTGTGAGCGGGGACTGGTGAGTGTGTGCTGTCTTCAGAGAGAGAAGAGCAGTTTTCAGGGTGAGTAGCCTTTATTCTTCACACCTCATTACACAGCACCCAGGCCTTTTATTCAGGAGGGCGCGGCCGGCCTCACCCCGACAGCCACCCTGGCTTGTTGACCTTGATCTGTGACAGCTCCCCTGTGAGTTCAGACTTCTCAAGGACGCTTGCATAGCCAACATTGTTGAGAACGAGTAACCCCTTATCACAGCACACGTCTGTCGTGCCATGAAGCAATTTCCCATCCCTGTGGCTTTGAAGGCATAAGTCACTGCGTCACGGCCATGCTGTTCCTTCCAAACCTGCTCGTCAGGAGACAGCTCTTGCGCTGTGTACCGGCACTGCCGCCCAGCAGGTGACCCCAGCAGCTGGTTTGTCCCTGCCTGGGGGTGAGGGCCTGCAGGGTGTTTGTAGACGCAACTCTTGAAAGGCCCTGAGGTTGGGGCTTGGTCATGAGGGTGCCCGGGGCCCATCCGGGAGTAGAAGTAAGTGCACTAGGCATTTGGCCAAGGGTCACGTTAGGCCTTATTTATTTATTTTTTGAGACAGTCTCACTCTTTTGCCCAGGCTGGAGTGCAGTGGCGTGATCTCAGCTCACTGCAACCTTCGCCTCCCGGGTTCAAGCGATTCTCTTGCCTCGGCCTCCCGAGTAGCTGGGATTACAGGCACCTGCCACCATGCGCAGCTAATTTTTGTATTTTTAGTAGAGACGGGGTTTCACCATGTTGGCCAGGCCGGTCTCAAACTCCTGACCTCAAGTGGTCCACCCACCTCAGCCTCCCAAAGTGCTGGGATTACAGGCGTGAGCTGCCACTCCTGGCCAGGTCTTTTTTCAAATAAATGTCTAAGCAAAATGAATTTGGGGTGAAGTAGTCACAGAGCTGTCAGGAGGAGCAGGGTGGCTGCGTGCCCCTGGGAGCTGCTGTGGGTGATGACCAGGTGATGCCGGGAAGGTCACTTTCAGACACATAGTTGTCATCGTCGGATGAGAATTATTCTCAGGTCTCAGGTGGGAGGGGCTGCCCACCAGGCCTGGATGAGGCCCCACCCCCCCACACACACATGCTGGGACCACGAGTGGCACCCCCTGAGGATGAGGGGGCTCCTGCGTTTGTGCCCTGTGTGGGAGGTGCCACCTCATTTGCATGTGGCCCTTCCACGTCTCCTGGCCATGCCAGACAGGTCCTCAGGATTGTTGGGAGATGAGGGCCTCGCCCAGGACTTCGATGGGGTGTCCCCCCAGCCCCCTGTGGCTGATGGAGCAGCCTGACATTTTGTGGACACAAAGCCCCCTAGAGCCAGGGAAGGACAGGGCCGGACCCAGAGCCAGGGAAGGGAGGTGGAGCTCCAGCCAAGGCATCCAAACATCAAAAGGCAGAACTGAGCGGCTTGGTACTTGAAAAGTTTTTATTAGGAAAAATGCCAAACTGACAGAAGTAGAGAGAATTACATAGTGAGGCCTCGTGCACACCCTGCCTGGCTCCTGGCAACCTGCACTCCAGCCGATACCTGTGACTCTCAGCAAGCCCCTCTAGTGGGCGAGGACCTCCACACGTGTCGCCAGGCCAGGCGACTCTCAGCAAGCCCCTCCAGTGGGCGAGGACCTCCACACGTGTCACCAGGCCAGGTAACTCTCAGCAAGCCCCTCTGGTGGGCGAGGACCTCCACACGTGTCACCAGGCCAGGTAACTCTCAGCAAGCCCCTCCAGTGGGCGAGGACCTCCACACGTGTCACCAGGCCAGGTAACTCTCAGCAAGCCCCTCTGGTGGGCGAGGACCTCCACGTGTGTCACCAGGCCAGGTAACTCTCAGCAAGCCCCTCCGGTGGGCGAGGACCTCCATGCGTGTCACCAGGCCAGGTAACTCTCAGCAAGCCCCTCTGGTGGGCGAGGACCTCCACACGTGTCACCAGGCCAGGTGACTCTTCAGCAGGCCCCTCTGGTGGGCGAGGACCTCCACACGTGTCACCAGGCCAGGCGACTCTTCAGCAAGCCCCTCCACACGTGTCACCAGGCCAGGTGACTCTCAGCAAGCCCCTCCGGTGGGCGAGGACCTCTGCACGTGTCTCCAGAGGCCAAAGCAGAAGAAAACGTTAGCACAGGAGTCACTTGACTTCACCAAACGCAGCCAGGATTGCGGTTTCTCCGGCTCGGCTGTCTCAGTTGTTTAAGAGAGTTCATGCTTTTGAGATCAAAGTTAAAAGAAGGCCTGTGCCTCGCAGGGCCTGCTCTGCCTCCCCCGTGTTTCCTCGGGGTTCTGCGTCTGTGACCGGGGTGCGGAGCACTGGTGTGCAGTTC
The DNA here is from genome assembly GCF_000001405.40 of Homo sapiens. Classification (NCBI taxonomy): domain Eukaryota; kingdom Metazoa; phylum Chordata; class Mammalia; order Primates; family Hominidae; genus Homo; species Homo sapiens. Next base: position 2,107,175 of record NC_000001.11, read on the forward strand.
TCTGTCTCGTGATTCGTGTAACAGTGAGTGCTGCCTGCACCAACAGCCGGCTGCCTTCCGTGGCTGTGTGGGCTCCTGTGCGGAGGCCGCCCCTCTCCCTGGCCAAGCAACACTGAGGCGGGATTGCGTCCTCCCTCTCCTGAGGCAGGTCCTGCTCCAGACCTGCTTTTTTCCCGCACGTCACGTGTCCTGAGACCCCTCAGTGGATGCGTCCTCTCTCCTTCCACGGCCGCACACACTCCCGTGCCCGTTGGGCTGGGCTGACTGATGCATGTGGGGGCTCCGTCCCATCTTTTTCAACTACAGATGGAGCTGCGGTGGGAAAACGTGTGCAGATACCTCCCATTTTACTTTTGTGCTGGGGCTTTTTTGGGATCAGTTCCTAGAAGTAGGGGACTGGGTGAAAGGCTGATCACCCTCAGACACCGAACCCCTGGAGGAAACACAGGGAGGGAGGATGAGCCCTGCGAGGTGCAGGCCTTCTTTTAACACTGACCTTGGGTTCTCAGGACTGCCGAAATCCCCTCTACCCGGGCTGTGCCTCTCCGGCCTGTGCCTCTCCGGCCCTTCGGCAGTGTCGAGGGAGCCCCCAACACCCAGCAGCATCCAGGGATTTCCCCCAGGGCAGTGTCGGGAGCCCCCAACACCCCAACAGCGTCCAGGGATTCCCCCCAGGGCAGTGTCGAGGGAGCCCCCAACACCCCGGCAGTGTCCAGGGATTCCCCCCAGGGCAGTGTCGGGAGCCCCCCAACCCCGGCAGTGTCAAGGGAGCCCCTGGCAGTGTCAAGGGAGCCCCCAGACAGTGTCAAGGGAGCCCCCCAACCCCGGCAGTGTCAAGGGAGCCTGCCTCCGTGGGGTGCTGCCAGCCTTAGGCCTGGGCCAGTCGGGGTGGTTGGATGCCTGTTCTGGGGGTAGAGAAGTCAGGTAGCCCAGGGCCCGCACTCTCAATAGACCTTCAGAGAAAAGGCATCGAGGTAAATGCCGCACTCGAGTACCCGTGTGATCTCTGGGTGGGGCCATGATCCTTCTGGGCGCTGGTCCAAGCGCGTGGTGAGGCCGTCCTCTCCTGCAGAACCCCGGCCTCTTCGCCCCTGCCCGCTCACCTGTTCTGTCCTGCTCACCTCCTCCAGGAAGCCTGCCTGGCCTTCTCCATGCTGATGGGCGTGGCCCCTTGTCCCTGCAGCCATGCATTGACCTCCGTGGCTCCTGGAGGCCAGGCCACGTCCTCATCCCCTCTGGGTGAGTGAGAGGCACAGCCTGGGTGCGTGGGGCCGTGGCGGCTCCGAGGCGCCACCGCTGTGTCCTCTCATGAGTGGGTGCCGTCCAGGTCTGTCCTGGGCTGGCTGCGAGGAGGAGGTTGGCCTCGCGCGGCCATGTGCGTGACAGTGGAGACATCGCCAGCCTCCTGCTTGCACAGCTGACGGCAGCCCCTCTCTCTCCAGCCATGTCCCCAGGACTCTTGAGTAGTTGGCCTGGTGGCCGTGGGAGAAGCAGGCCCCGAGTCCCCAGGGCTGTGAGCGAGGCTGTCTGATGTGCTCCCTGGTCACCACCCCCTGCCTGTCCGTCTTGCCTGGGCAGATGGAGGTGGATGAACTTCCTGCGGCCGCTGTAACAGTGGCCGCCACTGGGGGGCTTAAAGCAACACGCATTTGTTAGCTCAGCGGTCTGGAGGGTGCGAGTGCAGATGGAGCTCACTGGGCCAAATTTAGTCAAGGCACCAGCTGGGTGGGTTCTTTCTGGGGGCTCCAGGGAGACCCCGTTTCCCGCCTTCTCCGGCGTCTGAAGCCGCCTGCCCCTTGGTGCAGCCCTGAGTCACCCCAGCCTCTGCCTCCGTCTCACGTCACCGCCTCTGATACAGCCGCCCCCCCATCCCTCTTGTGAGGACCCCGCAATGACGTGGGCCCACCCAGATCATCCAGGAACATCTCCCCATCCCCACGTCCTTCACTTCATCGTCTGCAAAGTCCCGTATGCCACGGAAGGTGACACAGTCTTGGGTCCCGGGACTTGCATGTGGGGCTGTCTGGGTTTTGCACAGCTGACCATGGGTGCTTCCGGATGCTTGGCATTGGAGGTTTCTGTCCTCTGCTGGAAGGATTCCTGGAGTGAGGGCAGCAGAGGGCACCCAGATGGAGGCACTGCCGGACGCGCAGGGGCGATGGTCGGGGGGCACCTGGGAGCCACCTTCCCTTGTCTCTGGGGGGTGACCCTTGACCTTGGTGGCCTCAGTTTTCTCATCTGTAAAGTGGTGCACACGATACCTGCTCCGTCCTCCTCACTGAATTGTCCTGAGATCAGGTGTGGTCGTGAATATTAAACATGTGGATTGCAACCCTAGACAGAGCTCCCTTGGACGGTTGAGCAGATGCAGCCAGGTGTGGGTCCGGCTGTGGGCGGAGGGGGTCACACGGGGCCGAGTGGCTTCAGCGAGAGTCCATAGGACATGGAGAGTCCCGGCCGTGGTGAGGACACGGGGTTGCGGCAGCTCACGCCCACTGCAGTGTCCGGAAGGCGGTGCTAGGTCCACCTCATTTACGGGGTCGGGCTCTCATTCTCCCCATTGTACAGCCCAGCCTGTAGAGGCAGGTGAGGTCCAGGCCATGGGCCTGTGGGCCGTGCCACGTCGCTCAGATTTTGTGGTGTCGGTGGTGGGAGCCGCCGGGGAAAGCCGTCATCCTGGAGCCGGGCGAGAGAGGGCCAGGGCAGTGGGGTGGACTCCAGAAATGTCCAGTAGCAGAATTGCCAGACCTGGCCATTGGCTGGGGTGTTGAGGGAGACGTCTCCAGGGATGTCCAGTGTCTCCCAGTCTGGGCAAGCGGAGGAGCCGGCCAGCATGGGCCATTTCATCGGGGCCCTCCCTGGGGGCAGCCAAGGACCTAAAACCAATGGGTCCCAACCAAGAGGATCCCAGAGGTGAGACACAGAACGGCCAGGGCTGAATCCGGGGCCCTCCCTGGGGGCAGCCAAGGACCTAAAACCAATGGGTCCCAACCAAGAGGATCCCAGAGGTGAGACACAGAACGGCCAGGGCTGAATCCGGGGCCCTCCCTGGGGGCAGCCAAGGACCTAAAACCAATGGGTCCCAACCAAGAGGATCCCAGAGGTGAGAAACAGAACGGCCAGGGCTGAATCTGCCTCCAGCGGGGGCCCCGGGCGTGATCAGAGCAGGCAGGACCTTTCTTCCCTCTCTGCAGCTCCGGCACTGGCTTCCTCCGTTCAGGCTTCATCCCCGGTCAGGGGGCTCCTGGTCCCGTGGCAGCCCCGTGGCTCCTGGGTCGCAGCTTCATGGGGGAAACAGAGACTCCTCTGGTACCAGGGTCCCCTGAATCTCCGGAGTCCCCCAAGTCCATTGAGTCCACTGGGCCCGAAGAGGGAAACAGAGACTCCTCTGGTACGAAGGTCCCCCAAGTCCCTGGAGTCCCCTGAGTCCACTGGGCCCTCGACACCCTTGGGTCACTTGTCCACCCTCACACCATCGCTGGCCCAGGGAATGGGGGTTTGGATCGGCCTTGGTGACTGTGGGCCTCTGCCTGAAACCCTGTGAGTGTGGGTGGGGTGGGCTGGGTCCTGAGAGAGCTGGGAGCAGCGGAGTGAAGGGGGCTGGGGTGGGGCTGGTGACAGTGGAGTCCCTGTGGGGGGCAGGGCTGGTGGACAGTAGAGTCCCTGTAGGGGCTGGTGACAGTGGACTCTGTGGGGCCAGGGTGGGGCTGGTGGACGGTGTAGTTCCTGAGAGACCGAGCCGGAAGGTGAGGGACTGGAAGCTTGCACACGTCCCTGCGGCCTTCCCCTCGGGTGCGAGGCCTGCCATCCTGAGCTCCCCCACCCTACCCCGTGCCCGCCCTGAGGGCGGGACCCAGGCCAGTTCACACAGCATGGCGAGGTAAGGGCTCAGGATGGAAGGCAGGAGGAAAGTTGGGCCTGCTGCACCCATGGGTATTGCGGCAGGGAAGGCGAGGAGGAGCCGAGGTGGGTGCTGGGAGCTGTGGGGCTGGCTGTGCGTGTTGGGCCTAACTCGGGCTGAGCTGAGGTTACTGAGCCCTCAGGAGGGTGCTGTGGGAAAAGAAAGAGGCAGAGAAGGTGTCTTTGGACCACTTAGGGGACGGGGAGGGAACCCCACGGCAACTGTGAAGGTCTGGGGCACAGCCAGGGAGGGTCCCAGGTTGACAGGGACAGGCGGGGTGGGGGTGCAACATGGAGGCCTGGGGCTGAGCCTCCGAGAAGTGATGGGCAGGATGAGGGGGCCAGAGGGGATCACGCAACAAGGGGTGCACCTTGGTGGTCTGGGTGTCTCCAGAGAAGCTGGTTGTCAGGACTCAAGAGGCGGACAGGGAGGGGCTGGGGTTAGGGAAGAGTGTGTGGCAGGGGGAGGAAGGGAGCCTGCTTGCCGGGTCACCTGGCATTGGGAGCTGTCCCCTGCCTGCTGCGCCCCGCCTGCCATTGTTGGAGTTCTCCAGTCTGGGCTGGTCTGGATGAGGAACTGGCGGGGCTGCTGCCGGCCTGGACTCAGGACCCTCACCCTCCAGCCCGCACCCTCGACTCCCCACCAGCCAGACCCTCTGTCCTGGTGTGGACAGCACCCACATCCTGGCTCCACCCTTGTTTCTTGCCCTTTGACCTACAGCCTCAGGACGTGCAGGAGGGAGGTACGTAGGCACTTGTGGGTCCGGCCTCCTGACCGACCGTCCATCCACCACCAGGCTTCTGGATGTTCACCCATGTGGGAGAGACGGGTGTCGGGGAAGGGACCACAGCTTCCTTTCAGAAGACCCGGGAAGGGCAGTGCCGTGTGCCAGCCTCCCAGTTGGCACCTTCCTTTCACCTTAGTCGTCTTCGAGGCGATGTTTCCTCGGGACAAGTCATTTTCATGAATCTGCTGTAAAACGTCTCCCAAACTCCAAGTGTTTCCCAAACTGAGTGAAAATCGCTGCAGAATGTGGTTTCCAGCAGAGCTTTTCCCCTCTCCTTCCTTCACCTCTGCCTGGGTTACAGGGTGCGGGTTCCAGGAGTCTGCCTAGAAGGCAAAAAACAGGCTTTGCTTAGAATCCCCTAAATTGCTCATAAAACACAGTGTTTGACGTTTATGTGTAGACATGATCCTTATGTGGGTTAAGCTGAGGCCCCTGCCCCAGTGACACAGAGGCCTCAAACGGCACAGTGCACCTTCTGTCCGAAGCAGCCGGCGAGGCGGCCCGCGAACCTCTGACGTGCTCCATTGCAATGAGGATGAACGAGCCTCAGGCGGAGGGTCAGCCTGGAACCCCTGCCCCGTGAACACCAGCCAGCTTCATGCTGAGGACCCCTCAGTCCAACCCAGAGGCCCATGCTGAGGTCCCGGCATGGGGGACTGTGGGGTGCAGCCGCCGCTTGGAGCGGAGGTGAATGGGACCCCACACGTTTCCTCCTCCTTCTCTGGATGCCTGTAATCATCACAGTACTCAAAAAAGGAAGAAGAAAAAGGTCCTTGAAACTTGCTGGAGTTGCAGTTCCGTTTTTTTGTTTGTTTGGTTGGTTGGTTGGTTTTTTTTTTTTTTGGAGACAGAGTCTTGCTCTTGTCGCCCAGGCTGGAGTGCAGTGGCGTGATCTCGGCTCACTGTAACCTCCACCTCCTGGGTTCAAGGGATTTTCCTGCCTCAGCCTCCCAAATAGCTGGGACTACAGGAGCTCGCCACCATGTCTGGCTATTTTTTTTCTATATTTGGTAGAGGCGGGGTTTCACCGTGTTGGCCAGGCTGGTCTCGAACTCCTGACCTCAGGCGATCCGCCTGCCTTGGCCTCCCAAAGTGCTGGGATTACAGGCTTGAGCCACTGCGCCCGGCCCCATTTTCTTTACATTTGTGACTTACAGTCATCAGCTGAAGGAAAGACAGTGGCTTGGCTAGGGCCTGCCCACTGCTGGCCGAGGCTGGCCGGGTCACCCAGGTGCCTGCCTCTCCTGCTCTGGAGCCGGGCACTGCCTGAGGGCCTGCAGCACCAGTCAGGGCCCCGGGGGATCCCTCCAGGGTCTCAGTTCTGACTAGCGAGTACCTCGATTCATGAGTATGTTTTTTAATGTAAGGTTTTAACGTAAGGTTTAAAAAGGCAGCCGCCCCGTTTCCTCCCCACTGGTCTCGCCTTCAGCAGTGATTTGTGGTGACTGTGACGTTCTCTTCGGTGGGCTGCCTGTGGATCGCCAAGTATGTGCTCCTGCTGCTTCTACCTGATGTCTCCCCATCTTGGGCTTTGAGGGGGGCTCATCCGGGGCATTCATATTTTCTGCCCGAGTTCGCTCCTGACCCAGGGCAGGTGGAAGCCAGCAGGTGAGGACCAGGGTGTCAGCCAGAAACTCGGAAGTGGCACAGAGGCAGCATCCGATAGCCCCTTTGTCAGAGGCGACCAGGGCCTTGAGTGAGCTGGGATGGACTTCTCTTATCCTGACATCCTGGAAGGGGGTGCAGCCTGCCTGTCTGTGTCCCAGTTGAGTTGGCAACATTTTTTGTCTTTCCTCATGATGCACGAAGTAGTGGTATCTCTGAGAGCCAATGGCAGCCTAGCTGCCGTGGAGAATGCTGGGGGGTGGGTGAGAGTTGGGGCACAGAGGACTCATGGGGCAGAGGCTGTGGTCCAGTCCTTGTGGGGGTGACTCCAGGGATGGCAGGTGGGTGGTGTGGCCAAGGAGGAGGGAGGTCAAGGCACTGGTGTTGGGGCAGGGAGAAGGGACCGCAGTGCCCATGTGTTTGAGGGAGGGGAGATGATGGTGTGGGAGTGTAGAGAGGGCGGGGGCCCAGCCCACAGCATCCATGCCCTGGGGATTGGGTGCCACCGGTCAAGGGCTCCACGGGGCTGGCTCTGGGGGAGGGAGAGCGGGCGCCATGTTGTGTGTGTGGTGCGTGTGGCGCGTGGGTGAGGGTATGGCCGGCTGCGTAAGTTTGTGGAAGCGTTCGGAATGCTCAGGAGATAAAAACAGCAGAGGGCTGCACCCCCCCACCCTCCCACCCCAGCTTTTCTCCAGGAGGACGCTCCGTCGTGGCCTGGGAGGACGTGGAAGGAGGGACCCCGGATGCAGGGCAGGTTCGTCTTGTGTGTTGAGAACGTGCTCTCCAGGGATCTGTGTTAATACAGGTAGCCCAAGCACAGTGTCCAATGAGGGAAGGAACATTTGAAACAGAAGAGATGACTTATTTTGTTGGACAAAAAAGGAATATGGTGGACATTAATTCTTAGAAGAGGTTTTATTTGAAACAAGTCACAAAAATAATCAAACAGCAGGTTGACTTTGGAGTTCAGCTCACAAAAGTTAAGCTTACAGAGCAAATAAAATAAGCTGAAGAAAAAGATAAGATGACTGGGCGCAGTGGCTCACGCCTGTAATCCCAGCACTTTGGGAGGCCGAGGCGGGTAGATCACGAGGTCAGGAGTTTGAGACCATCCTGGCTAACACGGTGAAATCCAGTCTCTACTAAAAATACAAAAATTAGCCGAGTGTGGTGGTGGACACCTGTAGTCCCAGCTGCTCGGGAGGCTGAGGCAGGAGAATCGCTTGAACCCGGGAGGTGGAGGTGGCAGTGGGCCGAGATCGTGCCACTGCACTCCAGCCTGGTGACAGAGCGAGACTCCGTCTCAAAAAAAAAAGAAAAAGAAAAAGAAAAAGCTAAGATGCAGCAGGTGGAGCCGCCTGCCGTTGGGTTTCAGCTTTTCTTATGGAAAGAATGTTACGGCCTGGGTGCCTCCATTCTCTGATTTCTTTTTCTTTCTTGACTTTTTAAAATTGAAACAAAACTCCCTAAAACATGAAATCTGAAGCGTTCAACTCCACGAGTTTTTACAAAGCAAACTGCACCGCGTCACATAGCTGATCCGTGTGTAGCTTGTCCTCTGGACGCGGGGCCACCCCCACACCCCGAGGTGACCCCAGGCGTAACCTACCCGTCCCCGGCCTTGGTGCCTGCAGATAGTTTTGCTTGTTTCGAGCTTTTGTCTTGGGATCCGGGGCCATCCACCCTGGGTGTGGCCGCTCAGTCGGGCCCCTGTGTGGGGCTTTCCCGTGGTGTGGGGTGCGGTTCTGCCGTGTCCGTCCCCACTGCGGGGCTGCTCTGCTGGCTGAATTCTCCACGTCTTATGTATCCACCCTCATCTTGCGAGGCACCGGGGTCCCGGCTTTTGGCCACAGACATCCGAGCGCCTTCTGTTGCCCGTGGCGCATCTTTCATGTGGGCACACCCAGGAGTGGAGTTTCCGGGAAACAGACGTTTCCCTCGCGTGGCCGCACCAGGTCGCACTCTGCACTGTGTTTCTGCCTCCAGTTATGTGGGGTTTTCTGCACCCACAGCCACTCTGGCGCCAGCTGGGTGTCCTGTGTTTCCATTCAGCTCTGACATCAATTACCTGACGTTAGCGCAGACCCTGCAGATGAAGGGCTCATTCCCACAAGCCTGCCCCTACTTGAGAGCCAGCTGCAAGTGCCAGGTGACAACCTGGATTCTGACCAACTGGCTGTGAATCGGGGGTGTCCGTGACCCCTTCCTGAGGCTCGGGTGGGCTAGAATAGCTCCCGGAACTCAGGAAAACACTTTGCTTAGTGTACCCGTTTATTAGAAAGGACAGCCACACGGAGGAGCTGCACGGGAGGCTGAGGTATGGGGGGTGCAGAGCTTCCGTGCCCTCTCCAGGCACGCCACCCTCCAGCACCTTGGTATATTCACCAACTCGGACACTCTCCAGACCATGTCATTGAGGGCTTTTTGTGGAGGCTTCGTGACAGGCACGGTTGATTCAACAGCCAGCCACTGCTGATTACCTCAGTCTCTCCTGTCTCCTCTCTGGACCGTGGGCTGTGGGACGGAAAGTTCCAACCCGCTAGGCATTCCTTGGTCCTGCTGAAGACCAGCCGCATCCTGGAGCTGTCCCGGCTCCCGGCTCCCCGTCATCTCATTAGCATGCAAAAAGACACTCTTACCGCACTCCAGGATTCCTAGGGTCAGAGGGGCTGCGCGCTGGGAAACTGAGACAAAGGCTGAATCTGTGTTGATGGCACAGTCACTCTGGGTCGTGTGGGAATTCCCGATGCACCTCCTTCCAGCACATGGACTGTCAGAGCCCTGCGTTGTCGCCAGCACAGCAGATCTGAAAGGCACTAGGCTGTGGCCTCGCGACGGCTGAGGTGAGCTGCTTCTCCGAGGCTCCCGGGTTATTGGGGACCCTCCTTTTAAAGGTGCCTGTTCCAGTCTTTTGCCCCATTTCAAAATTGGGCTGTCAAAGAACAATGTCATTGGGGGGTCCGTCTTTTTTGTTGGTTCCTGGGGGCTGTGTGTGTTTTAGAGACAAGTGCTTTGATTTTTTGTGTTGCAAACAGCTTCTGTCACTCCGCGGCTCGCCTTCCACTCCATGGATGGTGTCTTCTGATGAACAGAAAGTAAAAGCTTACTTTATAATTAGGGCTTTTGCGTCCTGGCTGTGTGTGGGGCCTCTTTCTGGACTGATCTGTCCCCTTTGTTTTTTGCCCCCATGTCGTACTGTTCTGATTTCTTCTGCTTTATAATCACCATTGGTAACTTGTGTTATGAGTCTCCAATTTGGGGTTTTTAGTTTTCAAGGTTATCTTGGTTATTGGCTTTTTACATTTCCATACACATGGGCTTGTTAATAAGCCATTTACAGTTGGCTTATTTGCTTTCAAAATCTCCATAAGACATTTGGATTGCATTTGGATTTCTTGATCAGTATGGGAGATTAGCATCTTTACAATACTGAGGTTTCCAATCCGTGAACATATCTTTAGGCCTTTGATTGGGGTTTTTTTGGCAGGGGAGTTGCGGGGGGCAGACAGGACCTCACTCTTGCCCAGGCTGGAGTGCAGTGGCATGATCATGGCTCACTGCAGCCTTGACCTCCTGGGCTCAAGCAATCCTCCCACCTCAGCCTCCCAAGTAGCTGGGACTACAGGTGTGCACCACCATGCCCAGCTATTTTGGCATTTTTTTGTAGAGACAGGGTCTCCCTATGTTGCCCAGGCTGGTCTTGAACTCCTGGGCTCAAGTGGTCCTTCTGCCTCAGCCTCCTAAGGTGCTGGGATTACAGATGCAAGCCACTGCACCCGGCCTTAAATTCTTTCAATAATATTTTGTAGTCTTGTGTGTAGCGGTCATCCACATTTTTTGTTCAAATGATTCCCTGGTATTTCAGTGCTTATGCTGTTTTAAGCCGTATTACTTTTACAGTTTTTTTTTTTTTATCTTTTTGTTTATAGCAATGTGTAAAGAAGTGTGATTAACTCATTTGTCTTGGCCTCTCCTGGTCCCCGTAGTTTGTCTGTGGTTGCTCCGGAACCTCTCTGTGCGCTGCCATTTTGTCAGTGACCGGCTGTTTGTTTCTGCCTTTCCTTCAGATGTTGCCTTGTTACCCTGGCACTGTTGATCCTTCCAAAACAGTATGGGACAGAAGTGGTGACAGCCACATCCTCTCGTGCCTGATTTCAGGGAAAAGCTTTAAGAATTCCACCATTAAGGGTGCTGTTTGCGGAAATACTGTTTTTCCTTCGTAAATCCCCACCAACAAATTAAAGAGGTTCTATTTTATTCCTAGTTGAAAGTTGTTAATATGAATGGTGCTGAATTTTTTCAGATGCTTTTTTTCCTTCATCTATTGATGTGACAGAACTTTTCTCCTTTATTCTGTTCATACGATGAATTCTATGGATTGGCTCTTAATGGTAGACCGATGGCATTCCTGTAGTGTGCCTCGTTTGGTTGTGATGAGTTCGCCTTTTTATATTTTGCTTGATTCAGTTTGCTATTATTTTGTTTGTTGTTTTTGCAACTGTATTTATGAGAGAGATTAGCCTATTATTTCTTTTTTTTTTTTTTTTGGAGTCTCACTCTGTCACCCAGGCTGGAGTGGAGTTCAGTGGCCCGATCTGGGCGCACTGCAACCTCCGCCTCCCTGGTTCAAGCGATTCTCCTGCCTGAGCCTCCTGAGTAGTTGGGATTACAGGTGTGTGCCACCACGCCTGGTTAATTTTTGTATTTTTAGTAGAGACAGGGTTTCACCATGTTGGCCAAGCTGGTCTTGAACCCCTGACCTTAGGTGATCCGCCCGCCTTGGCCTCCCAAAGTGCTGGGATTACAGGTGTGAGCCACCATGCCTGGCCATATCTTCCTTTTGATTGATGCTTTTATCATCATGAAATGTTTTTGTTTTTTTTTTTTTGAGACAGAGTGTCGCTCTGTCCCCCAGGCTGGAGTGCAGTGGCACCATCTCCACTCACTGCAAGCTCTGCCTCCTGGGTTCACGCCATTCTCCTGCCTCAGCCTCCTGAGTAGCTGGGACTACAGGTGCCTGCCACCGCGCCTAGCTAATTTTTTATATTTTTAGTAGAGACGAGGTTTCACCGTGTTAGCCAGGATGGTCTCGATCTCCTGACCTCCTGATCCGCCTGCTTCGGCCTCCCAAAGTGCTGGGATTACAGGCGTGAGCCACTGTGCCCGGCCAAATGTTGCTCTTTAGATGAAAATATTATTGTCATTAACATCTGATCTGTATGATGTTAGTGTGACCACACCAGCTCTGTGTGTGTGTGTGTGTGTGTGTGTGTGTGTGTGTGTGTGTGAGATGAGGGGAGGGAGGGAAGGGGACTTAGTGTTTATATGCTCTATTTTTTCATCCTTTCACTTTCTTTTCTGTATATTTTGGAAATGACTCTTAAAAGCAGAAGTTAGTTATTTTTAATCCAGTCTGAAAATGGCTGTGTTTTAAATGAAAGATTTAGTCCGTTTACATTTAATGTCATTCTGATGTGTTACATTGTAGCTTTGTCATCTTGCTATGGGTCCTTATTTGTCCGGTCTGTTCTTTGTTTTGTCCCTCTTTCTTGCCTTCTTTTGGTTTAATCAGATGTTTTTATTCCACTTTCCTCCCTTTATTATTATAGCTTTGTTAAGTAATACTTCTCTTAATGTTATTTTAATGGCTACCTTAGAAATTATGAGTCACATCCTTGGAACGTAGCATAAACTACTTTTACCATTTTCTTCAAAACCTTATAACAGTTTAATTCTTATTTTTTCCTTTTTTTTTTTTTTTTTTGAGATGGAGTGTCACTCTTGTTGCCCAGGCTAGAGTGCAAGGGCGCGATTTTGGCTCACTGCAACCTCCACCTCCTGGGTTCAAGTGATTCTGCTGCCTCAGCCTCCTGAGTAGCTGGGATTACAGGTGCCCACCACCATGCCCAACTATTTTTTGTATTTTTAGTAGAGGCAGGGTTTCACCATATTGACCAGGCTGGTATCGAATTCCTGGCCTCAAGTGATCTGTCTGCCTTGGCCTCCCAAAGTGCTGGGTTTACAGGCATGAGCCACTGTGCCTGGCCTAATTATTCTTCTTTCCTTATTGTTAGTTTGTGCTATTATTTTATCAGTCTTTGTGCTGTTATTATCATGCCTGTAAATTCTACGTGTATTTCAGACCCACAAACCAAGTGTTGTCTTAGACAGTGGTCCTTCAGATTTACCCCCAGGTTACCCTTCTAGTCTTCCTGCAGGACGGCGCTTACATGGAGACCAGCTTCCTTCTGCCTGAAGTAGTCCCTTTAGTATTCCTTTCAGCACAGACTTGTAATTAATTCTTTTTATTTCTTTTCTTTTCTTTTTTTTTTTTTTGAGATGGATTTTTGCTCTTGTTGCCCAGGCTGGAGTGCAGTGGTGTGATTTTGGCTCACTGCAGCCTCCACCTCCCAGGTTCAAGCGATTCTCCTGGCTCAGCCTCCTGAGGAGCTAGGATTGCAGGTGTGCGCCACCACGCCCAGTTGTTTTTTGTTTGTGTGGGAAATGTCTTTGGCATTCTTTCTGGAGGGTGTTCTCCACTCTGTGTGGAGTTCTAGGCAGGTAGGGGGTTTCCCCCAACAGGTTTTTGTGTTGGCTTGGAGTGTTTGTCATTTCTGTGGTGAGGGCGCCTTCCAGCCTCACTGCCACCCCTGGAAGGCAACATCTCTTTTCTCTGACTCCTGTTAAAAGTGTTTTCATCACAACAGCAGCCTTGTGAAGGACAGAGGAATCGAGAATTTCTCCTAATTGAGATTGGTAGAGCTTCTTGAATCAGGGACATGATAGCTTTTGTCTCTTTTGGAAAATATCAGCCCTTGACTTTTCGTTTTTTTTTTTTTTTTTTTTTTTTTTTTTGAGTCTCGCTCTTGTTGCCCAGGCTGGAGTGCAATGGCGCGATCTCGACTCACTGCAATCTCCACCTCCCCGGTTCAAGTGATTCTCCTGCCTCAGCGTCCCGAGTAGCTGGGATTACAGGCACTTGCCACCATGACCGGCTAATTTTTTTTGCATTTATAGGAGAGACAGGGTTTCACCATGTTGACCAGGCTGGTCTGGAACTCCTGATCATACATCCACCTTGGCCTCCCAAAGTGCTGGGATTACAGGTGTGAGCCACCGTGCCCGGCCAGCCCTTGGCTTTTCAAATAGCATCCTGTTCTCTCTCCCCTGGGACCCCCACACTTCACACCTGTGTGTCTAATGTGCTCTTTTTTCTGGGTTTCTTCTGCGTTGGTTTTTTCCCGCTTTGTGCTTCAATGTGGATTTTTTTCTACTGTTATCTCTTATTTCACCCAATCTACTCTTAAATCTACCCTTTAAATTATTAATTTCAGTCACTTCATTTTTTACTTTTAGAATTTCCATTTGATTCTTTTTTTTTTTTTTTTTGCCCAGGATGGCAATGGCACGCTCTCGGCTCACTGCAACCTCCGCCTCCCAGGTTCAAGCAATATTCCTGCCCCAGCCTCCCAAGCAGCTGGGATTACAGGGTCACACTACCACGCCCCACTAATTTTTATGTTTTTATTAGAGACGGGGTTTTGCCATGTTGGCCAGGCTGGTCTCGAACTCCTGACCTTGGGTGATCCGTTTGCCTCAGCCTCCCAAAGTGTTGGGATTACAGGCGTGAGCCACTGCGCCTGGCATCGTAGTTCTCTCTTCTGGGGTGGGAATGTCTATTCTGTGTCCTTCTCACGTGCAAAATACTGTCATTACATCCCAATGGCCCCAGAACCCTTAACTCCTCCCAGTGTGGCGGGGGCAGTCTTGTCTGAACAAGGCATGGGGGAGCCTGGAGGCCCATTCCTCCTGAGGCCAAGTTCCTCCCTGGCTGTGGGCCAGCATAAGCGAACAAGGCGTGTACTTCCGGAATGCTATGGACTGAGTGTGTGTCTCCCCAGAATCCATATGTTGAAGCCCTAACCCTCCAGTGTGATGGTGTTTGGAGACGAAGCCTTTGACAGGTAGTTAGAGTCATGGCGGTAGTTAGTTAGAGTCATGGCGGTAGTTAGTTAGGGTCACGGTGGTAGTTAGGATCATGGTGGTACTTAAGGTCATGGCAGTAGTTAGGGTTATATCAGTAGTTAGGGCTATGGCTGTAGTTAGGGTGATGGTGGTAGTTAAGGTCACAGCAGTAATTAGGGTCATGGTGGTGGTTAGGGTCACAGTGGTAGTTAGGGTCACGGTGGTGGTTAGGGTCGTGGTGGTGGTTAGGGTCACGGTGGTGGTTAGGGTCACGGTGGTAGTTAGGGTCACGGCGGTACTTAGGGTCACGGCGGTGGTTAGGGTCACGGCGGTGGTTAGGGTCACGGTGGTGGTTAGGGTCACGGCGGTGGTTAGGGTCACGGTGGTGGTTAGGGTCGTGGTAGTTAGGTTCATGGTGGTGGTTAGGGTCGTGGTGGTTAGGGTCACGGTGGTGGTTAGGGTCACGGTGGTAGTTAGGGTCACGGCTGTAGTTAGCGTCATGGTGGTGGTTAGGGTCACGGCGGTGGTTAGGGTCACGGTGGTGGTTAGGGTCACGGCGGTGGTTAGGGTCACGGTGGTGGTTAGGGTCGTGGTAGTTAGGTTCATGGTGGTGGTTAGGGTCGTGGTGGTTAGGGTCACGGTGGTAGTTAGGGTCGTGGTGGTTAGGGTCATGGTGGTGGTTAGGGTCACGGTGGTGGTTAGGGTCGTGGTGGTTAGGGTCGTGGTGGTTAGGGTCGTGGTGGTTAGGGTTGTGGTGGTTAGGGTGGTGGTGGTTAGGGTCGTGGCGGTGGTTAGGGTCGTGGCGGTGGTTAGGGTTGTGGTGGTTAGGGTCACGGTGGTGGTTAGGGTCACGGTGGTGGTTAGGGTCACGGTGGTAGGGTCGTGGTGGTTAGGGTCGTGGCGGTGGTTAGGGTCGTGGCGGTGGTTAGGGTTGTGGTGGTTAGGGTCACGGTGGTGGTTAGGGTCACGGTGGTGGTTAGGGTCACGGTGGTAGGGTCGTGGTGGTTAGGGTCGTGGCGGTGGTTAGGGTCGTGGCGGTGGTTAGGGTTGTGGTGGTTAGGGTCACGGTGGTAGTTAGGGTCACGGTGGTGGTTAGGGTCATGGTGGTGGTTAGGGTCACGGTGGTGGTTAGGGTCGTGGTGGTTAGGGTTGTGGTGGTTAGGGTCGTGGCGGTGGTTAGGGTCACGGTGGTGGTTAGGGTTGTGGTGGTTAGGGTTGTGGTGGTTAGGGTCGTGGCGGTGGTTAGGGTTGTGGTGGTTAGGGTTGTGGTGGTTAGGGTTGTGGTGGTTAGGGTCGTGGTGGTTAGGGTCGTGGCGGTGGTTAGGGTTGTGGTGGTTAGGGTTGTGGTGGTTAGGGTCGTGGCGGTGGTTAGGGTCGTGGCGGTGGTTAGGGTCGTGGCGGTGGTTAGGGTTGTGGTGGTTAGGGTTGTGGTGGTTAGGGTCACGGTGGTGGTTAGGGTCACGGTGGTAGTTAGGGTCACGGTGGTGGTTAGGGTCACGGCGGTGGTTAGGGTCACGGTGGTAGTTAGGGTCATGGTGGTGGTTAGGGTCACGGTGGTAGGGTCGTGGTGGTTAGGGTCGTGGCGGTGGTTAGGTTCATGGTGGTGGTTAGGGTCGTGGTGGTTAGGGTCACGGTGGTAGTTAGGGTCACGGTGGTGGTTAGGGTCACGGTGGTGGTTAGGGTCACGGTGGTAGTTAGGGTCACGGTGGTGGTTAGGGTCACGGCGGTGGTTAGGGTCACGGTGGTAGTTAGGGTCACGGTGGTGGTTAGGGTCACGGTGGTAGGGTCGTGGTGGTTAGGGTCGTGGCGGTGGTTAGGTTCATGGTGGTGGTTAGGGTCGTGGTGGTTAGGGTCACGGTGGTAGTTAGGGTCACGGTGGTGGTTAGGGTCATGGTGGTGGTTAGGGTCACGGTGGTGGTTAGGGTCGTGGTGGTTAGGGTTGTGGTGGTTAGGGTCGTGGCGGTGGTTAGGGTCACGGTGGTGGTTAGGGTTGTGGTGGTTAGGGTCGTGGCGGTGGTTAGGGTTGTGGTGGTTAGGGTTGTGGTGGTTAGGGTTGTGGTGGTTAGGGTCGTGGCGGTGGTTAGGGTCGTGGCGGTGGTTAGGGTTGTGGTGGTTAGGGTTGTGGTGGTTAGGGTCACGGTGGTAGTTAGGGTCACGGTGGTAGTTAGGGTCACGGTGGTGGTTAGGGTCACGGCGGTGGTTAGGGTCACGGTGGTAGTTAGGGTCACGGTGGTGGTTAGGGTCACGGCGGTGGTTAGGGTCACGGTGGTAGTTAGGGTGGTGGTGGTTAGGGTCACGGTGGTGGTTAGGGTCACGGTGGTAGTTAGGGTCACGGTGGTGGTTAGGGTCGTGGCGGTGGTTAGGGTTGTGGTGGTTAGGGTCACGGCGGTGGTTAGGGTCACGGTGGTGGTTAGGGTTGTGGTGGTTAGGGTCACGGTGGCGGTTAGGGTCACGGCGGCGGTTAGGGTCACGGCGGCGGTTAGGGTCACGGCGGTGGTTAGGGTCACGGCGGTGGTTAGGGTCACGGCGGTGGTTAGGGTCACGGCGGTGGTTAGGGTCGTGGTGGTTAGGGTCACGGTGGCGGTTAGGGTCACGGCGGCGGTTAGGGTCACGGCGGCGGTTAGGGTCACGGCGGCGGTTAGGGTCACGGCGGCGGTTAGGGTCACGGCGACGGTTAGGGTCACGGCGGTGGTTAGGGTCACGGTGGTGGTTAGGGTCACGGCGGTGGTTAGGGTCACGGCGGTGGTTAGGGTCACGGCTGTAGTTAGGGTCACGGCTGTAGTTAGCGTCACGGTGGTGGTTAGGGTCACGGTGGTGGTTAGGGTCATGGCGGTAGTTAGGGTCACGGCTGTAGTTAGCGTCACGGTGGTAGTTAGGGTCACGGTGGTGGTTAGGGTCACGGTGGTGGTTAGGGTCACGGCGGTGGTTAGGGTCACGGCGGCGGTTAGGGTCACGGCGGTGGTTAGGGTCACGGTGGTGGTTAGGGTCACAGGGTAGAACCCTTGTGGTGGGATTTGTGCCCTTTATAGGATGAGAGGATGAGACACAAGAGAGGTTGTGCTGCGCCTGTGCTCTCTGCTCCACATGAGAACATGGTGAGCATGAGGCCGCCAGCAAGCAAGGAGATACCCCGCCCTGCAGGTTCCGTCATCCTGACTCCAGCCTCGGAAACATGAGAAAGTCAATGCCTGTCACTTAAGCCGCCCAGTCTGTGGTATTTTGCTGTGGTGGCTGAGCCGACGGAGACAGTTCCATAGGTCTTGATTGTCCTGGTGGCCCTGAACCCCAGTTTTTGTCTCCAGTGAGATGCCTGGCCCGGCTTTCTGTGTGACCTCCGAAGGGTCAGCAGACGCCGTGCATGTGCAGGGCTTGGGTGGCGCATCTCTCTGGCAACACCTTCTCTTCTGACGCACTTGTCTGGTCTCGGATGCCTCCAACGCGGTTTTTACTTATTTTCCAGCTTTCGTCGATTGTTCGTGGGAGGAGGGTTAGACTCCTCGCGTGGCGTCCCTGGCCACATCCTCAGCGCTGTGTCCCCTCGCAGCTCAGTTCCTGGTTCTGAGTTATTGTGACTCAGCCGCACGTCCTCCCAGGGGCCTTGCCAGCCTGGCTCTGTGCCGGGCGCTGGGCAATCTCTGCCTCCAGCCTGGGCCTTTGGGTCTGTTTGAGGGTGGGGGACACGGAGCTCAGCAGTGAGGAACTCGGAGCAGCTTCTTGTTGTTGGTGTTGATGTGTTTTGTTTGTTTTAGTGAATCCAGAAAAAAAATTTCTTACATAGAAAGGAGCGGTATTTGGTATGAATTTATTTGCAACTGACTGCTTGGAAGTTGGCGTACATCTTTCCACGGAAACTATGAAAATACTGGTCAGCCTCTCAGTCATTTCATAAAATCTTGATTTTGTATTACAACAAATTAGGATATTTTCAGTAGAACTGATTGTAAGGCCAGACTGTTGGAATGTAATTCCTTCCCAAACATCTCTCAGGGGCACTTTCCTGAACGGCTGCTGACAGCAGCATTTGAGGACGGTGGGGCGGAGGACATCCTGGGGGGCCTGGCTTCTTGGGAACTGGAGGCTTTGGCCCTTGTCCCACCCCTGCTCCCCTGAGGAGGGAGGCGTGGGGCCCTGGGCTGGCTGCAAGACGTGGAGTGACTGTGGGTCCCCGTGGCCCCTGACATGCTCCCAGGGAACCCAAGAAAAGACTGAGACCCTGTGGTGCCTCCCGCTTTCCATCCGCATTCCATGGCAGGTGAGTCTGATTATTCGAAGGAGGCTGGAGTGTGGGCGGAGGGCAGCGCCAGGTTTCCCAATCAGATTTGCTCAGGGTCCCTCCAGCAGTCCATGCCGCAGAGGCTGTCCCTTGGGGGCCCACGCATCCTAGCCACGGCCTCCTCACGTCCATGCGGGGATTTGCGCCCTGGAAGGAGCCGCCCGGCTGCCTCTCGCCAACATGCAGCACTTCCCTTCCTTTCCATGGAGCACGGTTCCTGTCCCGGGGGTCCATATTGGCCACTGTGGGAGAGAGTCGGGCAGCTGAATTCCCGCAGGTGGGAATGCCAGGGCCCGAGGATGTTGCCCCTGTCCTGAAGGCTGTCGCCCGATCGCTCTATCCAAGGCTGCCCTGGGGCAGCGTCACCTGGGGGTCCTGCGGGGGCTTCTCAGCACAGCATCCAGCACTGCCACCTAGTGTGTTCCCGTCACGTCTCCTCCCCCCGCCTGCACCAGGCACCAGAGACCCGGATGCCAAGGCCTGTCAGCTTCCTCAATGGGAAACTTTTCTTCAGTGAACAAAGCTCTGTTTTATAGACTTTTTAAATTTTCAGCTCAAAAACCAAAGTCTGCCAGTGTTGGTGGCCTTGGAGGGCTGGTCTGCTGACCTGGGCTGCAGGGGCTGCCCGGCTGGGGTCGTGGTCGGGGCAGGTGCCGCCCACAGGTTGTTTGGCTGCAGGTGATGGGCAGGTCCCCCATCACGTGTCCAGAGGTGGGTGCTGCTGGTGGGTAATCCAGCTCATTACCTGTCTCCCCCCAGCCGCCTTGGGCTGGGGACCCTGCCCCGCCGACCCTGCCATGCCCACCCCCCTCCAGCCTGATTGCGTGTCTCAGTCACATGACCGCCCTGGGCCCGTGATGTCACTGGGAAATGCCCTCATTTGATTGGCTTAGACCCCAGATGAACAAGCCCAAGGTCTTGGGGCATCAGAGCCACCCATGAGGGCAGCTGGATGCAGCGGCCACAGCCTGTGGTTGGGGAATGGCATTGCGCAGCTCCACCACGAGGGGACCTGAGGCTTGGACTGTGAGACTGGCCCAGGCTCGCCACTTGCCCCTCACCCGGGGTTGCCTTCCCGAGGGCCGCGGACACCTGAGCAGTCCCCATGCCACTGCATTGTGGCAGGGACACGGCCGCCCATCCCTCCTGGGTCCCTTATCCACCTGCCTGTCCCTTCGTATCACTGACACCCTGATACCCATTGTGCTGCGCCGTGTGGCCCGGTGCCCACAGGGCCGGGTTCTGCCTGTTCCTGGGGGTCCGTGTGTCCCACGTGCCTAGACGTGAGAGGACGGAAGTCGGCAGAGCTTGGCTCCCTGTTCGCCCGACTGGCGCCTCGGCTGTGCCTCTTCTGTCTCTCGAGCTCTTCTGTGCCGTGTGGTTGCACTAAGCAGCTGTGGGGAAGGGGGAGGTTGTTGCCTCAGTGGGAGCCTGGGCTGTGGCTGCCAGTCCCCAAAACAGACCCTGCGCCCCGGGCAACCATCTGCTTCCCGCCACAGTGGTGCCCAAAACCTTTTCCAAGTCGTCTTCTGTGACTTTAGTGTTATTCTTCAGTCACCTTTAAAAGCATAGCATGTTTTCAATCACATGTTCAGCTGGGAAATAGATCTGTGGTTAGAAACGGGAAGTTTGAGTTGCAGGCTTGCGATCCGGGCAGGTCCCTCAGATGGAGGGGCTGCACCTCCACTGCCCCCCCCACCGCCGCCCCTGCCCCACGGCCACCCCAGATCCTCAGACGCCCCTCCCTGTGCCTTCTCACCCTCTGGTCCTGGCTGGGCCCGTCCCGCCCCACGTCCCGCCTCCCACTGCCCTCAGCCTCTGGAACGGTGCCTGCATGGCTGGCACTATCCAGCGCAGAAGGAATGAAGGACTTCTGTTCAGACAGCTCTGCTGGGAGCGTTCTGGCCTGAAATGCAGTGGGAGCTCTGGTGCAGGTGTAGCCGAGGCTCAGGGGCTCCACACCAGGCAAATAGGCGAACGGCGTCTCCCGCGGCTCCCGGTGGCTTTTTAGGACTCTGCGTTCGTGTTCTCCATTGTCCCTGGCAGCCCCTGGCCAGGGTGGCCCAGTGCCCACTATAGAGGGTGCAGGTCAGTTTGTGGACCAATGGCCAACCAGGCTGAGTCAGGTGAGGTGGGGAGTCCCACCCCAAACCCCAAACTCCAGTGTCTGGGCCACGGGCAGCCCTGGGACACCTTAGCTCTGGACACGAATTTGCGGTCATTGCTGTTCTTGTGTCTCTATTTGCCTAGGACATGCTGGCAGCTAACTGGGTGCTGGGGAAGCCTGGAGAGGAAGCCAGGTGGCCCCAGGCTCCTGGAGCTCAGAATCTAGTGGAAATCGCTGCCCAGGGAAGAAGCTCCGGAGTCTAGAGGTGGCAGCACCCATTTTACCTGCACCCTCAGTGACAGCTGCACCCTGGCTTCTGGGGACCTCTGGGCCCAAGGGCACCTCACTGTCTCCTTGTCCTCCTGGTCACTGACCTGGGCCACCATAGAAGGCACCTGGCTATCTGCATGTGGCTTGACCACTGCCTTGCACCCATCCGGGCCCCGCAGGGCCGTCCTGTGGCACTGCTTTGGGCTGTGCTGGTCACCCTGTGTAGCGGGGCCATGTCCAGTGAACAGGAGAGGCCTCAAGTGCCCCCTGACCTGCTGCCAGGGACTCGGCCCCTCCCTCACCGCCACCGCACCCAAGGGCTGTCGCCTGTCCCAGCCTGCTGCTCCGAGTTTAGTGTTTTAAAACGTGTTTTCTACGTCTTGTCAGAGTGCTCAAGGCGCGAGATTGCCATGGAAACTGAGCTCCTTAGAATTCCTGTGGCCGTCCTAATTATAGAATCTCAAAGACACGCACAGAGCTCCTTGAGGTTGTCGGAGTTAAGGCTGAAAGAGGAGGAGCGGCCCCTGTGATCCCCACAATTTTGTTCCCTGCTTGCTTCAGCAGAGCCTGGCACCCAGGGAGGTGGCAGGATGGGTCCCCAATGGGCACGTGACATCGAGCCAGCTCTGACTCCAAAGCCTGACCCGTGTGGCTGCACCGTCCACTGTGCGCTGTCCACTGCAGGAGACCCCAGGCTGTGTCCACACGTACCCCCGGAAGGACCTCCTGCTAACCTGGGCTTGACTTTGAGACCCTGTTCCACAGAGGTAGCCGGGGGACTCGCGGTGCCAGGCCCACAGCCTCCTCGCCGGTAGTATCTGGGGGCCAGGGGCCGTTTCCAGAGCACACTCCCCAGAAGGGCTCCCTTCTCCTTTTCACAGCGCTGTCTGTCGCTTAGGTCAGAAATAGGCCCATCGCTTTCCAAGCAGAAACCCAAACACTGAAAATTCGACTGTGACTTTTGAGGGGTGGGGACCGCCAGGTCCCCCCAACATCCCTGCCTGCGGGCCCAGAAAGGCAGAGTGGCTGCCGGCCCGCGTGTCCAGGCCCCTTACACTGAGGGAACCTTCTAGTCAATTGCCTGAAGTTCGAAGGTTTGGGGGGTTTTTGTGGTTGCTTCCGTTTGTTTTGGCAGTTGCAGAATCCCCCGAAAAGGTGGGAATGTGGATTTTTCAAGGCAGGTGCTCCTTTGATTCAGAAGCTAAGGAGGCCCTAAGTGCAGTCTCACCTTGAGAAAAATATCAGGCCAGTCCTAACGGAGGGGCGTCCTGCAGACACCCAGCCTGCACTCAGAACTGTCACGGTCAGAAAGCACGGTCAGAAAGTCTGAGAAAGTCACGGTGCAGCAGGGCCCGAGAGGCAAGACGGTGACACGTGGGCTCCTGGAAGAGGCAGGATGGTGACACGTGGGCTCCAGGACAGGACCCTGGGGCGGACGCAGACAGTGGGTGAAAACCAAGGAAAGGTCTGAATATCGCTTAAGGTAGCCATGGATCCTGTCTCATTAATTGTAACAGTGTAGCAGGCGGGTGGAAGATGAGAGCTGTGGGGAGCCAGGCAGGGGGGGTCTCTGGGAACTCTCCAATTTAAAGCTGTTCTTAAAAATAGTCTATTAAAAAAGACAGTTGAGGGCGGCCCTGCCTACAGCTGGAGTTGAGGTTCTAGCACCAGGCTTCCTCTCAGCCTCCATAGGCGAGTAGGGACCAGGCAGGGCCTTGGCCACAGGGAGGCTTCTGGTTACCAGGTTCTCCACAGCCTTTGCAGTTTCCCTGTGAATCTGAAATTACCCCCAAATAAAAAGGATGGGTTTTTTTGTTTGTTTGTTTTGTTTTGTTTTTGAGACAGGGTCTGGCTTTGTTGCCCAGGCTGGAATACAGTGGTGTGATCTCTGCTCAGTGCAGCCTCCACCTGCCAGGCTCAGGTGATCCTCCCACCTCAGCCTCCCGAGTAGCTGGGACTATAGGTGCACGCCACCACACTCGGCTCATTTTTTATATTTTTTTTATAGAGACGGGGTCTCACCATATTGCCTAGGCTGGATTCAAATTCCTGGGCTCAAGTGATCCACCTGCCTCGACCTACCGAGGTAGTGGGGTTACAAGCATGAGCCGCCACGCCTGGCCAAAAGGTGTATTTGTTAAGTACAGGCTGCCCTGCTGTCCGTTATCCCTTATAACTCACCTGGTCCCTGCTTTCCAGCTGGGGACTGGCATGGACCCCATGGGGCTTCCCCCATTTCACTGAGGCAAGACCCAGATGCTGGGGGTATTGGGTGTCCTGCCCAACCAGGGTCCCCAGGGCCAGGGGCTCCTGGCGTGCCTTCCCGTGGGACTCCGCATGGGGGGCTGGGAGGGCGAGGAAAATGGGAAACATGATGCCTGCCCAAAACTCCCACCTCGGAGACCCTGTGCCAGGGTTTTCCAGAGAGACCAAACCAATAGGGTGTGTGTATAGAAAGATCTATTGTAAGGAACTGGCTTGTTCATAGAGACTTATGAAGCCCAAAATCTACAGGGGGCCCAGCAGGCTGGAGACCTAGGAGGAGCCACAGCCGCAGCACTGCTGCTTAGGGAGCTCAGCCTTTGCTCTGTGGAGGCCTTTTTCTGCTTGGGTGAGGCCCACCTGCATTGTGGTGGGCAGTCTGCTTCCCCCAAAGTCAGCTGATTTAAATGTTTATCTCATCCATACTCACCCTCATGGAAACATCCAGGATAACATTTGACCAGCCGTCTGGGCACCATGGCCCAGCCGCGTGGACACATACAGTGAACCATTGCAGGCCCTTCCTTGGCACTTGGCATCCACGCATATCCCCTTAAGCCACACTCAGTCTCCACACAGCAGTACTCCCGCCTGACACACTCGGTCTCCACACACAGCAGTACTCCCGCCTGACACAGTTCGACCCTCCCGCAAGCAGTGCCAGCACACTTGGCCTTCCCAGAAGAGGGCCACCATCATGGGCTCGGACCTTCCAGCTGGACTGCAGTGGGGTGGGGCGTGGCCTCGCCTCTGTGGTCTTTGGGTCACTTGAATCCCCGCCTCTCACTCATTTTCCTTTGGTATTTGCAAATTTGTCCCCGTGGCGCCTGGAGCTGACTGCCGGGTGCCACATGTGTCCTGCCTCAAGCCAAGCTCCAGGCGGCACCCGTGAGCAGGCAGGGATGCCAGTGGTTTCTCACCTGGGAGTTTCTTTGCAGGCTCAGAGCTCTTTGTTCCTTTTTAAAAATCTGATTTGAAGGCCGGGCACAGTGGCTCACACCTGTAATCTCAGCACTTTGGGAGGCCGAAGTGGGCATATCGCCTGAGGTCAGGCGTTGGAGACCAGCCTGGGCAACACAGGTTGGGGCAACTCCCTTCCCTAATAAAAGTTCAAAACCAACCCTTAAAGTTTAAAAAGTGAGATGGGATATTTGAAGGAGGCAGGTCTGAGGGAAATGCTTGAAATTATCCTCTCTGTCCCTGTGCTGCCAGGTCATTTAGTTCCATTGTTATTCAACATACCATTTGACACATGCTAGGAGCGCAGGACTCGGCAATATAAAGCGTGGTAATCGATGGACACTGCCCCCGGCAGCCAGCCAGGGGCAGGACTTAAGCCCCACCCAACTGCAGGCTGTCCCCCGCCGCTGCTAGCCTGAAGTTGGATTGGTTACTGCTGCGGCCTGAAATTGGATTGGTTATTTGCTTACTGGAACATTTTTGTCACATGACTGTGTATTCTAAAACAAGATGTTGTTTTTGTTTTTGAGAGAGTCTCGCTCTGTCGCCCAGGCTGGAGTGCAGTGGCGCGATCGCGGCTCACTGCAAGCTCCACCTCCCGGGTTCACGCCATTCTCCTGCCTCAGCCTCCCAAGTAGTTGGGACTACAGGCGCCCACCACCACACCCGACTAATTTTTTGTATTTTTAGTAGAGACGGGGTTTCACCGTGTTAGCCAGGATGGTCTCGATCTCCTGACCTTGTGATCTGCCCGCCTCGGCCTCCCAAAGTGCTGGGATTACAGGCGGGAGCCACCGTGCCTAGTATTGGGTTTGTTTGTTTGTTTTTTGACTTACTTGTTTGGTTCTATAGCAATGGCACCATGTTTCTGTCACCCTAGGGTTTGATTTTTGGTGTTTCTAAGACACCTCTGGGCCACTGCACATGGCTGAGGTGGGCTTCGCACTGGCTCTGTCTTCCGTTGGACGCCCACACATCGGTTTATTTATGCATTCTCTTGTCCACAGACCTTGAGGTCATCAGACATCTTGAATGCTCCCGAGCCCAGGAGCGAGCGTTTCTGAGCTTTGACGGAGCAGCAGTGGGGCTGCCGGGCCCTAGGGGGAGCAAATGGTCCTCGTTTCTGAGCTGCGAGGCTCTCCCAGAGAATAAGCCATTTCTCCGGGGCACTCCTGGGCCTCGAAGGTGTTTGGGGCTGCGGGGGATTGATTTGTGCCGACCCCGCAGTGTAGGAGACGCCTGGGCGGCCTTGCGGGTTGCTTCGATGGTTCTCGGGGCTGAGATGCTTGTGTCTCTCTCGGGCGAGACGCCTGCTCTGGGCTTCTGTTCCTATTTTGACTGCTTTTTCCTCATGGATTTTTCAGTCCAGCATCCCTAGCCACGGGCCCTTTGTCTCTCATGTGTGCAGGTGACTCACGGTGACTAAAATCTTCTGTAATTCCTTCTAAAATGTTTTGCCGCTTTGCTGTCCACGTTTCCACCCTTAGTCTCTGAGGGGCCTAGTGTGTGTATGGTGGGAAGCGGGGTCAGCCCCCGCCTGGACCGCTGTGACAGAACCCCACAGACAGGGTGACTTACACACGACAGAAACGTCTTTTCTCAAGTTCTGGAGGCGTGGGGACCCCATCTCCAAATACAGCCACATTGGGGGTTAGGGCTCCCCACGTGAATTTAGGGGACACTTCAGTTCGTCCCGGCGGGGACTGGGGACGCCGGGCTGTGTGCTGTGTCCTGTGGGAGAGTTTGTTCACCCTGCTGGAGGCTCCCTGATGAGCCCTGGCGTCTGCTAGGACGTCATTCTCTTTACTGATTGAACTCGAAGGATGTCCAGTTGGCGCATTTTCAGGGTTTCCCAGGCGCACTGGGGGTGGGTCCTGTGTGTCCCCGCTCCAGCCAGCTTCGACCCCCAGCTGTGCGTCAGTCCCTCAGCTCCGCCCCCCAGCTGCGCGGCCGTCCCTCGGCTCCGCCCCACAGCTGTGTGACCGCCCTGCGGCTCCGCCCGCAGCTGCACGTTCGTCCCTCGGCTCCGCCCCCAGTTGCTCGTCGGTTCCCTCGGCTCCGCCCCCTCGGCTGTGCGTCTGGCCCTCAGCTCCACCCCCAGCTGCGCGTCCGTTCCTCAGCTCAGTCCCCAAGCTGTGCGTCCTTCCCTCAGCTCTACCCCCAGCTGTGCGCCCGCCCCTTGGTTCCACCCCCCTCCCCAGCTGTGCGCCCGCCCCTTGGTTCCACCCCCCCCAGCTGTGCATCCGTCCCTTGGCTCCGCCCCGCACTGTGCGTCCATTTTTGACTCCGCCCCCGGCTGTGCGCTCATCCCTCGGCTCCGCCCCCGGCTGTGCGTCCGTCCCTCGGTTCCGCCCCCGGCTGCGCGTCTGTCCCTCGACTCGGCCCCTCAGCTGTGCGCCACTTTCTCTGTGGCCCACAGTACCTCCGTCTCCGCCGCTTCACACCCTTCTCTTTCTTTCTCTCTTCAGAGAGGGTTGTTGGGCAGGCAGAGCATCCCCCGAGGGGACAAGTCAGGCCTACGGACTCCTGGAGCCAGGACCTGCCGTAGGCTGGTTAGGGCAGGATGCGCCCTGTCTTCGTGGGTAGAGCCACATGAGGGGTCACCCGACCCCCTCAGGGCTGAGGGGCACAGGGGCCGAAAGTGTGGCCGCCCCTGGGGGTCTGCGCCTCTTGTGGAGCCCAGGCCTGGCGCCCAGGTGGGTGGAGTGTGGAGGGGGCACAGGCTGCACGACCCCAGCCTGGCCTCGGGCTTGCTGGGAGTCGCGTCTGTGGCCGGAGGGGCCTTTGGTGTCACCAGGCCTCTGTCAAACCCCAAGCCGCATCCTGGGAGGGCTGGGTGGGCTGAGCCGCCCGCTGCCGTGAGGCCTCTTTGACCTGCGCTCCTGGAGGACCCCTGACTTCTTGGTTTCGCTCTGAATCTTCCATTTAAAGGAAGAGGAGCAGGTTTTACCATCCGTGTGGCCTGATTTCAGCAGTTTCCAGTCAGGGCTAGTCATTTGCTTGTTTTAAAAACATTCCGTTACAATTTCCACTTCAGTATATTTGTGGCACTTTCATTTGGTTCATGAAAGTCGCTTTTATGATGGAATTTTATAAAAGCACAAAGCTTCCCATTGTACGTTCCGTTTCTGAAGATTCTGTTTACACACACATCCGTTTCAAAGAGTTTTGGAGGAGCAAAGTGGGACACGGTGTTGAGGAAGGACAAGACCAGCCGTCTGGTTACAGGCTTGGTGCCGCCTTTCTCATAAGAGGCACAGTCCGCATGGGCTGGACTGTCAAATGCATGTTATAAAGATGATGTTTTTGGTAACTTGCGAATGGAAACGGGTGCACGGTCGGTTTGGCTCTCCTGCCCTGAGATTTATTAGGTTAAAGGAAACTCGACTGGAGAGCCCGGGGCCTCGCGCCGCTTGCGTCTGGCGAGTTGTTGAAGTGAAGTCAGTGGCGCTCTGCACCTTAGCCTGGCCCAGGCTCCACTGTGGCGTCCACTCTTCCTCCTCTGACAGTCATGTGTAAATATTGAGGCCCGTTTGAACTATCCCTGTGCGGAAAAAAAGGCCTGTTTTTCACAGGGCTGCCTGGGGAGGAGGGGGGTGGAAAGGAAAACAGGCAGGGGACAGACGGACCCGGCCTGCGTTGGCCTGGGGTGACTTCACGGCTCCACTGTCAGCAAGCGGCCGTCCCGTGGTGGATCCTGTCCGCCCTGCGAGGACACCTGGCTCCATCCACACCTGGGCCTCTGTCTCCAGCCGCCGAGGCCGTGACACCATGAGGATCATGTGAGGAGGGGCAGAGAGAGGCCTCCGGGAGGCCGTCATTCCAGCCCTGCCTTCCCTGCCTGGGAGGACGCTGCGGCCGCCACCACCTGGACGGGAGTGGCCTGTCGCAGCTGCACCCTGCGTGGGCTCGTGGCTGCCACGCTGTTTCTTTACACCTTTCTCATATCCTTTCCAGAATCTATCTACCGCCGGGGAGCCAGAAGATGGAGGAAGCTGTACCGTGCCAACGGCCACCTCTTCCAAGCCAAGCGCTTTAACAGGGTGAGTGGCCCCCTTGGGACTAGTCCCTCAAGGGGCCTTTTGTTACTTTTAAAAGCAAAGAGAGAGGAGGGGAGGCACGTCCCGCTGAGCCCAGGCTGGGCTCTTTTTGGCGCCCGAGGGCAAGGTTACAGAAATGCTTTCTCTGGTGCAGGATGAGGCTTTGACTAGGGCTGTCTGAGGCGGGAAGTGCCCTCCGGGCCTTTCCCTGCGTGGTGGCTGCCCAGTGAATGCTGTCTGTGTCTGCCTGGCTGTGTGACTCTTATCAGGGCTCAGGGCTCACTGGCCTGAGGCCCCAGCCTGCCTGCATCCAGAGTGGGGCGGCCGCATTCCATCCGCATGTAGCGCCAGGGTGTGTGTTTTCAGCCGCACACAGTGTTGCCTAGTAGCTAAGAGTCTCCGTGAACCCTGGAAGCTCCTTCAGCCCCATCCCTGCTTGGGCCTCTGTCTTCCCAGCGGCCACCCACGGGGGCCCTTTCCAGAGGACACTTAGCTTATTTTCCTTGTTTCTCTTTATGATGCTTTTCTAGTTCCTATGAAATGGGTGATTCAGATGCTTTTGTAATTGTTCTGTTTCACAGTGGAAGGGGAGGTGTCTGGGTGTGCCTTGGTGGCCCTGGAGTTGGTCCCACACAGGGAGTGTCTTGGGGGTGCGTGGAAGTATACAGGGCCTGTCCCCACTGCGGGACTCCACACAGAGCCCCTGACAGCCCCTCACAGGAGCGGTGGCCCTGGGGCTACCTTTGCATTCCACACTCACCTGCCACGTGGCCTCACGTGTCAACCTCCGCTGGGTGTACGGCACCTCTGTCTCCTGGAGCGGCCTCAAGTCACCTGCCCCTCCTTCTACTCCCATGGTCTGCCCTCTAGACCATCAGGAAGTTCTGTTCATGTGAGCCACTCCTCCTGCCCCTGCGTGTGCTCGGTCCCTGTCATGTGGCAAGAGTGGGTCTGGACTCCCATTCCTCTTGGGGCTAACACAGGTGAGGATGCAGGACAAGCTCCTGAGTGACTGAAGAGGGGTGTGGTGGGAACTAGGCTCCAGGAGATGAGCAGGTCAGCACTAGGAAGACCTGGACATTGCCTGGAGAGCCCAGAGGACTTCCTGGAGGAGGAGGCATCTGATCATACTGCCTGGGAGGTCAGTGCAGAGGAGATGCCAGGAGCACCGAGGATGTGGCAGGCACGGGAGAGTCCAGCCAGTGTCTGGGAGGCCCTGAGGACGAGGTTGGGGACACCAGGAAATGGGGAGCCTAGGCGGCTGTGTGCTTAGGGCAGGTGGGTGTGGGTGAACAGGCAGTTTGGCTCAGGCTGGGACTCAGGAGAGTGTGGCTGGAGGTGGCCACATTGGGAATATCTGTGGAGTATGGTGCCAGGGAGTGTTGCAGCACAGAGATCCCGTCCGCACCCCAGCCCACCCTGGCCGCCTTTTCTGAGGACACACGTTGTGAGTCTTCTGGGGCTGCAGAACACAGCACCACTAACTGGCAGCTTAAACAATGGAAACTTGCTCTCCGGCAGTCTGGGGCTGGAAGTCCAAAACGAAGGTGTCTTTATGAGTCAGGGTTCTCCAGAGGGATGGTACCAATGGGATGCATGTACATGAAAGGGAGTTGATTAGGGAGAACTGGCCCTCGGGCGCACAAGACGAAGTCTTACGATAGGCCAGCTGCAGGCTGGGGAAGAAAGAAGCCAGCAGTGGCTCACTCCGAGTCCAAAAGCCTCAGAAGCAGGGAAGCCGACAGTGCAGCCTTCAGCCTCTGCCAGAGGCTCCAGAGCCCCCGGCAAACCACTAATAAGTCCCGGAGTCTAAAGGCCCAAGAACCTGGAATCTGATGTCCCAGGGTAGGACGAGTGGCAGGAAGCATCCAGCATGGGAGAAAGATGAAAGCCAGAAGACCCAGGAAAACTGCTTCTCCCACCTGCTTCCGCCTGCTTTGCCCCAGCCGCACTGGCAGCTGATTGGACGCCACCGCCCACCCACATTGAGGGTGGGTCTTGCCCTCCCAGTCCACTGACTCAAATACCAGTCTCAGGGCAGCGCCCTCATAGACACACCCAGATGCAATACTTCACCAGTTCTCTAGGCATCCTTCAACCCAGTCAAGTCGGCGCCTGGTGTGACCCATTACAGTGCCGCAGGGCTGCGCCCTCCTTCCCCCGCAGCCACTGGTAGCTGCGGGCAGCCTTGTTCCTGTGCTGGCAGAGGAACCACTCACCTCTGTTTCCGTCTCCACATGGCCTCCTCTGTATCTGTCTCTTCTGTCATTCTGCATGACGGATTAGCCCAGAGTGAACCCTACCCACCCAGTGACATGGGCCAGGGCTCCGGGCAGCACAGGGTGTGGCCTCTCACTGTGCAGCTTTGAGGAGAAAAGTCCATTCTGCCGATGGCAGGTGCAGACCATAAGTGACCCTCCCCCTCCCCACCACCACCAGTGAGCAAAAGCTTTTCCTTTCCTTCCTGCAGACACTGGAGGAAAGGGTGGCAGGTGGACCCACCACAGCCCCGCTCTGCTGTGGAGGTACAGCCCTTCTGGGCGTGTGAACGAGCCAGTTTCACAAACACAGAGGCCAAGGCGAGAGTGGCCCGAAAGCCTGCAACCTGACTGCTCAGGGAGGGCGGCTGCCCTGCAGTTCAGCCTGTCCGATTCCCGCCTAATTGTGCCCGGGCTCTGATCTCGCCACCTGCTCGTAACGTTCTCTGTCCGGACCTCAGAGCCGCTCCATGTAGTGCTCACTTCATGTTAATTGCAGGACCACTCAGATCACCTCTGCTGTCACTTAAAAGGGGCATTTCAGGAGGAAAGCACTTGGTTTTGTGTGAATCAGTAAGACTTAAAGGGGAACAAGCACCCAGGAGAAGAGAGACTTTTCCGTCCTCTTTGTTGGTGAAGCGAGGATGAAAGAGTGGGCATCCGTCGCTGGGGACTGGGCTCCCCGCCCAGCTCTTTCTGTGCACTTGAAAGCACTGCCCTTGGACTTTGAGAAGGAAGCGTTCAGTGGGGGAGCCAAAGGGAGAGAGCCAGCGAGGTTCTGAAGAAGGAGGTGAGGAGGGGCTGCCTCCTCCATGAAGGATGGTGCCGGGGGTGGCAGGGAAGCCCACTCAGTGGAACAGAACTGCTGGGTCAGAGCTGGCCCAGGGCTGAGCACTTCTTGCAGAGGAGGGAAGGGATCCTCCAGTAAATCCTGAGGAGGTGATTGGTTAATTATCAGCCCAGGAATGGGGGGTGAGGTGGGTAGGAATCCAGGCTGCTGGCTCCCATCACAGTAAACGGCAGGTGGATTGAGGTTAAAAAAAAATCACAGGGCCCGGCGCAGTGGCTCACGCCTGTAATCCCAGCACTTTGGGAGGCCGAGATGGGTGATCGCTTGAGGCCAGGAGTTCAAGATCCATCTGGCCAACATGGTGAAACCCATCTGTACTAAAAATACAAAAATTAGCCAGGCGTGGTGGCACGTGCCTGTAATCCCAGCTACTCAGGAGTCTGAGGCAGGAGAATCACTTGAACCCAGGAGGCGGGGGTTGCGGTGAGCTGAGATTGTGCCACTGGGCGACAGAGTGAGACTCCGTCTCAAATAAATAAAAAGAAGAAACCTAGAAGCTGTGCAGATCTCTGGAGAAAAACCGGGCAGTGAGGACCAGA
This sequence comes from Homo sapiens, assembly GCF_000001405.40. NCBI lineage: Eukaryota > Metazoa > Chordata > Mammalia > Primates > Hominidae > Homo > Homo sapiens. The sequence goes on from NC_000001.11 coordinate 2,138,992, forward strand.
GGGTCTTTAGACTCAGCCACACAGAATTTTCAGATTTTTTCAGTTTCCAAATTAAATGCAAAAAACATACAGGAAAGGGGTTTGTAGCACGTAAAACCCAGAAGAGATCCAGACATCTCACACTTAGAATTGAAGAGCTCCTACACAAAGGCTTTTGGTAAATGCTGGGACCGAGAAGCTGAGAACCGGTGTGAATGGTTAATGAAGTAAGACTGTAATTGTTTAGAGATGAGGACAGCATGACCTCCACAGGTGATCAGGGAAACACAAGACATTTTCTCTGTCAACATCAAAGATGTTAAAAGTAATTAAAGCCGGCCGGGCGTGGTGGCTCACGCCTGTAATTCCAGCACTTTGGGAGGCCGAGGTGGGTGGATCACGAGGTCAGCAGTTCAAGACCAGCCTGGCCAAGTTGGTGAAACCCCGTGTCTACTAAAAATACAAAAAAAGTAGCCAGGCGTGGTGGTGGGTTCCTCTAATCCCAGCTACTCGGGAGGCTGAGGCAGAGAATTGCTTGAACCCGGGAGGCAGAGGTTGTAGTGAGCCGAGATGGCACCACTGCACTCCAGCCTGGGCGACAGAGCAGGACTCTGTCTCAAAACAACACAAAACAAAAACAAAACAACAAAAAAGTAATTAAAGCCCAGGGTTGCTGTCATGGGGTCTGCCAACCCTGGGGATGTGGGACAGGCATGGACCCTACTCTCTGGAAATCACGCAGAAATGTGCAGCGATGTTCCCATCCTGCCTCTCTTCAAAAGAAATCACCCGTCATTCGGAGGTTTGTGTATGGGGAAGATCAGCTCAGCATTATTTTTACAAGCAAGAGTGGGAATCGTGTCTGGAGTTAGCTACTCCCTTTGCTGTGAACAACCCACTCCACCACGTGGGGTATAAACCATGGTAGGGCCACGTCTCTGAGCTGTGGCTGCTGGAGAGCCCTCTGCTGGTGGCACATAGGGCACAAGTGCCGCAGGGACAGCTGGGTGGATGGCCCAAGACTTTGGCCTTTATCATGAGTGGACAGAGGAGTGACCACTTGGGTCCCTGGAGAAGAGGCTATAGAGAGTGAGGGTGGGGAAGGGAGATCAGAAGATGCCATCCATGAGCAGCAGTGCCTGTCAGATTTGGTCCAAGCAGTGCCCTCAGGTGGCTGGCAGAGGCCAATGCAATTCCTTTTCAAGCCAGCATCAAAGAATTCCTGATGATAAATAAATCAGGCATCTGAGCTCGCAATGGAAAACCACAAAACACAGTGGGAAGCAGGATATCCTGAGTCCAAGCTGGTAAAAGCCCAGACAGAGGCTCCAACCATCAGAATAGGTAAGGGTGTGACAGGTCTAAAACATGAAAATGGGCGATTGAAAATATGAGCAGGAGGCCGGGCGCGGTGGCTCACGCATGTAATCCCAGCACTTTGGGAGGCCGAGGCAGGCGGAGTGCCTGAGGTCAGGAGTTCGAGACCAGCCTGGTCAACATAGTGAAACACTGTCTCTACTAAAAATACAACAAAAATTTAGCCAGGCGTGGTGGTGGGTGCCTGTAATCCCAGGTACTCGGTAGGCTGAGGCAGGGGAATGGCTTGAACCAGGGAGCTGGAGGTTTCAGTGAGCTGAGAACATGCCACTGTACTCCAGCTTGGGTGACAGAGTGAGACTCCGTCTCAAAAAAAAAGAAAGAAAATGTGAGCAGGGAGGCCAGGTGCAGTAGCTCACACCTGTAATCCCAGCACTTTGGGAGGCTGGAGCGGGCAGATCACCTGAGGTCAGGGGTTCGAGACGAGCCTGGCCAACATGGCGAAACTTTGTCTCTACTAAAAATAAAAAATCAGCCGGACGTGGTGGCAGGTGCCTATAATCCCAGCTACTCAGGAGGCTGAGACAGGAGAATCGCTTGAACCCAGGAGGCGGAGGCTGCAGTGAGCCAAGATCGTACCACTGCACTCCAGCCTGGGGAACAGAGCGAGGCGCGAGGCTGTCGGAGGGAGGGAATATGAGCAAGGAACAAGTTGGCAGCATGTAAGACGTACTTAAAACGTTTTTACCCATTAATCTATGAATTCCTCTGAGTTTCTGAGAATGGAAACTTGGGGTTTAGGTTTTATTTTTTTAATGTCACATTTCCTGAAATGTTACTATTCAAATATAGATTTGAAACAAGAGCTTTTGACAGAGCTTGGGCAGCCTCACTTACAAAGCACACACGTGAGGTCTCTGTGGTGGGTGCCAACCCTTGGCAGATTCACACTGCCCTTGTCAGCAGATGTCCTGGCCTGACCCCAGGTAAGGGTGGCTCCCCACGGAAAGGAACCTTGGTCAATTTGTTTTTTGTTTGTTTGTTTGTTTTTCTTTTTCTTTTTTTTTTTTTTTTTTGAGACACAGTCTCACTCTGTTGCCCAGGCTGGAGTGCAGTGGCGTGATCTTGACTCACTGCAACCTCTGCCTCCTGGGTTCAAGTGATTCTCCTGCTTCAGCCTCCCGAGTAGCTGGGATTACAGATGTGCGCCACCACGCCCAGCTAATTTTTGTACTTTTAGTGGAGATGGGGTTTCTCCATGTTGGTCAGGCTGATCTCGAACTCCTGACCGCAAGTGATCCGCCCGCCTTGGCCTCCCAAAGTGCTGGGATTACAGGCATGAGCCACTGCGCCTGGCCAATCTTGGTTAATTTGTAAAGATACCTGGTGGCTGTGAATTTGGTCTTAACTAGGACCGTAGTGTTGCAGAGTAAGATGTTAAATGGTGACCTAGAGAAAGCCAAACACATTAGGCACATTATACCAAAAGAACTTGACTTTTAAATAATGGTTTTAGAAATGGAAGCTGGTGTTCTTCTGCGCTGTGGACGCGGAGGAGAATGGAGCAGGTCTGCACAGCCAAAGTGCCTCCTTTCACTCCAGGGTCCAGGCATCCAGCAGCCGAAGCGCCTCCTTTCACTCCAGGGTCCACACATCCAGCAGCCGAAGCGCCTCCTTTCACTCCAGGGTCCACACATCCAGCAGCCGAAGCGCCTCTTTTCACTCCAGGGTCCACACATCCAGCAGCCGAAGCGCCTCCTTTCAATCCAGGGTCCACACATCCAGCAGCCGAAGCGCCTCCTTTCACTCCAGGGTCCACACATCCAACAGCCGAAGCGCCTCCTTTCTCTCCAGGGTCCACACATCCAGCAGCCGAAGCGCCTCCTTTCACTCCAGGGTCCACACATCCAGCAGCCGAAGCGCCTCCTTTCACTCCAGGGTCCACACATCCAGCAGCCGAAGCGCCTCCTTTCAATCCAGGGTCCACACATCCAGCAGCCGAAGCGCCTCCTTTCACTCTAGGGTCCAGGCATCCAGCAGCCGAAGCGCCTCCTTTCAATCCAGGGTCCACACATCCAGCAGCCGAAGCGCCCTCCTTTCAATCCAGGGTCCAGGCATCTAGCAGCCGAAGCGCCTCCTTTCAATCCAGGGTCCACACATCCAGCAGCCGAAGCGCCTCCTTTCAATCCAGGGTCCACACATCCAGCAGGTGCCGACTGGGGCAAAACTCCCAATGCCGGCATTAAGCTAGATTGGCCCGGAATCAGAGGTCTTGGGTGGGATGCCCCCTCTCACCCATCCCTCCTTCGAATAGAGCCCACGGTCCTGGTGTGGCTCTGTCATGGCTGGGCTGATGTAGGTAGCATGTGCAGAGGATGTGGAGTCGGCTCCTTTTTCCTGTGACGAAGTTGAAAGCGATGATGCATGTGTGTTTTCTTACCCGATGCCCACTGTGTGCTGGGCACTGTCCTAGGTGCTGGTCATCCGGCCCCACCCAAACAAGTGGGCTGTGTGGGCGGGGGGAGGGTCCCCGGGCCCTGACGTCCCGAGCAGGCTCTTCTGATGAGCAGGAGAGTCCCGTAGAGGGTCTGGACCCCCTTTGCTCAGCCGCACCTGATGCCCACATGTGCTGAGGGTCCCGGTTCCTCACGTGAACTCAGTGCTGTATTTTCTCTTCAGTCCCGTTTCCTCACGTGAATTCAGTGCAGGCGGTTCACAGTACACTGTATTTCCTCTTCTTTTTTTTTTTTTTTTTTTTTGAGATGGAGTCTCACTCTGTCGCCCAGGCTGGAGTGCAGTGACGCAATCTCGGCTCACTGCAAGCTCCGCCTCCGGGGTTCACGCCATTCTCCTGCCTCAGCCTCCCGAGTACCTGGGACTACAGGTGCCCGCCACCACACCTGGCTAATTTTTTGTATTTTGTAGTAGAGACGGGGTTTCACCGTGTTAGCCAGGATGGTCTCAATCTCCTGACCTCCTGATCCACCCGCCTCGGCCTCCCCAAGTGCTGGGATTACAGGCGTGAGCCACCACGCCCGGCCTATATTTCCTCGTCTTAACTCAGGTGTGAGGTGAGCTCTGTAATAGGAAGGAAATTTGTGAAAAATGGTAAAAGAGGGAAAAGCATATGAAAGGGCTGTGTCTGGAAAGAATCTGAATTGGAGGCTCTGGGCACATGGTGACAGTGCAGATGCACCCCTTTACTCCCAGGAACACTTTGGGCACTTAGGCAAGGCAGAAAATGTCCAAGCAGGTCCCGACAACATTCATTCTCATGCCTTTTGTAACATTTAAACGTTCATGAAAACATCGCCAAACAAGCTGATAATTACCATCATTTTGGAATTGTTCAGAACCATGAAGAATAAAGAAGGATCATTTAAAATCTTGAAAAATACTGAACAAAGAATACTAAGATAATTGCAGGCTGCCATGTAGCAGTTCAAGATGTTCATGAGTCCGAGTTCCCCTTCTCTGAGGCTGTCAGGAGGAGGTTCTGTTTGAATGAAGGTCAGGCAGGGGGTACCCCCACACACTCTGCTTAGCCCTAGACGGGACCCCAGGCTGCTCTACGCAGAGCGCAGCAGGAGCTGCAGCCCCCCAGCCCCTGCAAGCCACGGGGCCTTGCCTGAAGCAGCACCTCGTCACCCCTGCCCGATGGCACCTCCCCTGTGTCCCCTCATGCAGAGCAGGGTTCCAGGCCTCTCCTTGGGGCCACTGGTTCCCCCAACCTTGGGATAGACCCAAGAGGAGGCTCTCAAGCTTGGGCAAGCCTGGCGCCCGGAAGGGACAAGGTGCCGGGGCCACCTGTTGCCCGGCTCAGTGTCCTCTTTTGAGAAGGTATAGGTGTGGAAGGCCCTGCCTGTCCTCTCCGCTGGCCCCTCAGTGTGGCCTGGGCCTGACGCTCTGTTCCCACCTGCAGAGAGCGTACTGCGGTCAGTGCAGCGAGAGGATATGGGGCCTCGCGAGGCAAGGCTACAGGTGCATCAACTGCAAACTGCTGGTCCATAAGCGCTGCCACGGCCTCGTCCCGCTGACCTGCAGGAAGCATATGGTGAGTGGCAGGGCTGGGGAGGCCCGGGGGGCACGGGCGGGGTCGGGGCGTGGCAGCCAGCCCATTGTCCAAGCAGACCTTGGTGACCCTGGGTTCTTCAAGAGGGGCCGTGGTGCCGTCCTAGCTCTGGGCTGCAGCGTGAGACTCAGGCGGCAGTCTTGGATAGGACCCATCTTCCTGAGCCCCCACAAGCCCCCGGCACACTCTGCTCATTGGGGCATGAGGCTCAGGCAGCAGGCTCAGGTAGGACGTGGTACGCTCTGCTCAGTGGGTCGGAGGTAAGGTTCATTCATACCCCAGTCTTGAACCAGCTCTTAAGGACTGTGGAGGTGAAAGCCAGGTCTGACCTAGTAGCATTGGGCACGCTGAGGCTCCGAACATCTGGAGCCTCTCCCTGGCATCCCCCCTGGGAAGCCATGCCCAGCCTGTGATGAGGGCGGCACCTTCCCTCCGCCATCCCCGAGTGCTTGGACTTGAAGCATCCAGGCCTTTGGGGGCCTTATTGACTTTTGCTTATTGAAGGCTGCCTCTGGCATTTCCGTGTGGCCCCCTGCATCCCACTGAACCACGGGGGTGAGGCCTGGACTGAACATTCAACTCCCTGGGCCCTGCTGCAGCGTGCAGTGGGTGTGTCTGGGGAGGGTGGCTTGTCTGCATCTTGCTGTGGCATGGGAGGAAAGGCGCCTGTGGCAGTGACGTGCCCTCTCCTCTGTTACGGGATAAAGACAGAGTCTGGATCAGGGTGTCACCCCAGGATCACCAGCCACAGGGATGGGGGACCACGCAGGCTGGTGCATGCGTTGGCACAGTCCTTCCAGAGGTCCTTCAGCTGCATCTGCCAAAAAGCCTGTAATGCCCTTTGACCTCATAGGTCCACTTTAGCGTAAGCAAATGAGACCGGCCCCAGAAATGTGGTCAGCTAGAGGCGGAGGGAGGCCAGAGCCTGCCACCCAGCTGACCACCAGTACTGGTGGCTCCATTATGACATATCTGCAGGCGGAACCCAGAGGCCCTTAGAATGGCCCCCTGATGCTTGGTTACTGACAGGATGCAGCTTTGGGACAGGGGAGATGACCAAGCATTGTGCAAAATATCCCGTTGTATAAAGCACTTGGTGGAAAGGTCATGGCCTGCAGTACCGAGTGGCCACCTCCGTCTGCAGAATCATAGGTAATGTTTATGTTCTTTATCTAATTCAGTAAAATAGCATAACAATTAGATTTTTATATACTATATTACAGTATACCCATTGTAATGTGTAAATATGTAAATCATAAATAGTCTTGAAGTGGCCAGGTGCAGAGGCTCACACCTGTAATCCCAACACTTTGGGAGGCCAAGGTGGGAAGATCACTTGAGGCCAGGAGTTCAAGACCAGCCTGAGCAATATGGTGAGACCCCATCTCTACAAAAAAAATACAAAAATTAGCCAGGCATGGTGGTGCGCACCTGTAGTGCCCGCTGCTCTGGAAGCTGAGGCGGGAGGATTGCTCGAGCTCAGGAGGTTGAAGCTGCAGTGAGCCGTGATCGCGCCACTGCTCTCCAGCCTGGATGATGACAGACTGTGACCCTGTCTGTAAAAAAAAGTTCTTAATTTTAAAAAGTCACAAAGTGTTTACAGAAGCTACATTGTAACACCTGCTCTAGCACTTGGTCATGCTGCCATCTCTGTGTCTCTCCGGCAGGATTCTGTCATGCCTTCCCAAGAGCCTCCAGTAGACGACAAGAACGAGGACGCCGACCTTCCTTCCGAGGAGACAGATGGAAGTAGGCGCTGCTTTCTTCCGGCCGGGTAGAGCCTGGGCATCACCTCACCCTGCTCACCTCTGCCTTCTAGCCACGAGTCCTTTCTCAGTCCCATCTGCTCTGCAGGGGTCATTGTCTTCAAGCCTGGCCACCCTTCCCTGGGGCTGGGGATGAGGCTCTCCAGGGCCTCCTCTCAATCCCCGGCAGAGATGAGCAGGGTGAGCTGGCCCTCCCTGGAGGCTGCTGGGCAGGGATGCCTCCGTGAAGTGCTGTTGTGGTTGCCCAGGGGTGCAGAGCCTCTTCCTCTAACCAGCTCCGGGAGTTCTCGAAGGCACTTAGTGCAGCAGCCACCATGGCCGGGCACCTCCCACAATCTGGCTGCTGCACAGAGCTGAGCCCTATCTGGGGAAAGCCTGGCGAGGTGGCTGCTGCACACACAGCGTGGCAGTGGCATGGTCCTTGGATTTTTGTGAGGTTTTGTTTGTTGTGGGGAAGGACTTGTTTTATTGCTAAGAAGCATTCAGAGAGAGATCTCAAACACCAGTTGGACTTACAGCCCAGGTTTGAGCCTCCACACCTGCACCTCTGCACGGGGGTGTGAGAGCCTCACTTTCACTTGATGCATGTGAGTTCTGTCTCATTGGGAGACCACAGAACATAAAGCACTTATGAGACCACAGAACATAAAGCACTTAGTTCACACAGTGCCTCACGCAAAAGAGATGCCTCACAAACAACTGCCTGCCCACCTGCTCCTCCACCCACCTATCCTCTATACAGATATTCATCCGTACATCATCCATTCACCCACCTAGCCAACCAACCAGCCCTCATCCAGCCAACCAGCCATCCTCCACCCGCCCATTCTCCATCCATCCACCACCTATCCATCTATCCACGATCCATCCATCTCGTCATCCAGCCAGCCAGCCAGCCATCCTCCACCCACCCATCCTCCAGCTATCTTCCATTCGTTCATCTGTTGTCCACTGACCTCTCCATCTATCCATGTATCTATTGTCCACTGACCTCTCCATCTATCCATCTATTGTCCACTGACCTCTCCGTCTATCCGTCTATTGTCCACTGACCTCTCCATCCAACCGTCTATTGTCCACTGACCTCTCCATCTATCCATCCATCTTTTGTCCACTGACGTCTCCATCTATCCATCTGTCTGTTGTCCACTGACCTCTCCACCCATCTATCTGTTGTCCACTGACCTCTCCATCTTTCCATCTGTTGTCCACTGACCTCTCCATCTATCCATCTATTGTCCACTGACCTCTCTATCTATCCATCTATTGTTCACTGACCTCTCCTTCCATCTATCTGTTGTCCACTGACCTCTCCATCTATCCATCTATCTTGTCCACTGACGTCTCCATCTATCCACACATCTGTTGTCCACTGACGTCTCCATCTGTTCATCTATCTGTTGTCCACTGACCTCTCCACCCATCTGTCTGTTGTCCACTGACCTCTCCATCTTTCCGTCTATTGTCCACTGACCTTTCCATCTATCCAGCTATTGTCCACTGACCTCTCCATCTATCCATCCATCTATTGTCCACTGACGTCTCCATCTGTCCATCTATCTGTTGTCCACTGACCTGTCCACCCATCTGTCTGTTGTCCACTGACCTCTCCATCTATCCATCCACTGTCCACTGACCTCTCCATCTATCCATCCATTGTCCACTGACCTCTCCATCTATCCATCCATCTATTGTCCACTGACGTCTCCATCTGTCCATCTATCTGTTGTCCACTGACCTGTCCACCCATCTGTCTGTAGTCCACTGACCTCTCCATCTTTCCGTCTGTTGTCCACTGACCTCTCCGTCTATCCATCTATCTATTGTCCACTGACCTCTCCATCTATCCATCTATTGTCCACTGACCTCTCCATCTATCCATCCATCTATTGTCCACTGACCTCTCCATCTATCCATCCACTGTCCACTGACCTCTCCATCTATCCATCCATCTATTGTCTACTGACCTCTCCATCTATCCATCCATCTATTGTCCACTGACGTCTCCATCTATCCATCTGTCTGTTGTCCACTGACCTGTCCACCCATCTGTCTGTTGTCCACTGACCTCTCCATCTTTCCGTCTGTTGTCCACTGACCTCTCCGTCTATCCATCTATCTGTTGTCCACTGACCTCTCCATCTATCCATCTATTGTCCACTGACCTCTCCATCTATCCATCCATCTATTGTCCACTGACCTCTCCATCTGTCCATCCACTGTCCACTGACCTCTCCATCTATCCACCTATTGTCCACTGACCTCTCCGTCTATCCATCCATCTATTGTCCACTAACCTCTCCATCTATCCATCCATCTATTGTCCACTGACCTCTCCATCTATCCATCCATTGTGCACTGACCTCTCCATCTATCCGTCTTCTATCCAGGCCTCCATTCATCCCCCATCTAGTCATCCTCCATCCATCCACCAGACATCCACTCCTGCCCCTACCCACCCATTCACTAGACACCAAAATCCGGTGACGAATTATTTGCAGATGGACCCCTGGGGACGTATGTCACGAATGTACATCCCCAGGTCCCATGGTCAGAGTCGGCAGGTGTGAGTGGGGCCCAGGAAACTGCATTTTCAGAAGACTCTAAATTAGAATCAGACATGGCTGCTGTGTGGATTCACCCTTCACCGTCACCCTGCAGAGGAGCAAGGTCCACAGGGTCGCTGTGTTCCCAGTGCGTTCCTGACCACACCGTAACGCCCCTTCCTTCCTCCCTCTCTCACCAGTTGCTTACATTTCCTCATCCCGGAAGCATGACAGCATTAAAGACGACTCGGAGGTGAGTGTGTGGAGCAGCTCGCTGCCATTTCCGACGTCCTCTGGAAAGTCTGTGAGCCTGTCTCTGGGGTAGTCACGGAAATCTAGATGTGAAATAGACATGGTCCGGGGTGTTGCTAACTAATCTTCACGGGTGTGGATGTCTAGAAGGAAGTCCTTATTCTTGGGTCTTACTTCAGGCATGTCCTTGATGAATACCTGCAGGCAGCTGTCCCCGCAGGTGGTCTGGGGACCACACCCTGCGGGGGAAGCCGTGCCCCACATCCTCTCCATTCAGGTGGTACAGTGGCCCAGGGGCTGGCTTTTGAGCTGCAATTTTTATCAAGTTGTGTCTGCACCATGCCTTCCGAATTGTGTTGCCTCATTTGGCCATCCTGGCAAACCCTCTGAAGCCCTTTCATGTCCTTCCCCAACTTGAGCCAAGAGGCTCAACTGAGCCTCACGTCTGTGGCCAGCTCTGCACCATAAACCCTGAGAAGGGAACAGAAGAGCTTGCTGCGTTCTCAGCCTCTGCTCGTAAAACCCAGGGAAGGACTGCACTAGCGAAGCCCACTCCTTTCCAGAGCACCAACAAGTGTCACCCTCACAACTCGTGCTCCTTCCTGGCCATCCTGTGTCTGGAGGGAGGCCGGGGCACTTAGAAAGCAGAATCTGAGGCTGAGCACGGCGACTCACACCTCCAATCCCAGCATTTTGGGAGGCTGCGCACATCGCTTGAGTCCAGGAGCTCGAGAACAGCCTGGGCAGCATAGCGAGACCCTGTTCCTACAAAAATAAATACAAAATAATTAGCTGGGCATGGTGGCACGGGCCTGTGGTCCTAGCTGCTTGGGAGGCTGAGGTGGGAGGATCGCCTGAGCCTGGGAGGTGGAGGCTGCAGTGAGCTGAGATCGCACCACTGCACTCCAGCCTGGGCGACAGAGGAAGAGTCTGTCTCAAAAAAAGCAGAATCCGGCTGGGCGCGGTGGCTCACGCCTGTAATCCCAGCACTTTGGGAAGCTGAGGCGGGCAGATCACGAGGTCAGGAGATGGAGACCATCCTGGCTAACACGGTGAAACCCCGTCTCTACTAAAAATACAAAAAAAAAAAAAGCTGGGCGTGGTGGCGGGCGCCTGTAGTCCCAGCTACTGGGGAGGCTGAGGCAGGAGAATGGCGTGAACCCGGGAGGTGGAGCTTGTAGTGAGTCGAGATCGTGCCACTGCACTCCAGCCTGGGCGACAGAGCCAGACTCCGTCTCAAAAAAAAAAAAAAAAAAAAAGCAGAATCCATTTTGCCGCACAGAACAGCACCTCCCAAGGAACCGCCTCCTCCACCCCGACCTCCTTGCCAGGTGTAGCTTGCGGGAGGCAGAGGCTTCTGTTCTTCCTCGGAGCGCCTTTCTCCTGGGTATTTCTAATAATTATTTCTAATAATGTGTGCCTGCCGGTTTGGGAGCTCTTGGCAGGCATTAGCTGCATTCGCTTTACCTTCCTTCCCCTGAGGGAGGGCACTGATCAGGAAGGATGGGCCCAGGCCCTGGGCCACATGTCCCTGTGGCCACCTCTTCAGCCCCACTGATAGGGCTGAGGGCCTGGGGGTCCCTCCCACCTGCAGCTGTGACCAGAGCCATGGTCTGTGGAACGAACAGCTTCTAGCTTTCTAGCACCTTCCTCAGAAGCACACAGCCTTAAATTCTTACCTTTCATGCCCCAGTTTAGATGGGAGTTTGGGGGTGGGATATGTGGGACGCAGAACTGAGACTCGAATCATGAGGCCCTGGGCTCTGAGGAGCAGGTCTCTGTTGGGACCGCATGAGTGATGCGTGGTCCTCTGAGTCTCCCGGGAACCCCCCTCTCACTTTCTGGGGTCTTGTTCTCCCTCCCTAGGACCTTAAGCCAGTTATCGATGGGATGGATGGAATCAAAATCTCTCAGGGGCTTGGGCTGCAGGACTTTGACCTAATCAGAGTCATCGGGCGCGGGAGCTACGCCAAGGTTCTCCTGGTGCGGTTGAAGAAGAATGACCAAATTTACGCCATGAAAGTGGTGAAGAAAGAGCTGGTGCATGATGACGAGGTAGGTGCCGCTTCTCATGGGGCCCGGGGGCCCGGGAACGCGCTGCCCTGGGGCCTCCTCCGGGCTTTAGCGGAATTAATCCATGCACGAGAGACCTAGCCTCACGTTGACGGAGTTTGTGCAAAATCAATAGTCATGCATCGTGTAATGACCAGGATGTGTTCTGGAAAGTGCCTGGTTAGGTAATGGCACTGTTGTGTGAACATCACAGTGTGCACTCCACAAACCCAAACAGCACAGCCAACTCCACAGCCAAGATGCACAGTGCAGCTCCTGCTCCCAGGCTGCAAGCCCGTACGGCTGTTAGTGCACTGCACACTGCAGGCAGTGAGGGGACCACCACGAGAGCACTCACGTGTCTAAGCTTAGAAAAGGTGAAGATGGGTATCGTGGTCTCTGCAACCTTCTCATGTATGGCCAACCACTGATACGTTGCCTTCCAGCAGACTGCGGTTGAGTTTTAGGATGTCATCACCCTTGTTAGGAAATCTCTGGGGTTGAGCTGAACTGGACGGGTGATGGGGTGGGACAGGAAGCTGCCCAGAGGCACTGCCCTGCTCCGTCCTGCACAAGGCCCCAGCTTTGCAGTACATGCTGAGCTGCCGTGGCTCTGTGTAGCAGATCTTCCCACACCAGCTGTTTCTAGGGGAGAAGTTTGTTGATTATAGGATCAATGGTTTATTTGTTGAAATCTTTTTTTTTGGAAACGGTCTTACTCTGTCACCCAGACTGGAGTGGCTTGATCACAGCCCACTATAGCCTCAAAGTCCCCAGCTCAGGTGATCCTCCCACTTCAGCCTCTGGAGTGTTGGGACTACAGGCATGAGCCACCACCCCCAGCTGTATAATTTTTGTATTTTTTGTAGAGGCAGTGTCTCATTCTGTTACCCAGGCTGGAGGGCAGAGCATGATCACGGTTCACCTCCTGCAGCCTCCACCTCCTCCTGCAGCCTCCACCTCCTGCTAGGCTGAGGTGATCCTCTTGCCTCAGCCTCCAGAGGAACCAGGACTACAGGCATGCACCACCATGCCCAGCTATTTTTTGTGTTTTTTGTAGAGACGGGGTTCCACTATATTGCCCAGGCTGGTCTAGAATTCCTGCGCTCATGCACTCTGCCCGCCTCAGCCTGCTAGAGTGCTGGGATTACAGGCATGAGTCACTATGCCTGGCCTGTTTGTTGAAATCTTAATTCTGACTTCATAGACCTTTTTCTTTTAATTAAAGTAAAATACACATGACATAGAATTTGCCATTTTAAAGTGTACAGTTAGGGCCGGGCGCGGTGGCTCACACCTATAATCCCAGCACTTTGGGAGGCTGAGACAGGTGGATTACCTGAGGTCAGGAGTTCAAGACCAGCCTGAACAATATGGTGAAACCCCAACTCTACTAAAAATACAAAAATTAGCCAGGTGTGGTGGCGCACACCTCTAATCCCAGCTACTCAGAGGCTGAGACAGGAGAATCGCTTGAACCAGGGAGGCGGAGATTGCAGTGAGCCGAGATCACGCTACTGCACTCCAGTCTGGGCGACCAAATGAGACTCTGTCTTTAAAAAATAATAAAATATGCAAACAAAGTGTACAGTTAGGCGGCTTTTAGCATATTGAGATACAGAGTTGAGCAGCTATCACCTCTCTGATTCCAGAACATTTTCCTCACCCCAAAAGGAGACCCCATACCCACTCCCTGCTTCTGCTCTGCGTCAGCCCCATGGCCTCCAATCTGCCTTCTTCCTCTGCGGACTTCCGTCTTCTGCACGCTTGACAGAACGGAGTTGTGTGTGAGCTTTTGGTGTCTGGCTTCTCCAGTGTCCGTCCATGTGGCCGCTCGCTCAGGCCTTCCTCTCTCTGCCTGGCCGGGTAATGTTCCGTTGTCCAGTGGAGGCCCCACGTTTGTGCGTGCACCTGCCAAGGGGCATTATAGTGTTCCCACCCTTGGCTGTTGTGAGTGGTGCCACTGTGAAGGTTCGCGTACAAGAATCTGTTTGAGTCTATTTCCAGTTCTTTTGAGTGCAAACCTAGCAGTACAGTTGCTGGGTCACATGGTAGTTCTCTGTTCAACTGATGGGGACCTGCCAGGCTGCTTCCCACGCAGCCGCGCCGTTTCACCTCCCCGCCAACACCACACGGGCCTGTTTCTGCAGGTCCTCAGTGACGCGTGTGATTGTGATGATCGCTATCCTGGCAGGTGTGCAGTGGTGGCTTTGACTCCCATGTCTCTGATGACTGACAGTGTTCAGCATCTTTCATGCACCTGTTGGCTTCTGGTATTTTTGGTCTTTTGCTTTCATTCCTGAATGCAGGTTGCGTCTCTCAGGATTAGATAAAAGGCCAACGTGTGGGTGGCAGTAATGCTGTTGTCACCAAGTGCTGCTAGCACAGAAGGCAACTGGCTGCTCGTCGAGCCCCGATGGGCCACAGAGGGGGTCCCTCCTCGCCAGCCATGCTCGGGGCTGGGAGGGCAGAGCTGGGGCTGGGGCTGAGCCTCTACTACCTCCCAGCAGGGCGTGTCTGTGCAGTGCACAGGCTGTCCAACTGGCCCCTCATCCCTGGGTGCAGAACTCAAAAGTGGGTGGCAGCGTCCATGCCCTGCGCCGAGGAACAGAGGCCCCAAGAGGTGTGGTGCCCTGCTGACAGCCCCGCTGCTGGCCAGCGGCAGCACAGGAGGATTCCAGCCCCCTTTGCAGCACGTCCCGGTCAGCTGGAAAGTTAATGCCACGTATGAGAGCAGGTTTGCGGGACCCTGAGAAAAGACATTTGGAAGAGTCGCTGCTGCGGTTTTGTTCTGTCTTGAAATCATCCTCTGTGGGCCGGGATGCCGAGGTGGGGACTCTGGGGTTGTCTTTCGAGAAGAGCCTGATTGCAGGAGTTGTTGAATGCTTGGATGGTTTCTAGAAATTTCTTTCTCCCCACAAAAAGACTGCACTCTCTGGGGCCAGGCTTGCCTCTTGTTCCCCCAGGAGTCACTGGCAAGCCCCTTCCCACCGATTCTGCAGCGCCAGCCCCACGCAGGGCCTTGAACTCAGCAGTGCTGTGTCCAGGAGGTTCCACTCAGTTTGGGTGCTGAGTGATATGTGGGTCATGATGCCAACGCCGACGTCCCTGCGGGGCCACAGTGGGTGGGTGCTGCTGGTGAGGGCCACTGGGGGACGGGTGGTGGCAGGTGAGGGGTGGAGGAGTCACCGCCGACCCACTAGGTCTTCAGCCACTGGAGATGGGAGGAGATGCGGGCTGGCGAGGAGCTCGGCTTGTGGCCTGGGGTGGCGTGAGATACCCGGGTGCACATGTTGAGCAGCCGTCGGGGGGCAGGTCTGCAGCTCAGGGAGAGGCCGGGCTGGGAGCTCTCGGCGTGGAAAGATGAGACTCGAAGCCACTCCATTGGATCTGCCTCCGAAGAGAAGGGAGGGTGGCCGAGGACCAAGCCTCGAGGAGGAGGAGGGCGCTGAGGAGGAATGACACAGTCTCAGAGGCTAAATAGATACTCACTAATGGTTTGTTGATTTGTTTCCACGAAACTTCCGGGAGTGGGGGCAGGCAACACAGTAAGACCCTGCCTCTACAAAAAATAAAATTGCCAAGTGTGGCATGTATCTGTAGTCCCAGCTCCTCTGGAGGCTGAGGTGGGAGGATCGCTGGAGCTCCAGAGGTCGAGGCTGCAGTGAGCAGTAATCGCACCCCTGTGATCCAGCCTATTTTGACGCATTTCTTTCACTGTCATTTTTCTAACCCCGAAGACAAGGGGTTGACCTAGGAAGGCTTGAGAACTTCGTCCAGCTCTACTTTCTGGGGTCAAGATGAGACCAAGCTGTTGGATCTTTGTCACTCTAAAGTTGACTTTGACCTTGCAGCATTTTGCTGAACTGCAGCATGAATTGGGAGGGTGACAGTCCTATGGCTGAAGCTAGTGCTCTGGTGATGGGTGTGGGCTTATCACTCGGTAGCGCTGGGACCTTGGGGAATCTGCTTAGCCCTCCACCTCAATTTCCTTGTGTCCTAACTGGAGATAATAATACCTGCCTCCTGGAACTGTTAGGGCAAAGCCTGGAGGCCAGAGGCCAGTATACCACCAGAGGCCAGCATACAACCAGAGCTGGTAGCTTTGGTGATCGTGGTGAAGATGATGGTGATGATGATGGTGACAATGATGGTGACGATGATGGTGATGATGGTGATGATGGTGAGGTAGTGGTGATGACGTGGTGGTGGTGATGAAGATGTTGATGATGGCGGTGATGATGGTGATGGCGATGACTGTGATGGTGGTGGTAGTGATGACATTGAGGATGACGGTGGTGGTGATGATGATGGTAGTGGTGATGACAATGGTGGTGATGACAGTGATGATGGTAGTGGTGATGACAATGGTGGTGATGACGGTGATGATGGTGATGACAGTGGTGATGATGGAGATGGTGATGACGGTGATGATGGCAGTGGTGATGACAGTGACGGTTGTGATGGTGATGATGGTGGTGGTGATGGTGATGATGACGGTGGTGATGAAGGTGATGGTAACAGCGACAGTGATGGTGGTGGGGGTAGATGGTGCCAATGGTGATGGTGGTGGTGGTGATGGTGATGACAGTGATGATGCAGATGGTGATGACGGTGGTGGTGATGATGACAGTGACGGTGATGATGACAGTGGTGGTGAAGGTGATGGTGACAGCAACAATGATGGTGGTGGGTGGAGGTGGGAGGGATGGTGACAATGATGACGGTAATGGTGACAGTGACGATGATAGTGGGGGGTGGGGGTAGGGTGTATGGTGACAGTGGTGTGACGGTGGTGATGATGACAGTGACAATGATGATGATGGTGGTGGTGGTGGTAGAGGTGGGGTGGATGGTGACAATGGTGGTAATGCAGTTCCTAATGGGTGTTTTCTTTTCCTGTCTGCATTGTCTTCCTGAAAGCGGAGGAAAGAGACTCCTCCCTTGCCTCCCCCTTGCCCAGGATGCCTGTGAGGAGCATTCGGGAGCCTCATTACCACTCCCTGGTTTCTATTTCAGGATATTGACTGGGTACAGACAGAGAAGCACGTGTTTGAGCAGGCATCCAGCAACCCCTTCCTGGTCGGATTACACTCCTGCTTCCAGACGACAAGTCGGTAAGAAAAAGAAGGGTATTTCTGATATTCTGCAGATTTCAGATGTGAACTGCACAGAAGCTAAGTCTGGTGTGATGTGTCAACTGTCACCTGTAAGGTTCTCCCAGTTGCTGTACGGGTGTTTTCAGGCCAGCAGACTCTCTTTGTTGTTCTCCTTGGTTGGTGTCATATTAAGTACATTTCATGATCTGAAGTTATTTAATTCCATTTACGAAATACTTACTGGAGGTATCCCACTGAGTGCAGGCATTGGGTCAGGTGCTGGGGCTACAAAAGTAAGCAAAAGAGGTGGATTTCTGTGCTTATTAAAATATGTACAGCTTCACCTTCAAGCTTTATATATACTGGAATTCTGTGGCTTTGAATACATTTGAAAGCTGATGATCTAGGATATTAAATGTATGCCCTGTTTAAAATTTTGGGGGCCAGTTGACTTTGACCTACCTGATTTGTTTATTTGAAGAGTTATTAAGTATGTTCTGCATTGAGTCCTCAAGACCATCCCCAGGTTCGATGATTGGCTAGGAGGACTGCTGGGATCAATCATGGCCGCACTGGGGGCCACAGCTGGCATACTGCACTGGGGAGATAAAGGAGACTTGGCCAAGGAAAAAGGCACATGGGGAAAATTCCAGAAGAAACCAGTCACAAGCTCCCAAGAGCCCTCTCCCAGTTCCTCCAGCAATGAATTGTGACAACTCATGGTTTTTGTCAAGGGCTGGTCATGCAGGCTGCACACGAACCAAAATTCCAGACTCCCAGTGGAGAGCAGGTGTTCAGCATTGCGTTAGTCAGGGTTCTCCTGAGAAACAGAACCAGTTGTGTGCACGTGTGTGTGTGTGTGTAAAGAGATTTATTATAAGATACTGGTTCATGGGATTATGGAGGCTGAGAAATCCTATAATCCGCCATCTGCAGGCTGGAGGCCCAGGAGAGCCAGTGGCACAGCTTGAAGGCCTGAGAGCCAGGAGCTGATGGGGTCGCTTCCAGTCCGGGTCTGAAGGCCTCAGAGCTAGGAGCAAGGGGGCCAGAAGGTGGATAGCTCGGTAGTCAGGGAAACGCAGCCTTCCTCCTCCTTCTTGTTCTCTTCACGTCCCCAGGGGCCTGGATGATGCCAGTCTACTTCAGGGAGGGCCGTCTGCTTACTCTTCCAGAAGCCCCCTCAACAGGCATGCCCGGAAGTCATGTACAGCCAGCTACTAGGGCGTCCCGTGCCCAGTCAAGGTGACCGTTGAATTCACCATCACGAGCATAAGGCATCCTGTTCAGGCACACACAGTTTGGGCACAGCAAGCAGCTCTTATTCCAAAGCTTTTTTTTTTTAATGTGCTTTTCTTGTTTTTGAGATGGAGTCTCGCTCTATCACCCAGGCTGGAGTGCAGTGGCAACATCTTGGCTCACTGCAGTCACCACCTCCTGGGTTCAAGCAATTCTCCTGCCTCAGCCTCCTGAGTAGCTGGGATTACAAGCACCTGCCACCACACCTGGCTAATTTTTGTATTTTTAGTACTCTGTGTTGGCCAGGCGGGTCTCGAACTCCTGACCTCAAGCCATCTGCCCTCTGCAGCCTCCCAAAGTGTTGGGATTACAGGCATGAGTGACTGAGCCCCGCCTCCAGAGTTTTTTTTTTTTTTTTTTTAAATAAAGATAGGGTCTTGCTCTGTCGCCCCAGGCTGGTCTCAAACTCCTGGGCTCCTGCCTCAGCCTCCCAAAGTGCTGGGATTACAGGTGTCCACCACTCTGCCTGGCGGTCATGCAGAAGCATGTTATATCCGTGTAGGGAACTGTTTGCAGTTCACGTTCCCAGCCCCAGCTCCGGGCCAGCTTTGCGGGCCAGGCTTCCTAAGCACAGCGGTCCTAGGCCCTGGGTGCAACCCTCTGCTGCTCGGTTCTTAGCTGTACATCTGGCGACTTGCTCTCCTCCGCTGCACTCTTGGCTCTCCTGACCGCAGGGTCCTGCTCTTGCCTGTGCTTGGCAGCCACCTCTGTCTGTCGGAAGAGCCGGCGTGACCCGGCCGTTCCCCGACCTGCTCTACGTGCGGTGCCGTCCTGGTCAAGGGTTCCTGTTTTCTGGCTGCTTACGCCTCCTAAGTGTGTTTCAGGGTCCCCCACCCTCCCCACCTGACCCCAGGGCTCCCCAGTGTTGGCTTCCCCATGTTGGGCCTGAGCCATATTTGAGAAACACAGATCTGAAGTCTTTTTCCTGCCTCAAAGCTCCTCTGATTCCTCCTCCCCAGTTGCTTCTGGGGTAAATTCCAAGCTTCCTGTGCGTGTGGACGAGGCTTGTGGTGACCAGGCCCCAGTGCCCCATCGTGTGCTTCAGCGTGGCGCCCTCGCCCGCACCGCCTGCGCCTGACGGCTCTGTCCCCTTTCCTTCTGCTCCCCTGCTTCCCGGAGTGAGTCAATGCCTCCCTTTGTGCATTCCCATTGCGCTTTTCCAGGCCTCTTTCCGCCCTGACTGCCATCCCTTGCGATTTGGGAATACGCCCAGGGGAAGGCAGCCCGGCCCCCCACACTTCCTAAATGGTGAGGTTCCAAGAAG
This sequence comes from Homo sapiens, assembly GCF_000001405.40. Classification (NCBI taxonomy): domain Eukaryota; kingdom Metazoa; phylum Chordata; class Mammalia; order Primates; family Hominidae; genus Homo; species Homo sapiens. The sequence continues at coordinate 2,158,635 of NC_000001.11, forward strand.
GGTTTTGTTTTGCTTTGGTTCTTCTTCATATGTGAACTTGTAGGGATGTAGATGTATAAGGGGTCCGATATCCCACCCTCACTTCCCCTGAGTGGCCCAAAGCTCAGCCCCTTCTGCACTTGTGTCTTTGGACTCTTCTGTCAAGTCACAAGTTCCCAGATGCGTAAACCTGAACTTAAAGAATTGTCGTCTGTGGGGTGTCTGTGGGATCCCCGCAGCGGCACCAATCACTGTCCTGTGGGAGCATTCGGCATTCACAGTTGGGAATAATTCCTATGCATGTCTGATTTTTTTGCCTTTTTTTTTTTTGAGACGGAGTCTTGCTCTGTCACCCAGGCTGGAGTGCAGTGGCACGATCTCGGCTCACTGCAACTTCCACCTCCCTGGTTCACGCCATTCTCCTGCCTCAGCCTCCTGAGTAGCTGGGACTACAGGCGCCTGCCACTACACCTGGCTAATTTTTTGTATTTTTAGTAGAAACGGGGTGAGCTCCGGGTTGGGGGGAGGACCGGCAGCTGCCTTAGTCCAATAGCTGGGGGGCTGTGAAAACTGCCCACAAATTCTTACTGACCACACAGCACCAGACACCCACGTGAAGCAAAGCCAACATCGGCAAGGCGGCCACGCGTCCGGGTGGCGGAAAAGTCTGGCCTGGCCCAGGTGGGTGTGCTCGGCTGTGCCGCCTCTGCTCCCTGGTCACTGGAGGTGACTGCAGGCTTTATGAGGACTTCCTCTTTGTGCGTTGGTTCTGCTGGAACATCCAGCTGAGGTTTTGCGTGGGCCCCTTGCTGAGGGCCAGGTGAATAACACGCAGAACAGGACACTCCTTCGCTCTGGGCGGCCTCACAGCTCCCGGGCCATATCCAGGGGGAACCTGGCCGATGAAACTGCAGAGGTTTCCACACAAGTTTGGTTCCCATAAAGGGTCTGTGAGTGGGGAAGAATCAGAATTGCTTTCTTTCCACCCCAAATCTGGTCTTGCCTCTTCTGGCCGGCCATGTTCGTGTCCACTGGGCGGCTACAGGGAATTCCTGAATGTTACAGTTCAACATTAGTCTCACCTCGTGTGTCCAGATGGAGAGAAACAATTCATTCGCAGTTTTAAGACACAATAAGCACCTGCTTTATGGACAAACCATACCCCATATCTACACAGACAGCCCACCTTTTCCAGACAGCAGCCAAAATTGAAATGAGCCATAAAGTCTCCAAAACGAGAAATCGCTTCAGTTTAAGCTATTTCAGGAAAACCAGGTAACTAGAGATTTAGCTGAAATGACTACTTTCAGCGTCCCCCGCCCCATTCAACTGGAGTCGGAGGACACTTTCTCACTAAGGCACGGTGATCTCAGATGGTAGGTGAGCAAACTACCCTTAAAATACGCCCATTCACTCGCTGTTCTAAAATAAAATCTCTTACTGTTTGCCACGGTTGATTATTTTACATTCATTCACACTCAATGTTTCTTTAAAAAGAACAAACACACACCTTTGCTTATCTGTGGAAGCGCTTCTCAGGCCGTGCACTGACTGAGACACTTGAGTAAGCTCTTCTTGGTCAAACTGACTTCTAGACATGAAAAGCACTTCACCCAGCAGTGTGCGTGTGTGTGTGTGTGTGTGTGTGTGTGTGTGTGTCAGTTATGCTTTGAAACCTGCCCGAAGCTCTGGAGAGGGAGACAGCTTTACTAACAGCAGAGAGTGACGTCCCTGGAACTGGTCACCAGCGTCAGGAGGCGTGGCACCCGGGGAGGGTCCGCAGGGAGCAGAGTGGGACTCCGTGGAGAGGGGGGCAGGCAAGGGTTGGGTCACGTAGGAGGGGCTCATGGGGGACAGGCCTGTGGGAAGGACGAGGGCAATGGTGTGTGTCAGGGACAGAAGAGAACCAGGCCTGAAGGTGCCAGGGGCTTTCGAAGCTGGACTTGGCCAAGAGGCCCTGGGATGCGGAGGCCCCAGGGATTCTCAGTGCAGTGCTGGTGTTGGGCAGGCACTCGTGTGAGGAGTAGGATCTGGGCCGCAGAAGCCAGAGGGACCTGCTGGGCCTGTCATGGCCTGGAGGGAAGCCTTAGGGGGTGGGGAGGAGGGGCCTGTCCCCATGTGGGGGAGTCACCCCGGTTCGCAGAAGTCAGGGCAGTGCTGGCCAGACAGGCACAGAGCGGAGCCAGCCTGGACGTGGAGGACTCGGGGGTGCTGTGGCCTGGGATGGAGACGCCCCGCCCCGCCGGGGGTGATTGTGGTTGTGGGTGTGTGAGAAAGAGGTGAGGGTGTGACGGGGTCTGACCCTGGGGTGCTGCCTCCTCAGGGCTGCAGGAGGAGGCGCCGCCGTCGGGGTGGAGGCAGTAGAGGGAAGGGCTCAGTGGGTGCCACAGCAAGGACAGCCTCGGCCGCGACCTTGGGAAGGGCAGGTGCCTCTTCTTGGGGAACATGAGTCACCTCCCTTTCAAAACCCATCCGTGTGCTGGAGTCATGGGAGCTCAGAACAGAAGGAGAGATCCTGACTGACACCCGTAGGGCCCAGCGTGGGCGCAGCCGCCTCAGCCTTTGTTCTGCCGACACACGGTGACGGCTCAGCGGCCCCCTGATTTGCTCACTTTTCATCGGGGTTGCCTAAAATGGTAAAAGTGCCACCCTAAACCCTAGCACTTCCGGAGCAGGACGCTTGGGCCTGTGGCCCCCACAAGGCTGTGCACGGGAGAAGGGGCTCTTCCCAGCATCAGGGGCCTGGCAGGAGCCAGGGGCTTGGTTTGCCTTTTGCATTGCGAGGGCGTCCTGCACTCTTCGGGAACACTGCGGACAGCTGCGCATGCATCCTCCCAGAGCCCTGGGCAGTGAGGGGCCCTCGGGGACCCCCAGGACATGGGCTTTGGGACACACCTGCAGTGTACAGGGGGCCCTGCTGTTTCCTGATGTGGTGTCACAGGCCACACAGGACTGTGCAGAACACGGGAGAAAGGGATGCGTTGTCTGTAGTTCTAATCGGGAGGCACTGGCCGCTCTTAGAACAGGTCAGGGGGCAGGTGTCATTGCCATTCGGGGTCACGTTAGGACCGGGGGACCTCCACTGCAGGCTTGGAGATGATTTTGCTAGTAGTGAGCAGAGATGAGGTCATGGCATCTCCCCTTCTCCATCCAGACCCGAACGTCCCATGCCACTGCGCCCTGCATGGTTCCCAGGATGAGCAGGGATAGGGGTGGCAGCCCTGGAGCCACCTGGAGTCTCCTTAGTTGAAGGAACTTTCAGGACCGGTCCTGAAATTGTGCCTTTGCTGCTTAACTACTAGATAACGACAGAGACCACATAAAACAAGAGCCTCTTTATAAACTTGTATCCCATTTTAACGTGCAGGAAAGAACCTTCGTCCGCACTCCAAAGACCCTTGACTAACCAGCGTCACCATCCAGACAGTTTTGCCTCGTTTTTCCTTTTCTCTTGTTTATTTTTCCATGTGGACTTTATAATCAACCCGTCTGCCTCCAGAAAGAAAAAGAAACTGGGATTTTCTTTTCTTTTCTTTGAGAAGGGGTCTTGCTCTGTCACCCAGGCCGGAGTGCAGTGGCGCAATCTTGGCTCACTGCAACCTCCGCCCCCTGGGTTCGAGGAATTCTCATGCCTCAACCCCCCGAGTAGCTGGGAATACAGGCCCCTGCCACCACACCCAGCTAATCTTTGTAGTTTTAGTAGAGACGGGGTTTCACCCTGTTGGCCAGGCTGGTCTCAAACTCCCAACCTCAAGTGATCCACCTGCCTGGGCCTCCCAAAGTGCTGGGATTACAGGTGTAAGCCACTGGGCCTGGCCCGAAACTGGCATTTTCATTGGGATTTGTTAAGTTCACACATTACCTGGGGCGAAATTGACATCCTTCTAAGTGTTGGATCTTCCCATTCAGGAACCCGGTTTACCTTTTCATTCACTCACATCCTCTTTCAGGAGACTCTTGAAGTCTTCATGTGGTTTTCTTCACTTCCTTGTCTAATTATTATTATTATTATTTTTACAGATGGGGGTCTTGCTATGTTGCCCAATCTGGTCTCAAACTCCTGGGCTCAAACGATTCTCCCACCTCAGCTTCCCAGAGTGCTGGCATTTCAGGCGTGAGCCACGGTGCCTGGCCACTTCCTTGTTTAATTTTGTCTTGAGTGTTTCATCTCGTTTCTGTTATAAACGAGGTATTTTTTCTTCTCTCAGAGCATCCAGCAGCAGGCAGCTTGGTCTCTGCGTGGTAACTGTGGGCCCCATGGCTTCTGAGTTCTCTTCCTTGTAGTAACTTTCATGGCTTCTGAGTTCTCTTCCTTGTAGTAACTTTCATGGCTTCTGAGTTCTTCCTTGTAGTAACTTTCAGGTGGTTTTCTGGGGCTTTGGATGCACAGGGTTAGCATCTGCAGGTGGGGCAGCATCACCCACCTCAGCCGCTGCAACCAGGTCGTGCCGTCTCTGTTCATCTTCCTCTCTGGTGACAGTGGCCAGCACCTGCCTCACTGGGGTGACGTTGACACTGGACGGCCCTGTCCTATTCCTGACCCCAGCTGGAACACTTTGCACCGGAAGCGCAGTGCCATCCTCAAGGCAGAACGGAAGCATTTACCCATCTCGGGCAGGCAGCATTTGCCCTGGCATGTGCAAAGGGTGTTGGGAGGGCCACAGGGGAGAGGAGAGACAGGGGCTCTGCCTGCAGCCGTGGAACTGGGTTCTGGAGCCCACAGAGGAGCTGTCCCTGCCTGAGCTGTTGGAGACGGGAACGGACCCTCCCAGTTCCTGGGCCCATCATCTGGTCTCTGAGGACACCTGCTGGCAAAGGCCCTGGCAATGATACATACAGCCTCTCAGCCCCCAGCCACTGGGAGAAGGTTCTAGAAAGGCTGAGCAGCAGCGTGAAGCTGAGAGAAGATGACCGATAACTGCATGCAGAGGTGTGACTTGTCCTATTAAGGGACTTTCCACCCATTTCTGTTTTGCTATCAAGAAAAAACACTGAGGCCGGGTGCGGTGGCTCACGCCTGTAATCCCAGCACTCTGGGAGGCCGAGGCGGGTAGATCACGAGGTCAGGAGATCAAGACCATCCTCGCTAACACAGTGAAGCCCCGTCTCTACTAAAAATACAAAAAAAAAAAAAAATTAGCCAGGTGTGGTGGTGGGTGCCTGTAGTCTCAGCTACTTGGGAGGCTGAGGCAGGAGAATGGCGTGAACCCGGGAGGCGGAGCTTGCAGTGAACGGAGATTGCACCACTGCACTCCAACCTGGGCGAGAGAGCGAGACTCCATCTCAAAAAAAAGAAAAAAAAAAGAAGAACACTGCAAGTTGTGCAGGGGCCTCCTTGCCATTTGTGGAGATCATTGTTACGATTTTTACTCCTTAGGGCCTCCTGGAATGAATGGTGTCATCGTAATGTAGCTGCTGGTATTGAACCATCCTTAGATTCCTGGGGAAAACCGTGCCCTGTCTTAGTGTGCTACTCTGTTAATGTGCTTCTGAATTCAATTTGCTGATATTTTATTTAGGATTTTTTTTGGTTGATATTCATATTGTTTTAGTTTAGAATCTTCAGGACACAGAGCTACTGCTCCAGTGATCAAGGGAGACACAGGATGGAAACACACCTTTTGTCACCCACAGGCCTTGGGGGTACACAACCTGCTGGGAGGCCAGGGAGCGTAAAGAGAGACAGGGACCCTTTATTGGGTCCAGGGTGTTCTGCACACAGGTTTCCCATGGGAAGTTTTAACTGATGGACTTAAAGCAAGCAGGCCTGAGCTCCGTGGGGCCACACTGTGACTGTCGGGGGACTCTGCAGTGTGGCTGCACAGTCCATGTTGGGTGTGGTATCAGTGGGGCTGCAGGGAAGTCACCAGGGGGCAGTTGCATAGGGTGGGTGTCTGGATGGGCCAGCTCGAGGAATGGGGGATGTGGAACTGGAAACTGTCAGGGCGACAGCCCTGCTTCTGGTGGGAGAAAGTCCAGCTTAGATCCAGAATGGATGCCGAGGCAGCCTAAAACCATGAGCGTTCCCTGCACACTCTGGCGTCTGATCTCTAGCTTCCCTTTCTTGTGCAAGCTTCATTGGATTTTTAAATTTTCCTAATTTTTCAATTCCCGGGAACATTCTAAATTGCGTTATTACCTCTTGGCGGGATCCCTGTGCGATTGCCGGGCCTTGGGTGTCGTGGAGGGCAGCTGCCTCGCTCCGCCCTGGCTTTCGTGATGTTGTGAGCTTTACCCTGCCGAGGCTGGGTGTTCTCACCCAGTCCCACGGCTGCACCCTGCCTTGCCTTCTCCTCTGCTCAACTTCACCCCAGGCCGTGTCTCCTGGCTCCAGGAAGGTGAGGGGCTGCCTCCCATGCGTCCTTTCATGTTGAGGACACCCGTGTTTGCCTTTGCACGTGAGCCCCATTGTCGCTGGGACACACTGCCCTCCAGTGCTCGAGTGCATTTCCTGGGCACTTTCTGGCCTTTTATCTTTGATGGAGAAATCCGAGGCCTGCCAGCATCCCCACCAGTAGATTTCTTTGGACGAAGTAAAATCCTTCTGTGGATTCAGCTTTACCGCCTTTCCTCATCTGCTGGTGTCTTCCTCAGAGCTTTAATGTCCGTCCTGCTCTCCGAGTCAGGAATCTGATTTTCCAGCGTGCCCTGTAATGACGGTGCTGTCACCGCTGTGATGTCCGCTGTGAGGTGGGGACAGGACCTGGAAGTGGGGTTTCCAAGTGAGGGTTCTGGGCCCGCCCGAGTCATCTGATGTTGGGTCTGACAAGCCAGGAGCTGTGTGAGCCGGAGAACGTCCCCTAACCTGTCTGTGCCTCGGCTTCCCCATCTGTAAAATGGCGAGAGCTGAACTTACTTCCTGGTGATGGGGTCAAGTGCGTTAACACAGAGGGACTTGGAGACTGACGCTTACTGAGGGCCACACCAGCGGTCAGCAAAGGTTGTCTTAAAGGGTCAGGCAGTAAATATTTCCACCTTTGTGGGCCATGCGGCCTCTGTGGCAACTATGCGTTCTAAAACAGAAGCAGCCTTAGACACTGCGTGAAGGGACGCGTGTGGCCGTGTTCCACCAGAACTTTCTGTACACACATGGTGGTGGCCCGCCCGGACCCATCTGGTTAATTCTTGACTCTCAGGGCAGCGTCTCCTGTGCCTCCAGGAGAGGGCTGTGGTTCCTCCCTCTGAGCCGGGCACCTTGCATTCCTGGAAGGGGTGGGGGGAGTGGCGAGGAGGGGGCGGCACCAAGGACAGGGCCCACCTCCTAGGAGGTTTTGTGAGCTTCCCTCAGCCCCCGGCCGCCCCCTAGGAGGTTTCGTGAGCTTCCAGCATCCCCCTGCGGCCACTGTCCCTCCATTTCCCATGTCTGTTGGATGGTGCCGGTTCCAGGGCAGGGTCAGGGACTGGATCCGGCTGCGGTCTGCGTCTCGCCTGGTTCCTGAGAGCTGCACTTTGTCTTTGGTTGTTGATGAATCCATTTTTGCTGGCGTTCTTCACGTTTGTGTATTTGATTAAGTATCATGGACAGGCATGTGCAGTGGCTCACACCTGTAATCCCAGCCCTTTGGGAGGCTGAGGCCGGAGGATCACTTGAGGCCAGGGGTTCAAGACCAGCCTGGGAAATATCTCGAGACCCTTTCTCTACAAAAAATTTAAAAATTAGCTGGCGGTGGTGGTGCAAGCATGTGGTCCCAGCTCCTCGGGAGGCTGAAGCCGGAGGATTGCCTGAGCCTGGGAGGTCGAGGCTGCAGTGAGCCATGATCACACCACTGCACTCCAGCCTGAGTGACAGAGTGAGATCTTGTCTCAGAAAAACAGCCCCGAGGGCACGTGTCTCATGACTCCCGCCTCCCGCCTCCCATCTGGGCTCTGCTTGCTCCTCTCCCCTTGCAAACATGAGAGGAGCGTTAATGCCAGGACAGGGAGCAGGGAGGGGCATCCCCAGCGCCTCCAGGCCACAACATGGCGAGTGTGGCTACCAGGACACGGAGGGGCAGCCTCAGCCCCCTCCCCCAGGCCACGACATGGCGAGTGTGGCTACCAGGACACGGAGGGGCAGCCTCAGCCCCCCCCAGGCCACGACATGGCGAGTGTGGCTACCAGGACATGGAGGGGCACCTTCAGCCCCCCACCCCCACCCCCAGGCTGTGCTTCCCAGCATCCCTTGGGGTCAGGACTGTGTGTGTCACTGAGGGGCTACGGGTGAAGCCACACACGCCCCTGGCCTGGCCTTGCGCCCCTGCCTGAGAGCCTCTATGCAGGACAGCGCCTGTGGGGCACCCAAGTGGGCCGAGCCCATGTGGATTACAGGTGCACACCACCAGCGTGAGGAGAGGAGTGGGCTCGGAGCATGCTCAGCCATGGTCCCAGGCATCTTGTCAGCAGCCAGCTCAGCTTGTGTCACGCAGAGTCGCCTTAGAGTGAATTGACACCAGATTGTCCTGGTGGGTTTTTGCTCTGAAGAAATGTCAAAAGTAGCATTAAGGTTTTTCTGTAGACAAAAAAACCCCACCATCATTGCAGCTTGAGCAGTTGCAAATTAAATAAATTCCTTCCTCAGCAAGCTGCCTGGGTCCTAGGCCTTGGGCAGAGAGAACTGGCTTTCAGCACAGTTCCCGTGATTGGCTTTTCTCTGGAGAAGAAGGGGAAGCGGCCTCCGCCTCTACCTCTCTAAGTGTTTAAATGTCCCCCAAATTCTCTCAGCCTCCTGAGGCATTGTATTGATGCTTTTCTCTAGAATTCATGTATTTCTTTATTTTCTCTGGAAATGGCATTGGCTTTGTCCCCGTCCTATGGGCCGTGATAGCTTAAAGTTAGGATGAACCCACAGAGGCCGTGGAGGCCCTTCCCAGGCGCCGCAGCAGCACTGTTGGGGTGAACGTGGCTCCTCTCGGGGGGACAGGTGGAAGGGACCAGCACCCATTGGGGCGTGTAACTCCTGGTGGCAAAAAATGTGCGGTGAAGTCACCCTAAGGGTTTTTGTGGTTTTTTGTATTTTTATTTTATTCTTTGAGACAGAGTCTTGCTCTGTCGCCCAGGCTGGAGTGCAGTGGCGCAATCTCAGCTCACTGCAGCCTGTGCCTCCTGGGTTCAGGCGATTCTCCTGCCCTCAGCCTCCCGAGTAGCTGAGATTACAGGTGCACACCACCAGCCCTGGGTCATTTTTGTATCTTTAGTAGAGATGAGGTTTCACCATGTTGGCCAGGATGGTCTCGAACTCCTGACCTCAGGTGATCTGCTTGCCTTGGCCTCCCAGAATGCTGGGATTACAGGCCTCGTGAGCCACCACGCCCAGGCACTCTAAGGGTTTTGAATAAATTCTTTCTTAACGTTTTCTGACCGACTCTTAGGTCGTGGGTGTCCTCCAGGGGTTGGAGGCCTTCATGGAGCTTCGTTCCGTGGGGTTGACGTTACTGAACGAGTCCCTCCACGGGTGCACTGAGGACGTTCCTGCACATCGAGGGCACCCTCAGAGCTGCTCTTTCTGTCATTGCTATTTTGTTTATACCGGGGATTGGCAAACTTTTTCTTGAAGGGCCCAAGAGTAGACATTTTTGGCTTTGCGGCCACAGGGTCTCTGTTAGCAACTCCCTCTGCCACGGTGGCTGGAAAGCAGACATAGAAAATAGATGCACCAGTGAGCATAGCCTCGTTCCAATAAAACTTTATTTACAAAACAGGGAGCAGTGGACCAGCGAGTCCCCAAGGACAAGGGCCAGGTTACCAGAGAATTTCCAGGCACATCCGTTGGAGGCAGGGGAGACAACAAAAGCCGAGGAACGAGCCTTCCCCAGCCGCTCCCCAAAGGCACGGCTTATTCTTCAGGGTGCCCGACTGGCCACGTGGACGTCTCTCCAGCTCCTCACTTGGGGCCCAGGGCTCTTTCGATTTTTAGGAGTTTGTTTCCAATCAGAAACTTCACAGATGATTTGCAGCCAGTTCACCTGCCCTGTGTAAACTGGCCTCTGTCCTCTCTGGCTTAATTCTGGGAGCTTGTGGAGGGCAGGAGCAGGGACAGGTGCCTTGAGGCGTAACAGTGGCGGTGGTGTGGGAGCTTGCGTGGGATCGAAGGAAACGGGCAGAGTCACCACACGCTTCCCTCCTTCACTCCCCGCTCCACGAGGGGCAGCCAGGAGCAGCCACCAGTCGGAAGCAAATAAACAATTCAGGTGCCAGAGGAGCCGCTGACCTAAAAAAACCCGCCACAGGGTATTTCTGGGAGATTGTATGAGAATTTAATTTTGAAAATTGAGTCTCATGAAATGTAGGAAAAGATCTTATTAGGAAGAGAAACCATGTGGCCCAGTCCCTGAGACGGGAAGGGCCTGCGTGGTCCTGATGACATCTGCGGATCTTTTAAAATCATACGATCATGTCTGCGAAACCGGGATGCCACTTCCCACCTGGCTTCTCCCTGACCCCAGCTTGTTCCCTTGGAGGGCCGGTGGACTCCTCAGCCTTGCAGCAATGAAATCAGGCCTTGAGGCCACCCCACCCGTGACCTGCGGTGCTGTCCCCATGCAAGAAACTGCCTCGCTCCAGCCCCCAGCAGATCCTGTCCCAGCCCCCAGCCCTGGTCCAAGCCACCTCCACTCCCACCTGGTGACGGGCCACCTCCTTCATTCCGGGGCCCACCCACACTTCCCAAGTCCACACACAGTGGCCAAGAGTGAAGGCCGGCGAGGCCCCCGCATGACTCCCTCACCTGCACCCTTCACGAGCGGCCCCGCAGCCCGTCCCCACCAGCCCCTCTCTGCTGCCAGGGTGCTCCTGCTGCTCTTTGCTCTTTGCAAGACTGAACCTGCGGGAGGGTTCGGGCCCACGAAGGCCGCTTCTGTGGGGCTTCTGTCTAAGGAGGCCGCCGTCTGCCGAGGTGACTGCAGCCTCCGGCGCCTCTCTCCCTGCAGGTTGTTCCTGGTCATTGAGTACGTCAACGGCGGGGACCTGATGTTCCACATGCAGAGGCAGAGGAAGCTCCCTGAGGAGCACGCCAGGTGGGTGCGCGTGGACGGGGCCGGGTGGGTGCGCCCGGAGTTGGGGATGGGTGGGTGCGTGCGGTGTTGGGGGGCTGGGTGGGTGCGCACAGAGGGATGACGGGTGGGTGCGCGCGGAGTTGGGGGGCCGGGTGGGTGTGCGCAGAGGGGAGGTGGCTGGGTGGGGTGTGCACGGAGGGGGTATGACGGGGGCGGGGGGGGCGGGGTGCACGTGGAGGGGGCCGGGGACCTTCTCCAGGGGTCAGCAGGGAGCTCAAGGGAGGGAAGTCCAGGTAGGATGGCAGAGGGCATCATGTCCCCCACAGTGTGACGTCCCCTGCATTGTGACACATTCCATATTTGCTCCAGAGTCACAACATTTGGGAGGTCTCCTGAGTTATGGTGCCTCAGACCAGTCCCCCAGGCCCCACCCCTGAAGCAGCACCATGCCTCATCCGAGAGAAGTGAGAGTCTCCTGGGATTGTGCTGTCTTCATGGTGGCTCTGCCCTGGTTCTGCTCTTCACCCTGTTAGTGGCACAGCATGGCCAGCATTTCCTCAGCGTTAGGAGCAGAACGAGAGTGGTCTGTTTCTAGAGTGACCTGAGAGACTCCTTCCTGCCCTTCCCTTTCATCTCTGATATCTTCGGGCCTCCCCTGGCAGCCGAGGGGCCTCCAGCATGGTTCAGGAGCCTCCCCCGGCAGCCGCGGGACCTCCAGGACCGTTTGGGGGCTTATTTCAGCTCCCTGGACCTTTCCTGTCTTTTGTAGTTTCTCCTTTTCCTCATTTCCTTACTTAAGAACGTTGCATGCAGTTTTGTGAGTCACCTTAGATTGTTTCTGGCAATAGGACAGTAGGCAATAAATCTAGAACAGTACACTTCCCACAACGCTGTTTTTAAAAACTGTGGCAACACACAACATAAAAGGTAGCATTTTGGGGCATGGAATTCAGTGGCGTTGAATGCACCCCATGCTTTGCAGCCACTGCTGGCCCCCGTCTCATCTCCAGAGCACGCCCCTCTTCCCTGCTGAAGCTTGGCCCATCAGACACTCCCTCCCTGTCCCCCGCCCCAGCCTCACATCCTCACCCCAGACGGGCACGTCCCACTTTCTGTCCCTCTGATTCGAGGACTCTAGGGACCTCATCGGAGTGGAATCACAGTGTTGGTCCTTCGGTGGCTCATTTTCCTGAGCATAGCGTCCTCAAGATTCATCCGTGCTGTGGCCTGTCTCAGAATTGCCTTCCTTTTTCAGGCTGGATAATGCCCCGTTGGATGGAGGGGCCACACTTTGCTTATCCGTCCATCCCTCGGGGGGCACTTGAGTGGCATCCACATGTTGGCCATGGTGAACAGTGCTGCTGTGAACATGGGTGTGAAGTAATCTCTTGAACACCCTGCTTCCGGTTCTTTGGGGTATACACCCAGAAACTGAATTGCTAACCACATAAGAATTCCATATTTAGGCCGGGCGTGGTGGCTCACGCCTGTAATCCCAGCACTTTGAGAGGCCAAGGCGGGCGGATCACGAGGTCAGGAGATCGAGACCATCCTGGCTAACACGGTGAAATAACACAGTGAAACCCTGTCTCTACTAAAAATACAAAAAATTATCCAGGTGTGGTGGCGGGCGCCTGTAGTCCTAGCTACTCGGGAGGCTGAGGCAGGAGAATGGCGTGAACCTGTGGGCAGAGCTTACAGTGAGCCAAGATCGCGCCATTGCACTCCAGCCTGGGTGACAGAGTGAAACTCTGTCTCAAAAAAAAAAAAAAAAAGGTCATATTTAATTTTTTTTTTTTTTTGATGGAGTCTCGCTCTGTCACCCAGGCTGGAATGCAGTGGTGGGATCTCAGCTCACTGCAGCCTCTGCCTCCCAGGTTCAAGTGATTCTCCTGCCTCAGCCCCCAGAGTAGCTGGGACTACAGGTGTGCGCCACCATACCCGGCTAATTTTTTTGTATTTTTAGTAGAGACGGAGTTTCGCCATGTTGCCCAGGCTGGTCTTGAATTCCTGACCTCAGGTGATCTGCCTGCCTCGACCTCCCGAAGTGCTGGGATTACAGGTGTGAGCCACCAAGCCTGGCACCGTGTTTAATTTTCGAGGACCTGCCGGACTGTCTTCCGCAGCAGCGGCGCTGTTCTGCACTCCTACCACAACGTGCCATGGCTCCGGTCTTTCCCGCATGGAAGCTGTCGTGTTATTTGCCCGCTCCTCCCCTTGTGGAGGCTGCCACATCGTTCTCTGTGTCTTTGACAGCAGGCCATCCTAAGGCGCATGGGGTGGTGTCCTGGAGCTTTCATTGGCATTTCCCTCCCTGGCCCTGTGCACTGCACTTTCAAATCCTGGGCCTGGTCATTGAGAGGATGCCGGGCCCGTGGTGGGGCAAACGGGAGTGTGTGGCCCCCAGGCTGGAGCTGTTGGCGCAGCCTCTGGCACAGGCACTGCCCCCATGACGGCATCCCCACCCCCAGGTTCTACGCGGCCGAGATCTGCATCGCCCTCAACTTCCTGCACGAGAGGGGGATCATCTACAGGGACCTGAAGCTGGACAACGTCCTCCTGGATGCGGACGGGCACATCAAGCTCACAGACTACGGCATGTGCAAGGTGCGTGCCTTGGACCGCCTCCCCTGACCATCCCGCATGTGCGTCTCGGGGCGCCTGTCCCGCGGGGTAGTGTCTACAAGAACCCTCTCCCAGTAACTTTGCCCCCACAGGAAGGCCTGGGCCCTGGTGACACAACGAGCACTTTCTGCGGAACCCCGAATTACATCGCCCCCGAAATCCTGCGGGGAGAGGAGTACGGTGAGTGCCGCTGCCCTGGCCCCTCTCGGAGCACACAGGGCCAGAGATGGCTTCGGGCCTGGCCCAGCAGCCAGGGAGAGGTGTCCTTGACCATCTTACACCCAAAAGCCACACACTGTCTTTCCCAGCCGGATGTCATCATCTGGCCTCAGCCCCTTATTTGAATTCTGGAAAACCTCCCATGTCCACTTGAGCAGCTCCTTGGGGAGGGCACTGCACAGGATTCCTCCTGCCAGGGAGCCCCGGGGCACAGGGAGGGGAAAGACACAGAAAGCGGGGGTGGGACAGGGTGCAGCACCTGAGTCCCCGTGCTGCACGAGTGGCTGGGGGAGAAGCTGTTGTCTGGGGAGCCCCAGGGGGTGCAGGAGCGTGTGGACAGGACCCCACAGGCCCTGCGGCTGAGGACGCCGTGCACACCAGAGTGTTTCTGCTCCTCTCCCCTCTCTGGGCGTGAAACGGGGACATGGGCACGCGTGTGCAGCCGTGTGTGCGTGTGTGAAACGGGGACGTGGGCACGCGTGTGCAGCCGTGTGTGCGTGTGTGAAACGGGGATGTGGGCACGCGTGTGCAGCCGTGTGTGCGTGTGTGAAACGGGGACGTGGGCACGCGTGTGCAGCCCTGTGTGCGTGTGTGCCGTTGGGCTGAGTGTTCGTGTGTCGGGCATCCATGTGTGTTGTGTGCACATGCATACTGTGTTTGTACACACTCCACCCACTTCTGCATCCTGGTGTTTTCAATGAGGCATGCATGGTGTGCCTTCAGACATTTTTACACATTTTTTTTGCCATCAGAATGGGTGTGGGGCAGGCAGGGCGGGCAGGTCACTCGCCGCTGGGATAACTGGGCTCCCCAGCGGCCACAATGGAAGTCTCAGTAGCCAGAGAAGGACAGACAGCAGATTGGAGGACTGGAATATAGTCTAGAACCCAGCTTGGGATGGGGATTCCGTGTGGGACAGCGGCAGCGTCTCACCTCAGCAGGGACCAGGGGGACTTCCGGGGACGCAGAGACAGCTGCTGTCCTTGGGCAAAACGGGTCAGGGTCTCCCACCCCTCATTCGCTGGAACACATTCCCAACAGGTTGACTACTTGAACCTTTTTAAAAAACAAAATGGCTGTAGAAGGAAACACAGGAGAGTATTTCCGTTACTGCAGCGAAAGGGCTTCTTCAAGCTTAGTTCTGTAGAAGCAGAAACGAGAGAGGAGGGTCGTCCGCAGGTTCCACCAGTGCCTCGTGCCGGTGTGGTCACAGGTGCCCTGGCAGGACCGACAGCCCAGAGGCAGCCTGGGAGACCTCCGTAGTGTCAGGGACGGTGGCAGGGAGGCCGAGCTGCCAGGTGGAGGTGCTGGTTCTGTTTGGGAAGTGGAAGTCACAGAGGCCTGTGTGCCGCCTGCTCAAGCCTGGCTCACACTCGTGTCAACTGGGCATGAAAACCAACGCCAGCCAGGTTCGTCCTGCTGCCGGCCCATGTGGCCCCACTCGGTGATGGCTGTGTGCTCTCCCCCAGGGTTCAGCGTGGACTGGTGGGCGCTGGGAGTCCTCATGTTTGAGATGATGGCCGGGCGCTCCCCGTTCGACATCATCACCGACAACCCGGACATGAACACAGAGGACTACCTTTTCCAAGGTGCGTGCCCCGCTGTGCGTTCGTACCCCTCACCTGCACGACTGTCTTCCTTCCTTTTCAAAGGTGCAGGTGGAGGGGTCCCGCGGGTGCCTGGAGCGGCAGTGCCATGCAAAGCGTACCGGGAACCATTCCTCCTGGCCAGACCCTGTGTCACATGCCACTCCCCGGGCCGTGGGGTGGGGTTACCACACCTGTGGGTCAGCAGGAAAGAGAACCTGTCCCCATTCAGCTCCAACTCCCTCCTGCCCTGGCCAGCAGCACATGCTGGAGCCCCAGCATGTCCTTGACCGAGGCTGTACCGAGCTGAAAGCACAGCCCCCACCCCCAAAACCCACAGCCACCATCATGGGCTCCTTCCCACCTGGAGGCCCCGGGACCTGCTCCTGGTCTGGAATTCAGTGCTGTGGGGATGTGGGATCTGGGAACGCGGCTGTCTCCGCGGTGCCCTCTGGTGGCCAGCCTGCAGAGGCACCCGTGTACCTGCGATCTTGGGGCTGAGGAAGGGGAGCTGCTGGTTCACGTCCGATCCTACGACACGTGCCAGCGCATGTAACCAGGAGGCCCAGGGAGGACCCGGCGGGACTCCGGGTTATAGATATTGCTGGGCTGTAGGAAGGGAGGGGCTCCGGGGCCCCAAGGCTGAGCTCCCAAAGCTCTTGCTCAGAGTCAGAGTCTGGGCGGCACTGGGCAAATGGCACACAACACAGGCAAGTCCTCACCAGGCTCCGCCCTTGCAGTGATCCTGGAGAAGCCCATCCGGATCCCCCGGTTCCTGTCCGTCAAAGCCTCCCATGTTTTAAAAGGATTTTTAAATAAGGTACGTTTCTGGCCATGCTGACAAAATCTCGTTTGTGGCCTCGGTGTTGGTGGGCAGAGGGCCAGGCACGGCTGTTGGCCATTTTTTCATGTCGGCTGCTGTGTATCGGGTGTGTGGGTTGATTT
This sequence comes from Homo sapiens, assembly GCF_000001405.40. Lineage (NCBI taxonomy): Eukaryota > Metazoa > Chordata > Mammalia > Primates > Hominidae > Homo > Homo sapiens. The sequence continues at coordinate 2,174,959 of NC_000001.11, forward strand.
TCCGCTTCAGTATTTGAGCTCTGTGTTCTGTGAATCGTCCGTTTTTACTCACACCTAACAAAATGAGAATGTGTGCCCAAGGAAAATGGAACGGAGCTTAACGTACGGGGAAGGAACTTTCAATAAAGGAAACATCTGATTTCCACCACCTGGGTCAGAGCATCGGGGGAGGGCTTGTCAGCACTGGGAGTGGCCACCAAGGAGAGGGGGTCATGGGGCTTCCGGGATGGGGCTGACTTGTCCTTGTTTGAACTCTGACCTCCAGGACCCCAAAGAGAGGCTCGGCTGCCGGCCACAGACTGGATTTTCTGACATCAAGTCCCACGCGTTCTTCCGCAGCATAGACTGGGACTTGGTAAAGCATCACAAAGCCTATTTGCACCCCCATCCCCATCCCAACCCCAAATCTACCCAACCCCCATCCCAACCCCAACCCCAATATTCACCCAACCCCCACCCCACCCCATCCGAACCCCAATATCCATCCCAACCCCAAATTCATCCAACCCTCACCCCACCACCAACCCAACCCCCAGCCCAACTCCCACCCCAACCCCCAACTCAACCCCCACCCCAATATCCACCCAACCCCACTCCAACCCCTACACCCCCAACCCCTCCAACCCCTATAATCTGGTGGACAGAGCCGGGGCTGTGTGGGCCGGGTGGGCTGTGTGAGCTCGCGCACCGCCGGGCTGGTCTTTGACATGGCCCCACTTGCGTGGAGCCAAGGCTCCTGTCTCCCAGAAGGGTCAGCTGGGAATGGGGGACCACCCTCCAGGGCCCCGAGGAGGGATGGGGAGACACATTTCGTCCTCCGGAGCCAGGAGAGTGAGGGGCCGGACGAGCTCGGCCCATGGCGCTTCCTGGCAACCCTCGACTGTGCTGGCTTGGTGCCGCCAGGAGCTAGCGGCACATGCGTCCTGACCTGTGAGCACATTGGCTGTTGGTTCCACAGGGATCTGATAGTGGGGGCCGGCCTAGAGAAGGGCGTTTGCTTTGGTTTCATGGCCGGTTTTATCAGCAGTTACTGGACAGGACCAGCAGTCGCAGCGTTCACGGCTTGAGCTTTAGCGTCGGGTATTGAAGGAGAGTGAGTCTGTGGACAGGGTGCGACGTACACTGGCTCGATTTAGGAATCTGATTTCGGTGGTGTGTGAGCAGGGTGCATTCGGTAGAAACTACTTTGAGTTTTGACCGTTCCCCAGCTGGCCGTATGAGGTCAGTACTCTCCTGTGATGAGGGGCGGTGACTGCAGCCCCAGCGGGCCACGTGATCAGGAGGGGGCCGAATGTCCCGAGGGGCTCTGCGTGCAGGGGGTTTTGCCGGACTGTAGGCTGGCGTGTGTCTGTCAGGTTAAGGCAGGTAAGGCTGCGCCGCTTGGTCGTGGGTTCTGTGTGGAAGTGCAGTCTCCACCCAGGATGTTTCCAGCGCCGCTCGGTCGTGGGTTCTGTGTGGGAAGCGCAGTCTCCACCTAGGATGTTTCCAGCACATGGAGGGTTTATTGGGAGGTGACCTTGTCTGAAGCTGAGGAGCGTCTGTGGAATTTGTTTCCAGCTGTGTAAATGGTTGCAGAGCTACTGAAATAAAACCTTTAAAATACACTCTCAAGGAAAAAAGCAGATTGGATAGCTCGTTCAGTGCATTTTGGAGGAGGTTGAACTGAATCAGGAGAAAGCCCAGCTCTAGCTCTGTCCTCCACCCCACCCAACTTTTCCAGGCAGCCTCGGCCAGCGTGGGAGGTCACTCCCTGGCCCCTGTGGTCAGTGGGGGCCCTTGTCCACACAGCCCAACAAGTCACTTTCTAGTCGAAGGCCTTGCTTTGCCTGTGCATGTGTGGGACCGTGGGGGAAGGTGGGGAGTGAAGTGGTCAGAACGTGCCCACACCCCTTCCTACATACAGCCCTTCCAGAGCCCAGCTGGGCTGCTGCCAAACTAGGACGGGGCCATTCTCTGTCGTGCGGTTGTCAGATGCACACACTTAGAAATGTTCTGAGCATAGGCACCTGCCACGGAATCACCTTCGCAAATTCTTCATTTAAATTTATGCCTCTGGTAGCATAAGGGAGAAGAGATCTGCCTTTGGTTCTAACTGTCAGTCATCCTCACGCCCAGGCCGGGGTTAGAGGTGGCGTCCCTTTTCTCTGGCTCAGGCACCCCTGGCCTAGTGGGGTTACTGGTGGCGTTCCCCTATCTCAGGCCACACCTGGCCTAGCTGGTGTTAGTGGTGGCATCCCCTTGTCTCTGGCCCACAGAACCCCTCCGGTCCACACACACACTCAGGTCCAGGTACCACCCGGCTGAACCCGTAGCAGGTGCTTAGTAGAATTACGTGAGGAGCCAGCATCCCCGCTCCCAGCCACCTCCCCTCGCCCGTCTCAGCTCAGTCTCCCCCGTGCCTTTCCCACCCTCTCTCTTCCAAGCCCACCACCGTATGGGGCCCACCAGCACCATGGGATCCAGGGAGAGCCCGATCCTGGGTGCAGCCTTGGTGCCAGCCGGGCCCCTGATCTTGTCTCTCAACCACTCTTGGTTTACCGGGAGTGGACAGATGAGGACAGATGGCTGCCTGTGGAGTGACGGGCTCCTTCTCTTCGGAGCACTGTCTAATCTGAGTGTGAGTCCAACCCTGCCCGAGCCGGAACTCAAGGAGACCATGAAGCCACCCTTGGCCTCTAGCTGGGAGAGGTCTGCGTCCCTGCAGCGAGCACGCCAGGTGATCTCTGGCACACACTTGCCGCGGGCTGTCTCTCGGAAGGTAGTCAGCGGCCCTGGCTTCCCACCTGGGTCCCACCACTGCAGAATCACCCCCGTGGCTGCCCACAGGGGCGGCTTCCATCACCCTGCTTCTTCCTGGCTGCTGCGGGCTGTGTTGTGACTTCCATCCCAGCCTGAGAGGCCTGCGAAGGGCTTGCCACCGACTGCCAGCCCTGCCTCTGCCACCGACCGCCGGCCCTGCCTCTGCCACCGACCGCCGACCCTGCCTCTGCCGTTTCCTTGCCACCCATCAGCTCTTGAGGCTTTTAGGAAGAAGTGTGGCTGTTTTGGCCAGATTGCTTTAGCTGTCCTCAGCAGGGTTGGTGTGGGGTCACCACCACCCCCATGTGACCTTGGCAGAAGGAAGGTCCTCCTCCCATTCACCCAACGCCTGCAACTCAGTGGTTCTGAGCAATCCCAGAGTTACATGACGTCATCGCGATCACTTTCATCACCCTGTACCCAGAGAAGACCCGAACCCACTCCAGCCTCTCCCCACACCCTGCAGTGGCTGCTCCGCCAGGCTGTGTGGCTCTGCCTGGTCTGCACATGTCATGGAAGTGGACCTGGGCACACCGCGGCCTTTCGTGCCTGCCCTCCCCTCAGCATTGTCTCCACAAGCTGCACCCACACAGTAGCACGTGGCACTGCCTCCTTCCTGCGCTGAACCCCACCCACTGCGTCCACTGCGTGGAGACTGCACCTCTGCATCCGTCCTCAGTGGACATAGGGTGGCCTCCACTTTCTGGCCATTGTGAATTGTGCTGCCGTGAACACCTGTGAACCCGCTTCTGGGTGGACTCGTGCTGCTGTGAGCACCTGTGAACCCGCTTCTGGGTGGACACGTGTTTATTTCTCTTGGGCACGTGCTCAGGGCGCAGTTGCAGGTCCGGTGGTCTCAGTCTAGCCTTTCAGGGGGGCCACCTGTTCCTGCAGCGGCTGCTTTCTGGTCCCTTTGGGGGCCCCCTCAGTCTGTGCTGGACTTAGTTCCATGGCTGTAGTGGGCACAGCTTGAGAACAGTCCCTCGGTGGGTGTCAGCTCCATGTGGGAGTGGGGCACGTGTGAGGCCTTGGTCCCCACCTGTGGACTCAGGGTCTCTTTCACGGACTGCGGGGAAGGCAGTGGGAGCAGCAGGAATGGATGGTGAAAGGACACAGTGCCCGCCCCCCGAGTGTCCGAGGGTAGAGCTGGGACAGGGTCACAGTCACCCCAAAGCCGCCCCCTCCTTGCCTATCCCCAGCTGAACCAGCACCACTCAGGCAGTCGCCGCCACTGGGGTGTGACTCTGGGGCCCGGCACCGGGTCCCCAACACTGCTTTCCTCCTGGAGCCTGGCCTCTGCACACTGCCCTGGAGAAGAGAGGCAGTGTGTGTGCAGAGGGCCCCGTCAGCCAGGCAGATCCACCTGCCTTGCCCCTGCACTGGGAGGTGGCGCTCATCTTGTCGGGGGCTCCCATGGGCCGTGTCTAGACCCCACCCTCCGCCGGTCCAGGCACATCCTCAGGCTCCTAATCCTGAGTCCTCCGGTTTGGCTGTGGGAGCAAAGGCCGTGGGGAAGTTGCTGGGCCTGTCCCGGGTGAGCTTTGAGTGATGGACAGGCTCATTCTGAAGGAACTGGGTCCAGACAGCACGTCCTGGCCTGGTGGCTGGGGCTGCCACTCTAAGAGGGTCCCCATCCCCGCAGGATCCCCGGTACTTGGCACACTGCAAAGCCTGAGTATTTGTGGATCACGTGATCTGTGCTAGTGACTATCAGGAGTCTGAGATTTGAAGCGATGGATTTCCCAGCATGGTCCCAGCTCCCCACTGATGTGAAAGGTGGTGGTGAGTTAACAGCTGAGCCACCACCTGCTGCCCAACCCCACGTGTCCCACATGGCCGGGCGGTGCTGCGCTAACTCATCTCCCCCTGGATGGAAACGTTTGCGTGGTGACAGCCGATTCTCTTGAGAGTCATTTGCTGCCCATGTTGCTGGGGAGATTCTGCCTCAGGGCCAGGAGTGGTTTGCTCCTCCCACCCCGGGCCCAGGGCTGCTGGTGGGAGGCCCCAGGGAGGAGCAAGGACTCTAATGCTTCGTGTGGTGGGAGCCTCAGGACTTTCCCACGTGCGACAGGCACGTTCCTGGGAGCTCGGTGGGAGGAACCCAGCCACGTTGTGTGCTGCGCAAGGAGCCGGCGGCAGGGAGGGGAAAACGGAAAGACGCAGAGGAGGGCAGGTGACAAGAGGCCCACAGAGAGATGGCTGGGTCTGGGCAGCGGGTGGGAGCAGGAGGGAGGCGGTTATGGGAGACGTGGAGCAGTGGAGGCCGTCAGAAGTGGGGATCACAGCTGTGACCTCATGGAGAGGGACAAGCCCCACAGCTGGGCTGGTGCCAGCTCCACTACCCAGGGCCAACCTGTGTGGCCGTAAAATTCTCAAGCCTGGAGTGTGTAGAAGGCAGCAGTGCCCTGGCCTGGCCACCCGCGAACCCCTCTGTCCACCCCATGCTGCGTGGCACAGGGCAGGCGTGGGGCCTCTAGCTGGAGCCTTGAGTGGGTGGATCCTCGGTGGGGCTTTAAGGCCAACCTGTTTATGAAAATGCATGGGGACTGACTGCAGATGCACAGACAACTCAGATGCACAGACGCCCGGACGACGTGGACACCCAGACGATGTGGACGCACAGACGACATGGACGCACAGACGATGTGGATGCACGGACGACGTAGACACACGGATGACTCATCCACAGATGACTCAGATGCACGGACACCCAGACGACGCGGACGCACAGACGACGCGGACGCACAGATGACGTGGACGCACAGATGACGTGGACGCACGGACGACGTGGATGCATGGACGACGTGGACGCACAGATGACCTGGACGCACGGACGACGTGGACGCACGGATGACTCAGATCCCCAGACGACTCAGATGCACGGACACCCAGATGACATGGATGCACGGACGACTCAGATCCACAGATGACTCAAACGCACAGATGACTGGGATGCTCAGATGACCGCTGCTGTGCTGCCACCCCAGGGCTCTCTGGGCGTTTCCTGTGGTTTGGGCACCAGGAGCCTGGGAGTCCCATGCTGCCCCCAGGGCACTACCTCCTGGGCCCAGCCCTGCATCCGGTGGCAGGGCTCACCGTCATCACCCCAACAGTGCAGGGTGGTCTCAGGGACCTCCTCTCATCATTGCCAAGAACTGGCTCCAGGATGTTTCCATGTGGCCGGCTAGTATGGCCAAAGTGGACCCTGGCGTGCTGTCCCCTTGGACGCCTCCAGGCCCTGCCCAGCACGTGGGGCTCGTCCATTCTGTGCCTGACCATGCTCTGCCATGCGGGGCCTAGCCCAGCCCCCCAGCCCTGCTGCTTCTCCCCACCCCACCCCCGCCACCTCCACCAAGCCACCAGCATCCTGCCTGGCCCTACGGACAGCAGGGTCGTCCTGTGTCCAAAAGCCTCCTCCCCCTCAGCCCCTTCACTCGGGTCTCATGGGGCCCCTCTGTGGCCCCCAGCGCACAAGGCACACACCCACTATGGGGCCTTTGCACAGCTGTGCCCTCCCCAGGCTCCAGCCCTCACCTCCCCCAGGCTATTTCTCAGATGTCCCTTCAGAACTAGAGCCCTTGGGCCCCCAGCCCCATTGACACGGAACGGGCCCCCTGTTGTATCTCAGGTCACTGCTGTGGTTGCAGCCACAGGGGCAACACCTGTTACTGCCACAGCGTCCGACCTGGGGCCAGCGTGCATTCAAACGCACTGCTCTGAGAGGCCAGGACGTCCATGGGTTGGGCGCAGGGGGCGGCGGTGGGAAAAGGTGTCAGGCACCATGGGTCCCGACCTGGAGCCCACGTGCCAGCTGCAGAGATGGGCACTGAAGGCTTTTGAGCAAGAGGAGGAGGTAACGCTGGCCCCTGGGGATGCTGTCAGGGAAACTGAGGCAATCTTGAGCCCTCGGAGCAGAGAACGGGCTGGGCCAGGGGCTGGAGGACCCTGGGCCAGCTCCAGCTGGGTCCTGCTCTGTTCCCACCCCTGCTGCTTATTAAACCCTTGTAAAGCAGCACAGGACTAAGGTAGGGAAAGTACTTTAGGAAATGCCCCTTTTTCACATTTTATCGGCAGGTGTTTCATACAAAGAATACAAGTAACTGATGAATGAAGGGGGCATCTTGTGTCCCCACAATCCTGCTGTGCGCACACCACAGGTGAGCCGTTCTGCCTAAGGGAACAGCCCCGGCCCCTCCCTCCGGCTCCTCCCCAGCACCGTCTCCTCCACCCAGTGGCCTGGCCGTGGATGCTGCCTGTGGCCCAGCTTTGAGACACCGCCCTGACACGTGTCCAGCCTTACGTGGAAGGATTTGTCTGTTTTGTGGCATCCTAGTAGATGCCACGTTAGTAGATGCCATGTTAGTAGAATGGATGTGGGCATTTCTTTGTAAGTTCCCAAAAGCCTATGAGGGTTTTTTCCACGATTCCGTTCCCAGTTTGGCTTTTGTTGTTGTTGTGGCTGTTCTTGGCCCCCCTGGGCCCTGCAGTGGAGTGGGGGGCTGCACCTGGGAGCCTCGAGCTGAGGCCCAGCCCCTCCTGCCCTGCATTTTCCTGCCAAGCAGCACCTGAGACTCTGAAGCCGATGCCTATACAGGCAGAAACCTGCCAATTCCAGCTTGAACGACTGGAGGGTCCTGAGGATGGGGGTCCCTGGGGTGCCATCATGGGCAGGGTGCATCTGTTTGGGTATGCTGCCCCCCAGCTGGCGGGGCACCGGGGACAGGCACAGCCACACTGGGGGCATTTCTGGTCTTGGAAGCCTTCTTGGCTCTTCCGGAGGGAAGGCGGCTGCTGGGTGCCCTGTGATCCACCCGCGAGCTGGGCTGTTCGGCTTGGTCTGCAGGGGCTGGGGGGCTGCATTTCTTTTCACCAGCTGCACCCACCCGGCCCCATCCTGGCTGGCACCGAAGGGAGCAGCGCGCCGTGACATCCTCCCCTCAAGCCTGGTGAATGGTGGTTCCATGAGGCTGGAGTCAGTGGGTGCCTGTTGTGACAGCTGGATTTCAGTGTTGGTACAGGAGCACACACCTAAGGGGCGGGCCAGTGAATGAGTGTGCGAGGGTGGGCTAGAGAACGAGCAAGGGAATGAGAGAGAGTGGGTTAGAGAGTGAGTGAGCCAGTGAATGAGTGAGTGAGCAGGAGTGGGTTAGAGAGCGAGGGAGTGAGTGAATGAGTGGGCTAAAGAGGGCCGGGCGCGGTGGCTCACGCCTGTAATCCCAGCACTTTGGGAGGCCGAGGAGGGCAGATGATCTGAGGTCAGCAGTTCGGGAGCAGCCTGGTCAACATGGTGAAACCCTGCCTCTACTAAAAATACAAAAACAAAATTAGCCAGGCGTGGTGGCGGGCGCCTGTACTCCCAGCTACTCAGAAGGCTGAGGCGGGAGAATGGTGTGAACCTGGGAGGTGGAGCTTGCAGTGAGCCGAGATCGTGCCACTGCACTTCAGCCTGGGAGACAGAGCGAGTCTCAAAACAAAAACAAAAAACAAAATTAGCTGGGCATGGTGGTGCATGCCTGTAGTCCCGGCTACTCAGGAGACTGAGGCAGGAGAATAGCTTGAATCGGAGTCAGAGGTTGCAGTGAGCCGAGATCGCGCCACTGCACTCCAGCCTGGGCAACAGAGCAAGACTCCATCTCAAAAAAAAAGTGGGCTAGAGAGTGAGTGAGTGAATGAGTGAATGGGAGTGGGTTAGCGAGGGAGTGAGAGGGTGAATGGGAGTGGGTTAGAGAGGGAGTGAGAGGGTGAATGGGAGTGGGTTAGAGAGTGAGGGAGTAAGCGAGTGAATGTCTCTTGGTGCTGCTGTAACAGAATACCTGAGCGAGCCTGGGTAATTTCTAGGGAGCAGAGTTCTTTCCCAGCTGTGGAGGTTGGGAGTCCAGGGTCATGGTGCCAGCAGGCTTGGTGTCTGGTGAGGCCTGATCTCTGCTTCCAAGATGGCGCCCAAACACTGCATTCCCCGGAGGAGAGAGGGGAGGAAGGCCACGTGTCCACATGGCAGAAGGCAGAGAGGAATCCATGCCCAAGCTGTCTTGACAGCTACAGGAGTTTGTCTGTGAGGGCGGGGCTCCCATCAGGTTCCACCTCTCTACACTGTTGCTCTGGGGAATGAGTTTCTCACTGTGAATCTGGGGGGCACATTCAGACCCTATTGTGGGTGAGTGGGAGAGCATGGCTGTGTCACTGGGACAAGTGGCCATGAGTCGGGGGAACTGAGGGGTTTTCAGTGTCCTCACCCGTATGTGTTGTGGCACCTGTGCCAGGCACCAGCGTTCTGCCCTCCCCGGCACAGGCGCATCACCGAGTCCCAGGCCCGCCTGCTGGGCATTTTCCTGCCAAGCAGCACCTGAGATTCTGAAGTCGATGCCTGGATAGGCAGAAATGGGCCGGCAGGAGGCTCCTGACAGACGGGTCTGTGCAGTGCCAGCGCAGGCAGGGTGCTGTGGCCAGGTCCTACACCTTTATGGTCAGGGTTCCAAGACGTCATGAGACGGCTTGTTCAGCCAGTTAGTTGTCGGTGCCCCTCTGAACAAGGACCCCCCCAAGGAAGGGGGTGGCCTCGCATGGGTGGCTGGGGATCCTGCTCCGTCCCACATGTGGCCAGCATGGCCGACACTGGCATTTCTCAGCTCGACAACAATTTTTCTGACTTTGGATATTTTCTAGATTTTGTGTTGTAAGAAAAAACACTTGGCAGTCAAATACTAGGCAGATTGAAATGCTGACTTTCTCACTGTTTCATTTTGTGATTGAAGTGCGTGCAAAACACTCAATCTGGTAGGGATGATGCCCGCGCGGAGCTGACCCTTCTCCTATTGTTTTTCCAAGCTGGAGAAGAAGCAGGCGCTCCCTCCATTCCAGCCACAGATCACAGACGACTACGGTCTGGACAACTTTGACACACAGTTCACCAGCGAGCCCGTGCAGCTGACCCCAGACGATGAGTGAGTCCCACTGGGTGCGGGTCCCTGGAGCACCCCTCGGGCAGCCCCATGGCAGGCCGGCACCTTGGGCAGCTGGTGACCCAGCCTGCCCTTGAGTCCCACCCGCCTGGTGTCATCTCTCCAGTGGGCGTTGGGGGAGGATTCTTATGCGAACGTGACTCCGCTTCCCCCAAGGGAATGAACACACGGTCACCCCCCTCCCCCCTGCCACCTTTGCCCACAGGGATGCCATAAAGAGGATCGACCAGTCAGAGTTCGAAGGCTTTGAGTATATCAACCCATTATTGCTGTCCACCGAGGAGTCGGTGTGAGGCCGCGTGCGTCTCTGTCGTGGACACGCGTGATTGACCCTTTAACTGTATCCTTAACCACCGCATATGCATGCCAGGCTGGGCACGGCTCCGAGGGCGGCCAGGGACAGACGCTTGCGCCGAGACCGCAGAGGGAAGCGTCAGCGGGCGCTGCTGGGAGCAGAACAGTCCCTCACACCTGGGCCCGGGCAGGCCAGCTTCGTGCTGGAGGAACTTGCTGCTGTGCCTGCGTCGCGGCGGATCCGCGGGGACCCTGCCGAGGGGGCTGTCATGCGGTTTCCAAGGTGCACATTTTCCACGGAAACAGAACTCGATGCACTGACCTGCTCCGCCAGGAAAGTGAGCGTGTAGCGTCCTGAGGAATAAAATGTTCCGATGATGTGGAAGCTCCTCTGATGCCTTTTTTCCGTGAGTGGCGCCTGCCCCACATCTCAGACGCAACCCACACGTAGGGGGGCAGCTTAGGAGCCAGCGGGACACAGGTGGGGGCGGGAGTTGAAGTACCTGTGGGGACACACCGCAATCAAGAATTGTTTCCTAAAAACCCCGGTAAGTTCCTGTTGTTCTTCCTGCAGAGTGTGTCCCAGCCGCTGTGGTCTAGGGTGAAGTGACACCTTAAGCAGATGGCAGCTGGGCCAGCCAGCTCACTGGACCGATGGGGGAAATTGGATCATAGAGATTCTAAAACGTGGCCCACCAAAGCACAGTAGACCAAAAAAGAGAAAAAACTGAACACTAAATCTGCACAAATCATTTCTGACCACACTAAGCAGTGCCTGCACGATGCCTCGTGCGACGCATTTGATTTTTGGAAGATATTCTTATCTGTCACACAGCACTGAGAGTTAGGGAAAACTAAAAGATGTGCATGTGACGGACCCCAGCCTTAAAGTTGAACGTGATGACCCTACAAACACCCAGAAACACAGGCACTCTTCCCAGCGGCGCGGACCTCCTGCTCCCGGGAACACACCCGCGCTCTCCGTCCACCCACCCCTCAGGTGAAGGCACAGCTGTCCAGAGCTGAGGCTTCCTAGAGGCAGGGCTGCCAGCTGCCAGGTGTCAGGTGTGGCAGAGCCGTCTTCTGAGCTCCCTGGGAGAGGGGGTCGCGCCACCTCATGCCTCTGAGTGAGGCCTGGTGCACAGGTGTGGAAATTGCCACGCAGCCCTCTTGGCCAGGCGCAGAGACCCCAGGCCTCCATGACTCAGGGGCCGCTCCACCCCATTGTGCGGCTGGTGGCTTGGGGAAGAGAGACGTAAAACCCCAAGTTAGGAGGTCTGTGCCGCGCCTTGCCTTGCCTCAAGGTCATCCCCAGCAGGTGAGCGTGGCCCACCCTACACACTCAGGTTTCTCAGGGTGCCACTCCGTGCCTGGCGCTCAGCACGACATGGTGGATTCACACCCAAGCCCCAGGTGCCAGGACAAGAATGCCAGCGCTGGGCATACTGCCGGCCCATTCCCCCCGGCCCGAGACCCTGGACACCCGCCCCCCCCCGGCCAGCTCAGGCTTCTAGGTGGAATGTGGAGACGGGTTTCAGCCACACTCCCAACCTTAGCTGTTGAGACTCAACTCCAAAGACGGAAAGTTAGAAACCCCAGGGCAGAGTCCAGGAGCCGACCTGGGTCTCACACAGGTGTCCCAGACCAGCGTGGGGATGCCCAGGTGGCCAGGCCCAGCCTGCGGCCGCTGAAGTTACACCTGCCGGGTGAGTAGGGCTGCCGGGACCCCACCTTGAGTGGGAGACCCCCAGTGTATCCCAGAAGTGGTTAACAAGCAAACTGCTTTCCATGAGCCTCCTTGATTTGTTAAATATTGAAGGCACTTACCTAAATACTGCCGTGTTGCCAGTAGCGTGCCGGTTACCAGTTTGGCCGTTCTTGTACACAATATGTGAGTAATGCTGTGCTCATCAGAGGGGAGACTTTTATATTCAGTAATTTGTTTTATAAATTAAAGTGAAGGATGTATTGAAGTGTGGTTTGAAAAATCCTGATATTTGCTAATGGCTCCGGTCACGACGGTGTCTTTTGGAAGTGGTTCTCGAAAACTCTGGTGACTTGGGGGCTGCACAGTGGGCCTGCGTGGGCGTGGTGCGGGGCAACTGCCCATGGAGCCCGTGGCTGGCCGGCTCTCCTGTGGATGACACTCACCCTTGACTGCCAGGGTCATTCAAAGTCTTGCACATCCATGAAAGACTTTAATGGAAATGTTCACATTATTATTTTCATTAAAAGCAGGTGTTTCCAAGAAGCAAAGGTTTCTGAAGCCATTTTCTTTTTTTTTTTCTTTTTCTTTTTTTTTTCTTTTTTTTGAGACAGAGTATTACTCTGTAGCCCAGGCTGGAGTGCAGTGGCGAGATCTCGGCTCACTGCAACCTCCACCTCCCGGGTTTAAGCGATTCTCCTGCCTCAGCCTCCCCAGTAGCTGGGATTACAGGCACCTGCCCCACGCCCGGCTAATTTTTGTATTTTTAGTAGAGACGGGGTTTCACCATGTTTGCCAGGCTGGTCTTGAACTCCTGACCTCAGGTGATCCACCTGCCTCAGCCTCCCAAAGTTCTGGGATTACAGGCGTGAGCTACCGCGCCCGGCCTGAAGCCATTTTCTTAAGTAGGCATATATCAGGGCAGTTTTAGGCTCCCAGCAAAATGAGCAGAAGGTGCAGCCAAGTCCCCATGCCCCTGCCCTGCCCGTCCTGCCCTGCCCAGCCTCCCCCACCACAGGACACGCTGCTCACAGCTGCTGGGCCTGCCCTTGTCGTCGCCCCACGCCCAGAGTTCCCGCCCAGCTCGCCCAGGGCACCGTCAGTCCCGTGGGTGTGGACAGGCACGTGACAGTGTGGATTCACCACTGTGGGGCCATGCAGAGGAGCCCATGCCCCGGAGACCTCCTGTGCTCCGCCTGTGCCTTCCTAGCCCCTGCACTCTCTTGATGTTTTTGGTCCTCACGGTGTTGCCTTTTCCAGAACCCCCTAGGGTTGGAATCACAGTGTGTAGCATTTTCTTTCCCTTAGTGATCTGCATTTATGGCTCCGTGTTTTTTGCGGCCTATCTGAGGCCATGATTGAAAGGAAAATACAGACGTCTGGGTGTTCACACCACGTCTGCCCCCAGATCTGTTCCCTCAGCCACCACAAACGGGGGTCAGAGCTGAGCCCGCAAAGCCCGGCTCTCCAGAACCTGGGGGCTGAACAGCAGTGGACAGGAAGCTCCCTGAAGACGCTGCTTTCTGTGCTCCACTCACACTGTGAGCCCAGGCAGACGGTGGCTGACGGATCTGGGTGAACCAGATGCCCACTGCTGCTGTCCTTCCCCAGAAACTCCGGATTTCAGGAGAAGCTGCCTCAAAACCCCTGGCGAATGATGAGGCCCTGGAGCCCCCGGAGAGTCTCAGCTCCCGCAGCCCTAACAAACGACCACAGACCTGGGGCTTCAACCAGACTCTCTCGGCTCCAGAGGACGGCCCTCTTCTGGCCTGTGTCCCCCACGGTAGAAGGAGCAAGGGAACTCCCCAGGGTCTCCATTATGGGGCACTAATCCCATCGAGAGGCGCCGCCCCGACCTCCTGTCCTGGCAGAGTTCTTGCCTTGTGGTGAGGATTTCAACCTAGGGATTGGGGAGTTACAGGCCCGCAGCACACGGTGGCAGGAGCCTTTCCTTTTCATAACTAGCTGCAGCTGCAAGTTCATTTTGGGGAATTAAAACACCACCGATGGTGGAGCGCGGTGGCTCACGCCTGTAATCCCAGCACTTCGGGAGGCCGAGGCGGGCGGATCACGAGGTCAGGAGATCAAGACCATCCTGGCTAACACGGTGAAACCCCGTTTCTACTGAAAACACAAAAAATTAGCCGGGCGTGGTGGCGGGCGCCTGTAGTCCCAGCTACTCGGGAGGCTGAGGCAGGAGAATGGCGTGAACCCGGGAGGCGGAGCTTGCAGTGAGCCGAAATCGCGCCACTGCACTCCAGCCTGGGCGACAGAGCGAGACTCCGTCTCAAAAAAGAAAAAAAAAAAAAAAAACAAAAAGAACGCCACCAGAGGCTGGGGCTGCTGGCTCACGCCTGTAATCCCAGCACTTCAGGAAGCCAAGGCGGGAGGATCGCTTGGGCCTAGGAGTTCGAGACCAGCCTGGGCAACATGGCAAGACCCCTCCATCTGTACAAAAAATACTAAAAGTCGCTGGGTGTGGTGACGCGCGCCTGTAGTCCCAGCTATTCAGGAGGCTGAGGTGGGAGGATCATCAAGCCCAGGAGTCTGAGGCTGCAATGAGCCGTGATTGCACCACTGCACTCCAGCCTGGGCGACAGAGCGAGACCCTGTCTCAAAAAAAAAAAAACAAAAAAAAAACCGTGACTGCACATGAGCTAACCACGCCTGTCCACAAAGTTAGGAAAACGAGCTACCCTCAGCCCGTCCGCTGTCCACAGTGGGGGCGCCAGGGGAAAGGGGTCAGCTTCCCCGCCTGGGGCTGTGTCTGGTTCTGATTGCACTGCAGTGAATCTGCCCTAAACCAAACGTCAGAAAGAAAAGCGGCAGACGTTTCATCACAACACAGAGACAGACAGGAGCCCGCCCTGCTTTAATGCGCATGCGGGGGAGCCGAGAGGCGGGGCTGCTGGCGGGGGAGCCGAGAGGCGGGGCTGCTGGCGGGGGAGAGCGTGTCCGGGCGCCGCACTCTGCGCAGGGCTCTTGGATGGCGCTCACCACGTCACGTCTTCTGTGCTTTCGGCCAAGCACTGGGCCAGGTGGCTGTCAACATCCAGCTGGGTCAGCCTGCAAGGGAGGGGCCACACTCACTCGGCCACCTCCGCGGCATGCTGGCCGCAGAGAGCACCGTCTGGACCTCCGGGCCCTCTCTGCTCCTGCCGCTGGAGAGGATCCGGCTGGTCAGAAACAAGGGACGGGGCCACCCCAGGGGCTCATGCACCCGGCAGACCACGGTAACCGCCAGTGGTGTTTCCACACCGTGCCCGTGAGGAGGCCACGCCAGGCCCCTGCGTCCGAGCTGGGGGTGGGGAAGCTGTGTCTCAACAAGCCTCTCTATGGGATTCTGGCGCCTGCTCAGCTTGAGAACGCGCTCATCGTGGAGCCCGGCAGACAGGCGGCCTGACCCGGAGAAAAGGCAGGACGGCGGGTGGCCTGCCAGGGAGAGCCGCCGCGGCTGCGTCTACAGGAGGCAGAAGAGTAAACATGGCTGGGCAGTGGATGTGCAGCTCACGTCAGAGAATTGGTGTTTCTGGCGAGGAGGGACCAAGCCTCACCACGGAGAAGGACGCCGTCACCGGCGTGCAGGCTGCCAACCTGCCACTCTGGGAGGCCCCACGCGGCCCCTGCACCTCTCAGGAGGGCGCTGGCGCTGGGATGGTGGCCGGCCAGGCAGGGGTGGCAGGAGAAAACCCATCCGAGTCCTGCAGGTCAGCGCCCTGGGCATCCAGTGGGGCCGGGAGGGGTGTCTGAGCGCAGCCACCTTCTATCCCCGGCCTCATGTGGCCCCATCAGCCCAACTGGAGCGGCTGGAAATGACCATCACCAGGCCTGGCCAAGGTGTGGCCCTGGAAGCCAGGACAGTTGACTTCCGGCCATGACTCCCGGAGAGTGCCGGAGCTGGCGTGCTCAGCAGAGCTGCCGGGGACGATGTCCCGGGGCTGAGTGGGCGGCTTCAGCCTAGACTTGGGCCTAGATCTTGCTGGAGGCCAAGTGGTCAGTGTCCCATCAGAGTGACCATCCCTCACACGCCACTGCTGGGGGACACACCCCCACTGAGCGGCCAAGTCCACAGGACACGTGTCCCTGTGTCCACCTGTCAGCCACACCGCCCCTCGCTCCCCTACAGCCTCTGCCCTCAGACCAGTCCACGGCGCGCCGTTTTACCCTTGGGCTTTGCTGTGTCCCTTCCTTTGGCTCCTGTGCCCCGTCTGTGTGGCCACTGCAACCCTCAAGTCCCCCTCTCCAGACCATAGCTGGACCCCCACTCCCGGGGCTGGCTCCAGCAGCCATCAGCTGCCTTCTCACTCTGGCAGAGCCCACCCAGTGCCTTCTGAAGCCCCCGAGGGTCACTCAGTCTGAGACTTTCCGGCTTCTGCCCATCCTGGGAACCAGCCCCTCCCTCCAGAAGCTTTCTCTAAGGTTGCCAGAAGGTGCTAAGATCTGAACCGAGGTCATCTTGTCCCGGGGTTTCCAGGCAGCGTCCCTTGTTTGGGGGCCCTCTGAGATGCCTTCAGACCCCCGCCTGTGGCGGAAGAGCTTTGTCCTGGCCTGATCTGCCCTGTCCGTGACGCTTCTGCTCAGTAGCTGAGCACGCCCTGTGGTGTGGACAGGCCAGCCCGGCTGCAGGACAGTGGGGGCTCAGTCCAGAAGCCTCTGGTGGCTTCTGCGTGTGGGCAGGGGAGCAGGGCTGCAGGGTGGGCTGGCACCTGGCAGCGTGAGGGGCCTCAGGGCTGTTAAAATCCCAACGACCGGCCGGGCGCGGTGGCTCACGCCTGTAATCCCAGCACTTTGGGAGGCCGAGACGGGCGGATCACCTGAGATCAGTTCAAGACCAGCCTGACCAACATGGTGAAACCCTGTCTCTACTAAAAATACAAAAATTAGCCAGGTGTGGTGACGCCTGTAATCCCAGCTACTCAGGAGACTGAGGCAGGAGAATCGCTTGAACCCGGGAGGCAGATGTTGCAGTGAGCCGAGATCATGCCACTGCACTCCAGCCTGGGCGACAGAGCGAGACACCGTCTCAAAAAAAAAAAAAAATCCCAGTGACCAACCCAGGGCCTCGCCACATCAACAGAGACAAAACGCAGCTCTGGCTCTCAACATCCTCACCCCTCACCAGGTGCCCAGCTTCCCATCCACCCACGTGACCCGCAGGTGTCTGAAAATGCACAAAATGTCCAAATAGGACCACAAGAAGATCTTAAAGACACAAAGAACATTCTACATAGTTTGTCAAATCCAGCATTTGACGGTCCTCTGGGTGACCCGGAGAACACCAAGGCTGTGAGAAATGGGAGGCCTCCTGGCAGCTCCACTCCCCAGACCCGCCTCTGCCAGGGCTCCAGGCTCAGCAGGCGCCTGTGCGGGACAGGGCGACGGTTCAAGACCAAGTCCGGCTGTTAGACCAGACCCTCCAATCCAGGCGGCCTCCCTGCTGGGGTCCTGTGCGGTCAGGAGTCCCAGGGCATCCCAGGGTGGCTGTGCAAACCCTTGTTCCCAAAGATATGGGGCTTGTCCCCCAGCTAGCCTGCCCATGCGGTGGCCACAGCCTCGGGTGAGTTCCGGTTCCAAAGTACCGGCTCTCCCTTACGATCAAGTGTTCGAATGTGCTTGAAGCATTCCAGACACACCAAGGCCTGGACCTGACTTCATTGACGCCTACTTAGGAAAAATTGAGGCAGTCTGCCAAGCTTTCAGCAACTGCTTAAAAAGCTCAAAATGGCAAGTTTTTCCTCGTGAACGTCCTTGTCTTCAGAAGTCTTTTTTTAGACTATCTGGAAAAGCAGGCGATGCAAAGACAAAAGCCCCTCCCCGGGGGGCGGGGGGCAGCACCCTGACAGCAACAAGGATCTCAGAGCTTCAGCCAAGAGCATGGATTTCTCCCCAGGGCTCCCAACAGTACCCTCTGTCCGTGATTCAGGGTCTTACTCTGTCACCCAGGCTGGAGTGCAGTGGTGCAATCATACTTCACTACAGCCTCCAATTCCTGGCTCAAGGGAATCCTCCCACTTCAGCCTCCAGAGTAGCTAGGACCACAGGCACGCGCCACCACGCCCAGGCATGTAAAGATGGGATCTTGCCATGTTGCCCAGGCTGGTCTCAAACTCCTGGGCTCCAGCAACCCACCTGCCTCAGCCTCTCAAAGGGCTGGGATTACAGGCGTGAGCCACCGTGCCCGGCCTTTTCTTTTGTTGTTGTTGTTGTTGGCTGCCAACTTTGGACTCCGGTGCCTTCGCATTCCCGAGCTGTTTTTGCTTCTGGAAGACCAGGGGCATCAGGCATGACTGAAGGACCTGGTCTCCATAAGCTCTGAAACCTGCCGCCCATTAACTCAACCAAAAGTTACGAACCAGCATCATTCACACCACCCCAGCCCCAGGACCTGCTCCGGAGGCCAAGGGCCCAGAGGTCGCCAGACACAAGGCCAGGCACTGGGCAGTTTGGGTTATCTTGTTAGCAAAACTGGGTTCCATTCCCCTTTACTTAAAAAATACATAAAAATATACGTTGGGTTTCAAAAATAAGAAAAAGCATCTCCAGACAAAAAAGACGATCTTCATTTTTAAAACCCATGACGCACTCTCGGGAAGGTGTTCCTGTGCTCTGGGCCTGGGGACGCTGGTGCCACCAGATTCCAGGATGGCCAGGTGGACCCGGGGCCAGTGCTCCCAGCCTTCCTTCTGTGCTGTTCTGTGGGCCCCCAGCCTGCCCTGCCCACAGAGCACGGCAAGCAGGTGGACCCCAGACCCGTGACAGAGAGCCACCTGGACATGCCAGGCCACAGCACTGGGCCACCTTTCCAGTGTGAAACAGGGCTTTAAAAGCCAGCGCTGAGCTCGGCCACCTCTTGACCTTCTGAACGGCTGTGGTTTCCAAACACGGATGGATAACCGGGCCGGGCGCAGGGGTGGCCTACTCACCTGGGGGCGAACTCCTTCTGGCACATGGGGCAGCTGCGCAGGGCCGCGGCACCCTCCACAGACGGCTGCTGCTCCACCCTGGGGGCCCTGCAGGGATCAGGTGCCGGGCGCTGGGGCAGGGACCTGGCGGGGGATTCCAGGTGCCCTCCTGCCCCGTGAAGCAGCCGGTAGGAACGGCCCGGGCCCCACAGGTCCGGCGGAAAGGGTGTCCAGGAAAAGGTCTTGGGTCCGACAGTGAAGACTTCAGTGGGCTCCGGGCCGCACCTGGGCTCCTGCAACACAGAGTTGTTGGGCCTTGCCCAGCGATGGCTCCCGCCCTGGAAACCCCTTCATCGCTAAGATGGGCCCAGTGGGCACACCTGTCCTGGGAAGGCGGGCAGTGAAGGCACCTCGTGATCCAGGATCAGCTCCGGGCTCACCGTGCGCAGTAGCTCGGCCCAGAGCCGCTCCCGCTCATCACCCCCCAGGAGAAACCAGGGGCGGCCGCCAGAAGGCCTGGGGCAGACAGAGAGGGCAGACAGGGGGTACTCAGTAGCGGAAACGCTATGGTGGGGAGACCCGGGAGGGCCTGGGGCAGAGAGAGCGGGGAGATGGGGGGTACTAGAGGGAAATTCGATGGTGCGGGAGGTGGCCGGCAGGGTTGGGGGAAGGGCTGCTGGGGCAGACAGTGCGGAGATGAGGGGTACTGGGGGTGGGGGAGCGGGGTGGGTGGGTGGAAATATGGGGTCCTCAGCGGGATGAGGCGATGGTTGGGGAGATTGCGGAGGGCCTGGGGAAGGTAGAGGGTTAGATGGGGGGTGCTCAGGGGAGACGCGATGATGGGAGAGGCGCGGGAGGGCCTGGGGCGGCGCGGGGGAAGCTCGGCGTGGGGTGGGGGCTCAAGGCGGGCGCTGAATGGCGGCGCGGGGTGGGGCGACGGGCGTGGGGGCCGGGCCCGGGGGCAGGGAGCCCTCCCCAGGGGGAGAATAGAGCGGGAGGCCCGCGGGGGCGCCGGGAAGCACGTGGGAGCGGGAAAACCGGCCGCGCCCCCGCCCGGCTCCCGGCCTCACCCGCCCGCCGGGCGCGGCCTCCGGCGGCTCAACCCCAGCCGCGGCCTCCGCGCCGCCTCCATCCAAGCCCGCGCCGGGCGGAAGTGAGCGCAAGCCCCGCCCCCGCCCCTCCAGGCCCCGCCCCCGCCCCGGCCCCGCCTCCAGACCTCTGCAGCGAGGCCGCCCCCCTCCGAGACAGTCGGAACCCCAGGGGCCCTGATCCCAGCCTGTAGGGAAACTGAGGCCAGGGTTCCTTCGTCCTGCACCGCACAGGGGGGCCTGGCGTGAGGGTGGGGGGCCCAGGTGGGGGAGCCCCGCCCGTGTCCCCTTTCCCGTCCGGGCAGCCCCCGGGCCGGAGCCCCCTCCGTTACCCCGATGGCTGCCCGGCCCGCCCCGGCACTGCCTCCTCCCGGCTGCACCCAACAGCTCCCGCCCCCGTTTCCGGCTCTGCGGAGCCGCCTCTCCTCCCAGGACCATTCCAGGAGTAAATAAAGCTTGAAATCCGCCGTCGCCACCACCGTTTCTTTACAAAAGGCGGGGAACTCAAGCTCCTTAACCAAGAAACCAGAGGCGAAGTGACAAAGTCCAGGTGGCTCACTTGGGCCTCAGGGGCCTGGGCCAGGGCCCTGGGGGCAGCTGAGGGGCTTTCCTGCCTGGACCCCGGGCTCTGCGACCTCAAAGTCGGCCACGTGGTGGCAGCAGCCGCCCAGGCACCCTGGTGCCACACTTGGCTGTGCCCAGTGCCCCATGGGCCCAGGCCACTTGCCTCTCCCTTGGCCCTGCTGGGCCCTGGAGTGGCTGCCACCCTCACGGAAGGAGTGGGGTCTACAGAGATCAGGGTCAGGGGCCCTCGCCAGACGCCACTCAGGGCTCTGGGACTCCTTGGCAGTTTCTGCCCTGCCCAGCCCCAGCAGCTTTGGGGCTATGCTGGGCACCCCTCCTGCAGGGCTCCCTGGCTGTTCCTACCCCTCACCTGGCCCCTCCCAGCCCCCAGTCGTCTGTGCCCTCCCTCCAGAACTCAGCTGTGGAGCCCGGCCCTGAACCCAGGCCACCCGAGTGGCCCACCGTCCTTCAAGGGGCCCCAGCCTGGAGGCCATAGGTTGGTGTTCAGGGAAAGGGTCAGCAGCAGGGCCTGGACTGGGAGGTCCCCCTCTCCCTGCATGAGTGGTTTTCTTCCGCACACCTTCCTGCTCTAGATGCTGGAGGCCCCCAGCAGAACAAGATGGAGGCACCAACCCCCAGGCCCTTCGACTTGAGTGAGCAGATGGAGATGCAGCGCTGAGTGCT
Source organism: Homo sapiens (assembly GCF_000001405.40). Taxonomy (NCBI): domain Eukaryota; kingdom Metazoa; phylum Chordata; class Mammalia; order Primates; family Hominidae; genus Homo; species Homo sapiens. The sequence goes on from NC_000001.11 coordinate 2,195,954, forward strand.
GCCCGGGCAGGGGGAGGGGGCCTGGGGGAGCTGCTGCAGGCCGTGTGGTCTCAGGGGGCCCTGTGGGAGGTAGCCTGTGGCTGGGCCTGCTCTCAGGCGAGAGAAGCCCAGCCGTGGGGTCTCTGCAGCCCCACGTCCACCACATGGCAGGTGCCAGCTGACCAAGCGCTCTCAGACAGCCAGTGTCCAGGGCTCCCCGACAGTCCTGGCTGCCCTGGCTTCAGCTCCGAGCTTCTGGGTCTTTCCTGGAAATGTCACCATGGTCTGCAGGAGGGCCTTGGGTACTTCCAGGAAGACTGGTCCCAGCCTCCCAAGACAGGAGAAAAGGCCAGGCCCAGCAGCCCATGCCTGCAATTCTAGGACTTGGGGAGGTCCAGGCAGGCAGATTGCTTGAGCCCAGGAGTTTGAGACCAGCCTGGGCAACATGGCAAGACCTTGTCTCTATAAATAAAAAATTAGCTGGGCATGGTGGCATGTGCCTGTGGTCCCACCTACTTGGGTGGCTAAGGTGGGAGGATCACCTGAGCCCAGGTAGGTGGGGGCTGCAGTGAGGCAAGATCGTGCCACTGCACTCCAGACCCCAACTCAAAAAAAAAAAAAAATAGGCCAGGTGTGGTGGCTCAAGCCTGCAATCCCAGCACTTTGGGAGGCCAAGTCGGGAGGATCACTTGAGGCCAGGAGTTTGAGACCAGCCTGGCCAACATGCAGAAACCCCATCTCTACTAAAAATACAAAAATTAGCCGGGCATGGTGGTGCACACCTTTAATCCCAACTACTTGGGTGGCTGAGGCACGAAAACCACCTGAGCCTAGGAGGCATAGGTTGTGGTGAGCCAAGATCGCACCACTGCACAACAGCTTGGGCATCACAGCAAGACTCTGTCTCGAAAAACAAAAAAAGACAGAGGAGAAAAGCCCTTGGTGACAAGTGTTTGCTCAGCTCTCTGTGCCGTGCTGGGGGTGGTGGGGGGTGTTCTTGCTCCTTCCTCTCCCTTCCCCACTCTGGCTCCCAACCCCAGGGTTCTGCTGTTGGACCCGGGGGTGGCTCCTGCCTCCTCCTCCTCTATGGCCCCCACATGGTCCAGTGCCCTCCTGCCATGGGACCGGCCGGCCTCTGGATGGGCTCCGAGCCCCCTGGGACCCATCTCCTTCCCTGCCTGGGTCCCTTGGGCAGAGCCTGGGAAACTCAGGCCCCTGCCCTGTCCTGGAGGACCATGTGAGGGACACCTGTGTGTGGCTGCTGCCCCAGAACAGGGGCCTTTCTGGGCGGGAGGACCCAGCCCCCACCCCTGGAAAGCCAAACACTAGAGCTTTGCTGGGGTCTTCAGCATCCTTCCAGCCCCTCCCGGCTCCCCCATGCAGGTGCCCTGGCCACTGGGCCCAAGAGGGGCAGAGCCGAGCAGAAGCAGGGCGGGGTCTCAAGTGACCCAGACCCGGGACACCTGCGCTGCCCGGCTGGCGCAGGCTGCTTGGGAAGCTCTCGCTGCGGGTGCCCCAAGGGTAGGAGGCACGGGCCTGCAGGGGACCTCAGGGCTGGCTGAGCCTGGCTCCAGCCCGCATCACTGAAGCTGGGGGGCCCCCATCCCCTTGAGTCTTAGCCACCCCAGTGGGCCTCATTTACCCTTGGCCACCAGGGAAGAGGAGCCAGGGCCCCAGGCCAGTGCCATGGGGCAGAAGGCAGGGCCTCTGGGCCTGGTGCTTTGGGGACGCAGAGGCAGCACAACGTGTCACAGTTGTCCTCCTGGGGGCTCTTCCCCTCCAGTTTATCTGCTGCTCTGGATTAATCTCCCCTCCTCCCATGTCACCACTGGGGAGGGGGCAGTGGGGCAGGCCCCTGTGACCTACAGCCAGAGATAAGTCCACAGAGAAAGGCACTGGGGTGACCTCTGCTCTGGGCACGTGGCGGGTGCCTCCACTTGTCAGGAAGCCTGACCCCCAATCCCCTCCCGCCTGACAGCTTCCCGACAGCTGCCTGCCAGCCGAGGGCCTGGAAGGGGACCGGCCACTCAAGACTCTCAAGACAAGGAAGCATGTTCACCTCCAACAAACATACCTTGTCCTGCCTGTCCTCAAGTTATCAGCATGACACAGCGGTGCTGGTGATGGTGATGGTGGAGGTTTCAAAGTTGAACCTGATGAAAACGCTCCACTTCTTCGGAGCCATCTGCTGCTGTGGTGACGGAGTTTTGCTTTATTGGAAAATAATTTCTGGTTGGGACTGACACGTGCACAGTGGAAATGAGTTTTTTCTAAGCCAAAATTCATGTTTACAAAAGAACGTTTCAGCTGTGGGAGTTTGCATCCCAGGCAGAGCAGAAGGTGATCGAGTGGGTGGGGGCATCAGAGCCACCCATCTCCTACTCCCGCACCTGCAGACCGGTGGGCTAGGAGGCCCCTTACCCTCTGTGGCAAAAAAGGACACATTTATGGATGATGAATCAGGCCCCAGCCCACTGAGCTGGTTTCAGAAGCCAGGCTGGCCGTAGGTCAGGGAGCCAGGCCTCTCCAACTCCTTCCACCGCGGAAGAACAAGTGTCCCAGCCACTGGCATCCTCAGAGTCACCCAAATGTTCATCTCTGCCCAGCGCTGACACCCTGCAAATCAGGCTAAGACAGCGGTGACGGGCCCTGAGGCTGGCAGGCCTAAGCAGCCCGGTGGCCGTGCACCCTCCCAATTTCCAAATGAGACCTGTGGCCGACAGGCACCCTGGGCACATGCTGAAGGCACTGGGCTGCCTCCACCCCTTCCCATGTGGCTAAATGGCCCAGCACCCACACACGGTGCCCTGGCAGTGCTCACCTGCTGGCAAGGACAGCCAAAAGGCCCGGGCAGCCTTCTGACGCAGCCAGGAACTGGGCTGTGCTCCACCACACCTGCTGGCCCGTGGATGCCAGGCAGGCACGCCCACCCATAGCCAGATGTGGTGGCATTTATGGGATACGGGAGTGCCAGGCAGACAGGCTGTGAGAGACAGTTGCCTGGGAAACATCGCCAGATCTTTGGGGCAGCAGAGCAGGTGCTCGGGCCCACACATGGGGTGCAAGAGTAGGGGTGTGCCTTGGTGCCCTTGGGCACCGACAGCCTCCTCACAGCCTCAGTGGCGGGGTCATGGCACAGGCCTGCCCCTGACCCCAAGAACCAGAAAGCCAGGAGCAGCTGGGGAGGGCCCTGGCCCGGGAGAGACAGCGGTCCTGTTTCTGAACCCCATCCCAGCCATGGCCTGTGTCTGGGCCAGCATCCCCGACCAGACAGGGCCAGCCGCCCTCTCTCAAAGTCCCCAGCACCCCTTCAAGCAGTATCCGGTTCACACCCTCCCACAGCCTGTCCTCCATCCCCACGTGTCGGGCTCAGCTTCCGCACCACTCAGCCCCCACCCAGGGGCGGGCTTTTATCAGCCCCAGATCCTGCTCTGACGTCCCCCCGCCCGGAGAAGCTTCCCCAGCCCAGCCCAGCCCAGCCCAGCCCAGGCTTCTCTCTCCACCCCACTGCCCTGCTGGGAAATTGTGAGCTCAGATGCTGATTGGTCTACCCAGGAGGGCGGTCCTGTGTGCTCTGTTCCCTGGGAAGCCTCTCAGAGTGCGCGGCACCAAGGAGCCGGTCAGGGAGTGGAGACCTCTCAGGGCACCCCTCCTCTGGGGAAGGCAAGTCACAGAAACCAAGCTGGAGGAGCACTGTGGGTTGAGCAGCGTCTCCGAAGACTCATGTCCACCAGTACCTGAGAAAGTGGCCTCGCTCGGAAGCAAGGTCTGTGCCGATATAATCAAACCAGGATGAGGCGATACTGGGTTAGGGTTGGCCCTGAATGCAGTGTGAGCAGTGTTCTTGTAAGAAAAGGAAAATTGTCCGGGTGCAGTGTCTCACGCCTGCAATCCCAGCACTTTGGGAGGCCGAGGCGGGCAGATCACTTGAGGTCAGGAGTTCTAGACCAGCCTGGCCAACATAGTGAAACCCCGTCTCTACTAAAAAACACAAAAATTAGCTGGGTGTGGTGGTGGGCGCCTGTAGTCTCAGCTACTCGGGAGGCTGAGGCAGGAGAATCGCTTGAACCCAGAAGGCAGAGGTTGCAGTGAGCCAAGATTGTGCCATTTTACTCCAGCCTGGGCAACAGAGCAAGACTCCGTCTCAAAAAAAAAAGAGAGAGAGAAAGAAAAGGAAAATTGGCCAGGTGCTGTGGCTCATGCCTGTAATTTCAGCACTTTGGGAGGCCGAGGCAGGTGGATCATGTGAGGTCAGGAGTTCGAGACCAGCCTGAAAGACATCGTGAAACCCCATCTCTACTAAAGATACAAAATTAGCTGGGTGTGGTGGTGGGCACCTGTAATCCCAGCTACTTAGGAGGCTGAGGCAGGAGAATCGCTTGAACCCAGGAGGCGGAGGTTGCGATAGGCCGAGATCGTGCTGTTGCACTCCAGCCTGGGCGACAAGAGCAAAACTCTATCTCAAAAAAAAAAAAAAAAAGGTAAGGAAAATTTGGACACAGAGACACAGGAAGGAGGCTTTGGGGTTGGGGGTGGAGCAGCTGCACGCCAGGGAATGCCGGGGGCCCGGGGCTGGAAGGGGCAGGCAGCAGCCACCCAGAGCCTTTAGGCGGAGCTCCACCCTCCCAACCACTGATTTTGGACACCAGCTGCCTGAACTGTGAGAATATACATGTCACTCGTTTTAGGCTCCCAGTGTGTGGTCATTTTTTCACAGCAGCCCCAGGAGACACGCAGCAGGCTCCCGGCTTTCCAAGCCGCCACGCACCAAGTTCAGCTTGAAAACGCTGAGCCCAGCTGGGTGCGGGGAGCCCTCGGTCTCCTGTCCACCACACCCGGAGCTGAGGAAGAGGCTCCCCCATGGGCCAAGAGCTGGAAGGGGGCCCTTGGAGGATCCCCCAAGGTCCTCCAAGTGGGCCAGGAAACCTCTGCAGGTGGAGAGGGTGGCTGGGACCCCCTCGGGAGTCCCCAGGGAAGGTCTGGCTTCTCGGCTCTGTAGAATCAGCTTTGTCCCCAGTTCAGCACGTTTTTATGGGAAATCTGCTGGCTGGGGACAGCCCTTGATGTCCTGAGATGAGATGCTGCCTGGTCCCTGCACCTTCCAGGACCCAGCTCACCTGTGGCGCACAGGTTTCCACTTGTCATAGGAAACTGTGCTTGGTGCATCCCCTGTGCAGCCGGCTGTGAACTGTGGGCTCCAACCCTGCTTGGTTTGCTTCAACTTTCTGAGTGACGTGCAGACCTTCACAGAGGAGCCGTGGGGTGGCTCCATCCAACGCCTCCCTCGCTGCCCCTGTGTTGGAAAATAAGGACAGTGGGTGGCCTGGGCCCTGCGCATCCTCCAGAGGGTCAGGGACACGCACGGTGAGCGACCTCTGTAGGCTCGAAGGCACAGCCTGGAAGGACTGGGACACCCGTGGGCAGGGAGCAAGAAGGCACCGCCGGGGGCTTAGGTCTTCTTTGTTCATCTGGTAGAATTGCTGACTTTTAGAGAAAGGGACCTGAGGCTGGGCACGGTGGCTCACACCTGTCAAATCTCAGCACTTTGGAAGGCCAAGGCGGGTGTATCACCTGAGGCCAGAAGTTCAAGACCAGCCTGACCAATATGGTAAAACCCCATCTCTACTAAAAATACAAAATTTAGCCGGGCGTGGTGCCGTGCGCCCATAGTCCCAGTTATGTGGGAGGCTGAGACAGGAGAATTGCTTGAACCTGGGAGGCGGAGGTTGCAGTGAGCCAAGATTGTGCCACTGCACTCCAGCCTGGGTGACAGAGCAAAACTCCAACTCAAAAAAAACAAAAAGTCTGGGCGCGGTGGCTCATGCCTGTAATACCAGCACTTTGGGAGGCCAAGGCAGGCGGATCACGAAGTCAGGAGCTTGAGACCATCTTGGCTAACACGGTGAAACCCTGTTTCTACTAAAAATACAAAAAATTAGCTGGGCGTGCTGGTGGGCACCTGTAGTCCCAGCTACTTGGGAGGCTGAGGCAGGAGAAAGGCGTGAACCCGGGAGGCGGAGCTTGCAGTGAGCCGAGATAGTGCCACTGCCCTCCAGCCTGGGCGACAGAGCGAGACTCTGTCTCAAAAAAAAAAAAAAAAGAAGAAGAAGAAGAAAAAGAAAAAGTGGCCTGAAAGTTATGGCCCAAAAATGGGCCTGATTTTCTGTTTCTCTTTTCCCCTGGGTGCTCCCTCAGGGACTGTTTGGAGAACCAGGCTCCAGGAGGCCCCTGTGCAGACTCCGGGCTGTCCTGCAAACCCCAGCACCGTGTGGCCTTGGCCCAGGGCTGCTCTCCCCTACCAGGTACCCGAGGAGGAGGTGGCCTCTGTTCCTTCCAGCTATGCCCTCCATATGTGCCACCGGACCCCATCACCACGAGCCCCAGCTAAGTGACAGCCAACAACCCTACTTCTGTTTTTGTTTTAGAGACAGGGTCTTGCACTGTTGCCCAGGCTGGAGTGCAGTGGCGAAATCTCGATTCACTGCAACCTCCACCTCCTCGGTTCAAGCAATCCTCAACACCTCTTTATTTTTATTTTATTTATTTATTGAGACAGAGTCTCCCTCTGTTACCCAAGCTGGAGTCTAGTGGCATGATCTCGGCTCACTGCAACTGATGCTTCCCTGGCTCAAGAAATCCTCCCACTTCAGCCTCCCAAGTAGCTGGGACTACAGGCACAAGCCACCACACCTGGTTAATTTTTTGTTTTGTTTTGTTTTGTAGAGACGGGATGGGATTTTGCCATGTTGCCCAGGCTGGTCTTGAACTCCTGAGCTCAAGCGATCCTCTTCCCTCGGCCTCCCAAAGTGCTAGGATTACAAGCATGAGCCACTGCACCAGGCCCTGGCTAATTTTATTTTTTGTAAAGATAGGGTCTCATAATATTGTCCAGGCTGGTCTCGTCAAACTCCTGGCCTCAAGCAATCCTCCTGCCTTGGCCTCCCAAAGTGCCATATACCCCCACTTCTGGGTGAGCAATTTCCGACTTTGTGGTGTGAGGGATGATGTCTGACATGAAGCTCCATCCTCCTCCCTGGGGTCCATCCTGCAGTGGGAGCCGTCCTCCCAGCCAGCTGGTGACTGGACAACAGTGCTGTCCATCCGAGTGGGACACTGGCTGAGACTCTCCTCACCCTCCCATCCCCCTTCTGCTTTTCTCCCTGCCCATGGCCTGGCAACCTTCCCCGGGGCCAGAGGGCAGCCCAGGGTCCCGAGGCCCCAGGAAGCTATCTGGCCGCTGGAAGTAGTGGCCTGATGCCCAGCAGAATCTCAGAACAGGCCCTTCGCCTGCAGCCCAGGTGGGGCCAAGGCACAGCTAGGATCCCGACAGGCCAGAGAGTGGCCGCTGAGACAAGCCCCGCCCTCCCTTCTGCCGCCTTCTTCCCCCCAGGCTTCTCCATAGTGGGGCAGGCTCTCTGGACACCCCTCCGCAGTCAGGGCCCACCCATGGCTGCCCTGCCCAGGCCTGGGCACAGCTGCACTGACTGTTCCTGGCAGCCTCACCGGTGCAGGCCACCCTGCTGCTCCAGCTCAGTCCAGCACAGGTGTTCTCGCTCTGGGGTTGGCCTGGCGCTGACCTGTGCACCTGACAGGGAAGGTAGGCAGCTCTGGAGCTGGCTGGTGCCCCTCACCTGGGGTGGAGCTGGGGCAGGTCCCACATTTCTCAGAAGGACTCCAGGATGCAGCTGCGTCTGGGGCCTGAGCGGAGGGAAGATATCAGGCTGGGGCCGGCTGCTGGGCCTGTCCTCTCTGAGTTGCCTCAAATCCCCTGTTCCTTGAGCGGTCCTGGAGCCTGGCCTCAGGCCTCAGGGCACCACACTACTTGCCTCCAGGGACCAGCCTGTTCACCCCACACCCAGCCCTGTGACAGAGGTGCTGTCGCGTGGCCCCACTTACAGATGGGTCAACTGAGGCCCGGGGCATCTGTCCACTTGTCATGACAGTGAGCGGCCAAGCTGGATGTGAACCCAGGTTTTTGTATGCTGCCGCCCGGTGGGGTTGGGGAGGACTTAGTGGCACCCACTGACCTCCCACTGGGGATCGGGGTCAGGGAGTGAAGTAAGTGCCTGGCTCTCCGAGCACCCTGGGGCAGCCCCTCCAGCCTGGGAGAGCCAGCTCACATCTGGGCAGTTGGTGAGGCCAGCTCCTGCCATCTCGGGTCCCCATGCGCTTCTCAGATGTGAAAGCCCCTTGCTGGCCTCCACAGACCCTCACAGACGGCCTCACAGGCCAACACCCAGCGGCTGCACTGCCCATGGTCACTATCTCTGCAGCCCGCGTGTGCGGCCAGTGTCCCTCCGGTGACCCCAGGCCCAGGTGCCCGGCTGTTGGTCCTGCCAGCATCGTGAGCCGTGGTCTGCCGTCCTGGCACATCCTGAATGGAGGTGCACGCATAGAGGCTGCCTGTGAATCTCCTGCGCTTCCTCAGAGGGATTTGCCCCCTTCTGGGACGTGCCCTGGGGACGGTCAGTTCTCCCAAATAGTGACTTCCTTTCTCCACATAATGAGAGCCTTTGGCTGAGGGATTGGGAGGACCAGGAAAAAGCCGCCAGGCCACGTGGGGCGTGACTTGGCGATCCCGGTGGCTCCGGGCGTCAGCTTGGACCTCAGACGCCCCTCACAGCTCACAGCCCTGTGGCCTGCTCTGAGGGCCCCGCCCGCCGCCGAGCCCCCGGGAGCCGGAGAACCCGCAGGACGTCAGCCGGGTGGATTCCCTCCCACTGCCCCTGACCCCACTGCCCAGCGCCTTCAGGACTAGCGGATGATGGACTTGTGCTAAACTGGCTACGACCCCTCCGGAGCAGGGTCCTGGGTAAATCAGCAGTGAGCTGCAGGCTCAGCCAGCCGCCGCCTTTGGTTTCCTCCCGCCGCCGGCTCACCCCACCTCAGACCCGAGCTAGCTCTCCAGCCTGGTTCCTCTGCCGGACCCTCCTCCCGGGCACCTCCCACGCCCCGCCCTCAAGCCCCGCCCCTCAAGCCCCCCTCCCTCCCTTCGGGCCCCCCATACCCCGCCCCTCAAGCCCCGCCCCGCCCCCCGGGCGCCACGCGCCCCGCCCCTCAAGCCCCGCCCCTCCCTCCGGGCTCCCCACGCCCCGCCCCTCCCACGAGGCTCCCTCACGCCCCGTCCCCAAGCCCCGCCCTTCCCCCGGGCTCCCCCACGCCCCGCCCCTCAAGCCCCGCCCCCCAGGCGCCCCACGCCCCACCCCTCAATCCCCGCCCCTCCCCCGGGCTCCCCCCACGCCCCGCCCCTCTTTCCGGCCCCCTACGCCCCGCCCCCGCTCCTCCTTCTGGCCCTTCCCTTGCCCCGCCCCTCCCAGTGCCACCGTCCTTCCAGGCAGCGCCCACACCCCGCCCCTCATGGGCACCACCCACACAAGCAAGCCCCGCCCCGCAGGGTCCCGCCCACGTTCCGCCCCACCCCGCCCCAGCTGTGTCCTCGGCGCCCAGCCTGGGGCAGCCGTCCCCGTGAGCCCCGCGAGGGGAGCCTGTCCCAGCCACCTCGCCGCTTCAATTTCCTCCAGGTCCACAGGCCCAGCCCGGCGCGCGCCGCTCGTTCTGCGACCTCCAGGGCGAGCGCGCTTCCGGGGCGGCCGTGCAAGAGGCGTGGGAAGCGCGCGGGGGGTTCTGAGCGTGCAGTCGCCGCCTGCGGACGGCGAAGGGGCGGGTGAAACGAGTTTCCAGCGTCGAGCCTGCTTCGTTTCAAGGTGGACGCCACATGCAAGCCACGAGCGCGTCGCCGCACGGTGTACGCCCACGGTCCGGGCCGGGCGTTCTGCGGGTGCCCCCGCTGCGCCGCAGGCCTCAGTGGCGCGCCCGGGGACTGGAAGGCTGAGCCGCCCTCCTCCCATGTGCGCGGGAGTCCCTCCGCCACTGTGCCCAGATCGCCGGCGAAGCGCAGGGGGAGGCTGGGAAGGGCATCGGGAGACACGGGCCTGCGCCCCCTACCCGGGCCCCGGCCCACCTGTCCGCACACCTGTCCGAAGCCTTAAAAGGTCTTCATTCCTTTTCGGTCTGATCTGAGAGCCGAGCTCTCGGCAGGGATGGGGACCCAGGGCTCGGCCTGCAGGTGCCGTGCCAATTAGGGCCCAGGCAGGAGAGGGGCGTCCCTGCACTGGGGCTCCATCATTACGTTCGCATGGCCACTCTAGCATGGGAGGGGGGCAGGGCCTTTCCCTGTTAGTTCACTTCCCTGTTGGTACTCACCCACCTGTCTGTGGAAAGGCAGCAATGGTCGATTTCCCCCTTAAGAAACAAAGCGTGAAGGAGGAAGAGAGGCTACAGGAATCTGCCATCCGGGAGACCCTGTCTCTAACGGGCCATACGGGGTCCCCCTGTGTCTCCTGCAGCCCTGCACAGCCCCGGTCTGAGGTACCTTTTGGAGGGAGTGGCCCAGCTCTCCCGGCCTTTGCCACCCGGCGTCCTGTCCCAGTTTATCTGTGTCCAGTCCGATTGATGGGCTCATGGATTGGAAAGCTGTGACAGACGCCCTGGGCTGGGAGGTATAAAACGAAACTGTTTAACTCCAGTGAAAAAACAGTTGCAGGGATCCCAGAAGTGGGAAAAGGTCGCTCTGAGCACCTACCGTGGGGTGGGTGTGATTCTGAGACTAAGGCTCTGGGGGCCGGGCGTGGTGGCTCACGCCTGTAATCCCAGCACTTTGGGAGGCCGAGGCGGGCGGATCACGAGGTCAGGAGATCGAGACCATCCTGGCTAACACGGTGAAACCCTGTCTCTACTAAAAATACAAAAAATTAGCTAGGCGTGGTGGCAGGTGCCTGTAGTCCTAGCTACTCGGGAGGTTGAGGCAGGAGAATGGTGTGAACCAGGGAGGTGGAGCTTGCAGTGAGCTGAGATGGCGCCACTGCACTCCAGCCTGGGCAACGGAGCGAGACTGTCTCAAAAAAAAAAAAAAAAAAGGCTCTGGGACCCCTGGCCCACGAGCCCCAGGCCACGGCCTCCTGCCTGGGAGGTGTGGCTCCCCATGCAGCCAGCTTCTTCCCTGCCTCAGATCGGTGACCTGCACTCTGTCCAGGAGGAGGGGAGACTTGCCCAGGGACAAACCCGAAAACACGGCAAGGTCAGGGGAGGAGGGCACTGTTTCCTGTCGAAGTCCACATTTGTGAAAAAACATTGATTGGGCAGAGAGAGGTGTTGTATTCTGGAATGGAGGTGAGTGGGGGGCCAGTGAGGGCTGGGCCGGTGAGGGGTGGATGTGATGTTTTGCCTGGCCCAAGGGAGCTGGTGCCCCAGGTTCCCAGTCTGCTGGCAGAGCTGGGTCCTGGTGGGGGCAGAGCTGGGCAGGCCCACATGGCCTGTGCATCCAGGGTGTCTTGTCCCCTTAATCCTTCAGAGGATGAACCCCCACCCTTCGCCGGCCTTCTTGGGCGTGGTCTGGTAGATAACTGGAGCTGGGAGAGGCTGAAGACAGTCAAAGCTGCTCTCCTCTTTTCTAGGTGAGAACAGTGAGCCCGCAAGGTCAGGGAGCTGCCCCCAGGTCATCTGGGCTGTCGGAGATGGAGGCGGGAGAGGAGCCGTGTGCTCCTGATCCCTGGCCCAACGCTCTCCTTCCCCGTCGCCCACTCGGCATCGGCCCTACCCGGGGCCCGGACTCCCACTCACGCACTGGAAACTCCCTGTCTTGGGGCCGCGCACACCATGCCTGGCAGGAGCTGGAGATGCAGCAGAGCAGACGCGGCTGCAGGAGCAGCCGTGTTTCCTACAGTGGAGAAGGGGACCCTGGCAGGAGCACTGCCCAGCCAGGCACGTGGTGCTCAACCCTGTGGGCACTGACCCCACAAAAGGCCGGGGTTTGTGCTGCAGGAGGCCTCTGTTTGGGGAGAGCTCTGTCCCGGCTCCAGTGCGGCGGCCCTCCCCCAGCCTGCTGGAATGGGACCTCATCCCTGCTCCAGCGTCATGGACTTTTCCGGCCTTGGGTCGAGGCCTCAGCGATTCAGGCGGGGCCGTTTTGGTAACACCCGTGTGTGTGTGTGTGTGTGTGTGTGTGTGTGTGTGTGTGTGTGTGTCCGTGCGCGCGCGCATGCGTGCAGGCATGTGAGCCTGTGTGTGCCCGCGTGCCTGCACGTGTGTGGACATGCGTGCGGTGTTTCCGCCCCAGGGCTGGACACCAAGGCCCGTCTTGGATGCAGGGTGTTTTCTGCAGGGGAAACTGAGGCGTGGGAGGCTCAGCCCCTGCCTGGGGGGGTGACTGCCAGGGAGTCAGCCTCAGAGCTCCCACCCCTGGGCACAACGGGCACCTGGCCCTAGGGCCTGGGCTTCTTGGGAGCCCGGGGCCTTGGCTGCACACAGACCATGGCCCTGGGTCCCAGGCCAGGGGTGTCCTCTCAGCCCTGCCTCCCTGCAGTGCACGTCCTCCAGCCCGCCTTCTGGTCTCTTTTCTTCCTCTCAACTTTACCCTGTCTCCCTCCCTTCCTCTCTCTGCCCCCCTCCTGGCAAGCGGATTGCAATCCAAACTTGTTGTTAACTTCTCCCCTGCAGTTGTCCACGGGCCCTTCCAAGTTAAACATTACTCATGGCGACAAGAGCCCGCAGGGCAGTGCCTGGCCTGGAGGTGGACCCGCGTGCGGAAGGTGCTGGGAGGGGGTGAGTACCAGGCCCCTCCCTGCAGCATCTGTGGGGCAGCTGCTGGTACAGGTGGCCCCAGCACCCTGAGCCCATACCTGGGTCCCTGCAGCCTCTTGCCTCGCCCTTTGGAGTCACGAATGTGCCTGTTTATGTAACCCCCATGCTCGGCCAGAGCGGGTAAGCCTGTGGGCAGCAGCTCCCTGGGCAGGCTTGGGAGGGGCCAGCCAGGGGCCCCAGAGGGGTTTGGGCCGGGCCAGGCGAGAGCCCTCCCCTCAGCCAGTCACTCCAGCTCTGTGCCAGGCTAGGGGTGGGACTGGAAACAAAGTGTTCAGAAAAAAAATAGCCTCATCTGTTTTGAATCGATTCCGCTTATTGGGCCCTCAGTTTTCCCAGCAGGGAAGTGGAGGGATGGGGAGTCATGGGCTCAAGCACCTCAGGGAGCCCTCACAGCTGCAGGAGGCACAAAGCCCGGACCCCACTCACTGCACCCAGCAGCTGCTCCACCCTGGCCTGTCAAGAGCCTCCCAGGTTAGGAGCAGAGCCCCCCAGGCCGGGTTCCCCAGGGGAGCAAAGCTGGAGGTCAACAGCAAACAGGCACGGTGTCCTCTACCCACCATCTGCCACCCCCTCCCTCGCGTCCTCTCTTACCACTCCGTCCCCCACCTGCTGCATGCATCCTGCAGGGACCAAGCACCGTCCTGCCCCCAGGCCTTTGCGCTGCTGGCCCCCGCCCCGAAAGCTTATCCCACACCCATTTTAGGGCTGCTGAGATGGACCTCATAGGAAGCCCTCCTCCAACTCAGCACCTCTCGACTTACCCTCGTCTATTCCTTTTAAGAACATGGACCCCCATCCAACATAGAACATTTGGAGACTTAATTTTTTATGCTCTCCCAAGGAAGCTGCCAGCTCTCTAGAACAGGAACTCTCCGCTGTGTCCGTGTGCTTGCTGTAGGGAGGCATGTAGTCAACTCCACAGAAGAAACCATTTCCACACTCACCCACCCAGCGCCCTCAGGGCCCAGCCCCCTGGCCTGCACCCGGACCCTGTCGGGCAGGACACATCTGGCTGACCAGAGCTCAGGCCAGGGGCCTCCCGTGGGGCTCAGCGGGGACAGCTGGATCCTGAGCCAACAGGGGGAGGGCAGCAGGCCGAGGCACACGAAGTTCAGGGGGGCTGCTTGGTGCTGGTGGCGTTCGGCCACCCCACTTTGTGCAGGACTATGGGCCACTCGTCCAGGAACTCCACACCCTCCACGTGAAGCCTCCCTCCTGCCCTGCTCACACCCCCAGGACCCTTCAGGCTCCCAGCCTTCCAGCCTCCCTCCTGCCTTCTGTCCAGACAGAGCTTGTCGGAGGAGGCGCTTCAGTGGACGCACATCCCTGCTGCAGCCAGGTTCCATCCAGGGAGCACAGAACCTGTCCTGGGCACTGAAACGCTCACGGGGCCTCTGTCCCACTGGGCCCCCTCTTGAGAGGCCTCTTCCCAGCACCTCACCCTGGAATGCAGCCTCAGGGTGGGGGGTCCTGAGGGGAGCTGGGGGAAAAGGCCCTGCCTAGTGCCCTGTGGCTGTGCTCTCCAGGCACCTTGTCTGTGACAGGGTCTTTGGGGGCTCTGGAGATGGGCGGCTCACCTGCCTGCCTCGTGCCCAGACCTGCGAGTGTGCCTGCCCGTGTCAGACAGAGGCGAGTTGGGACTTCACACCTGAAATCAAGCGGGAGGGTAGGAATGTGAGCCTCGAAACCACCTTCTTTCTGTATCGTTTCTGGGAGTGGCGATGTCGGCCAGTGGGACACCTGCTGAGGGTCCTCTTTTCCCATCCGGGTGCTGGCGGGACAGGGGGTGGCTGTGACCTTCACCCAGCCTGTGCTGAGAGCTCCAGCCCCCCACGGCGCCCACAGCCCTGCCTGCCGCCTCCCCCACCCCAGACCCTGCCCTCCTACCCTCCACGCCTGCTTTGGGGAGGAGGCCAGGTGGGGGTGGGGCTGATCTAGTCACAGGCTCTGCTTCGGCAATGAGACCCCAGCAACCCCCCAGGTAAGGGGGCCTTGGGGGCTGGGTGGGGGTGGCTCCTCGGGGCTCCTCCTGCCCTCCGGGGGCTGTGAAGCTTTCTGGGCAGCACTAGTCCCTTTTGCAAGACACTGCCAAGACTTGTGGCATTTCTGTGGGTCTCTGCATGCACAGCAGAGCACACACATGCACCAGGGCTGGGGCTCTTCTCCTGGAGGGTGACCCTGGGAATGGGTAGCCTTGCCCACCCAACCTTGGTCACCAGTGGCCATCCAGCCCCAGGTGTCCCCATCCTCAATTTGGGCTGAGGGCAGACTGCAGGCTGGCGTTGCAGAGGCAGCTGGGTAAAGTGTGGTCCCAGACAGGGACGCAAGCTGGCGATTGCTGCGGGGGACCTGGGCCTGGGCTTAGCGACTGCTGCCCCTATCCAGATGCCTGATTGGGACCAGGGTGTGGGGCCGGGCCCTGCAGCGCCTGTCTTGCCCGGGCTGGAGCCCTAGAGCTGTGCGACCTGGGGCCAGGGTGTTCTGACAGACTCACTCTCAGGGGCTGGATGCCCTTGGGCACCACGGCGGGTGCCTAGCAGACCGTGCTGTACACCATACCCCTACTCTGGCCATCTGTGGGCTCCTTGGGCCCCTGCCGCCATGCCACTGCCTCTCTTGGGAGCAAGTTTCTTTTCTTTTCTTTTTCTTTCTTTCTTTTTTTTTTTTTTTTTTTTGAGACGGAGTTTCGCTCTTGTTGCCCTGGTTGGAGTGCAGTCGCGCGATCTCGGCTCACTGCAACCTCCGCCGCTCAGGTTCAAGTGATTCTCCTGCCTCAGCCTCCCAAGTAGCTGGGATTACAGGTACCTGCCACCACGCCTGGCTAATTTTATATATATATATATATATATATATATATATATATATTTTTTTTTTTTTTTTTTTTTTTTTTTTTGAGACAGAGTCTTGCTCTGTTGCCTAGGCTGAAGTGCAGTGGCGCAATCTGGGCTCACTACAAGTTCCGCCTCCCAGGTTCACGCCATTCTCCTGCCTCAGCCTCCCCAGTAGCTTGGGACTACAGGCACCCGCCACCACGCCCGGCTAATTTTTGTTATATTTTTAGTAGTGACGGGGTTTCACTGTGTTAGCCAGGATGGTCTCCATCTCCTGGCCTTGTGATCCGCCTGCCTCGGCCTCCCAAAGTGCTGGGATTACAGGCATGAGCCACCGTGCCCGGCCAGTTTTTTATATTTTTATTAGAGACGGGGTTTCATCATGTTGGCCAGGCTGGTCTCAAACTCCTGACCTCAGGTGATCCACCTGCCTCGGCCTCCCAAAGTGCAGGGATTACAGGCGTGAGCCACCGTGCCTGGCCGAGAGCAAGCTGCTGCTTTTTTTTTTTTTTTTTTTTGAGACGGAGTCTTGCTTTGTCGCCCAGGCTGGAGTGCAGTAGTGTGATCTCGGCTCACTGCAAGCTCCACCTCCCAGGTTCACACCATTCTCCTGCCTCAGCCTCCCGAGTAGCTGGGACTACAGGCGCCCGCCACCACGCCCAGCTAATTTGTTTTTTTGTATTTTTAGGAGCGACAGGGTTTCACCGTGTTAGCCAGGTTGGTCTCGATCTCCTGACCTCGTGATCCGCCCGCCTCAGCCTCCCAAAGTGCTGGGATTACAGGCGTGAGCCACTGCGCCAAGAGCAAGCTTCTGATGTAGGGGCTGCGGGGGGCTTCCCAGGCCAGGCAGGTTGCTGTCTCAGCGCCAGCGTGTAGCCTCCTCCCAGGATCCGGAGCAGGAGGGTGGCTGTCTTTTGCGTTCAATCCGCTGGGCTGCTGTGGGGTTCCCGCAGAGCTGCTCCAAGGGGCCGAGAGAAGGAAGGACGCTGCCCCCAAGGACAGACGGGCAAGCTGGAGTCAGGAGAGGCGCAGCCGTGGCCCACAGGCCTTGGATCTCTGGTTGGGGGAGCACCAGGTGGGTATGGGAGGGGGCCAGGGAAGCCCTGCAGCCCCCCCACCCCCACCCCCGGCCCCAGGCAGCAGTACCTCCAAGGCCTGGGCGGCAGGAAAGGGAGAGATGACGTCATTGCCGCCTGGAATCTGCTGTTTGGAGGCGTCGCCATGGAGACCGGAAGGCTCAGGGTGGGTAAAAATAGCAAACCCAAAAGGGTGTAAGTTCCAAGAACGCGAGTCTCTGAAAAGCGAGGCATCCATGTTCTCGTTGCCTGGAGGACAGAGGGCCCAGGCTGGGAGTCTAGCGGGAGGGGCCGCTCGGGGCTGCTGGCTTGCAGCCACCCACACGCGGTGTGTCCCTGCCACAGCCACGGAGAGCTTTGTCCCCGCGCAGGGTGTGGCGGGCGTGGCAGGCTCCCAGCAGGAGGCGTCTGCAAGCACGCTCCCTTCCTTTGCTTGGGCACCGGAGCCTTAGCCGAGGCCGCGCTGCAGGGACTTTTCCTTCCTCGGAGAGGGGAAGCGGCCGTGGCCTGTGAGTCGCTGGGCTTCCCAGGCCTCATCCAGGCCGGAACTCCGTGCCTCCAGGCGGCCTCTGCTGGGGCGGGAGGTACCAGAGCTGGGGTTTTCGCTGCCTGGCCTGAATGCTCTTTTCCTGCCCCAGTTTTGGAGAAGGAAAGGGGCGGTTGCCTGAGAAAGCGTCCTGCACCCCAGTCCTATTCCTCTAGGGGTGGTTTTCTTGCCAGGAAGCAGGATTTTCCTCCAGGCCAGGAGGTGGCCGTCCTGCTCCTTCTGGGCTTGGTCCCCGGAAACGCCAGTACACACTGTCTGCACCTCCCTTTGGCTGCGTCCCAGTGTCCTCAATGGGTCCCCCCAAGTCCCAGGCCACAGAATACAGCAGGAGGCTCGAGGGCTCTGGGCTGCTCTCCCCAGATGGCCGAGTCCGTGGAGAAACCCTGTAGCCGCGAGGGGCTCCCTGGCCGGGTGCCACCTCTGAGAAACTCTGCCCTGTTTTGGCTCTCGGTGTCGCTGGGGGCTCCTCTCTCCCAGGCCAGGCTGCACCGGGGCACGGAGGGGACCTCGCCTGGCTGCTTCCTCCCGCAGCGCGAGCCTAGGCAGAAGTGTCATTGGGCTCAGGAACCCTCAGATGGCCCAAGAATGACCCAGGAACCCTGAGAAGGCCCAAGAGTGACCCAGGAGCCCTCAGATGGCCCAAGAGCACCCCGAGTGGGGAGGGATCCAGGGTGATTCCCAGCCCCGAGAAAGGAAGCCCCATTCCGGGAGGGTGACTGTCCCCGAGCGGGGGGATGACTGTCCCCGAGCAGGGGGGTGACTGTGCCCGAGCGGGGGGGTGACTGTCCCCGAGCGGGGGGGTGACTGTCCCCGAGCAGGGGGGTGACTGTCCCCGGTTGGAAGGTGACTGCCCACTACAGCAACAAACGTTCTCCTGAGCAGCCTGGGGAACGCTTTCCTCCCTCCGTGCCGGAGGCTGGTGGGGCTGAGTCTCCGCCGCTCCCTGGGTGCTAAATCCTGGAACATCTTCAAAGAGTTTCAGTCCCTTCTCTTCTGCACACACCATTGTTCTCAGGGTGGCAGGGCACCCCCTTCCTCCACCCAGGGCAGGGGGAGCACGGGGTCTCACCTCTCACGCCCAGACCTCCCTTGGCTTGTGGTGGCCTTGACTGGAGAGGGCGAGGGGACATAGAGCCCTGTGTAGGGGTTTCTCATTCCCCCAAGACATAGCTCGCATGCCTTATGTAACGCGTGAGCTCACGCAGAGGGCCTGCCAGAAATGACGGCAGGGGCGGGAGGGGCCTGCTCGGGAAGCCAAGTGTGGCTCAGGCTTACGAGGAGCCTGGGCCCTGCCTTGAGGAGAGAGGGGCCCCGGGCCTTTGCAACCTGGGGCTCCCACACTGGCAGGGGATGGGCAGGGCCTGGGAGGGAGCGAAGGCCGTGGTGGTGCAGTGTATGGCAAGGCCTGGGGTGGCTGTGCTGGTCACTTGGCCTGTGGGTGCCTGGCCAAGCAGGATGTGGGGTCAGGCCCACCCCACTCCCCCACTAGCAGGCACCAGCAGGCCCGAGATGTCAGAGGAAGGGGCCTAAGTCACCCAAGACCCCCGGGAGAAGCTCTGGGGGCCTTAGAGGGGTGGATGGGTGGAGGCAGTGCCATCTCCCCCAGTGCCAGCTGCCCTTCCACCCTGAGAAACAGACCAGGACGGATGCTGCGCTGAGGATGGCCCTGAGGCAGGGCTGGACCCAGTGCCCGCGGCCGCCCTTGCCCTTCCTCCCTTCCCTTTCGGAGTCCTGGCCCCACCCTGTGCTTCCCCTCCGCCTGCTGCACAGGCGCCCACACTGTGTGGCTGGCCCAGCCCAGTTTCATTCCTGGAATGGGACCCCGGGAGCCGAGAGGGGCAAGGGCCTCTGGGCGGCGCGTGGGGCCTGGGTGACAGCACGGGTCCTCAGGGCAGTGCCCCCAGCCAAGAGGGAGCCATCCCTCCAAACACAGTGCCAAGGGGCACCTGGCCTGGGGACCTGTGTCCCGCCAGCAGTAGGGCCTAGCACAGCTGCACCTCACCAGGCCCAGGCCAGCCATTGGTCAGCTCACGGCCTGTTGCTGGGAAGGCAGCCAGCCCCTGACAAGGAGGGGGTGACCGGGAGTCCCACTAGGAGGAGGGGGAGGCCAGCCCTCGGGCCTGAGGAGGGCAGAACACTGGCAGGGGTCCCTGGCAGCGTCTTGGACTTTGCCCTCAAACCCTTAAGCAGGAGAACGGGGTGGGTGGGGGTTCCCTGAGGGGGCCAAGGGTGGTGCCGGGAGCCCAGTGTGGGGCAGATCCTGCTCTCAGGAAGGGTGGCTGAGGGGCCATGGCCCTAGACAGCGGGAGGGGCTGTATCCTGCTGCTGATGGGGAGGGGTGAGGATGGGGGCAAGGGGCGTCCATGCAGAGGCGGAGAGCAGGAGGTGAGGGGTTGGGCCCCTGGGATGGCTTGGTCTGAGCCTGGAGGCTGCACCCCCTCTGAGTAGCGGGAAGGTGGCTGCGGGCAGGTGCCGTGGGTGACTGAAGGGTAGGACCTGCGTGAAGGAGCCCCCGCTGCCCTTGGGACCACTGGGCCCCCGAGGTCTGGCCCTCACACACACCCTGCCCTCACCTGACCTCCCGCCCCGACCAGCCGCTTGCCCCAGTAGGTCCCAGGCTGCCCTGAGCCTCAGCATGCTCTGGTCTGCACGTGGCGGTAATGCCACCTGGCTCAGCATGTTGAGGGAAACCAGTCCTGGCACCAGGGTCCCACAGTGCCTGTGATGACTTATGAGGTTCTGCCATTGCAACCAACAGTGCCACAGCTTGGGCCCCTGGAAAGCACTGCGGGGATGGTCCCCCACTTCGAGAAGTGCTGGCTGAAAGCTTTGTGTGGGCAAGGACAGCACCCTTCTGCCCCCATTGGGTCCCCTGTGCCCACCTCGTGGTGCTCAGTGTTGTGTGCCGGGTAAAGGACAGCAGCCAGGGCCTCGGAGGATGCTGGTGATGCCCAGGCCGCGGCTGGGTCCCTGGCTCTCGCTCTGTCCCCACTGTTTGACACACAACCGCTTCAGCTAAGTCAAGAGTGATCTCTGGCCTGGGGGTCCCGGGCTCAGTGAAGTGCCGAGGGCACGCAGGGAGGTGGCGGCGAATGACTGGGGTGGCGTGGCGTGGCGTGGTGTGGCTGCAGCCCCGGGCAGCTATGACCAGCACAGCGCACAATCCAGGGCTGCACAGGATGCCCCCAGGACAGGGTTCAGTGGGTGAGGGTGGCAGGGCTGGGTGCCCACACTGGCTCTTCAATTCAGCACACGGCCCCCCAGGCTGGGCCTCACCAGTGTCCCCCTGGCTGTCCACAGGCTGTGGATGCGTCCTCAGAGCCAGGCCACGGGCTGCTGAGGGTGTCGAGGCCTCTGTGCCCCTCCCTCCCTCGGGCCCAACATCCTGCTGCTGCGCCCTCAGCCTCCAAGGTCCTTGTGTCTCTGGGCATGGGCTGCCAGGGGTCTCCTGCAGGAAAGGGAGCCCGAGAGAGCCAGCTTTGTCTCCCTAGCCTGGGACCTGGGCCAGGCCCTGTCACACTCTGGGTGTGAGCCCAAGGTGGGGTTGGGTGGACACCTGGCTCCCGGGATGGTTCAATGCCTGGCCCAGGCTGTCCAAGGCTGGGCAGCCTCATTGCTGCCCTACCTGGCTTTGTCCCTGTGGGGAGTGGGCAGGAGCTGGGCTGTGGCTCTGAGTGGGGTGGTCTGCTGGCCACCTGCTCTCACCCTCTGGTTCCCAATGGCCACAATGGCAGGACCATCCATGGCCCCCCAGAGGCAGGTGCCCTGCTCAGCACTTCCCATGCATCACCTCAGGTGATCTCAAGAGGCAGGCCCTGGCTCTGGGACCACCACCGGGAGGCTGACACACACCCGAGGCCACCTGGGCACGGTACAGGTCAGGCAACTGATTTCACAGAAGATCCCATGGTGGGCGAGGGCTCTCCTGGGCAGAATGGCTCTGAGAGAAACAACAGGAAACGCAAGCAAAACTGAAGGCAGCTTCCTTAGAAAGCCAGAAAATGGGCCGGGTGCAGTGACTAACGCCTGTAATCTCAGCACTTTGGGAGGCCAAGGCATGCGGATCACGAGATCAGGAGATCGAGACCATCCTGGCTAACACAGTGAAACCCCATCTCTACTAAACATACAAAAAATTAGCCAGGTGTGGTGGTGGGCACCTGTAGTCCCAGCTACTCAGGAGGCTGAGGCAGGAGAATAGCTTGAACCCGGGGGGCCGAGGTTGCAGTGAGCCAAGATTGCAGCACTGCACTCCAGCCTGGGCAACAGAGCAAGACTCTGTCTCAAAAAAAAAAAAAAAAAAAAAAGAAAGCCAGAAACTGCCGACCAGGCATGGTGGCTCATGCCTGTGATCCCAGCACTTTGAGAGGCCGAGGCGGGCAGATCACCTGAGGACAGGAGTTCAAGACCAGCCTGGCCAACATGGTGAAACCCCGTCTCTGCTAAAAATACAATAATTAGTTGGGCATGGTGGCATGTGCCTGTAATCCCAGCTATTACGGAGGCTTAGGCACGAGAATTGCTTGAACCCTGGAGGCGGAGGTTGCAGTGAGCCAAAATCGCACCACTGCACTCCAGCCTAGGCGATGGAGAGAGATTCCGTCTCAAAAAAAAAAAAAAAGAGCTGGGTGCGGTGGCTCACGCCTGTAATCCCAGCACTTTGGAAGGCCGAGCTGGGCAGATCATGAGGTCAGGAGATCAAGACCATCCTGGCTAACATGGTGAAACCCCATCTCTACTAAAAATATACAAAATTAGCCGGGCATGGTGGCGGGCGCCTGTAGTCCCAGCTACTCAGAAGGCTGAGGCAGGAGAATTGTGTGAACCCGGGAGGCGGAGATTGTAGTGAGCCGAGGTAGTGACACTGCACTGCAGCCTGGGCGATAGAGAGAGATTCCGTCTTTAAAAAAAAAAACAAAAAAAAAACAAAGAAAACTAGAAATTGCAGGTCAGCGCAAAAGAGAAACTTTAAGACATCTGTAGATTCTTCACTTGGCAAAAGTCACTTTCTTGTTTTTTGATATATGATCTGAAGGCTATAACATTCTACGTACCATGTAAGCTACATCCAGGAATTTTCATTGACAGTGTTTTCATTATCATTCAATTTAAAACATTTTGTGGTTTCCATTTTGATCCCTTCTTTAATTGATGATGTGTCCAAAGTATTTTGCAATGTCCCAGATAATGGTGATTTTTGATGGGAATGTGTATTTTTCTTTGTTATTTATTTTTATTTATTTTTTTGAGATGGAGTCTCGCTGTCACCCAGGCTGAAGTGCAGTGGCGCGATCTCAGCTCACTGCAACCTCTGCTTCCTGGGTACAAGTGATTCTCCTGCCTCAGCCTCCTGAGTAGCTGGGACTGTAGGCACATGCCACCATACCTGGCTAATTTTTGTATTTTTAGTAGAGACAGGGTTTCACCAGGCTGGTCTCAAACTCCTGCCCTCAGGTGATCCGCCCACCTCAGCCTACCAAAGTGCTGGGATTACAGGTGTGAGCCACTGCCCTCAGCCTGTTATTTTTAGTTTGGAATTCTAGTGTGTTTCTTTATTTTAATAGTTACCAAAGAAATACAGATACATAGATAAAAGAAACAAAAAGAACCCCCAAAGTTAGTACAGTTTAAATACTGAAACTGTAGAATCTGTAGAAACTATTGTCTCTGTGGAACTCACCAAGCCCTGGCCCTCCTTTGCTCCTCCATTACGGCCCTAGCGTCAGCTTCTTTCAAAGCTTTCACCCATTTTTTTTTGTCTTAGCTCTCTCCATACTTCTCAATTATGTGCTCTTGCTGCTCCTCCTTGGTTTAGCAGCTTTATACATGGTGAGATGTTACTGGAGAATGAGGGTTTTGCTCTTATCCAATGCTCCCTGCCCCACCCTACCATCTCTTCTTCTGTCTTCCCAAATGAGCAATTTCCTCATTTTTGTTTAAGTTGATGTCTCTATTATAATTTGTACTATAACTCTCTGCTGAGTCAAGTAGTGAACTCTGCTTAGGTTTTCTCTTTATTTTTCCTGGAGTTAGTAGTGGCCTTGCTTTCTTCTGTCATCTGCTGAGTTTCCTCTGTGCCTATGGCCCATCCCACCTACCTCTTCCAACAAGCCCTCCACACAGTGTTTGATCTAGTCAGTTGCATCCTACCTTCCACTGGTTCCTTGTTTTCCTGGAGCCCTGTGTCCTTCTGGCTTAGTCTGGGCTGCTTACTCTCTGGGCTCCATGTCTAGGCTGGTGGGCAGAGATTTCCATTTCCCCTTCATGGACTGGGACAGACCCTTCTTAGCTCTTATTGTTATGATGGAAGCCCAGTTCCAGATCCCATTCAGAAAGGGCCTGTGGCCATGACTCTTGTCTCTCACTGGCCTTAACCAGCAGCCCTCAGTGGACGTGAGACCAGGCCCAAGGCTTGCATTGGCAGTTTGGTTTCCACTCTTGCTTACCACTGTGGCTTGAGTGCTATCTTCATTTCTAGCTCTGCACAGCTACCTTCCTTGTGCCTTTTTACAGGACATTTAAAAAACAAATCTGGCCAGGCGAGGTGGCTCACACCTGTAATCCCAGCACTTTGGGAGGCTGAGGCGGGCAGATCATGAGGTCAGGAAATCAAGACCATCCTGGCTAACATGGTGAAACCCTGTCTCTACTAAAAAATACAAAAAAAATTAGCTGGGCATGGTGGCGGGTGCCTGTAGTCCCAGCTACTCAGGAGGCTGAGGCAGGAGAATGGTGTGAACCCAGGAGGCGGAGCTTGCAGTGAGCCGAGATTGTGCCACTGCACTCCAGCCTGGGAAACAGAGCGAGAGAGTGAGACTCTGTCTCAAAAACAAAACAAAACAAAACAAAAAAACCAAATCTGGCCAGGCGAGGTGGCTCACACCTGTAATCCCAGCACTTTGGGAGGCCGAGGCAGGTGGATCACCTGAGGTCAGGCGTTTGAGACCAACCTGGCCAACATGTCAAAACCCCATCTCTACTAAAAAAAATACAAAAATTAGCTGGGCATGATGACGGGTGCTTGTAATCCCAGCTACTCAGGAGGCTGAGGCAGGAGAATCGCTTGAACCCGAGAGGCAGAGTTTACACAGAGCCGAGATTGCGCCACTGCACTCCAGCCTGGGTGACACAACGAGACTCTGTCTCAAAAAAAAAAAAAAAAAAAAATGGCCGGGCACAGTGGCTCACGCCTTTAATCCCAGTGCTTTGGGAGGCCGAGCTGGGCGGATCACAAGGTCAGGAGATCAAGACCATCCTGGCTAACACAGTGAAACCCTGTCTCTACTAAAAATACAAAAAATTAGCCGGGCGTGGTGGCGGGCGCCTATAATCCCAGCTACTCGGGAAGCTAAGGCAGGAGAATCGCTTGAACCCAGGAGGTGGAGGTTGTAGTGAGCCGAGATCGCGCCACTGCACTCCAGCCTGTGTGACAGAGCGAGACTCGGTCTCAAAAAAAAAAAAAAAAAAAGCAAATCTATTTTACCCAGCATGTGTTTGTGCTTGGACTAGGAAGGGGACCCTGCACCATCTTGGCTGGGGTTGTAGCAGATGCTCTGGTGTCCTGTGGCTCCTCCGCCCCACCCTCACAGCGCCCCACTGCAGGGCTGCAGTCAGAAGCCTCAGGTTGCAGCCTGCCCGACAGCTCAAGCTCAGCAGGGCCGAATGGAGAATGTGTACCTCCTCCTCCTAACATTGTTAAAAATAAAATTTGTATTTTGACACAATCTCAAGCTTATAGAAAAGTTGCAAGAATAGTACAGGAACTTTTTTTCCCCTGAAGCATTTGAGGGTTTGTTGCCGCATGGTGCTCACCACACCCCAAAACAAGGACATTCTCCTACACGCCCCAACACGGCTGTCCAAGGCGGGAAATCACGTGGAGTCAGACCCCACTCTGGGCTTTCTGGTTGTCCCAGTAATATCCCTTGCAGTAAAGAGATCAGCCTGGGACCACACATTGCACTGAGGTGCCATCATGTCTTCTGTCTCCTTCGGTCCGGAACATTCCTGGGCCTTTCCCTGACTGTTCTTTGAAGCTTCCAGGCCAGGCCTTTTGGAGACGGTTCCCTGTGTGGCTTTGTCTGAGATGTCATCACAGAGAGACACAGGTTGTGCATCTTTGGCAGGAAAGGAGCAGATGTGACACTGTGGTCTGCTCACCCCACCCTGTCAGGTGGGGCAGGACTCTGATGGATCCAGTATCAATGGAGCCCACCGCGATCGCTCGGTTAAGGTGGGGTCTGTGTCTCCGCTGGAACTGACATTCTTTTTCCCTTTGTGACAAATTAGCATTTTGTGGGGAAGATTCCTCCCTCCCTCCCTCGTTCCTCCCTCTCTCCCCCTCTCTTTTTTAGAGACAGGGTCTCACTCTGTTGTCCTGGCTGAAGTGCACTGATGCTATCCTAGCTCACTGCAGCCTCGGACTCCTTGGCTCAACCAATCCTCCTTCCTCAGCTTCCTGAGTTGCTGGGACCACAGGTGCATGCCATCATGCATAGCTACTTTTTGTTATTGTTGTTGTTTGTTTTATTTTTGAGACAGGGTCTTGCTCTGTTGCCCAGGCTGGCATGTAGTGGCAACATGACAGCTCACTGCAGCCTTGACCTCCTGGGCTCAAGTGATCCTCCTGTCTCAGTCTCTCAAGTATCTGGGACTACAGGCCTGCACCACCACACTTAGCTGATTTTTAAATTTTTTTAGAAGTAGGGTCTCTATGTTGCCCAGGCTGGTCACGAACTCCTGGGCTCAAGCAGCCGTTCCACCTTGGCCTCCCCAGAAGTGCTGGGATTACAGGCATGAGCCACCATGCCCAGCTGATACGTTTAAAATATGCAAATAGCTCTTTTTAAATTTTCAATTCATTAATATATTTTAATAAATATTAAAATATGTATAGACATATGCTTTCCTATTTTATTTGATAATTATAACTCATTACTATCATTACCATCTATTAATATCATTATTCTGTCTGATTTGGCAAACAGGCCGTGACTCAGTGCCCTCTCCATGTGACCCGGTGTGCCTTATGTCTTGTCGTTACTCTCTCTCCCTTCCCAGCCCTGGGGTCAGCCATCTCTTTTTTTTTTTTTTTTTTTTTTTTGGTGGACTTTTCCCTCTTGTTGCCCAGGCTAGAGTGCATGGCGTGATCTCGGCTCACCGCAACCTCTGCCTCCCAGGTTCAAGTGATTCTCCTGCCTCAGCCTCCTGAGTAGCTGGGATTACAGGCATGTACCACCACACCCGGCTAATTTTGTATTTTTAGTAGAGACGGGGTTTCACCATGTTGGCCAGGCTGGTCTTGAACTCCCAACCTCAGGTGATTCGCCCGCCATAGCCTCCCAAAGTGCTGGGATTACAGGCGTGAGCCACCGCGCCCGGCCTGGGTCAGCCATCTCTTTAAAGAACTCCAGTTCCTGGTCGGGCGCAGTGGCTCCCGCCTGTAATCCCAGCACTTTGGGAGGCTGAGGTGGGCAGATCACAAGGTCAGGAGATCGAGACCATCCTGGCTAACACGGTGAAACCCCGTCTCTGCTAAAAATACAAAAAATTAGCCGGCGTGGTGGCGGGTGCCTGTAGTCCCAGCTACTTGGGAGGC
Organism: Homo sapiens; assembly: GCF_000001405.40. Taxonomy (NCBI): domain Eukaryota; kingdom Metazoa; phylum Chordata; class Mammalia; order Primates; family Hominidae; genus Homo; species Homo sapiens. Next base: position 2,222,624 of record NC_000001.11, read on the forward strand.
TGAGGTAGGAGGATCGCTTGAACCTAGGAGGCAGAGGTTGCAGCGAGCCGAAATCGTGCCACTGCACTCCAGCCTGGGCGACAGAGCGAGACTCCATCTCAAAAACACAAACAAAAACACTTTGGTTCCCTTCAGTGAATGAAAATTGGGAGCCAAGACTGGGCTTCCTGGTGCGCTCACTACTGCTGAGGGGTCCCTCGTCTTGGTGGGCAGAGTGAGGGCTGATGTTTATACAAAACACATTTACATCAACAGTTTTCTTTATAAATATGGACATTTATGAGATCATGCAGGTATCAATAATTCCAATCCAACACCACATGCTTCCTTCCTCCCTTTCTGTATTTTAACATCGAGAAACCTGACTCTTGCTACCTTAAACTCATTTCCTGATTGGATCAACCCCCCCACTCCAGTGCTTGTCCCTCACTCCCTTGCGCTCTGGCCAGGGCAGCCCCTGGGATGGCTCTGAGCCCTGGGTTCTGCCCTGAGGATTCAGCTCCAGGTGCCCAGCGGTAAGAGGCTTTGCAGATCCCTCTTTAGGGCCCGGCTTCCCCTCCCCCGCTCACTTGCTCTGACCCTTTCCTGTGCTTCCTTGGATCGCCTCCCAAGCAAAGCACTCGAACTCAAATCTTTGTCTTGGCTGGGCGCGGTGGCTCACACCTGTAATCCCAGCACTTTGGGAGGCTGAGGGGAGGAGCGCTTGAGTTCAGGAGTTTGAGACCAACCTGGGCAACATAGTGAGATCTCATCTCTATAAATAAAAAATTAAATAAAAGGCCAGGCACAGTGGCTCACGCCTGTAATCTCAGCACTTTGGAAGGCCAAGGCGGGCGGATCACCTGAGGTCAGGAGTTTGAGACCAGCCTGGCCAACATGGTGAAACCCCGTCTCTACTAAAAATACAAAAATTAGCCTGGTGTGATGGCGCATGTCTGTAATCCCAGCTACTCGGGAGGCTGAGGCATGAGAATCACTTGAATGCAGGAGGCTGAGGCTGCAGTGAGCCGAGATCGTGCCATTGCACTCTAGCCTGGATGACAAAGCGAAGACTCTGTCTCAAAAATAAAGTAATAAAATAAAATAAAGTAAAATAAAAATCTTTGTCTCAGGGCCTATGTTTGGGGGAATCCAAAGTAAGACAAAGGTCTTTCTAAAATTTCTACTGGCCGGGCACGGTGGCATAGCCTGTAATCCCAGCACTTTGGGAGGCTGAGGCAGGTGGACCACCTGAGGTCAGGAGTTCAAGACCAGCCTGGCCAACATAGTGAAACCCTGTCTCTACTAAAAATACAAAATATTAGCTGGGCATGGTGGCAGGCGCCTGTAATCCCAGTTACTCGGGAGGCTGAGGCAGGAGAATCGCTTGAACCTGGGAGATGGACGTTGCAGTGAGCTGAGATCGCACCATTGCACTCCAACCTGGGCAACAAGAGCGAAACTTCATCTCAAACAAAAACAAAAACAAAACAAAATTATACGAAGCTGATGTTACTTGAGCAATTTTTATTTTCACATTTGAAGGTTTCTTTCCCAGTAACTGAGCATGTTTTTGCCAATGGCAGTCTATGCCTGGCTGCTACAAGGCCTTCCTTCTGCTTCCTGAGGAGGAGAGAGTGGGTGGCAGCAGGGCAGGGCAAGGCAGGGTGGAGCAGAGCTGGTCTGCGATGCATTTCCCCACCAAGGTTTCCAAGTTCCCCCAAAGCTTGGGGTACCCCTTGCTTTGCCAGTGTCTTCCTCTTTCTGGTCCTGGGGCGCCATCCAACTCATCTCCACACTGCTGGCTCCTTAAGGTGGGGGTCTCAACTCCAAGGCCAGCCTCCCAGGAGGCCCTCCCTGCCTACAGCCAGCCCCAGCCACTCCGCGCCTTTTGGGGATCTGAAAGATCTCGCTCCCGTACTAGCAGGTTTGTTGATTGACTGTTGTCTCTCACACCAGAATGGAACCACACGGGGTACAACCTGGTCTCCTTACCCTGATCCCAGTGTCTACAGTGGTAGGAGCTCATCGAACAAGGGGACAAACTCATGACTAGCTGACCAAGCCTGTCACCGTGGTAGGGGCCAGGGAGAAAGCTGGGAGGTCCCTGCCTTTGCCCGCATGCCAGGGCTTCTCTGGGCAGGCACCACGTCCATCCCACCCTACTCCGCGCTGTGGCTGTGCCTGCAGCCTTAACCCGCGGCCTGCCAGTATGGTGGCCCGCGTGGGCGACTGGCCTGGGCAGCTGCTGGGCGGGGCTGGAGGGTGGAAGGCCAGCAGGCGGGAGACACCCCCCACCCTCTTCCCTGCCAAGCTCAGGAAGAAAAGTGGACCCTGGTGGCTCCCTCTAGGCGTGGCTGCTCTGACCCTTGGTGGGGTGGGTGCCTTCCTCTGGAAGCTCTGACATATTGGGGGAAGGAAGTCTCAAGAGTCCACAAAGGTGGAGGTAGCTTCAGAGACCAACTGGAGGCCCTCACCTGTCCCCGCACCTTCACTCCATGGCACACCTATGGCTACTTCCCAGGGGTCCGCACTCTGGACAAAGTGTTGGTCCCTGGCTAGGACCCTGCAAAGCCAGAGGCACAGAAGGAAGCAGAGGCTCTGGGTGGGCACTGCCCATGCTAGGGGCCCTGCACAGAGCCCCTGGTCCACCAGAGGAGCCAGAGGAATTCTCTGCTTGATTGGAGACACTTCCCAGCAGGCCTGGCTGCAACCACCTTCTCTGAGTTACAATTTGACTGAGTTGTATGGAATTCAAATCCAGATGGAAGGAAGTGACAACGTCAAGTGCAACACTAGCTGTGTTTTGTCCAAAACGTGGGCCAACGAAACTATCTCCAGGAAAACAAATAAGTCCCTTTTCTATTTTTTTTTTTTTTTTTTTTGAGACAGAGTCTCACTCCATCGCCCAGGCTGGAGTGCAGTGGTGCAGTCTCAGCTCACTGCAATCTCCACCTGCCAGGTTCAAGCGATTCTCCTGCCTCAGCCTCCCGAGTAGCTGGGATTACAGGCATGTGCCACCATGCCCGGCTGATTTTTGTATATTTAGTAGAGAGGGGGTTTCACCATGTTGGCCAGGCTGGTCTCCAACTCCTGATCTCAAATAATCCACCCGCCTCAGCCTCTCAAAGTGGTGGGATTACAGGCGTGAGCCCCTGCGTCTGGACTGAATATCCTTTTTTTTTTTTTAGACGGAGTCTCGCTCTGTCGCCCAGGCTGGGGTGCAGTGGCGCAGTCTCGGCTCACTGCAAGCTCCGCCTCCCAGGTTCACGCCATTCTCCTGCCTCAGCCTCCTGAGTAGCTGGGACTACAGGCGCCCACCACCACGCCCAGCTAATTTTTTGCATTTTTAGTGGAGACGGGGTTTCACCGTTAGCCAGGATGGTCTCGATCTCCTGACCTCGTGATCCGCCTGCCTCGGCCTCCCAAAGTGCTGGGATTACAGGCATGAGCCACTGAGGCTGACCCTTTTTTTTTTTTTGAGACAGGGTCTGTCTCAAAAAAAGGGTGTGTCCCTATCACCCAGGATGGAGTGCAGAGGCTCAAGCACGGCTCCCCGCAGCCCCAACCTTCTGGGCTCAAGCAATCTTCCCACCTCAGCTTCTCAAGTAGCTGAGACCACAGGTGCAGGCCACCATGCCCGGCTAATTAAAAAAAAAAATTATTTTTTGTAGACAGGGTCTCACTATATCGCCCAGGCTAGTCTTGAACTCCTGGGCTCAAGCGATGCGCCTGCCTTATCTTCCCAAAGTGCTGGGATTACAGGCGTGAGCCACCTTGCCGGGTTAAATATCACTTTTAAGGAAATGATCTTCTTACCCAGCTTTCTGGTGTGTGAACACACAGAGAAAGCCTGGCCTCCAATTGTGGGGGCCAACGGAGTGAATGGGAAGAGTCGGGGGACAGTGTGGAGTGTGAGGACAAGGAGACAACCCCCAAGGCAGCGGAGAGAGGGAGTATGGAGCCGCCCTGGGGTCACCTACAGGTAGGTCCTGGCTGCCTCTCTAGACACCTGCCCTGCCGCAGGTCCGGCCAAGACCTGCACAGGGACTCCGGGCCGGCTCCCCCAGGATAGGAACTGCGCCCAGGAGTGCTGGTTTGAGGCAGGTTCCAGCCTCCACTGGGGAAGTGAGGGGCAGGAGGTCCCAGCTGAAGGTCACTCAGGTTGCAGCGGCGTGGCCCTCTCGCCTCCGCCCAGCACCCAGGCCAGCTTGGGCACCCCCGGCCCGTGGGGCATGTCCCTCCGCCTCAGGCGAGCACAGACCGAGCCCTGCCCCTCCCCAAACACACCATTGCGTCCCTGCGCCCGCAGGCCTCGCTGGAAGCTGCCTCCCCTGGAGACCACCCGGCCGACTGTCCAACTTCGGGGCCCCGGGCTTCCCGCTCCCCGCCCTGCCAAGGCTTGAGTCTCTCCCACTGCGTGGCCAGGCGTGGAGGGCCGGCCGATCCGACCCCGAAAGACGTCTCAGCGCTCCACGGCCCCGGGGCGGAGGTCAGGGGTCTCGCCGGCCCGAACGCCGGGCCCCGCGGGGCCGAAGTCCTGATAAGCCACCTGGCAGGAGTGGCTGGCAGACCGGCTGCGTCTGGGGCACCGGGCGCCGCCCCTCCCAGGCCCGAAGCCCCCGGCCCGCGCAGCAGGGACACTCCGCCAGGGGCCGGCGGGCGGGGCGGGGCCGGCGCGGCCGGGAGCCGCGGACACTCGGCCACCGAGCCACCGGCCACGGCGCAGCGGGGGCCGCCGGGCTGCGCCGCCAGGGTCACGCGACGCGGTGCCCGTCTCGGCGCAGGGTCCCTGGGCGTGGCCGCTGTCCCCCTCGTGTGTGGGACCCCAGGTCACCGTGTGGCGTCCCGGTAGTGTGTGGGACCCCAGAGGCGTCCGGGGCCTCCCCGCTGTGTGGTGTCCCACCCTGGGAGAACCCCGGGTGCGTGGCGTGGCCCCCCGGCCGCCCCCAGCTGGTTTGCGGTCGTGGCGGGGGCCTGTGGGTTTCTGGGCCCCGACGGCGGCGAGACGGGCGCCTTCCCAGCGGCGCAGGAAGCGGCCTCGGCCGGAAGGGGGGCCCCGGGCGCCACCGCCGCCTCCGCCTCCGCCCGCGCCCAGCGGCCCTCGGCGGGCGGGGCCGAGCGGGGCCGAGCGGAGTCGAGCATGGCCGAGCGTAGCCGAGTCCCGGCCGAGCGGAGCCGAGTCATGGCAGGGCGGGTCCGAGCGTGGCCGAGTCCCGGGCGAGCGGAGCCGAGCGCGGCCGAGTCCGGGCGGGGAGCGCGCGTTCCTGGAAGAGCCCGGCTGGGGAGCGGGTCACATTCTTGGCCAGCGCTAGGGCTGAGGCGGACGCACGGCAACAAACAGCGCGGGGGGCGGGGCCGGCGCGGGGCGGAGCGGGCGGCGCGGGGCGGGGCGGCGCGGCGGCGGCGTGAGCTCAGCGCCGGGCGCTCAGTCCGAGCCGGAGCGAGCCGCCGGGAGGATGTGCGCCGAGCGCCCCGAGCCCCGCGCCGCCGCCGCGCTCTGAGGGCCGCGGGCGAGAGGCGCCTCCGCCGCCCCGGAAGCCGGGCGGGCGGGCCGCGGAGCCGGCGGGCGGGCGGGCCGGGGGCCGGCGGCGGGCGCGACGCGGCCGGCCAGCGCCGCCGGGACGAGCCGGGCGGGCGCCTCGCGGTGGGAGGAGCGGGGCGGCGGCGGCGCGCCGCGCGAGGACGGCCCGGCGGGCCCCGCGCCCGCGCCCCCGCTCCTCCCGGGCCCCTCGGCCTCGGCCGCCGCGGCGATTCGCGCCTCGCGGCGCCGGCACCTGCCCGCGCGCCCCCCGCGAGCCCCGGGCCCGCGAGCGTTGGCGTTGGCGTTGGCGGCGCGCGCCGGGGCATGCCCCGCGCCTAGAGCCCGGGGGGCGCGCGGGGGACGCGCGGGGGGCCCGGGCGGCGGCGGGCGCGGCGCGGGGCGCGTGGATGTGGCGCCGGGCCCGGGCGGCGGCGGGCTCCAGCGGCGGGACCCCTTCGCCCCGCCCGCCTTCCCCTTCGCGCCCCCGGGCGAGGCCGCGGCCGTGATCGGCCGTGAGCCGGCGGCGGGGGGCGGCCGGGGTCGGGGCCGCGGGCGCCGCCGGGGCGCGCGGGGCGGCGGCGGGGGCCGGGGGGGCCCGGGCGCGCGGGAGCGGGAGCGGCCGGGGGAGCCGGAGCGCACCATGGAGGCGGCGGCAGGCGGCCGCGGCTGTTTCCAGCCGCACCCGGGGCTGCAGAAGACGCTGGAGCAGTTCCACCTGAGCTCCATGAGCTCGCTGGGCGGCCCGGCCGCTTTCTCGGCGCGCTGGGCGCAGGAGGCCTACAAGAAGGAGAGCGCCAAGGAGGCGGGCGCGGCCGCGGTGCCGGCGCCGGTGCCCGCAGCCACCGAGCCGCCGCCCGTGCTGCACCTGCCCGCCATCCAGCCGCCGCCGCCCGTGCTGCCCGGGCCCTTCTTCATGCCGTCCGACCGCTCCACCGAGCGCTGCGAGACCGTACTGGAAGGCGAGACCATCTCGTGCTTCGTGGTGGGAGGCGAGAAGCGCCTGTGTCTGCCGCAGATTCTCAACTCGGTGCTGCGCGACTTCTCGCTGCAGCAGATCAACGCGGTGTGCGACGAGCTCCACATCTACTGCTCGCGCTGCACGGCCGACCAGCTGGAGATCCTCAAAGTCATGGGCATCCTGCCCTTCTCGGCGCCCTCGTGCGGGCTCATCACCAAGACGGACGCCGAGCGCCTGTGCAACGCGCTGCTCTACGGCGGCGCCTACCCGCCGCCCTGCAAGAAGGAGCTGGCCGCCAGCCTGGCGCTGGGCCTGGAGCTCAGCGAGCGCAGCGTCCGCGTGTACCACGAGTGCTTCGGCAAGTGTAAGGGGCTGCTGGTGCCCGAGCTCTACAGCAGCCCGAGCGCCGCCTGCATCCAGTGCCTGGACTGCCGCCTCATGTACCCGCCGCACAAGTTCGTGGTGCACTCGCACAAGGCCCTGGAGAACCGGACCTGCCACTGGGGCTTCGACTCGGCCAACTGGCGGGCCTACATCCTGCTGAGCCAGGATTACACGGGCAAGGAGGAGCAGGCGCGCCTCGGCCGCTGCCTGGACGACGTGAAGGAGAAATTCGACTATGGCAACAAGTACAAGCGGCGGGTGCCCCGGGTGAGTGGCCCCAGGCCTGGGAGCTGGGGAGGATGCGCTTGGGGTGGGGGCCCCTTCTGGACTACAGGCTCTGGTCTCCGAAGGCTGGGACCTGTGCTTCTGCCGTGCCCCATGTCTCCAGTCTTCGCTTTGTTTTAGGGAAATTCAGAGTGTTCCGACTGGCAGGGCCAGAGAGTTTGGTAGGAAGGCCCTCCTGCCCGTTCCCCAGGACGAGCCTGGAGTGCGGGCTGTGGCGGTGGGGTGGGGGGCCAGGCCTGGTGTGTGGGGAAGGCCCGCAGGCCCACAGGCATTGCCCAGATAGGAAGGCACAGGCCTCATGCTCCCGAGAAAGCGGCCTGCCCCAGGTCAGGGAAGTTAGGTCCAGCTGGGCCACGGCCCGGATGCCTCAGGCCCAGGTCTTTCTTGGGGTTGGGGTGAAGGTGGCTGTCCTCGCCCCGAAGGCACCCAGCCTCGAAGACGGAGGGCTGCCTGCCTTTGGGCCCCAGGAGACAGAGCTTGGGTGAGGCGAGGCCTGGTTTTGTTACTGGCTCCCGCTCCCTGTTTGGTGCCTTGAAGTTTTGGGACACAGACACAAAATGAAGCCAGGTGTCCAGGCTTCAGTGGCAGGGGCCCGAGACTTGGCGGCTCCAGCACTGTGCTGGTTGGTCTCCCTGGGCCTGCCAGGGACCAAATCCCAGAGTCCGCCGTGTGGGGTGAGGGCCATTTGGCACCCGGCTGAGGGGCCTGGTCAGCAGGCTCCTGGGCCCGCGTGCTGGAGTTACTGGCGGCCTGCGATTTGCTTTGGACTCACCCATTTCCTTCTCTCCCTCTGAAACGCAGAGGGGTGCGCCGGAGAGGGAGGCTGCTGGCCTGGCTTTGTTGTTTGCCAGTTGGAGGATCTATGGGATCCGGCATGGGCAGCTCCCAGGCCACGAGGTGCCGAAATTACTCAGTGGGGTCCTCAGGAACTTTCCGTTGCGTACCTCCCCAAGTATTTGTAACTTTTCTTTTAAATATCCAGGCTTATTAAATTGCACACACAGAATGCTGCATTGGCTCAGCTATTCTTGGGAGGCCTAATTAATTCAGCTATTGCATCAAACTTTTTTTTTCTAAATCTGTGAATAGATGCTCCAGCCCGGTTTTCTCTGGGCGCCCCTCCAGCAGAGTGTCAGATCGTGGGGAGGAGGGGCTGTGGATGGAAGCGAGGGACTGTCGCCTCTGCTCGGAGGGGGCTGCGGAGGGTGCATGTGTGTGTGCATGTGTGTGTTTGTGTGTGCGCGCTTCTGACCCTGCCAGGCCAGGGCTCAGGTGGCAGCCGCCTGCAGACCTGTGGGCTGGGGAAGGATGCTCGTGGCAGAGCTGCAGACAGACGTAGCAGGCTGGGGCCCTTCGTGTCACACGGGGAGTTGGTTGGGGTGGGCCCGATGGCGCTCCCTGTGGGCTGGGGCCTTTCTTTTTGGGGTGGCCGCACCCTCGTCAGTGCCTGTGGCTGGAGGAAGCCACATGTCGGGGGGGATTGTGGGCTCGTGCAGGCTGCGTAGTGGGTCACCTGTGGCCAAGGCCTGAGCTGCTGGGACACGCTCACGTCACTGTCTTCAGAGCTGATGGCAGAGGATCTCGGTTGAGCAGGGTGTGTCTGCGTTTGTTTTTGTCCGACTGTGGGTCATGTGTGTGCTTGTGGTCTTTCTGTCTTCCTGGGCTTTGCTGGGGGCCCATTGGAGTGGCCAGTGGGGCCTCGTTGTCACAGCTGACACAGAGCAGGGCCCAGGCCACCCGGCTTCTCTCTCCCTGTGGTTGTGAGCGCCGGGGTCCTTGGGCCGCCATAGAGACAGGCCAGACAGGCTCTGGTCATCTCAGCGGATGCCTCCGAGCCGCCTTTCCCTTTTGAAGTCCCCAGCACTGCTCTGAAATTTCATTTACCGATTAAAAAGCAATTCCCAGGCCATACTGACGACGTGCACGGTGTGAGTGACTGCGTCCTCTAGGCCTGAGTGGCAGCCACACAGCCTGGCCCTGGCAGTGGTGTCCTCCGCCTGGCTCCCTGAATGTTCACCAGCTCCTGCGGGTTTTCCTCTCCTCATGCTCCTGGGGGTGGGGCACCCATCCTGCCCGTGTTGCCTCCTGCTCTATGTTCTTGACGTGGGATGGCGGCCAGGGACTCTGCCCTCGCTCAGTGCCTGCCCTTTAGGCTCTGTGACTGTGCACTTGGGAGTTCTGGGCTTCAGGGTCCCCTTAAGTCTCCTCAGGACAGCCGTGTGCGTGTCTCTGTGTGCACAGGAGCGACACATGAGAAGGGAGTGTGGTCTCAGGGTGGGCGTGGACCCACAGTGCCCAGACCCTACTTGTCCTAGAAGGAGTGGCCTGGGAGGCCCCGCCTCCGCCCTCACTGGCCGCCGTTGGCTCCTCCCACTCGTGTCTTGACAGCTTATTCTCGGGATATGTTTTGATTTCTTCACTTCCTTTGTAGCTTATTTTAATATTTTTGATCTGCCGAAGATGAGGGCAGAACAAAGAATGTACTGGAACTCTCTTTGCAGGGCTGCTGCTCCCAGCAGGCCTTCGGGCTCTGCGGAGCCGGAGGGGGCTGAATTGCCTTCCGGGTGTTTGTGGCCAGGCCAGGGTCGGGTCTCCTGCCTGAGTGGGCTGGGTCAGCGCCACTCTCCTACCCATGGTGGGAGGTGGGAGAGGGCGGAGATGTTCCCGGGTCCCAAACCAAGTGGGAGGCAGGGCTGCAGCTTTCTCCTTGGAAGCCTCCTGTGACAGCGGCTGTGCCTGAGCCTCTGGCCTGTCGGCAGTGCAGTGGCAGCATGAGGGGCAGACAGTCTTCCTCCAGATGCCCCCTCATGTCACGGGGTTACAGAGGAAGCCTCCGCTTCTGTCCAGTGGCTGTCGGGCCCGGCCAGCTTCCTGCTGCTGTATCTTGGAAGACCATGTGGGCTGCATGGGTGCTTGGCGAGTCTCCTCTTAGGGACCCTGGGGCTGCTATCCTTGACAGGGGACCTTGTCTCACCTCCCCACTCGGTCCCACACTGGCTTTGTGACCTTGGACGAGTTGCTTAACCTCTCTGCCTCAGTGTAAACTGGGGACTACTGTTTATTGATCTTGGACTTTATGTTTTGAGTGGTACAGGTGGGGCACAGATGGGTCATTGTGCTGCTGGGAGCACTTAGCCAAGACTGGAGCCTCTGAGCCTTCCCCACTCCCACCCCTCTTTCTTCTTTCCGGTCGGCTCGCCTCCTTCCTCGGGTTCTCTGATAGCTGTAGGACTCCATTGGACTACATTTTTTTGTCAGTATAGACAGCTGTCAGAGACGGAGACAAAATGTGGCAGTTGGAGCTGCCGCTTGGCCTGCTGCCTGGGACGCGGCCCCTTGTCCCGCAGAACGTCAGCCAAGCGCTTTCCGTGCAGGCTGATAACAGGGTGGTGCCGTGCTTCCCTTGGGCCGTGGCAGGATCCTGCTCCAAGGGGGGGTCCTGCTCCGAGGGGGCCGGGGTTTCTGTTCCAACAGGGCTGGTGGGGGGGGTCCTGTTCCCAGAGGTCCGGGATCCTGTTCTGAGGGGGCCAGGGTCCTGTTCTGGGCCGGGGGTCCTGCTCCGAGGGGGCCGGGCGTCCTGTTCCTAGGGGCGGTGGGCTGCCTGTGTGAGAGCTGTTCTTCACCTGCCACGTGCAGTCTGGGCATTCTGGTGACTGGAGAATTTGGGTTGTGTTACAGTGTTGTTGCTCTGTCCTGCAGATGCCTGAATTCCCAGGGGTCTTGCAGGTCCCCTTGCCCTTGCGCTGTGTGGGCTGGCGTGGGTCTCAGTGGGCTGTGGGTTGAGGGTCGCTTGGTTGGGAAGCTCTGCGCGCTTCCCAGTGGAGGGTCCGCGACGGGGGTTTTCTGATCCCTCATGCTGGCTTTTGACCCGTGTCACTGCAAGGCTGCCCCTGGCCCCAGGCAGCGTTTCTTCAGGCAGGTGCCCAGCCAGGTGGTCGGGCTTGAGACCTTTGAGTCTCGAGGTCTGTTCTGGGGAATGACTGAGCTTGTGGAGGCCAGGAAGGGGTTGCTGGGCTTGGAGAGCCTCTGGGGAGGAGTTGTGTTTTGCTCTTTGCTGTTTTAAGCTGAAATGATCACAGGAAGGGACAGCATCAAGAGTTTCTTTCTGGGACACCCCTCACTCAGCTCAGCGGCCGTGTGTGGGTTTGGGGCTGTGCTCTCCCAGACACCCTCAGGTCCGGGGAGCACTTCGGGGGCTATCTGTCCCTTTGTCCACCAGCTTCCTTTGGAAAAAGTGTTTGCTGCAAGTGTTTTTCTCCAGCTTTTCGTGGGGTTCCCTGTAGTCTTGGGCCATGCTCTGGGGTCAGGCTCCCGGCAGGCCCTGGTCCCCGTGCAGAAGGCCAGGGTCTGCGGGTTTGGGCTGGTCTGCCCCCCAGGTGAGGGTTCCGGAAAGACGGCCGGCTGCTGAGTCTTCTCAAGCAGGGGAAACAGCAGCTCGAGAGTGGTTCTTGACCTCTGCCCACCCCAGCTGGCTGTGCACGGACTGGGGAGGGCATGGGCAGCTGCCCCCAGGTGGCTTCTGCAGGGAGCAGAGCTTAGTGGTCATTTTCCCGGCATGGTCTGTCATCCGTCTGTCTGGGACCCCTCTGGGAGCTGGGCTGGGTCCCTCGCCTTCTGGGGCAGCAGGGTCACGGTGGGGGGGCTAGTCCTCTCTTTCAGCATCTTGTTTCTCAGCCGTCCCTGCGGCTATTTGTGCAATGTCTGTCTGTCTGAGTCTCCGGGTGAGGGCAGACAGGATATGGTGCGAGGAAGTCTGGGGTAAGTGTGAGCCGAACCCCGCCCTGGAGTCTCTCGGGGTTGTGGGGCCACAGCCCCAGCTTAGGTTAGGCCTTCACTGCTGCTGGCAGGGCCTCCAGAGAGAAGGCGGTGGTTCCGGGGCCTGGGCCCTGACTGTCTGGCAGGAGGTGTCCACGCCGGCGGCCCGGCTCTCTGTGGCAATAATGTGTCTCTTTCTAAGGATTGCGAAAGTTGAGGGAGGATTTCTCCACTGGAAGAATTATGCAAGCTTCAACTGAAATGTTTTTAAAAAGTTTCTTTGTTTTGAGTCAAAATACAGAAGGTGAATTATTTCCCTAATATCTGGGAGAGCTGGAAAAGAAGGCCCCTGTCCTTATTCTTCAGGGCTCTTCCCCTCCTGAGCAGTGGTCACCAGGCCAGGGTGTCATGGAGGGGGGGCTGCCTGGGGACCAGCTCTTTACACCTGGCCTCCAGAGCGGGTGGTAGGGCGGCTCCTTCCTGCCCTGCCCTGGCTGTCACCCTCGTGGTCTGGAGCAGGGTTTTTTTTTGTTGTTATTTTTTTTTTTTTTTGAGACAGGGTCTGTTTCTGTTGCCCAGGCTGGAGTGCAGTGGTGCGATCTTGGCTCACTGCAGCCTCCGTCTCCTGGGTTCAAGCGATTCTCCTGCCCCAGCCTCCTGGTAGCTGGGATTACAGATGTGTGCCACCACACCCAAGTAATTTTTTTGTATTTTTAGTAGAGATGGGGTTTCACCATGTTGGCCAGCCTGGTCTCGAACTCCTGACCTCAAGTTATCTGCCCACCTTGGCCTCCCAGAGTGCTGGGATTACAGGCATAAGCCACTGTGCCTGGCCCCTGGAGTGGGTTCTGCCACGGAAGGCATCCCCGGGGTCTGCGGGCTGGAGGGGTCGCCCCCACTGTGCCACCTGTTCTCTCGAGGCCTGGTTGCCCTCTGCAGACCAGGTGCCATGCCAGGTGACCCTCAGGAAGCTCTGGCTCACCCCGGGGGCTGGGGGGCATGATAAGCGATAGCTCTTAGGTGCTGCTGCTTTGTGAATATGAGAGAGTTCCAGAAGGGCCCCGCTTCCCAGAGCCTGCATGTTGGTTTCACTGTGTGGTACTTGATATTTTTCCAGGCTGCCTTGCTGGGGTGGCCTCGATGGGGGGCCCAGGGAGCCTCCAGCTCTGGGGACATGCTGCCACATGAGCCTGCTTATTTACGAAAATGAAGAACCAGGACTTGAGTGTGAATTTTAAATGAGATTGTGGGGACAATAGTAAAATCCAGACTAGGACCAGATGGACTGAGCACCTGCGTTGGCCATGGCCCGGAGGTGGCGTGGTGGTGCCTGGCGCCTGTGGCCCTCAGCATGTGTCCTGCCGGCCGCCTAGTAGGCCTTCGCTTGAAGTGCTTATTCCTTTGAGTAATGCTCCTGTCTTTTGTTTGGGGGGAAACAGATAAAGGGGGCTTTGAGAGGCGTCTCGGCGTGATCCTGGGAAACGGCCGAGATTCTGTTCGGTGCTTGGTGTTCGTGTCTTCTCTGATTTTACCTTTTTGACTCATAAAGATGGAAGGAGTGCTCTGCCTCGGTGCCTCTGCAGCTGCAGATGCTGAATCGGGGCGTTTAGGCCTGCCTCTTGGGCTGGCACACCTGGCGGCCTTGGTCAGGCCTTCTTGGGCTGCCTCTGCTGGGGTGCTTGTCTCACTGGCCGTGGGGGTTGTTGCCTGTGTGGTTGTGTTGCTGGCTTCAGGGGCTAGGGTTAGGGACGCCTGGTCACGTCTGGGTCCCCAGTTTGGGGGCCAGATTCAATAACTCACTGAATGACTCAGTGGAACTCTGCAGGCACTGGCAGTCAAGGTTTATTGGCAGGTCCATTCTTTGGCTAGAAGGAGAATGCTGTTTCTTTTCTCACTGTTTCACCATTTTTTTTTTTGAGATGGAGTCTTGCTCTGTTGCCCAGGCTGGAGTGCAGTGGCGTGATCTCGGCTCACTGCAACCTCAGCCTCCCGGGTTCAAGCAATTCCCCTGCCTCAGCCTCCTGAGCAGCTGGGACTACAGGTGCGTGCCACCACGCCTGGCTAATTTTTTGTATTTTAGTAGAGACGGGGTTTTACCATGTTGGCCAGGATGGTCTCCATCTCCTGACCTCTTGATCTGCCCACCTCGGCCTCCCAAAGTGTTGGGATTACAGGCATGAGCCATTGCGCCTGGCCATTGTTCCACCTTTGGAAGAAATTGGTTCACCGTCTTCTGACCTGGGGGGCGCTTCTACCCTGGTTCCATATTGAGGGCTGGGAAGTTGCTGGAATATTATTACCCTTGGCTGGTGAGGCTGAGTGCTGATGCTCCTCCCAGCTCTCAGCCCTGCCTGGACCAACTGCGGCTTCTGCTGGAACGTCGGCGGCTGACTTAGAAAGAAACAGCTCCTGTTCTAGGCTTCCTGCAGGTCCCACGGTGCTGCTTGTTTCAGAGAAACGCAGCTCAGGCTGGCGGCCTCAGGTGGGCATGGGTGGCAGGGGATGCCATCACCCAAATCAGGGATCTTTCTCTGTCCTGAGGGTTCCACCCCAGGACCCAGGGCACTAACTGGGTTCTTGTGTGGCCCTTCCCGACCAGACCTGACCCCTGAGCTGCGTGTGTGAGGTGATGGTGACTCCACGACAGCTTGTGTGCCGTTATGGGGGCACCTGAGGACTGGCTGACCTCACCGGGAAGTGCGTCAGGAGTGGGTGAGGGGTGGTGGGAGGGCAGGGAGCGCCCAGCAGGTGTCCAGCGGTGCTGGCGCTGCCTCTGTCTCTCTGTCCACGCCCTGTGTGTATCTGGAGTGGCTTAGGTGCTCCCTGCGGTGCTCCTGGCTGCTGTGGTTCCTGAAGGCTGCGGCTGTGCCGGTGGTTTCCTTTGATGTCAGTCTTCTTCTACAGGGGAAACCATGTTGCCAGGAGAGCCAGGTGTCCGCTAATTACGTTGTGTTGTTCTGCCCAGGAGTGAACCTGTAAGTGATGAGAATAAGAAGCGGCTGTCAGCCTGCAGACCCGCCCTCACCCTGTCCTGGTTGGGGTGCTGCCTGCTGGGAACCCCTGGTCCAGCTGTTGAGAGGAGGCTGACTGGGGGCACAGTTGTTGCAGAGTCTGATGCAGGCTTTCTCTGCCGGGAAAGTAACATGGAAACATTGTTGCTTTTACTATGGAGCAGATGTATCTTTGCCCAGAAACAGAAATGCTCTTGGTTTCTTTTTTTGGAAATAAGGCCCATAGGCTGGGTCCTTCTTGCCCTGTTGAGGGAACGTGTCTGTCCTTAGCGTGGAGGCCAGTCTGGCCGGGTGCTGAGCTCGTCCTGCAGAACACGCGTGAACGCCTCATCCCTGAGGGCCCCGGGAGGCTGGCGCCCTCTGTGGGAGGTCTGAGGTTGGCCCATTTGACCCTATCCAGGACGGGTTACTTAAGGAGTCCAACGGGCCTTGAGAGGCTGATCACCCTCGTGTGGCGGGCGTCTCTCCCCGGTGCCCTCCCGCCTGGTGCTGTCAAGGGCTTCTCTGTGCCAGGCGCTGGGCTGTGGCAGCCCCAGGTCCCCGCCTGGTGTGGCTGCCCACGGTCCAGGCAGCTCCAGGGTGGGCATCCTTGGCTCCCTCCCTCACCAGCTGGCCCTGGGAGGTCTGTCTGAGAGGAGTTAGGCCTCATTGTCCGTGCTCAGAGAACCCGAGCCTTCCTTAGGAAGCAGTTTGTCCCCGTGCCTCCCTTCAGGATCCTGTGGCCTGAGAAGCCTCTGCGTGGCAGTGGATGGCAGCTCCAGCTGCCCGTGGCCCTCTTTTTTTATGGTTTCCCAGATGACTGGGCCAAGCTGGGCCTCTGCATCCTAGGCATGCTGTTCCCTGCGCTTCCCTGGAAGGTCGGCGGCCCTGCGTGGACCTACACGGTACCCAGGACAGGCCTGCCATGGCACCGGTTGGGCCTCTGGGCACAGGGTGCTCTGCCTCCATGGCCCTGACAGGCTCTGATGCCTGAGGATGGGGGCCGGGCACTCCCAGCCTTGAGACTTCCCTCTGCAGAGGTGGCACAAGCCCGGGGCCCCAGAGTGAGGGGACTCTTGCCTGCCTGGTGAGGGTGAGCGTGGGGTCTGGACTCTGACCCCTGGTCCAGGCGGGAGAGGAGCACACTGGACAGGGCAGCCGAGCCACCCTCTGCGGAGCTGTGGACACTGCGTGTGTGGTGCTGAAGGTGTACACGTCCACTGAGGCCACCTGCGCCGCTGCCTGTGTCCTGTGGGCTGGCACTCACCGAGTGAGAGCTGTGTGCAGAACCTCCGCTGTCAGCGGGCCAGGCCACACTGGGGAGGGAGGTATTCCGTGTGCTTGCACTGAAGCCTGCCCCAGGCTGCCTTCTGGGTTAGGGATACCCAGGACCTCCATAGCTGGTGTGGCGTCTGTGAGATCTCAGCTGCTGCTTCCCTGGACGCCCGTGTGGACCTGGAGGGGGGTGGGGACCCGGCCTGGCATGGTCCCTGGCCACCTGCCTGGTGCTCCGGGTTGTGCCGTTGGCAGTGCCTTCGCTCTGCCTCACCTGCTGCCTCCGCCTTTCCTGGCTACAACCCTGTTGCCCAAACCATTAAAAAAATTATACTACCAAGTTGAATGATATGCAAATGTAGTCAATTAAGCGAGGGGATTTTAATTAGCAGTTTAAGTTCATGTGTGAAGTGCCTTGCCTTAATTACTTGACAGTTTTGTTGTAAATTTGCTAAGTTTTTTTTTGCAGAACTATCAAAACTGTGATTTTTGTTAACATTCTTGGATGCGGTGAGTGGCGCCCAGCTTGCCTGACCCTAGTGGGTTTTGTCTTAATTTATAAAGCTCTTTAAACTGTGAAAACAAGGTAAACCCCCTGGGTTGCCTCTGTGTGGCTCTTCGAGTCAAGCCGGGCTCGATGTCTTCCTTGTCACTGGCTGGGGTGGGGACCTGCCTCGTGCGTGGTCTTGAGCTCCCGTTGGGGGAACGGGAGAACCTTCATCCCATGTGGGTGTAGCCGTTGGCGGCACCTTTGTACGGGGACACACCCTGGACCTGAATGGAGTCAGGAAGGGTTTCAACCTGGATGGCCCGCGTGCCGGGGACCCGCAAGGTGTGCAGTGGCAAGGGCCGGTCCTGGTGGCGGGCTCCCTGGTGATGCTGGTGGATGGTTGTGCGTGGGCCTTGGGGTTCACAGTTCAGTTTGGGAGAGGCGAGAACCCCTCACTTTGAAGTCTTTCCTGGCCAACGGGAGGCTTCTCAGAGCAGCTTTCACGGCTCCGGGGCTGAGTGAGGCCTGTGTCTAGGCTCATCCTGCCCTCCGGGGCGTCCCAGTGTGCCTGGGCAGTGGCGCAGCTGGCTCCTTCCACTGGGTTTAGGTGTGCTTCTGCTCCCCACTGCTGCTTCAGCTGCGTCCTTTGCGGGTCCCCGTAACTTCAGTGCCCCCACCCCTGTTCGGTTCCCTGACTGAGCTCGGCGCCTCTAGTGTAGATGGGTTTTTAATTTTCCCAGCTGAACGTCGTTATTTGGATTGTGATTTCTTTGGTGTTTCAATGGACTGTAGATGAAGGAGGACCTGTTTTCTCTCAGGAGTGTCTGTGGGGTCTCTTGTCCTGGTTTGCTCAGTGAAGTGTGGCCCCAAGGGCTGAGGGAGGTGGCCAGGACCCCGCAGGGTGGCCCCCACCACAGAGGCTGCTGTCCTCCGGGTTCTTCTCCACTTTCTGGGACCTTGGCCGAGGAGGCCTCTGGGAGGGTGAAATGGCCACAGGCCTGGAGAAGCGACACCGGTGGGAAGCCACCGGCAGAGAAGTCAGGGAGGAGGGAGTCCTGGGCCTGGAGGAACGTGGGAGGGGCAGGCGCCTCCTAGCAGCCTCAAGAAATGTGGGCCAGGCAGGTCTGGCTACGGGCAGGAGTGTGTCTGGGACTCTGAACTGCCAGAAGCACTTGGCGGCAAGCCACATGCTGTCACAATGTTGCCTGGCCCCCATGAGGAGGTCCCGTGGGTGGTGGCGGGTGGTGGCTGGTTGTGGGGCAAGGCTGCGGGACTGGGACCGCTGGCTTCCTGGGGCCATCGAGGCTCCCAGAAGAAGAAATCAAGAGGATTTTAAGAAGCAGAGTTCTCTTTAGCCCGAAGTAACCATACAGCATTAACAAGAAAACTTGGAATTCTTCGAAGTGAAGCTCTCTCTACTTGTTCGGAGGATGGAGGACAGTTCTAGATCCAGGAGAGCGGTGGCGCAGACACGGACTTCACCCTTGGTGGGAGGGGAGAAGCACAGCATCCTGTTGTTCGTGAGTCAGGTGAGAGGCGCGAGAAACCACAGCTCTTAGGAAAATCCGTGCTGCCCAGTGTGGGGGCCGTCCACAGCCCTTCGGCACTGCTGGGGAAGTGGCCCTGCGTCGACCCCAATCCTCCTCAGCTGTGTTCAGCCCCTGAGATGCCCTGGGCTCCCTGGTTGAGCTTTGGTGGGTAACTGCAGGATGCACACAGGAGCTGCAGGCGAGGGCTTTGTAGGAGCTCTGTGGCCGCCCCACATCCCTGGCCTCTGCCATTTTCTGCCTAAACGTTGACACATGGAAGAGGGAGCCCAGGATGCTGTGGGCCCAGAAGGTGGGGCCCTGCGGGCTCCATCACTTCACTCCAGGGCACAGAGGGCCCAGGGTCCCCTCACACTTGCCTGTGGGGACCAGTGGGAACAATTCTCATTTTACTGTCATTATGAACTTGCGGCTTAAATATGTCTGTGGACTTCAAAGTGCCATCCTGTGTGGAAAATTTCCAGCTTTCACTGAAGTAGAGAGATTAGCTCAATGCACCCCATGTATCCCGTTCACCAGTTATCCACAGCTCACTCATTTTGTTTCATCCAACTCCCTCTCCTATTTTGAGGGGGAGGGATTGTAATTTTTTTTTTCTTTGAGACTGAGTCCTGCTCTGTCGCCCAGGCTATAGTGCAGTGCTGCGATCTCCGCTCACTGCAAGCTCTGTCTCCCGGGTTCACGCCATTCTCCTGCCTCAGCCTCCCGAGTAGCTGGGACTACAGGTGCCCGCCACCGTGCCCGGCTAATTTTTTTGTGTTTTTAGTAGAGACGGGGTTTTACCGTTTTAGCCAGGATGGTCTCGATCTCCTGACCTCGCGATCCGCCCGCCTCGGCCTCCCAAAGTGCTAGGATTACAGGTGTGAGCCACTGCGCCCGGCCAGGACTGTAATTTTTTGAAGCAAATCCCAGGCATCATCTTATTTCATATTTAAGTGTTTCAATATCCACATCTAAGGAATATGGAATCATAAAAAACGCTCACCATGACCCATTACCTTGCCTAACAAAGCTGAGGGCAATTTCCGGACACCAGCCCATGTTCAGGTCCTTCCTGTCTCAGAAGTGTTTTCCTGCTGCTTTTCGGGACCCAGGGACAGCACTGCGTGCGATGGATGGGTCTTCCGTGCATGCCTGTCTGTGTGTGTGTGTGTGTGTGTGCCTGTGTGTGCCTGTGTGTACGTGTGTGGTGCTGTGATGGGCTGTGGGGACAGTCCCGCGTGCTGACCTGAGCCTGGCAGAGTCAATATCTTGTTGGGAGGCAGCAGGCCAGGAGAGAGCGGAGCTGGTTGGAGGAGGGCCAGCCTCCCCACCTAGAGACCGTCGGTGACCTTCCTCATGTGATGCGTCCCTTGGTGTGGCCCCCAGCCGCTAGTGGTGAACCTCTGTAAATGTATGTGAACACTTCCCGTGCATGTCTAGTCAGGAGAGTAATCAGAGAAGCAATTGGTATGTGCTCATCAAAGAACCCCAGAACAGCCGAGAAGAGTGCAGAGGGTAACCCCTTCTCTGTCTTTGTTCTTGGTGGGTTGGGGGAGAAGTACAGTGTCCTGTTTGTTCACGTCAGGGGAGAGGCAGGAATGTACCACATCTCTGTCGCTGGAAACGTGGGAAGCCGGGATGTGGCCTACCGTGGCCCCTTCTGGCCCCGCAGGGGAGTGGGTGTCCCTGCCCTCACTGTAATCTCTACCACATTGATGGAAAGATTTTTCTTTTTCTTATTTTTGGAGACAAGGTCTCGCTCTGTCATCTGTGTTGGAGTGCAGTGGTGTGATCCCAGCTCACTGCAGCTTTGACATCTTGGGCTCAAGAGATTCTCCCGCCTCAGCTTCCTGAGTAGCCGGGACTGTAGGTGGGCATCACCACGCCTGGCGGATATTTTTTTTAATTTTAGAGATGTGATCTCCGTTTGTTACCCAGACTGGTCTGAAACTCCTGGGCTCAAGTGATCCTCCTGCCTCAGCCTCCCAAAGTGCTGTGAGCCACCACTCCTGGCCTGAAAGTATTTTTCGTAATTGGATTTTTCCATATGTGCACTAAGGTCTGCCTTTTTCCCTGAATGAGGCATAACAAGTATTTCTGTGGCTGTGTTCTCTGTGGGAATATTATTGTGACATGCTTGTAAGAAGTAAGTGAAAAGCACACCAGCACGGTATTCACATAGCACAGAAGGTTATAAAAGGCAAACGCAGACATGGGTGAGGGCAGAGTTGTTCTTGGTTTGTCACAAGGGCGTGTGAACGCGGTTCCCCACCTGCCCTGCTCTGCTCAGCAGCTTTGGGATATGAGTGCCTTGGGTGCCTGGTGCCTTTTTGGGCCAGCCCTGTGGTATTTTGGAGTATCCGTTGGTATTGAGAGTCTGGAACTTACTTAGTGTCTGGGGCATGGGCCGTGTTTTGGTATCGCAAGAGATGCTTCAGGGCGCGTGTCAGCACAAACACATCACACGGGCTTCGTGACCATGTGCTGGCTGCACGAGATGTCAGTGTGCTCCGCGTACCACCTGCTTCATCCCCGCCCTGCCCTCTCGTGCTCCTCGGCAGGGGGCCGCCATCCTTATGCCCCGCCTGCCCTTTCTGCAGCTGTGGGTGCAGGCTGGCCGTTGTGCTCTGTTGCAGGAGCTCCTGTCAGGCTGCTGGTCTGCGCGTGTGCTCTCCGAGTGCCTGTCACTCTGGCTGACTCACTGTGTCAGTGTCACCGTGCAGCTTTGCTCGTCCTGTTCTTGTGCCTTGGGACGAGTGGGCAGAGTGCTTGCTGTTGGGTAGGCTGTGGTGCACCATGTGGGCCTGGGAGTGAAACAGCTTGGTCAGAGGGCATGTCGGTCACGCCAGGCTGTCTTCCAAAGCGTCCCAACACTCCCTGTCATCGGTCTTGTTGGCTGTAAACGAGTTCTCTGCTGCATGGGATGCTAGGGGTGTGGTGAGTTTCTTGTAGACGTGGCAGGTCAGAGGGGAGGCACACTGTCTGCCAGGCACCCTGTTATTTACTGATACACGCACACGCAATACACATCTCTATAGATTGCTTTTGTATGTTCACTCAGCTGGGATGATTCTGTGTGTGCTTAGATCTTTGTTCACGTTTCTGATCATTTCCTTAGTGGACTCTGAGATTCCCCTAAAAGGTGGGATTGTTTTACCCAAACTTTTCTTTCTTTCTTTCTTTCTTTTTTTGACACAGAGTCTCGCTCTGTCACCCAGGCTGGAGTGCAATGGCATGATCTCGGCTCATTGCAAGCTCCGCCTCCCGGGTTCATCCCATTCTCCTGCCTCAGTCTCCTGAGTAGCTGGGTCTACAGGTGCCCGCCACCACACCCGGATAATTTTTTGTATTTTTAGTAGAGATGGGGTTTCACCGTGTTAGCCAGGATGGTCTCATCTCCTGACCTCGTGATCCGCCTGCCTCGGCCTCCCAAAGTGCTGGGATTACAGGCGTGAGCCACTGCACCTGGCCCCTCCTGACAACTTTTAAGATTCTGTCATTTAGGCTGGGCATGGTGGCTCACACCTGTAATCCCAGCACTTTGGGAGGCCAAGGTGGGTGGATCACTTGAGGTCAGGTTTTCAAGACCAGCCTGGCCAACATGGTGACACCATGTTTCTACTAGAAAAATACAAAAATTACCTGGGCGTGGTGGTGTGCACCTGTAGTCCCAGCTACTTGGGAGGCTGAGGCTGGAGAATAGCTTGAACCTGGGAGGTGAAGGTTGCAGTGAGCTGAGATGGCGCCATTGTACTACAGCCTGGGTGACAGAGCGAGACTCTGTCTCAAAAAACGAAAAGCAAAAACAAGATTCTGTCATTTAGAGTGTCTTTGTTAATTTGAAAGGTGAAAAATCTCATCATTTAGTTTGTATTTCTTTGCTTTTTGGTGGGTTGATTGTTTTGTTATTTCAGTATTTTTTTCTGTAACTTGTGCATATTACATTTTCTTATTGTGGCAAAATAAACATAATGTTGACCATTACATGTAGCATTCAGCAGTGTTGAACACATAGGCTGACAGTGAAGGAATGGAAAAAGACATCCCATGCCATTGGTGACCAAAAGAAAACAGGAGTGGCTCCATTTGTATCAAACAAAATATACTTTTCTTCAGAAACTATTACTAGAAACAGAAAAGTAGTTACAGAACAATAAAAGGGTCGAATCAACTGGAAGATCTAACAATAATATATACGCACCTAACCTCAGAACAGCTAAAACTGTAAAGCAAATTCACGCTGCTGTTCACCCACCTTCCCAGGCTCAGCCTTTGTCCCCATGAGACACTCACTCCCCATTCTGCCTCCCCCAGCCCCCAACACCCACCCGCCGCTTTCTGTTTCTGTGACTTTGGTGACTCTAGGGGCCTCCTGTGAGTGGAATCGCACAGGATCTGTCCTTTTGTGACAGCTTATTTCACTCAGCACCATGTCCTCAAGGCGCAGCCATGCGTAGCCTGTGTCACAGTCTCCTTCCTTCTCAAGACTGAACCGCAGGCTGCTGTATGGATGTATTTTGTTTACCCATTTCTGTCAGTGGACACACGGGTGACTTCCACAGTTTAGCTGTCGTGAATGATGCTGCTGTGAGCACGGGTGCACAGTGACCTCTGGAGACCCTGCCTTCAGTTCTGGGTGTAGACCCAGAAGTGGGATTGCTGGATCATTGATCATTCTATTTTTATTCATTTATTTTTGAGACAGCATCTTGCTCTGTTGCCCAGGCTGGAGTGCAGTGGCACGATCTCGGCTCACTGCAGCCTCCACCTCCTCCTGGGCTCAAGCGATTCTCCTGTCTCAGCCTCCCAAGTAGCTGGGACTAAAGGCATGTGCCACCATGCCCAGCTGATTTTTGTATTTTTAGTGGAGATGGGGTTTCACCATGTTGGCCAGGCTAATCTTGAATTCTTGACCTTATGTGACCTGCCCGCCTTGGCCTCCTAAAGTGCTGGGATTACAAGCGTCAGCCACTGCACCTGGCCCTATTTTTCCTTCTTTTTTTTTTTTTTTTTTTTTTTTTTGAGGCAGGGTCTCACTCTGTTGCCCAGGCCAGAGTGCGGTGGCACAGTCTCGGCTCACTGCAACCTCCGCCTCCCAGGTTCAAGTGATTCTCCTGCCTCAGCCTCCTGAGTAGCTGGGGCTATAGGTGTGTGCCACCACACCTGGCTAATTTTTGTTTTTTTAGTAGAGACGGGTTTCGCCACGTTGGCCAGGCTGGTCTCTGACTCCTGGCCTCAAGCCGTCATCCCGCCTCGGCCTCCCAAAGTGCTGGGATTACAGGCGTGAGCCACCGCATTCAGCCCGTTTTTCTTTTTAAAGAACCGACTGTTTTTCATAGTGGCTGCAGCATTTTCCACTCCCAGCAACAGCGTTCGAGCAGCACTGTCTTTGCATCCTCTCCAGCACTTGTTCTGTTTTTTGACAGCGGCCATCCTAATGGGTGTGAGGTGGCATCTCATTGTGGTTTTGGTTCTCATTTCCCTGATGATTAGTATGTTGGGCATTTTTTCGTGTGCTTATTGGCCACTCCTATATCCTCTTTGAGGAATGTCTGAGTCCCTCTTTGAGTCGAGTTGTGTGTGGGGGCCTTTGCTCAGTTGTACGTCTTTATCTACTCTGGTTAGTGATCCTGTTCTACTTGTAAATTTCTGTCTCCTGTTTGTCTACTGCGTGCACCGTGGTCGGATCCTGCCTCTGTTGCTGGAGGCTGCCTCTGTCCTCTGCTGTGGTGGTCAGGAAGCTGGAGCGTCTCGGCGCCAGATTCATGTTTGTAAGAGGAGACGCTCTGTGAGCCTCGGTGTGCAGCGCTGTCTGCAAGTCAGACTCCCCACCCCTCCTTTGTGCGAGCTGGGCGGGGGCTCTGCCGGGACTGGTGGTGTTCATGGAGAGGGCTTCTGTGTGATGAAGAGATGACAGTGACCTGCTGGGGCCGAAGGCTGTGAGTGCCATTGGGGGAGGGAGTCTCAGAGAGTGCGGCAGTCGGGCCTGATGGGGCTGCTCTTCTGTGAAGGGGCACCTACCGTGTGCCTGGCCTGTAGCAGCAGCAAAGAGGAACCTGATGGGGGGGGCCTCAGGAACCTCCACCTCGCCCACTGTGGCCAGGCTGCTTCTGCTTTCTGGGAGGCCTGTGCAAGAGCCATGGGCACAGGCCGGGCACGGTGGCTCACGCCTGTAATCCCAGCACTTTGGGAGGCTGAGGCCAGCGGATCACAAGGTCAGGAGTTCAAGACCAGCCTGGCCAATATGGTGAAATCTCGTCTCTACTAAAAATACAAAAGTTAGCCAGGTGTGGTGGCATGCACCTGGTCCCAGCTACTTGGGAGGCTGAGGCAGGAGAATCACTTGAACCTGGGAGTCGGAGTTTGCAGTGAGCCGAGATTGTGCCACTGCACTTCAGCCTGGGCAACAGAGCAAGACTCCATCTTAAAAAAACAAAAAACAAAAAAGGGAGCCGTGGGCATGTGTGTGCACAGGTGTGCATGGGTGTGTGCAGCTGGAGAGGGAAGGGCCTGGGTCAGGGGCGCCCTCAGCCTGGAGCCAGGGAAGGGCAGCGAGAGGACCCCAGACTCCCAAATGACCAAGGGCCTGTTTGCAGCGTGCTTCTCCCTCCTTTCTTCTGGCTCTGAAGTTATATCCTGCCAGATCCTGGAGAAAGTTCTTTTAGCAAAATGATGGCTTCGCTGAAGATGATACTTGCCACCTCACAGAAGCCTGTCACGTTCCTCCCTTTGGAACCCATTGCCAAATGTGGGTGGTGTGGTGGACCCGGGGCAAGGGGCCATTCTCTGGCAGCCCCTAGAAATGCCTCCCTGGGGTTGGGGTGCAGCCACCAGGCAAGAAGTATGTACCCCCTTGCCCTGGCCACTTGGGGTTTCTGGGACAATCTGCTGGCTTGGCCTTGACTTTTTCCTGAACCTAGGAGCCCAGGGCCTGCTCCTGGCATCAGGACTTGCTCTTCCTCTTTCCTGGGCCCCACAGGTGCCCTTGGGGAGCACACAGCTGCCCCAGCCCGAGTCCAGTCTGGCTCTCGGGAAGGGGCCTTACTGCTGGCTGCACACCTTGGCCTCCTTCCCCTGGATGCGCCATTGCCAACGCAGCTGGGACAGCCCTTGGACGCAGCGTGCCCGCCCCTTTTACCAGGGCATGTGGGCTGGGACCAGTTTCAGCCCCATGTTGACTTGTTTGGCTCTGCTGGTGGTGACGGGGGGGCGCGGTGGCGGGGGGCCTTGGTCGCGTCGTGTCTGCTCTTGTGCACCGGTGCCTCACGGAGAGGCTGTGGTGAGTGCGCGGAAGGACCCTGGTGCTTTTGGGGACTTTCTGGAGCAGCCCACATTCCTTCCCCAGAGCCCTAGGGGCCTGGCCAGCTGCCTTTCCAGGCCCTGAGGCCACCAGGTTCTTGGGGGGAGCTCCTAGGTTCTGCTTTGGCCTGGCTGGGTGGTGCCCACACTGCCGCGTCCCCTCTCCGGGGCTGCCCGGACTCAGCCTGGCTGGCAGCCATTTCCGTTACTTGGTTTCCAAAGGCCCCATCTTGGAATCAGGAGCAGGCTGTGGGACTCAGGGTGGGTTCTGAGCTTGGTGACCCGCTCTGCTCTTTTGTCCGGCTTTGTCCTAACTGTTGAATATTAATGAGGGGCGCCGCAGGGTGGCTCTCCAGTGGAGGGTCCTCACTTTTTGTTTTGCAAATAACGCTGGGGCCCCTGCGCCACTGGGGCAATGCAACTGTGACGGTGCTGGTTGGATTCAAAAGGAAGCCTGGCAGTGGCGGGGCCTGGACAGGCAGCCTTTGACCTGAGGCGGGGCGGCGCTCTGCGCTGGTTCAGAAAAGCCGTGGGGCAGCCTCTCTGGCAGGCACTGGCTGTACCTGTTGGTTTTCCTTTGCCCACAGTGAAGTGAAAGTCACTGCAGCTGGGTTTGCTGTTTAACTCACTGTCTTTCCTTCTCACGTCTTCTCTGTGCAAATAGTGGTCAGTGTACTTTTTGATTATTTCAGTCAAGTGGAAGTTTCTAGGAGCGTAGAGAGGCAGCGTGGCTTAGGGTTTAGGAGCATGGCTGGGCTACCTTCCTACTCTGAGTGTGGGCCACGTTACTTTTCTAGGCCTCAGTTTCCCATTGGCCCCTCTCCTGTTTGGAAGAGGCAGCTGGGTCCCACAAGCCATCTCAGGAGCCGCGTCTGGGCGCTGGCACGGGGACTGTGCCCACAGCCAGCCAGCCTGGTGGTCAGCTGATGGATTCCCGTAGGTACTTAGCAAAATGCCTGGAGTGTGCGAGGCTGTCAGGCCAGTGGCAGATGCGGTCGAGTGCTGTTGTTTCTTGGTGCTGCCTGGCACTGCCACCCTGATGGTCGGCTCTGAGTTGGAGGCCAGCTTTCATGGCAGCGTTGTTGGTGGGCGTGCAGGGTGTGTCTGACCTGGGCCTGGGCATCAGGTCCCATTGTGGTTGGGTCCACAGGGCCCCTTGCCTCATTCGTGGAGGTGCTGGGGGAATTCTACAGGCTGAGGACGTGTGAGGCTCCAGGGTCCAGCGTGCAGGCCGGATGTTCCTAGCGTTGCCGGCCACGCAGACAGCCGTGCCACCAGGAGGTTCCCTGGCAATGGGAGACAATTGTCTGCTCAGTTCAGCCTTCAGTGCCCCAGGGCTGTTTTGAGATCAAGGCTGAGGGGGACCCTTTCAAGTGTCTCTGCCTTTGGTGGTCCCGGGTGGCCGGCTCCTCACCCATGGTGTGGTCTGAGTGGGCTGAAACCGACCCCAGGTGATTCTTATTCGGAAGAGATGTTTCTGGAAATGAGAGCAAGGCAGTGAGTGGAGAGCCAGCTGAGAGATGCTTGACTCCCCACCTGCTGCTGTTGGGGCCAAAAGCGTGGAGGAGGGAAGAGCCAGCACAGAGGGCTCACGGTGTCCCCTGCTCCAACCGACTCACTGGCCGCGGCCTCATGGGGCCTCCCTGTCCTGCCTCCTGCTCAACAGGCCACAGGTTTTGTTGGATTCGTCAATTATGACCCAGGTTGTTGAACTGGAATTGGAGATGTTTTTACAGTTGGAGAGTTTGTTACAGTCAGAACATTTCGGGTTGTTGGAGTTCGGTGTCTTGCTGCTGTTGCAGCTTGCATCTTTTGGCCACAGTTTTTTTTTTTGATACAGTGTCACTCTGTCTCCCAGGCTGGAGTGCAGTGGTGTGATCTTGGCTCACAGCAACCTCCGCCTCCTGGATTCAAGTGATTCTCCTGCCTCAGCCTCCCGAATAGCTGGGATTACAGGCGCCCGCCCACCACGCCCGGCTAATATTTGTATTTTTAGTAGAGACGGGGTTTCACCATGTTGGCCAAGCTAGTCTCGAACTCCTGACCTCAAGTGATGCAGCCGCCTTGGCCTCCCAAAGTGCTGGGATTACAGGCATGAGCCATCGCACCTGGCCATGGCCACCTGTTTTAAGGAAACCACTCAGTGTCTTAAAAGTTAAGGGTGCTCATTGCCCTGCTCAACAGAGAGTCCCGTGTGGTGCTGGGTAGCCCTCGTGCCGCTCTCTGGCCGTCCCAGAACCCGCTGTCCGTTCCCAGCGTGTCCTCGAGTGTGGGGTGGCCACTGCTGCCCAGGTATGCCACTGTCCATGGCTGATGGAGGAGCAGGAAGTGGCCCATTTGCAAGCCTGCTGCCTGTCCTTGGTTTGGGTCTTTTTATTTTGAGAAATCTCCAAACCTACATACAGCGAAGTTGCAGGAAGAACGTGGTGAGTCCCCATTCCCTGAGCTCAGCTGCTGCTGGCACTGGCCTCCTCTCGCCACGACTGTTTTTGCAACTTTTTGCCGGTCATTTGAGAGAATGTTTCAGTCAGTGGGGTCCTCCCTGCTAAGCCCTTCATTCTGAATTTCTAAAAGTAAGGGGATGTGGTGTGTGACCGTGACACGGTGACCAAGTCTGGGAAGCTGGCTCCCCTGGCCACGCTCTGCCGTGTCTGCCACGCCCTCTTCAGTAGTTTACTTCTGCCTGGGACCTGCCTGGCGGCTCAGCTGACTCTTCTCTTGGGCCTGCCTCGTTGCCCTAGGCAGCTGGCTGCGCGTTGGCAGGGCCCGGACGGGCAGGTGGGTAGCGGCAGCCCCGGGGGGCCGGTGCCCTATCAGAGGCGTGGGAGGCATCAGGAGCAAGCGGCCCCCATGCTTTTCTCAGGGGAGCCTCTCCCTTGGTAATTAATGAGTAATCCGCCGAGGGGAACTTTGGACCCCAAAAGTCCCCTGTCCCCATGGACTTTATCCGGGTGGGCCAGGATCCCTGGTGAGTCTGCTTGTCTTAGGGATGGGGACGTGGGGCACTGACCGCACTCTTGGCCACTGCTGCTGCTGGAGTCTCGCCTTTCTCCTCCCGCCTGCCTTCTTGCCGTGTAGTAGCGCTGCGGACCGTGTTCGGAAAGAGTCACTTACTGTCCGTTCTAGTCACAGTTTTGATGCCCAAGTTGACCTTCTGTTGGCTGCCCACAGGTCTGGGTATCTGCTGATGTTCTTTTATTTATTTATTTTTTGTAGAGATGGGGTCTCACTCTGTGGCCCAGGCTGGTCGTGAATTCCTGGGCTTGAGCCATCCTCCCGCCTGGTGTCCCACAGTACTGGGATTACAGGTGTGAACCCCCGCTCCCTCCCCCTGCCCCAGCCCCTGCTGAGGTCTTATTTCAGAGCCGGCAGGGTTTTCCCAGCTCTCAAGCGCCCTCACGTCCCACCACAGTGACGTATGGTGTGTTCACTCCTGTCCTGGTCCCCAGGTCGTGTGGGGCCATCGAGGCTCATCCCCAGCTGCAGCCGCCCTCCTTTCCCTGTAGAGCCCTCGCCTGTGTAACGGTTACTGCCTCTGTGTGGGCAGCATCTGGGGGGGCTGGCGCCGGGCAGTGGGAGACCTGCTCCATGTCACTGGTGGAACCCAATGTATGTGATAGGTTCACAGGTCTCAGCTGTGAAATTGTGTTTGTACACGGTGGCTTTTTCTAGAAAAATGAACCGCAAAGTATTTCTTTCCTCGTGAATGTCGACCATTTTCTCGAGTCTGGTTGTTGTTGGCCAGTGACACAAACCTGCAGCTTCTCCCCTTCTTGCTTCCCTCCCCGCCCCTTGGCTCCGGGCACAGCGTGGCTGAACCGGCTTATCTGGCCTCGTCTCTGGAGGCCTCCCCAGCTGTCATGTCCGTTGACATTTCACTGTTCCTGGCAGTGGCTGTGCCCAGACGCGCCGTGGCACGTGGGAGTGATGCTGGTCTTTGCCAGTGCTCTGCACACCTGTGGGGAGGCCTCTCGGGGTTTCCTGCCAGGTCTCTGTGCACCCCCCGGTGAGAGATCTGAGGAGGAGGAGGAGGAACCGAGGGCAGGTAGGGCGCTCTTCAGATGTGGAGGGTTGGAATCTCCAGTTTAATAACAAACTTTATCCTACCTTAAGTTTTCAAAAGTCTTGTAAAGAACGGGTCCATTCATTTTTAGCTGCTCCGTGAAAGGTGAGAAAGCTGAGTAGGGGGCTGTGTCCCAAGACCAGGGTTTGCTGTGGCCTGGCTCGATTGAGAATCCCCTGGGCCCCAGGAGGGTGCTGTGGCTGCTGAGGAGGCTGCCCCACGTTCTGATCCTGGTGCAGGGCTGCACTCAGCCTCCCCAGAAGCAGCTTGGTCCCGGGTCCCACCTGGCACTAACCTCTGCAGGGCCCCTTTATGTCATGGTGTTTTGGCCTGTGGAAGGCTTTCGTCCGTCTGAGCTGCTGACTGAGGGTCTTTATTTCCACACTCGAGAGAAACCTGGCGGCCCAGCAGTCAGTGCCCGCGGAGCAGGTACAGCTCAGGGAAGGGAGCAGCCCCTTGCTCACGGTCCTTTCTGGCACAGTCTGTGGCCCTCTGGAGTACCCGGCCAGCGTCCTCACAGCTGTCCCCAAACGCGTGGTATGGGTTCCTCCCTCAGGGCCAGCACCAGGCTGGTGCTCAGCTCTTCTGGAAGAGCCGTCCCATGGTCCCAGCGCATCCGTGGAAGAGTGAAATATTGAACGTTACAAGAAGGAAGTGAGGCCAGGCGCGGTATCTCGTGCCTGTAATCCCAGCACTTTTGGAGTTGGCGATGGGCAGATCACTTGAGGTCAGGAGTTTGAGACCAGCCTGGATCAAAATGGCAAAACTCCATCTCTACTGAAAATACAAAAATTAGCCGGGCGTGGTTGCAGGTGCCTGTAATCCCAGCTACTTGGGAGGCTGAGGCATGAGAAGAGCTTGAATCCGGGAGGCAGAGGTTGCAGTGAGCCCAGGTCATGCCACTGTACTGCAGCCTGGGTGATGGAGTGAGACCCTGTCTGAAAAAAAAAAAAAAAATAGAGTTGCTAAATTGGAGTAAATATTTCATAACGCGATTCAGTTCAGTTGCTTTAGCTGCTCTGTGAGTCCAGCACCCGCCTGCAGCGCAGCCTCCCCTGTGGAGTCTGGAGCACCCAGGCCTACATCACAGGCTCCAGAGCACCCGGGCCGGTATCACGGGCTCCAGAGCACCCAGGTTGGTATCATGGGCTCCAGAGCACCCAGGCCGGTATCACGGGCTCCAGCACAGCGGGCAAAAGGTGGGAGGCTCCCCAGACTTTAGGTGTCTGGAGTTATCCATAAAGGGGGCTTCCTGAGTTTTGGTGTATCCCTTGGTTTACAACCCAGGGAGAAGCCTGGCCACTTGTGAGTGCAGGTCGTCCTTGGACACACACTTGGAGGAATCGGAAGGAACAGGACACGCAGCCTTATGTTCCTGTCAGCCCTTCCTGCACATATGCCCTGTCTCAGGGGGCTGCTGGCCTCTGCCAGGGCCTCCTCACTTTTGTTCCTGAGGACATCTTCCCAGCGCGTGTGCACTTACTAAATGAGCCACATGCCCCCAGTTCTGACAGCTAGGAACGGTGCGAGCAGATGGAGGATGGAGCTGGTGCTGCTGCCCACAGGGGCCCTGGGAGTGAGGCTGCGGGTCCCTCGTGCCCTGGTGCGGCCCTGGCTTGAGGCCTTGGTTTGGGGGTGTTGTGCCCCCCCTACCAGGGCTGAGAGCCCACAGTGACAGCAGAGGGGAGGTGTGTGCGGGGGCCGGGCATCGATGCTGGACTTGCTGAGGGTTGCTTTCTGGTGGTGTGCACACATCTTGGGCCAGAGTGGTGTCCCCAGAGTGCCTGCTGCTGGAAGAGAAGGCTCTGGGTCCTTCTGGATGCCCATCCTGGCTGTGTGGACCACGGCGGCAAGGGCCACGTGCCTGGTCGTCAGGCCACGGATGCTTGTCCGGAGCTGCCTCATGTGGCTCTTGCACAGAAGGCACCATTCTAGACATTCCAGGTGGGCTCCAGTGACCATGAGGGGCTGGGGTTGGCACTGGCGCTGCTCCTCTGAGGTGTTGGACCCACGTGGGAGCTGCTTGTTCCCCTCCAGACACTGATTGTGAAGAATCTGGAAGGTCCACGCTAGAGGAGGCCACGACCTGCTGGTGCGCCTGCAAGAGTGCTGGCCCAACTGGTCTCCATGCGTGGTGCCCGTTGGAGGGGGTGGGAGGGCTCGGCTCTGCTCTCCCCCCGTGGGTCTTCGTGTCACAGGGTGCTTGGGGGACTCTGCTGCACTGAGATCTCCAGCGTGACATGTCCCCGTCCCAAACAGCCCTGAAATGGCAATGCCTCATCCTAGGATTACCGTCCCTTCCCGAAGGCTTGAGGTCCTACTTAGATGTCTACTGGACTGCTTTTTATTTTAATTTACTTGATACTCAGTCTGGGTGCGTTGAAGACGCGGCCTCTGGCTGTCAGCCTGTCCTTGTGTGCAGTGACCGGTCTACCTGTCTGGCCTTGTGCCTAGACTTGTGGCCGTCACCACTATCTCTGGGGAGGGGTGAAGTGGACTGGGAGGTAGGAGCCGAATTGGAGTCTTCTCTTTGTTCCTGAAGTTATCACAGTCTTGGCCAGACTGTGGTCACTGCGTGCGTGTGTGTGTGTGTGTGATGCGCAGGGCATTTGCTGGTGGAATAGCACGGGCCATTGGCATTTGCACCTGAGGCGTGCAGCCCCCCTGCTGCACACCTATGGGGTCCCTGCGGTCAGGTGAGCTCTGGGGGGTTTCTGAGGGTGGAGACAGCCACAACAACACTTCTTTCCTCCAAATGCCTGTGCTGTGCACTTGGGTGCAGGTGGCTTTTAGGGGACATGGCTGGGCACTGCCCCACAGTGTCACCTCTGTGTCCTGTGGTGCGTGCTGTGGACTGGCACCACACCCCACGTGCTTGTTAGGCCAGTTTCTCTCAGGTGTCGGTCACCCTACCATGCGGCCTTTCTTTTGTCTTTTATCTTTAGCTAAGGAGTCCATGGCATACCAAAAGCTGAATGATGACAGCCAGTGTCCCCATCCTGTCCTCCCCAACTTTCCACAGGCAGGGACGCTCCCCATTCTTGCTGCATAGTCTTCTGTTGACCCCATGTACCTGAGTGACCCCCACGTACCTGAGTGTGACAAGCACTATGGTGCTTGACCTCAGTCCAGCTGCTTAGACCTGTACCTGCCACAGCCCCACGTGCTGACACCTTGCGTCTTGAGTTTTGATAAATCTATCCTTTGGCTGATTAATATGACTGAGTGGTGTCTTCTGACCCCATTTCTTATCTGGAACACTGTGTCCTGACTTCATTTCCTGTCTGGAGCACACTGTCCTGACCTCATTTCCTGTCTGGAACACACTGTGTCCTGACCTCATTTCCTGCCTGGAGCTCTCTGTGTCCTGACCTCATTTCCTGTCTGTGCCGCTCTGTCCTGACCTCATTTTCTGTCTGTGCCACCCTTTGTCCTGACCTCATTTCCTGTCTGGAACATGCTGTGTCCTAACTGCATTTCCTGTCTGGAGCTCTCTCTGTCCTGACCTCATTTCCTGTCTGGATCTCTCTATGTCCTGACCTCATTTCCTGTCTGGAACATGCTGTATCCTGATATCATTTCCTGTCTGTGCCACTTTGTCCGGACCTCATTTTCTGTCTGGAGCACTCTGTATCCTGACCTCATTTCCTGTTTGTGCCACCCTTTGTCCTGACCTCATTTCCTGTCTGGAACATGCTGTGTCCGGATTGCATTTCCTCTCTGGAGCTCTCTCTGTCCTGACCTCATTTCCTGTCTGGAGCCAGTGACCTCATTTCCTGTCTGTGTCACTCTGTCCTGACCTCATTTCCTGTCTGTGCCACTCTTTGTCCTGACCTCATTTCCTGTATGCAACACACTGTGCCCGGACTGCATTTCCTGTCTGGAGCTCTCTCTGTCCTGATCTCATTTCCTGTCAGGAGCACTCTGTGTACTGACCTCATTTCCTGTCTGTGCCACTCTTGTGTCCTGACCTCTTTTCCAGTCTGTGCCACTCTGTGTCCTGACCTCATTTCTTATCTGTGCCACTCTGTGTCCTGACCTCATTTCCTGTCTGGAGCACTCTGTCCTGACCTCATTTCCTGTCTTGTGTCCTGACCTCATTTCCTGTCTGGAGCTCTCTGTGTCCTTACCTCATTTCCTGTCTGTGCTGCTTTCTGTCTTGGAGTTGCGTGCCTGACCTCATTTCCTCTCCACTGTGTGTTCCTGGAGTTAGGCATCATCTTGGTTTTTACTCCCTTGCTTGGTTTTCTCAGGATCTCTGGCTGCTCCGTCCTTGCTCCAGCGTTCTTCTCTGCCCCCTCCCTCTGTGGTCCAGAGGCCGATGGCCAGCTGGCCCTCACCTGCCCGCCCTGGGTATTTCTGTGCTCTTCCTGGTGAGGGATTCTAGGGGTTCCCCTCCTGGGTTCATCCTTACCTGAGTAGCCACAGCACACTGTGCAGTTGGGTGCCTGGGAGGCACGTGCTTTGGGTGTTGCATGGCTGACCTGGTAACTGGGCACCCGTGTATGGAGGGCTGGAACAGAACACTTGTCGGCGCTCCTCAGCGTCTTGCCTCTGGTGTCCCCATGGCGAAGTCCCCTGCCATCTGCTTTGGGCTCTGACATGTGACCTGACTGTGCCCTTCAGGAGCTTTCAGAACCTCCTCTTAGATCTGGCATTCAAAATGTCTTGTCAGACACCTCGAGGCGGCTTGTGTTTGGCCCTGTGTTGGGCGCCTATTGGGCCCTTGTCAGGTTTTTGTTGCCAGGAGGCTCGCGCCCCGATCTTCGGGATGGTGCCCGTGGCATCTTCTGCTCGGTGCTCCCTAGGGCTGGACGTTGGTCCTCCTGGCACTGGTGCTCCGGTTGCTGTGGTCTCCCTGCTGTTCCCTTGTGGCTCAGGATTACTCTCTGGAGGTCTCCGCCTTATCATGAGCACTTTCTTTGTTGGCTACTTTTAGTTTCATGATTTCATTTTCGTTTCTAAGATATCTATCTCTTTGTAAAAGCTCCCACCTTTTGTGACTTGTGGATGCTGTATCTTTCTCCTGTTGCTGCAGACATTAATGATGTTTTTCTTGACAGTTTGTCCTGCTGGTTTCCTCTGCATTCCTTTGGTTGGTTTCAGACCTCGGCTTTAAAGGGGCATTTCCCCACATTGCCAATTCTTGACCATCTGGTCACGTCAAGGCTGACGTGCCAATGGCTGCAAGGGGGAGGGCACCTGGGAGCCCGCGGATGGCTCTTATGCAGACGTGCGGGCCAGCCCCGATCCTGCTTCTGCAAGGCCTCCCCTCCCATGGTGGCGCTTTGGTGCCAGAGCGCGTCGGCGTGGCTCCCTAGCGTCTGCCTCTGCAGCTGCTTGGCCCCCAGCCGCCTCCTCCCAGCTGCCTCCTGCCCTATGTGTGCTTGAGCTCGAGACAATGCTTCCTTCATCCAAGAGCCGGGCTCTCGGCGATTTTTGAGAGGAGAATGGGGTTGAAGCGATGTTGCTCTTCCGTCTTAAAACTGGATTTCTTTCCTCATGCTTTTGAATTATTATATCTTCTTGACATGTTTCTCTGGATTTGCAAAAGATTTTTATATTTTATATATTTATTTATTTACTTATTTATTTATTTTTGAGGTGGAACTTTGCTCTTGTTGCCCAGGCTGGAGTGCAATGGTGTGATCTGGGCTCACTGCAGCCTCCGCCTCCTGAGTTCAAGCAATTCTCCTACCTTAGCCTGCTGAGTAGCTGGGATTACAGGCATGTGCCACCATGCCTGGCTAATTTTGTAGTTTTAGTAGAGATGGGGTTTCTCCATGTTGGTTAGGTTGGTCTCGAACTCCCGACCTCAGGTGATCTGCCCGCCTCAGCCTCCCAAAGTGCTGGGATTACAGGCTTGATCCACTGTGCCCAGCCTGCACAACATTTTAAGTAAATGTTGACATTTTAAGCATTGAGCAAGGAAGAGTGTGAAGAGGTACTTTATAAAGGGAAATATGGCAATACTGATTATTTGCGACTTTAACCAGAAGTAATCTTTGGACAGCCAGATGTTATTGTCTTGGAATGTGGTGTTTTATCTAGTGACAATGTGTGTGCATGCACACGTGGACACACAGGATTCCTGGTCCTTAAACCCGTATGTTCGGTGTCTGCAGCATAGAATGGTCTCGGCTGGTATGTGTGGGACCAGCTCAGATGCCCCTATTCTAGATGCCGAGGCCGAATCGCCCCCTAGGGAGGATGGGACAGTGGCTGTGCTGAGCGTGCTACGGCGTCATGGAAGAACAGCAGAGGCGTTTGAGAATTGTGTTTTTTAAAAAGAGTTGAAACTTGTCAGTCAGGAAATGGAGTAACAGGTTTATCAGGAGTGTCATTTTCCTTTTTTTTTTTTTTTTCTCCCATGAGTGGCTTGGTCGGGGAACTCATGTTTTTTTTTGTTTTTGTTTTTGAGTCAGAGTCTAGGTCTGTCACCCAGGCTGGAGTGCTGTGATGTGGTCTTGGCTCACTGCAACCTCTGCCTCCCAGGTTCAAGGGATTCTCCTGCCTCAGCCTCCTGAGTAGCTGGGATTATAGGCGCCTGCCACCATGCCCGGCTAATTTTTTAATTTTTAGTAGAGACGGGGTTTGTTGGTCAGGCTGATCTTGAACTCCTGACCTTGTGAGCTACCCACCTTGGCCTCCCAAAGTGCTGGGATTACAGGCGTGAGCCACCGTGCCTGGCGGGAGCTCATGTTTTATCTGAGGTGGCCCAGGGCCCCACCTGGGAGCAGGGTCAGCAGTGCCTGGCCCTTGAGTGTTTGCCTCGGGGTGTGTTCCTTTTAAATCAGATCAGCTCATCACTTGGCCGGTTTTCTAGACCAGCATATTCAAACCCAAGGTTTGGAATCTTGGGCTGGCTTCTGAAATGACATGCTGTGGGCTCCATCCCCAGAATTCTGGGTTCCCAGGTCCGAGGTAGGGACTGAGAATGTGCATCTCTAGCAAGTTCCCAGATGACATGGTGGCTCCTCCGGAACCCCTGCCTCCTTTTGTGGGTAAAGTTTTACAGGTGCATGGCCACGCCCCACCGCCCTCGCCGGTGCTGTCTGTGGCTGTTTTGTGCCACAGCAGAAAGGCTGAGTAGGTGCGAGAGAGACCATGTGGCCTACAAACCCAAAATATGTGTGATTTGGTCCCTTACGGAAAACACTTGCAGGTTCCTGATCTAGAGAAAGAATAATTGTAACGCAGGGCTACATTGTTTTTGTGAAACTCTTTAGGATGGAAAAGGGCATCTCTGAGGTCAGCGACAGAAGCCGTGGTGGTTTCATGCCACCAGTTTACCTTTGTCCTGAGCTGTGGAGGTTGTTTAAAGCTATAGATCAAATGAAGCCTGGAATATAAGGGTGCAGTTAGGATGATTGCTGTGTAGTTATTTTTTAAAACGGCTTTTTGAGGCATAATTAACATAAGCTGCGTATATTTAAAGATACAGTTAGATAACTTTTGATGTATGCAAACACATATAAAACATGTATAAAACCCTCGCTGCCGTCCAGATGATGAACCTGTCCGTCACCCAGAAGCTCTCTCCTACCCACACCCCTTTCTCCCCAGGCTGCAGCAGTCTGCTTTTGGGCCTGTAGATTCGTTGCCTTCCTTAGAGCTTTGTCTAAATGAAATCCTACAATATGTTCTTCTTTTGGTCTGGCTTCCTTCCCTCAGCGTCATTATTTTGGGCTCCTTGGATGCGTGGCGTGTGCTGGGCAGTGTTCCCCTGCGTGGATGTCGCGTTTGTTCCTCCATTTGCCCGTTGGAGCGTGTGGAGTGTTTCCAGTTCTTGACTGTCACAAAGAAAGCGGCTGTGAACATTCGGGTACAAGTTGTTGTCGGGATACACGGTTTTATTTCCCTGGATAGATACCTAGGTGTGGAATGGCTGGATCATATATTTGTGCTTATGTTTAACTTTTAGAAACTGCCAGACTATCTTCCAAGGTGGCTGCACCATTCCTCGTCCTACCAGCAGTGAGTGAGAGTTCCTGCTGCTCCACGTCCTGGCCAGCGTGTGTGGTGGGCGGGCTTAGGCGTTCAGCCGTCCTGATGGGTGTGCGGCGGCATCTCCTTGAGGTTTAAGTTGCGCTTCCCCAATCGTTGAGAACGTAGAGTGGCTTCTCTTGTGCGTATTTGCCACCATATGTCTTCTTTGGTGAAATGTCCCTTCTGATTTTTGCCAGTTATTTTAGACTGGGTTTGTTGTTTTACTGTTGACTCGTGAGATCTTTACGTATTCTGGATGCAAGTCCCTTTTCACATTTGCGCCTTACGTAGACTTTGTCCCTGTCCATGGCTTTCCTTTTCTGAACGGTGTTTTTTGAAGAGTAGAACTGCAAAATTTTTATGGGATCCAATTTTTCAGTTTGTTCTTTTTCTTTTTTTTTTTTTTTTTTTTTTTGAGACAGGGTGTGGTTCTGTTGCCCAGGCTAGAGCACAATCTTGTGATCTGGGCTCACTGCAGCCTTTACCTCCCAGGCTGAGGTGATCCTCCTGCCTCAGCCTCCTGGCTAGCTGAGACTACAGGCACATGCCACCACACCTGGCTAATTTTTGTATTTTTTGTAGAGACGGGGTTTCGCTATGTTGCCCAGGCTGGTTGCGAACTCTAGCTCAAATGATCCGCCTGCCTTGGCCTCCCAAAGTGCTGAGATTACAGGTGTGAGCCACTACGTCCGGCCTCAGTTTGTTCTTTTGGTTTGGACTTCGGTTTCCTAGCTGGGAACTTTGTCCCTAACTCAAGGTCACAGAGATTATCTCCTGTATTCTAGAAATTTTGTAGCTTTAAGTTGTATATTTAGGTCTGTGATCCATTTTGAGTTAATTTTTGTGTGCAATGCAAGGTGTGGACCTGAGTTCATTTCTTTGCCTAAGGTGTTCAGATGTTTCAGTGGAGTTTGTTGTAAAGATTAGTTCTCTACTGGATTGTCTTTGTGCCTTTGTCAGAAATCAGCTGTGCAGATGTGTATTCAGTTGATCCACTTGTTTATCTTTTTACATCAACGCCATGCTGTTTTGGATTATTGTAGCTTTGAAATAATTGTTGAGGTCAGGTGATATTCGCGCTCTAACCCTGCACTTTTTCAGAGCTGTTACAGCTATTCGGGATCTTCCACTTTTCCATATGAATTTTAGAATCAGTTTGTCAATTTCTGTGAACATTTCTGGGAAATTTTGATTGGGATTGTATTGAGTCCATAGATAAATTGGGAATATCTTAACAATCGGGAGTTTTCCGACCAACGGAAAGCTCTCTGTTTATGGGTTGTTATTAATTTAGTATTTTGTAATTTTTAGTGCACAGGTTTTTACCATCTTTTGTCAGATTTATTGATTTATCTATTGAGGTTTTTTCTTGGTCTTGTAAATAATATATTTTAAAAATTCGATTACTGGATATAAACGGCCACTACAGTTCTTATATGTTGATCCTGCAGCCTGTAACCTTCCTAACTTGCTCATGAGTCCTAGTGGCTTTTATTGTAGTTGCCATTGGGTTTTCTGTGTAGATGATCATGTCGTCTGCAGTAAAAGCAGTTTCACTTCTTCCTTTCCAGTCTGGATGCTTTTTTATTTGTCCTGCTTAATGGCACCGGCTAGGG
Source organism: Homo sapiens (assembly GCF_000001405.40). Lineage (NCBI taxonomy): Eukaryota > Metazoa > Chordata > Mammalia > Primates > Hominidae > Homo > Homo sapiens. The sequence goes on from NC_000001.11 coordinate 2,261,760, forward strand.
CCTCCAGGGCAGTTTGAATAGGAGTGGTGGGAGTGGACGCCCTCGCTCCTGATCTCCTGATCTGGAAGGCGTGGAATCAGAGTTTGGATGGGAGTGGTGGGAGTGGACGCCCTCACTCCTGATCTCCTGGTCTGGAAGGCGTGGAATCAGAGTTTGGGTGGGAGTGGTGGGAGTGGACGCCCTCGCTCCTGATCTCCTGATCTCCTGGTCTGGAAGGCGTGGAATCAGAGTTTGGGTGGGAGTGGTGGGAGTGGACGCCCTCGCTCCTGATCTCCTGATCTCCTGATCTGGAAGGCGTGGAATCAGAGTTTGGGTGGGAGTGGTGGGAGTGGACACCCTCGCTCCTGATCTCCTGGTCTGGAAGGCGTGGAATCAGAGTTTGGGTGGGAGTGGTGGGAGTGGACACCCTTGCTCCTGATCTCTTGATCTCCTAGTCTGGAAGGCGTGGAATCAGAGTTTGGATGGGAGTGGTGGGAGTGGACGCCCTCGCTCCTGATCTCCTGGTCTGGAAGGCGTGGAATCAGAGTTTGGATGGGAGTGGTCGGAGTGGACACCCTCGCTCCTGATCTCCTGATCTGGAAGGCGTGGAATCAGAGTTTGGGTGGGAGTGGTGGGAGTGGACACCCTCGCTCCTGATCTCCTGATCTGGAAGGCGTGGAGTCAGAGTTTGGGTGGGAGTGGTGGGAGTGGACGTCCTCGCTCCTGATCTCCTGATCTGGAAGGCGTGGAGTCAGAGTTTGGGTGGGAGTGGACGCCCTCGCTCCTGATCTCCTGGTCTGGAAGGCGTGGAATCAGAGTTTGGGTGGGAGTGGTGGGCGTGGACGCCCTTGCTCCTGATCTGGATTTGGCACCGTCGAGTGTGATGGTGCATGTTGGGTTTTCGCCAGTGCCCTTTATGAGTCCGAGGAAGTCCCCAGAATACGGTTCCTAGTTTGATCAGGAAGGATATTGGGTTTTGTCAGGTGTTTTTTTTTCTTAATTTATTGAGATTATTAATATGGTGAGTGTCTTTCTATTTCAGGTTACTAATGTGATGAATTATATTGACTGATTCTTGAATGCTAAACCAATTGTTCATTCCTGGGATAGCCCCCCTTCAGTCGTGATGTATTATTATTTTAGAATATTGTTGAATTTGTTTTTTTTTGTTTTTGTTTTTGAGACCGAGTCTTGCTCTGCACCCAGGCTGGAGTGCAATGGCGCTATCTCGGCTCACTGTAACCCCCGCCTTCCAGGTTCAAATGATTCTCCTGCCTCAGCCTCCTAAGTTGCTGGGATAACAGGTGTCCACCGCCACACCCAGCTAATTTTTTGTATTTTCAGTAGAGACAGGGTTTCACCATGTTGGTCAGGCTGGTCCCGAACTCCTGACCTCAAGTGATCTGTCTGCCTCGGCCTCCCAAAGTGCTGGGATTACAGGCATGTGCCACTGTGTTTGGCCTCTTGAGTTTTATTTGCTAAAATTTTGCTTAGAATTTTTTTTTTTTTTTTTTTTGGAGACGGAGTCTTGCTCTGTCGCCCAGGCTGGAGTGCAGTGACACGATCTTGGCTTGCTGGAACCTCCGCCTCCTGGGTTCAAGCGATTCTCCTGTCTCAGCCTTCCAAGTAGTAGGGATTACAGGCGCATGCCACTGTGCCTGGCTAATTTTTGTATTTTTAATAGAGACGGGGTTTCAGCATGTTGGCCAGGCAGTCTTGAACTTCTGATATTAGGTGATCCTCCTGCCTCAGCCTCCCAAAGTGCTGGGATTACAGGCGTGAGCCACTGCGCCTGCCAAGAATTTTTGCATTTATATTCATGAGGGATGTTGGTGTGTGTTTTTTTTTCTTCTTCTTCCCGTGTATCTTTGTCTGGTTTTGGTGTTAACAGAGTAATGTTCTTGTAGAATGATTTGAGAGGTATTTCCTCCTAAGTTTTCTGAAGAATTTTTTCTTTTAAAAATGTTTGGTGGGGGGACTGGGCGCGGTGGCTCATGCCTGTAATCCCAGCACTTTGGGAGGCCAAGTCAGGAGTTCGAGACCAGATTGGCCAATATGGTGGTGAGATGGTTCACCCATCTCTGTGCCACTGCACTTCAGCCTGGGCGACAAAGCAAGACTCCATCTCAAAAAAAAAAAAAAAAAAGTTTCGTGGGGCTAGGCATGGTGGCTCACGCCTATAATCCTAGCACTTTGGGAGGCCAAGGCAGGAGGATCCCTTAAGCCCAGGAGTTCGAGAACAGCCTGGGCAACATAGGGAGACACTGTTTCTATTAAAAAAAAAAAAGTTTCGTGGAACTTACCATTAAAACCTACTCGGACCCAGAGTGTTTTTTGTGGGAAGATTTTTAGCTATATAGACTATTCAGTTTATCTGTTCTTGGTTGAGAGTTACTGGTTTGTGTTACACAAGTAATTTTCTCAATTCAACTAAAAATGCCATTTCTCCCTTTGTTTCTGAAAGGTATTTGCGTAGGTATAGAATTATAGGTTGACTTCAAAAAGTTTCAATTTTTTTTGTGGTTTAATTTAATTTAATTTATTTATTTGAGATGGAGTCTTGCTCTGTCACCCAGGCTGAAGTGCAGTGGCACGATCTCGGCTCACTGCAACCTCTGCCTCTGGGTTCAAGTGATTCTCATGCCTCAGCCTCCCGAGTAGTTGGGATTACAGGCACCCGCCACCACACCTGGCTAATTTTTTGTATTTTTAGTAGAGACAGGGTTTCTCCATGTTGGACAGGATGGTCTTGATCTCCTGACCTCATGGATCCGCCTGCTTCAGGTTTCCAAAGTGCTGGGATTACAGGGGTGAGCCACTGCGTCCGGCCTGTTTTATTTTTTTGTAGAGATGGGATTTCACCATGTTGGTCAGCCTGGTCTTGAACTTGGACTCAAGCAGTCTGCCCTCCCCAGCTTCCCATAGTGCTGAGATTACACAGGCATGAGCCACCGTGCCTGGCCCCAATTTTCAGTACTTTAAAGATGTTGCTGTACTGTGTTCCTGCATGCGTGCTTCCAGAGAGAGATCTGCTCATCCTCTTCTTGACGGACATGCCTCTTCTTTTTTTCTTTCTTTCCTTTGTTTTTTTGAGACAGAATCTCACTCTGTCACCCAGGCTGAAGTGCAGTGGGACGATCTCAGCTCACTGCAACCTCTGCCTCCGGGTTCAAGTGATTCTCATGCCTCAGCCTCCCGCGTACCTGGGATTACAGGCACCCGCCACCACGCCTGGCTAATTTTTTGTATTTTTAGTAGAGACGGGGTTTCTCCGTGTTGGCCAGGCTGGTCTCGAACTCCTGATCTCAGGTGATCCACCTGCCTTGGCCTGCCAAAGTGCTGGGATTACAGGAGTGAGCCACGGCGCCCGGCTGGACATGCCTTTCTTTAAGATTGTCTCTTTGTCACTGCTTTGAGCCACTTTGCTGTGGTTTCCCCGTGCCGCATGTGTTTGGAGTACGTTGTGTAGTTTTTGTCAGGTTTGGAAGGTGTGTCTCCTGCGTCCCTCCTCTGGGCACTTGGTGGCCCGTGTGTCAGTCATGTGAATGTTGTCAGCTCAGGGTGCTCTTCTCATCTTCTGGATTCTTTTTTTTCCTCTATTTCCCTGTGAGTAGTTTCTGTTACTCTGTGTCCATATCACAAACCTTTTCTTCCACAATGTCTCCTCCACGGTTAATCCCATATAGCGGATGTTTCATCTCTAGAAGTTTGATTTGGGACTATATTATATCTTTCGTGTCTTTATTTTACTCTTTTAAATATGTGGAATACACTGTAATAACAGTTCCAGTGTTCTCTGTGAATTTCTATGTCTGTGTCAATTCTGGTTGTTTGCGATGGATGGATGATTTTCTTCATTGTGGTCCACATTTTCTTGCTTTCTGGATTCTAGACGTTTTGAAATGTGCCTGTTTGGGTGCTGAATGTTTTTGTATTCCTATAAATTGGCTGGGCATGGTGACTCACACCAGTAATCCTAGCACTTTGGGAGGCTGAGGTGGGCAGATTGCTTGAGTCCAGGAGTTTGAGACCAGCCTGGGCAACATGGAGAAACCCTGTCTCTACTTAAAAATACAAAAATTAGCCAGGCGTGGTGGTGCACACCTGTAGTCCCAGCTACTCAGGAGGCTGAGGTGGGAGGATCATTTGAACCCGGGAGGTGGAGGTTGCAGTGAGCTTCAATCGCGCCACTGCACTCCAGCCTGGGTGACAGAGCCAGACCCTATCTCAAGGAAAAAAATAAAATTAAAAAAAAATCTTGAGCTTTGTCTAGACTGCGTTCAGTTATTTGGAGGCAGCTTGATCCTTTTGAGTCTTGCTTTTGTGATTTTTTTTTAGGTGGGTCTAGAGCTGGGCTCAGGGCTCATTCTAGGCCTGATAATTCACCACTCCTGTGGCAGAATCTTCTGAGAGACATAGGACCCCATGAATTTGGGCAATTTCCTGTCTGTCGGGTGGAGACAGGCTCTCTGCCTAGCCTGGTGCAAGCCTCAGGCCTGTTGTCTCTAAATCTTTGTGGGTGACTCTTCCCCAGCCTCGTGGAGTTTCTGCACATACATACTGTGATCTGGGGTCTGCGGAATTGCCAGGGGCCTCTGCAGACCCCAGGCCCTCTGTGTGGTGCTCCCTTCTCTGCTGCTCCGTCCTGTGAATTCCAGCCGCCATGCTCTCCCTGAATTGTCAGCTCCATCTCAACCCAGTTTCTGCTGGGCCCTGCCTGGGTCCTGCTTCCTGTACCATGGCTGGGAACTCTCGGGAGGCAGTGAGCTGGGGCTGCCAGAGGGCTTGGCTCCACTTTGAATTTTGGGGACCACCGTCCTTTGCTGCCTGACCTCCAGGGTCCCTGGGGCCATTGTCTCCCATCTCCTGTCTTGTCTGCGTTTTTGGCCTTTCCAGGGAGGAGGGTGATGGGTCTCTGTGACTTCACCTTGGCTGCAGGCGGGCCCTGGCATCGCAGTCCATGAGTGACCTCCAGCTTCTCTCATCAGCCACCCCGTTCATCCACTCCATTTGTAAAATGAGATAGAAAATGAAGATGGTGCTGTCGTCACAGCGGCCGGATATCTGTAGCTCGTGGGCTCCCCTCTAGGCTGAGGCTCTTGTTGTGGGAGAAAGTTGCTCAGGGCCAAGTTTCAGATAGAAAGAGCGAAAGTAACTGGAAATGTTGAGATGGCCCTGGAGGCCCTCAGGGTGGCCTCTGCTTCAGGGAGGAAGGTGGGCAAATCACGCTCCGTGGCAGCAGGTTTAAAAACATCGCTGAATTGTGCTGACTGGCACATCCATTGTGAGCGGATGTGTTTTCCTTCTGCAATAATTTTGGCTACATTAAATTCGTTTTGTTAACATCTTCATCACCGCCTTTTCAGTTTCAGCGGGAATTGATTATGAACAAAGTGCCATGATTTTGACTATTCAGGCGAGCAACTGCATCGAGCCAGCACTGAACTGGTTTTGTAACAAGCTTGGTGTCCATATCGCTCTTAATAACATCTGCAGGCACAGGCGACGATAGCAGTTGTGGGCCAGCCGTCAGGAAAGGGGGGACTAGCACGTACCACTCAGAATTCAGCTTGCGCGGGCTGCGGTGGAGTTCTGGGGTTTGTTTGTGGGCATTTCCAGGTAGTCTGATCCTGTGAGGAGCAAGGAAGGGGTGTGTTGACAGGGCCGTTCGGGCCGGAGCAGGTGCGACAGGAATGTCCCACGTCCTCTCGTGTGCTGTCGGGAGACAAACCTCTTCCTGCTTCAATATCCCATTCGTTCCAGAGCCTCCTTTCAGGGTGGAAGGGGTGGTGGATGGCTTTGGGATTGGGCCAGGCCTGAGGGCACTGAGGGAGTGGGGCATTAGGGGCCACGTGGTCAGCACTGCACTCTGCTCTCATCGGAAGCTGGGCAGTGGCCAGAGGCCTGGGAAAGGCTTGTTGTGGGGGCGGGGGGCGCACCACACTTCAGGGATGCAGCCGGCCTTTGGGCTTCAGGAAACGCAGCTGGGACATCCTGAGGTGTGTGAGGCTGATGCATGGGCCTTTCTACTTCCAGACTGTCCCAGGACACGGGTCCACGGTCACACGGTCTCCAAATGAGCAGGAACACCTTGCATGCCCTGCGAGATGTGTTTGAAAGTCACACTTTGGTTCCAGGTCACAGCTTGAACCTCAGGCCACCTCCAGTGGGAGGCTGGAGGTCCTGTGTGCCACCCGGGGCCTGTGTGCTGTGGTGGTCGTGGCTCTGTGGGTGCCGGGCAGAGGCCTCCCAGGCTGGGCAGCCGCCACCCCTCTGTGGACGCTACTCACCCTTAGAAGCAGGTTCCCACAGGCCAGGGCACTCCCAACAGCACTGCGTGGAGCTGGTGCCCACCCCTGTGGTCAGATGCATGGCGCCCGCAGCCCTGGCCCAGGTGCCCCCTGGGTTGTGCGGCGGGGCCCTGGCTCTGTGGGTGGGTGGCTGTGCTGCCGCTGCTGTCGCCCATCCTTGGGGGCCGGCGTCGCCTCCCTGCTGCTCCTACTGTGTGCTTTCTTGCCCCTCCAGTGCCTCCCAGGGGGCTGTGTAGCCAGGTGTCTCAGAGGGCTCAGGGCTCCTGGTAGGGTTTGGGTGGGCTGAACCCTGCACCCTGGCCCGGGTGTGGGGTCCTGGTGCTCTGTGGCCTGGGACACCCGTGCTTCCTGCAGGCTCTGCGTGGCGCTGATGGAGGGCCTCTTGTTAAGGGGGCACGGTAGTGAGTCAGGTGCCCGGGGGCTCATAAGCCACCTTGGGGTATGTCTGGGTGCATGGGGACTCCTCTGGCCTCCCCAGCGGTGCTGAGCCGTCACTGCAGGGCAGCCATGGCCCATTTGGCTGGTGCTGAGACAAGGTGAATTTTCTTGGCTGGCTTGACAGGTCCCCCTTTCCCTCACCATGGAGTTTCACCCAATTTTCAGCTTTGACGGAGAAATGAGGCTTGGAGTCTTTTTCTGGCCTGTGAGGGCTGCAGAGCAGCGTGCCCAGGGGCTGTAGGTGCAGTCCAGGGAGAGGCCATGACAGGAGTGGGTGTGGGGACTGGTGGGGACAGCGACTGTGCCTTCTGGCCCCACCCAGAGAGCCCCAGCTGCTGTGCTGCCGTATTCTGATTCCTTCTTCCCTCCCTCCCTCCCTTCTGCCTTTCCCCTTTATCCTTTCCCCCCTTCCATGTCCATTTCCCTTTTCCCTCCCTCCCTCTCTTTCCTTCTCTCCTTCTCTCCCTCTTCTTTTTTCGACAGGGTCTGGCTCTGGCTCTGTCACCCAGGCTGGAGTGCAGCAGCACAGTCTTGCGGCCTCAACCTTGTTGGTTCAAGTGATCCTCCCACCTCAGCCTCATGAGTAGCCGAGACTACAGGCACACACCACTACATCTGGCTAACGTTTTATATTTTTTGGGTAGAGATGGGGTCTCGCCATGTTGTCCAGGCTGGTCTAGAACTCCTGGGCTCAAGCGATCCTCCTGCTTCAGCCTCCCAAAGTGTTGGGATGACAGGTGTGAGCCACCGTGCCTGGCCCATGTTTGATTCTCGATGCAGATCCAGCCCTGGGAAGAAAGCACCGCTGGCCATGACTGGGCAGAGCCAGAGAGTGACTAAGGGGCTGTTAGGACAGAGACAGTGGGTTTTGCAGTGATGTGAGCTTTGACGGAAGTGGCCACACTGCAGGCCCCCACAGCGTCACTAGTAGGCCAAGCGGACACTGCGGGACACGTTCCCCAACGTGGGATGTCCGTCCTCAGCAGTCTGTGGCCTTCTGTGAAGCAAAGCCGTTTTGCAGGCTGGGTTCATCCCCGTTCCAGGCCCGCACTAGTGGCGCCTGGTTATCAGGTGTGGTGAGGAGCTTTGCTGCCCTGGAGCGTCGCTTTGTGGGCAGAAGCCAACTTTGGAATCGCCTCATGGCTGGCCCTGGACCTCTCCTCCTTCCTTCCTTGTTGGTTGCTGTTAAGCCAGCCTTGGGCACCAGGGACAGTGGGGACGTGGCTGTGCACCGGGCCCAGGGCTGGCAGGAGGCTGCTTCAGGGCTCTGGACCAGAGCAGTGTGTGGCTGGTGGTACCTGTGGCTGGCGTGGGTCTGGCGGGTCTGGTGGTGCCTGTGGCTGGCGTGGGTCTGGCGGGTCTGGTGGTGCCTGTGGCTGGCGTGGGTCTGGCGGGTCTCGTGGTGCCTGTGGCTGGCGTGGGTCTGGCGGGTCTGGTGGTGCCTGTGGCTGGCGTGGGTCTGGCGGGTCTCGTGGTGCCTGTGGCTGGCGTGGGTCTGGCGGGTCTGGTGGTGCCTGTGGCTGGCGTGGGTCTGGCGGGTCTGGCATGTTTGGTGGTGCCTGCCATCAGGCTGCCGATGGATGAGCCTGCCTGTCCCCCACGGATTGGAGTTTTGCCCAGGGGTGCTGTGCCCTGGTCATTGTCCCCTACAGCCAGGCAGTAAAGTGTGGCCAGCACCTTGCTGCAAGAGAGGGACAGAGGTCATCTGTCTACGAGCTAGAGCAAGGGCAGGTGGGCCCACTGGCTGGCGCTGCGTCTGGGTTCGGTCCTGGACCTGCTGCGTGTTATCCTCCCTGCGGGCCTGGCATGGGAGTAGGGGCTGAGAGATGCTGGTGACACCACTCTGACGCCACGGCCTGAGGCAGCCGTTGGACAGTGCCCATCTTGAATGCAGCCCTGGTGACCTGAAGCCCCTGCGTTGGTCCCTCACAGGCCAGGGGGTGTGGCCACAGGGCCTGGGCTTTGTCCCGTTTACGAGAGGTCAGGCGGTCACAGGGTAATGGGAGGCCTGTGGTTCCTGGGCTGCCATCTGGCGATTGTAAAACGGGCAGTGTGCAGTGTTGAGGGGGCGCTGGGGAAACAAGCTGCCGGCTGAGGAGGCCGCACTCCCCGTGCCTCCCGGGCAGACACCTCACGGCCTTTCTCTGGGTGTCTGAACCCAAGGTGAAAAGTTCAGGCTGTCCCTGCTCTCCAGAGGGGCTGGAGGTGGGGCGGGAGCAGAGACTGGACCTGGCCAGCCCCTCCCGCTTCCCTTCCTCTGGGCCCCTGGACTCTGGGGGCGAGGGCAGGGCTGTTTGGCTGTTGGACATCCTTGCTGTCCCTTTGCTGGACTCTCCAGAGGACCAGCATGGAGGTGCACAAGTTCACATTTGTCCCTCTCCTGCCCCAGGGCACCTGGCCCTGTCCCGGGCCACCCCAGGCTGGACCAGCTGCCCATGTCACCAGGCCAGGCGCTTTCCCTGTGAATGAGCCGATGGCCGCAAGTGCCTGGCCTCAGGCCTGGGCTGTGGGGATGACTGAGGCCCAGTGAGGAGTGGGCTGGGGCCTGGTGTGACCTGCACGGTCTGTGGGGGTTGGAGGGATGCGCGACTTGGGCCCACCCCAGAACTTGGGGTTTCCTGATGGGTGTTGGGGTGCACACAAGCCTGGGCTCCTTTGTGATTGGCGACCCCAGGGTCCCGGGACAGTCCCTGAGAAGCACAGAGGCCTGGACACTCCCACCTCCCAGTCAGGCCCTGCCACATCCTCCCTGATGGCTCCAGGGGCTTTTGTTCACTGAAGAACACTTGCTGTCCTCCCCTCAGAAGAGTCTGCTCGGTGGGGGAGCCGCAGGGGGCTGCTCCCTGTCCAGGCCAGAGAAACCAGGCAGCCTCTCCCGCCGGGAGAGGTCCCCCACAGGAGCCTGTTATGGAGCCGCGTGGCGCCTGGGCTGGTGTCACCCCTGGGAGCCCCCTTTTAAAGAAGACTCATTCAATGTCCCTCTCTCAGACGGCCTCCAGCGTGGCGATTAAGCGCTCAGATGCTGGCAGGTTCCGCGGAGTGCCCGGCTGCCCTCGGCAGGGGCTTTGTGTTGGCTGCCCTGCCCCGGGCTGACCCCAGACGCTCGCCTTTTGTGCTACGCTGCTCTCGCCCCTCGGGAACCTTTGTCCCATTGAGCCCCGCCATTGCCTGGGGCCCCTTGCCTGTCCCTGCGGGCCCGCCCCAGGGCGGGGATTGTGGCCCTGGTCCCCTGGGGGGGGGTAGGGGGCTTTTGGTGGCCTAAGGGGACCCTCTGAGCACTCATGCAGGCCTCCCCCCAACCTCACGTCCAGGTCTGTTGCCGAGGGGCCAGGAGATTCTGACATTGTGCGATGGCCCCAGAGGTTGACATCCTGGGGAGGATTGGCTGGTGATGCTTCCAGAAAGTGGTTTTTGAAGATGCATCTGGTCCTGGCCCGTGGATGGCTGGCGGGACTGGGAGAGACACTCCGGGCCACTGGCTGCTTTCTCGCAGCTGTTCTCCTCTGGGAGGACTTGCCCCTGTGGGCAGGTGCAGGGGCACTGAGCGGAGGGGCTTGGGGGCCCCTGCCCGCCCCAGGCCACCTTGCTCTCTCTCCAGGCCTGCGTCCTGCAAAGAGGCCGGGTCAAAAGGTCACTGCCCCGATTTTTATTGCTGTCTCTTACGTTCTCACGACCTCTTGCCCTCTGCACAGATGGGCGGGGCTGGAGCTTCCACGAGGGCCGGCCTTTCCGGGGATTAAAAACCCACTGAAAGGTCTGAGCCTAGCTACCAAGCTTAAATGTCTTAGTAGCTTAAAAATGGTGTTAAAAATTAAGCAAAACACACATAGACTTCCAGGTTTAGCATAAATAGAAACCAGAGGTGTTGAGACCGTGCTGCCCCCTCAAACCAGCGCAGTGGAAAGAGGGGCAGAGCCCTCCACAGGAGCCCTCCGCTGGGGGGTTGGGGAGACGGCCCTGGCCCAGCGTCTGCAGCTCCCAGCGGCACTGAATGGCAGTGGCCGTCCCTGTGGTCTGGGGGCCTCCTTCCCCCACAGGCTACACAAGCCCTGGTCCTGCCAAGGCTCGGGGAAGCCCTTTGTGACTTTAGAAAAATAATAATGGAGGGTGAACTGGTTCCTATTTTTGCATTGTAATTGATTGCCAAGAACCCCTGAAATTAAATACAACCATGTATTTTAAATGGTGTCCTTAATGTAGAATGTTTTTATCAAAACCAAAACTCCCTGTTGAGGCCTTAGTGTTCTGTCAATAGCGTGTTGGAGTCTGGTTCCCGTCTCCCCTGCCCCGGCCTATGTGTGCTGACCCTGGGACCGGTGAGGCAGTTCTCACCACGCCCCGAGCCTCCCCCTCCCACGCCCCGAGCCTCGCCCTCCCACGCCCCTCCTGCCCCCGAGGCTCGCTGGCGTCTGTGCTTCTTCCAGGCGGAGGGGGAGGTGGTAGGCACCTTGGGTCTTAAATCAGAGAAACTGTCCCAGCAGTAGTAAAAGTCATCAGCTGGCCCCAAAGAGCCCCTGGAAACACAGGCTGTACCCCGCCTCCATGGAGACATTTGGTGCCACCTGCGTTCAGTGCAGATGCCACACGGCTCTTCCTGAGATGGCTTCCGAGGCCATTTGGCCCTTCATCTCGGGAACAGACCAAGGGGGTGTTTTCGGCCGTCTGAGACCCACCTGGGGGTGTCTGGGCCTTGGCCATGCTGCCTTCTCCAAGCCCCATGCTTCTCCCGGCCCCTCCTCCTTCCCACTGGCGCCGGAGACCTTTGGTAGTGGGTGTGGAAAGACAGCAGCTGTGGGGTCCCTGTCCTGGCCGGCCACTCCTCCTTCCCGCCAGTGCCGGAGACCCTCGGAAGTGTATGTGGAAGGACAGCAGCTGTGGGGTCCCTATCCTGGTCAGAGGGTGGCATTCCTCCCACAGTCCTGGGAGCCACAGGGCTGAGATGGGACTTCTCAGCTTGGCATGGGGAGGGCAGGACGGGGTGGCTGCCATGCCTCATTCTGTCTGTGATGGAAACGGGAGGGCCTGGCCCTGCCTCTGTTACTGAGCTTGAGCCAGGGACACCCGTGACCCTGCCTGGGGCGGTCCTCCCCAGCCTTGTGAGCCAGGGCAGAGGTGCAGGTTGGGTGGCTGACCTGGTGGGGGGTAAGAACATCCACGGAGAAGTGTGACGAGTGTGCGACCAGAGTGTGGACCCAGCCAGGAGGCCTGACCGTGACTGCAGCCTCCCCCAGCATTGCACCAAAGTGTGCTCGTGCAGGACCTCGAAGATGCCCCGTGGGCAGCGTTCGGGCTGAGGCTGCAGGGGGCCTTGGGAGCACGGTGGCCCTCCTGTCTGTTCTGTGGACCGGGTGCGGATGGGCCGTGCAGGCAGACGTGCTCTTGGGTGGTTGTGGTGGGGATGCCTCTCCGCCCACCACCCTCTCACTCACTGCCCTGGCTGGAAGGTGACGGCATCTCCCTGACCGGCAGCGCCAGGATGGCAGCCCCACAACAGTGTCCTGGTCGCCCCAGAGGCATGCTGAGCGCCCATGCGTGTGCGCAGGTCCTACGGGCCGTGTCCAGACCCAGCCCCGGGGTCAGGTGACACCTGTAGTTGGGTGAGCGCTCACACAGGCACCTCCAGGTAAGGGGGATTGAGGAAGGTAGCGCTTTGTCAATGGCACTGGTTTTGCTCCGAGGCTGGACTCCTTTTCCCTTTGAGGAGCTCTGCTCATGTGCTTTGCCTGCTTTCCCATGGCAGGCTTTTTATTGGTTAAATAAAGACACAAACTTTTCATCAGTCTTTGCAAATACTTGGTTCCGGCAAGTTCTTGGCCCTTCCCAGGCTTGGGGCTGCCGGCTCACGGTTCTTCTCTCTGCATTTCAGCCAGGCCCCCATATGCTGGGTTTGCAGGTCACGACCACCCATGACGGCTGTGCTGCGTGGGGTGCAGTTCCCCGTGGGCGCCGAGGGTGGTGTGGGGCTGCCTCTCGCTCGCTCCACCAGCCACCCGAGGGCCCGTGTCCTGGTCGTGGCCGCGTGTGCTCTGCTGTGTGGGTGGTCAGTCCTCCCCAGGGGCCACCTGGATGGTGTCCACTCCTGCCCCATGGCAGGAAGTCCCAGCGGCACCTGGCCACGTCCCTCTAACATGTTTCTGGAAGTGGGATTCTAGGCTGGAGCCTCATAGCGGGCAGATACTGCCCCCTGGCCATGAGCCATGACAGTTGGTTGATGGGACTTGAAGGGGCCTCTGGACAGTGTGGCTGCAGCCCTGGACCCTAGGAGAATAGCAGCCGTGATGGGGGGCAGGGACCCCACTTTCTGGGTGGGAGTGAGGAGGGCCGGCTGCTGCCCCTTGCTGCAGTCATCTTCAGTCACTTTCCCGGCCGCCACGGCCCCCTCCTGGCTTCTTGCTCTCAGCAGAGGGGACAAGACCCTTGTGAGGGTGGGCACAGGCACTCCAATTGTTTGGGGCCTTCGCTGTCCCTTGCTGTCTGTGCTGGTCTTTCCAGGCATCCCCAGGCCGTGTGTGTCAGCAGGTGGAGGCTGGGCACCTCTCACCCACCCAAGCTGAAGCGGCCTCACAGGGGGTGGCACCAGGTGTTTCTCCAGCTGAACAAGCTCGCCCTGGAACCCCCACCCTGAAAGGGCTACTGCCCCCATGAGAGGAGCTTCTAGAGATGGTGGCCAGCCTTGGGGGCCCGGTGGAGATGTGTTCGCGGGGTCCTGGTCTGATTCTGTCTTGGAAGGAACATCGGGCCCCTGAGAGGTCAGAGCAGTGGCCGGCCCACGGCTCCGCTCAGGCGCCACGGCGGCTCCTTTCTGTTTCTTGTAGTCACTGAGTTCGAGGTTCCCACAGGGAGGAGGCTTCCTGTGGCTCCGCCGTCAGGGAGCAGTGGGGCTGCCCCAGCCTCTGGGGGCTTTTTAGGTGCTCTGAGGCGATCTGGGTGTGGCCTGGCCGGTGTGGGCAGCTTTGCCCTTCGTCTGAGACCCCGAGCCCTGGGGCAGGATGAGGGGTGTGGGGAGAGTTTGCTTTTTCCAGAGACGTTTATCTGTTTTTTTTTTAGACGGAGTCTCGCTCTGTCGCCCAGGCTGGAGTGCAGTGGCGCGATCTCGGCTCACTGCAAGCTCCGCTCCCGGGTTCACGCCATTCTCCTGCCTCAGCCTCCCAAGTAGCTGGGACTACAGGCGTGTGCCATCACACTCGGCTAATTTTTTGTATTTTTAGTAGAGACGGGGTTTCACCGTGTTAGCCAGGATGCTCTCGATCTCCTGACCTTGTGATCCACCCACCTCGGCCTCCCAAGGTGCTGGGATTACAGGCTGAGCCACCGCACTGGCCAGCGTTTATCTTTAAATGTGCCTTGGACCTGGCCCCTGGCTCTTTGGGAGGGAGAGTCCTTGGCAGGCCCCGTTGCCTCCACCCCACCAGTGCACCTTGGCTCCTGGTCACTGCCCACCCTCCCTGCCCGGGCAGGAATTCTTACAGGCCCTACACTCCTGAAGGGAAATCAGGCTGGTCCTGGGGCAGGCAGCCTCTCAGAGCTGTTGAGAATTGAGCAATCTCCTTGTGCTCTTTCAAGCTGTTCTTTTCTTTGGTTCACACTGAGCAAGGGCTGGTTGCTCCGATAGGGAGAAGACGTGAGGAGTGGCATTTACTGTGATTGAGCACAGGGCCTGTGGACTCTCCCATTCACGCAGCCACATTTCCCAAAAAGAAGTGGTCCTGCTCCCCACCCCCCGACCCCCACTGCAGCGCCACCTGCCTTTATCTGTACTTGGAGGGACAGCGCAGCAGGCTGTGGCTGGCTACCCCAGGTGGCTCCACCCAGCTCTCAGAAGTTCACCTGCTGCACTCAGAGGCCGTTTACTTGAGGTTTGATATTTATCTCCAAAGGAAGGGCTGCCCCGACTGGCCTGGACCCTCCAGGGAGTTCAGCAAGCCGGAAATGCGTGTCTGCTGCTCTCCTGGCCCCTGGGCCACCTGCTTCTGTGGCCCTGGGATTGGGGAGCCAGGGCTGAGGGCCTGTAGGGCCCCCTGTCTGTGCCTCTAGAGGCCCTGAGCCACCTCCTGCAGTGTTTTAGATCCCATAAGCAAGAGACAGAATTGTGCATGGATGGTGAGAAAACATGAAGCTTTTTATTTGTAAACAGAAAATGGCAGGGCTCACTGTGTGGGGCTGGGGACAGCGCTAGGCCTGCTTTAGGCCGTGCACCCCAACCTGGGGTGTTCCACCAAGAGGGGTACAGTGGCCTCCACTGTGAGTATGTGGCCATCCTCTGGCTCCTGATTGCTGAGTTCCTGATTGCTGTCTTTGCGTAACTTAGGAACCCCGATGAAGAGCCCGTGCTCATAGCTCCGTTCCTGACATGTTCAGGAACGCCTCTGTTGAGGTTTTTCTCTTTGGTTCTGGAATTCCTGGGTCCCTTTGACCCCTGATGCGTTTGTTTTGGGTGTTGATGAGCACTGGAGCTGCTTCCCCACAGGGATGGGGCATTGGGGAGATTCCGACACAGCAGGGCCCTCACCCAGGAGGCTGCTGTGGGTGCTGGAGCGGTTGCTTCCATGGAGCTGGGATTCCTCTCATTTGGGGCTGTAGGAAGGGGTCTTTCCTCTCTGTGCTAACAGTTGTTTGTTTAAAAAGAAAGGCTGTTTAAACCTTTCAAACTTAAAACTTCTTTTTTTCTTTGGAGATGGAGTCTCACCCTGTCTCCTCCCAGGTTCAAGTGATTGTCATGCCTCAGCCTCCTGAATAGCTGAGATTACAGGCACATGCTACCATGCCCAGCTAATTTTTGTAGTTTTAGTAGAGACGGTGATATGGTTTGGCTGTGTCCCCACCCAAATCTCAACTTGAATTGTATCTCCAAGAATTTCCATGTGTTGTGGGAGGGACCCAGGGGAGGCAATTGAATCATCGGGCTGGTCTTTTCTGTGCTATTCTCGTGATAGTGAGTAAGTCTCATGCGATCTGATAGGTTTATTAGGGGTTTCTGCTTTTGCTTCCTCCTCATTTTTTCTCTTGCCGCTGCCATGTAAAAAGTGCCTTTCACCACCCGCCATGATTCTGAGGCTTCCCCAGCCATGTGGAACTGTAAGTCCAATTAAACCTCTTTTTGTTCCCAGTTTCGGGTATATCTTCTTCAGCAGCGTGAAAATGGAGTGCACACACACGTCAGCACTGTGGGCGCACACACCTGCACTCACACATTCATCAGGACCCATGGGCACACGTGCACACACACGTCAGTCCTGTGGGTGCACACACCTGCACTCACACATTCATCAGGACCCATGGGCACACGTGCACACACGTCAGCACCGTGAGCGCACACACCTGCACTCACGCACACACCTGCACTCACGCACTCAGGACCGACGGACATACGTGCACACACACATCAGCACCGTGGGCGCACACACCTGCACTCAACGCACTCGTCAGGACCCACGGGCAGATGTACACACATGCACCAGCACCCGTGGACACGTGCACGCACACATCAGCACCCATGGGCATACATGGATGCACACATCAGTACCATGGGCACACACACATGCACCCACTCCCGATGGCTTCGGCTTGCTGGGTGCCTGCTTCGCCCTCGGGTGAGCAAGTCTGGAGGCAGGCACTTGGGGTGGGGCCACAGTATGGTTCTTAGGAGCCCAGTGTCCCCTGGACCCACTTGCTCCCAGCCTTGGGTCCCAAAGTGCTGCTCCCACTGGTCTCTGTGCCCCACCCATCATGGGCAGGGCTGTCTGAACAGGGCAGAGTCACGAGTGATGCAAGGGTGGGGTGTGGAGGCCTTGCCTAGAGGCAGCAGCCAGCTCTGGCTTGGCTGGGCCTTACCTTCACTGTCCTGCTGTGAGACGCAGGAGCCCTGGGGGAGGACGGCAGTCTGTATCAGGGCAGTGGTGAAACTGCAGATTCCTAAATGTGATCTGGAGACGACTCTTGCTGGAGAAATCTACCCAGGTCCCTTGGGTCTGTCCCTCCCTTCACCCTCCACAGTCAGGGACAGGCTGCGTGGTGTGCCTCCCCATCTGTGCGTGGCCTCAGCGCAGCAGGCCTGTCCTGCCCATTGCTAAAGGTAGAGCCCGGCAGATTCATTGTGTGGTGAGGGCTTCCCCAGACCCACCAACTCCTGTGTCTTCCCATGGTGAGAAGGGTGGGGTCTCTCTGGGGCCTTTTTTTTTTTAGGAAGTCACTGATGCCACTCAGGTGGGTGCCCAGCTCCCCACCTGATCTCTGGAGTGGCCCCTTCTGCTGGAGGCTGCCCCAGGCTGGATGCCGTGGCCTGCAGACCCCCCTTCTTGCAGTCCCTGGGCAGGCAGCACCCATGCGCACACGTGCACACAGGCCGTGAGCACTGCCCTGTGAGCCAGGTGGTGGTGGGGGGTGTTGGGGCTAAGGTTTGGTTAGGGCCCGAGTGCTTGCGCACCCCCCCATCCAATTTCCCATGGTGCTGGGATGCTGCCGCCTCCTGGACCCTGGCGTTGAAGTGCCACCTTCATCTCCCTCCCCAGACAGTAAGCTCCAGACAAGGGCAGGCTGTGGCCGTCACTCTGGCCAGCTGCTCGGGGGCTTGGTGGCTGCTGGGTGGTCGCCTGGACTCTGCCCTCCTGTCTCCTGGTGTCCCGGAGGGGCCTTGCTGGGCTGGGCCCTCCACCGCCCCATTGGGCGCCTGACTCTCAGGGCGCAGTCAGTTCTTTGGGGATGGCCCTGATCTCTGAGCGGGACTGCCTCTGGCCTTTCTTCTGCATCCCCTACGGAACAGCAGCCTGCTAGACGCCCTGAGGAGGCAGGCTGAGGGGTGGAAGGGGCGTGGCCGTGCCCAGCAGAGACCACCCTCTGATGACGGTGGGCGTCCTTTCCAGCCCCTCTCGGGGCATCGCTTCATCCCTTCCCCCATTTCCTTCCTGGCCCTGCTCTCCAAGTCTTGTGTGTGTGGTGGGGCCTGGCTTCCCTCCCGGCCTCTCGCCTGTTCCCGCCCATCCCTCTCTGGTTCTCTCAGGCCTCCTCTGGGCTTGCCAGGAATGTAGGGGAATTAGGGGGAGG
This sequence comes from Homo sapiens, assembly GCF_000001405.40. Classification (NCBI taxonomy): domain Eukaryota; kingdom Metazoa; phylum Chordata; class Mammalia; order Primates; family Hominidae; genus Homo; species Homo sapiens. The sequence continues at coordinate 2,279,528 of NC_000001.11, forward strand.
GGGACACAGGAAATGCCTCCCCTCCTCTGACAACAGCTCCAGCTGCAGGGGGAGGGGGGAGGGGAGAGCAGAGTGGGTGAGACGAGGGAGGGCTGAAGGGGGGAGTCGGCTTGGGGGGAGAGTGTTCTCCTGCCCACCCAGGCACTGGGCGTGGCCCAGCCCCACAGACAGAACAGTTCTTTCTTCCTTATTTTATTTTTTATTAGAGACAGGGTCTCACTCTGTCGCCCAGGCTGGAGTGCAGTCGTGTGATTGGCCTCAAGCGATTCTCCCACCTCAGCCTTCCAAAGCACTGGGATTACAGCAGTGAGCCAGTGTGCCCAGCCTCTTCCTAAGTTTACACCAGTGTGGGCATCCAGTGAGGGGAACTGGCCTGTGATGCGGTGGTCCTTGTGACATGTCAGGCAGTTTTAGAGTAGGGTTTGTTAAAACATGGGTTAAATTGGGCCCCACCCCCAGCCCTCCACTCCTCAGCCATTCAGGAGAAGCGCGAGGCATGGGTGCGCGAAAATTCTGAGTCTGCCTTCCACCTGAACCCCCTCTGGAAGGTCTGACCACGGGCTGGGTGTGGTGGCTCATGCCTGTAATCCCAGCACTTTTGGGAGGCCGAGGCGGGTGGCTAATGAGGTCAGGAGTTAAAGATTAGCCTGGCTGATATGGTGAAACCACGTATCTACTAAAAAAAAAAAAATACAAAAATTAGCCGGCATTGTGGCAGGTGCCTGTAGTCCCCAGCTACTTGGGAGGGCGAGGCAGGAGAATCGCTTGACCCCGGGAGGCGGAGGTTGCAGTGAGCTGAGATGGCACCACTGCACTCCAGCCTGAGTGACAGAGCAAGCGTCTGTCTCAAAAAAAAAAAAAGTCTGACCACAGCCCCTTCTCACAAGGGGGCTGCCCCTTCTACCCTCGTTGGGGAAGGCCTGGTCTGCTGTAAGTGCAGTGACCGGACATTAAAATACCCCGGAATGGTCTTGGAAAGAGCCACTTCTGGGAGTCTTCCCTTACCCGCCACACACCTTTTAAAGAGAAACCTGAAGACACCTGAGAAGACAGGCGGCGGCGGCGATCTTCAGAGAGAAGATGCCCGAGAAGACAGGCGGCGGCGGCGATCTTCAGAGAGAGGACACCCGAGAAGACAGGCGGCGGCGGCGATCTTCAGAGAGAGGACGCCCGAGAAGACAGGCGGCGGCGGCGATCTTCAGAGAGAGAGATGCCCGAGAAGACAGGCGGTGGCGGAGATCTTCAGAGAGAGGACGCCCGAGAAGACAGGCGGTGGCGGAGATCTTCAGAGAGAGGACGCCCGAGAAGACAGGCGGCGGCGGCGATCTTCAGAGAGAGGACGCCCGAGAAGACAGGCGGCGGCGGCGATCTTCAGAGAGAGGACGCCCGAGAAGACAGGCGGCGGCGGCGATCTTCAGAGAGAGGACGCCCGAGAAGACAGGCGGCGGCGGCGATCTTCAGAGAGAGGACGCCCGAGAAGACAGGCGGCGGCGGCGATCTTCAGAGAGAGGACGCCCGAGAAGACAGGCGGCGGCGGCGATCTTCAGAGAGCGGACGCCCGAGAAGACAGGCGGCGGCGGAGATCTTCAGAGAGAGGATGCCCGAGAAGACAGGCGGTGGCGGAGATCTTCAGAGAGAGGACGCCCGAGAGGACAGGCGGTGGCGGAGATCTTCATAGAGAGGACGCCCGAGAAGACAGGCGGTGGCGGAGATCTTCAGAGAGAGAGATGCCCGAGAAGACAGGCGGTGGCGGAGATCTTCAGAGAGAGGACGCCCGAGAAGACAGGCGGTGGCGGAGATCTTCAGAGAGAGAGATGCCCGAGAAGACAGGCGGTGGCGGAGATCTTCAGAGAGAGGACGCCCGAGAAGACAGGCGGTGGCGGAGATCTTCAGAGAGAGGATGCCCGAGAAGACAGGCGGTGGCGGAGATCTTCAGAGAGAGGACGCCCGAGAGGACAGGCGGTGGTGGAGATCTTCAGAGAGAGGACGCCCGAGAGGACAGGCGGTGGTGGAGATCTTCATAGAGAGGACGCCCGAGAGGACAGGCGGTGGCGGAGATCTTCAGAGAGAGGACGCCCGAGAAGACAGGCGGTGGCGGAGATCTTCAGAGAGAGGATGCCCGAGAAGACAGGCGGTGGCGGAGATCTTCAGAGAGAGGACGCCCGAGAGGACAGGCGGTGGTGGAGATCTTCAGAGAGAGGACGCCCGAGAAGACAGGCGGTGGCGGAGATCTTCAGAGAGAGGACGCCCGAGAAGACAGGCGGTGGCGGAGATCTTCAGAGAGAGGACGCCCGAGAGGACAGGCGGTGGTGGAGATCTTCAGAGAGAGGACGCCCGAGAAGACAGGCGGTGGCGGAGATCTTCAGAGAGAGGACGCCCGAGAGGACAGGCGGTGGCGGAGATCTTCAGAGAGAGGACGCCTGAGAAGACAGGCGGTGGCGGAGATCTTCAGAGAGAGGACGCCCGAGAAGACAGGCGGTGGCGGAGATCTTCAGAGAGAGGACGCCCGAGAAGACAGGCGGTGGCGGAGATCTTCAGAGAGAGGACGCCCGAGAAGACAGGCGGTGGCGGAGATCTTCAGAGAGAGAGATGCCCGAGAAGACAGGCGGTGGCGGAGATCTTCAGAGAGAGGACGCCCGAGAAGACAGGCGGTGGCGGAGATCTTCAGAGAGAGGACGCCTGAGAAGACAGGCGGTGGCGGAGATCTTCAGAGAGAGGACGCCCGAGAAGACAGGCGGTGGCGGAGATCTTCAGAGAGAGGACGCCTGAGAAGACAGGCGGTGGCGGAGATCTTCAGAGAGAGGACGCCCGAGAAGACAGGCGGTGGCGGAGATCTTCAGAGAGAGGACGCCCGAGAAGACAGGCGGTGGCGGAGATCTTCAGAGAGAGGATGCCCGAGAAGACAGGCGGTGGCGGAGATCTTCAGAGAGAGGACGCCTGAGAAGACAGGCGGTGGTGGAGATCTTCAGAGAGAGGACGCCTGAGAAGACAGGCAGTGGCGGAGATCTTCAGAAAGAAAGCCCAGAGTTCCATAGTGGGCGGGTGGGCAGTATTTCGGCTTGTGTGGCACCAGGGCAGGGCCTCCGAACCCATGGAAAGCCTTGCTTCCCCCAAGCCCGCTGGCTCCCAGCCCTCCACCCTCATGATAGGGCCTGGGTAGGGGCTGCTGGTCACCCTTTACCCCCACCCAGGAAAAGGTCAGGAGGCTGGGCTCCCCGTCAAGGAGCGGTTTCCAGGGACACCGGCTCTCGGGGGCGCCAGTCCTGTCCTTGGCGCCCAGCACATGCTACTAGTGACATTCGCAAGGGTGGGTCTGGTTCTCAGCCTCCGACCTGTCACCCCGGTGTGGGCCCAGTGACCTCAGTGAGCTCCTCCTGTGCCCTAAGCTGAGCCACTGTGTACACTGAAGAGGAGGCTGGGGTCCTGTGTGCACCTGGCCCGCTTCCCTTGCCGGTGCTGGGAGACGGGAGCCAGTCTCGGACCCTCATCTGCCAGCAGCTCCTGTGGCTGTGGGGGCGCAGGCATCTTGGCTGACTAGGGAGGATCCCGTGGGAATGACCCCACGCCATGGCCAGGGAGGCGCCCCCACCCGGCCCAACCGCCTTTGTCGGGGATCCTGAGAGGCTTTGTGCGGAGGCTGGGTCCCAGGCTGGGTTCCGAGGGTGCCGGTGCGCCCCTCCTATGGGTGAGGCTGTCTGCTTACAGTTGAACACTTCTCCCCACTTCTGCGCCAGGCCTCACTCAGTCTCCCCAGCACGGAGCTCTTGTTGCTGGCCCAGGGCCTGTCCAGGTCCTTTGACAGGGCAAGGACTCAGAGCCTCAGGGGGGGGAGGGCAGGGCCTCCTGAGGAGTATGTCTCTGTGAAAATGGGGGTGAGGAGGTGGCAAGCATCGCCTTTTGAGGACAGAGTCTTGGAGAGGTGTTGGCTTTCTAGGGAGGGCCCTGTGATTCTCCTGCAACCATGTGGGCCGGGGCCAGGACCAAAGCCATCGTGCTGTCGCTGTGGATTTGGTGGCCGCTTCCCCTGCTCAGATGTTGTACTGCAGGCCTGGGCCTTGGCTTGGGGTCTCTGTGTCTCCATGTTCAGGACAGGCTTGTGGCTTTGGGTACCACGAGGGGCCATCCAGCCCAGGGGGCTTCAGGGAGCTGCCCCTCAAGTGCATGTGGGGTGCTGGGGTGCAGCCCTGCTGCCCATGGCCCGGAAGTCCAGGCAGCACTGCTCTGGTTCGAAGCTGCCCCAAGGGTACGGGAGGCCCGTCCACTAGAACTGAGGCCTGGCACCATGTTGTGTCGGTTTTCATGGCGAGAAAACATCGTGGGCGTCTGCTGGGGCTGGAGGAGGCGGGAGGCCGAGGCAGCAAAGCTGACCCGCTGGCGGGTGGGGGCCACTGTGGCGTCCCCTTCCTGCAGGAGGCGGGGAGGTGCTTGTTTCCCTCCAGAGCTGCTGTCTGCCCGCAGCTAGTGCCCTGTTAGCAGGTGCAGTGCCCGTGCCATCTTCTCCCCAGACCCAGACCCTCCCCAACTCATGGAGACCCTGTCCTCCGGGCCATCCCCCGTCCATGAATGCCCGGGGCTTGGGGTCCATCTCCTGTCCACATGGACCTCCCCTCTTGGGTGTCACAGCTGCATCAGAGGCCCCAGAGGCCGGCCCTGGGGGGCTCTGGCCCCAACACAGCGTCCTCCCCGTTCCACTGGCCGGGGCTCCCTCAGGTTGCTGCCCTGCCTCTAGATCCCTGATCCCTGGACCCATGCTGCCGAGACGTCCTGGTAGGGTTGAGTTCCCTCCTCTCCCACCCCGAGGCGGCCTGAGAAGAGCCTCTTGGAGGTTCAGGTGACCTGGCCTGGGTCAGCACAGTAGAGGCGGAGCTGCCCTCAGACCTCTTTTGTAACAGTTATCTCATGGAAACCTAAAACCTAATTGGGCAACGGCAGCTCCGTGTGAAGTAGAGATTGTCTGGAAGAGATTTGTCCCTGTTCTGTGGAGCAGGGCAGATGCAGCTGAGGTGCCTGGGGGGGCAGGGACCCTTCCCCAGTGGGCTCACCCCAGTGGTGTGGGGGTGGTAGAATTCAAGCTCACACCGGCCCAGAGGGCCCGCTGTCCGTGTGGACCTCCTGTGACTGCATGGGCCTCTTGCGGCGGCTCCCTCCCGCCCCACACCGGCCTATGAGCCCTCCCTGGCCCCTGGGTGGCTGGGAGGGCTCCAGGCAGGGAAGAGTCAGGGAGGGGTGGATGGCCGGCGTGGCTGTAAGAATGACAGGTGGACACGGGGGCCCACCTTGGCCTGTGCTGGGGGCCCCGGTGGCTGGAGAGTGAGAGTGGGTGCTCTCACTGAGGGTCTGACCCTGCTCCGCAGTGCAGTGTGGAGGTGGTTTTGGTGCCACACACAGCACAGGTGCACCATGCGGGCCTTTCTGATGATCAGAATTCATAAGTGGTTTTATTTTGTAAATTAACAGGACAGAAAAGCCTTTTTGTTCTTGCTAAAGTTTTATGATTTCGTGTTTGGGCCACCAGGGTATCTGGAGGCTGGGGGCAGTCGTGGCCAGGGTCAGAGTCTGGGTTGGAGATAGGTGTCATGCGGCAGTTGGTGTGGCCGTGTGGACTTGTCCCCATCTGTCTAGTAAATTTCCATCTGCCCTGACGTCAGCTGCCTTTTTGACATGCATTTGGAAGGTGTTAACAAATGGACTTAGATTCTTCCAGGCCGGTCGCAGTGGCTCACACCTGGAATCCCAGCACTTTGGGAGGCCGAGGCGGCTGGATCACCTGAGGTCAGGAGTTCAAGACCAGCATGGCCAACATGGTGAAACCCAATCTCTACTGAAAATACAAAAAAATTAGCTGAGCGTGGTGGCGGGTGCCTGTAATCCCAGCTACTAGGGAGGCTGAGGCAGGAGAATTGCTTGAACCTGGGAGGCGGAGGTTGCAGTGAGCTGAGATCGTGCCACTGCACTCCAGCCTGGGTGACAAAAGCAAAAGTCTGTCTCAAAAACAAACAATAAACAAACAACTCTTCCTTTGAAAGTTTTGTTTTGTTGTTTTTGTTTTTTTTTTGAGACGGAATCTTGCTCTGTCACCCAGGCTGGAGTGCAGTGGCGTGATCTCAGCTCACTACAACCTCCGCCTCCCGGGTTCAGGCAGTTCTCTGCCTCAGCCTCCCTAGTAGCTGGGATTACAGGTGCCCGCCACCATGCCCAGCCAATTTTTGTATTTGTAGCAGAGATGGGGGTTTTTACCATGTTGGCCAGGATGGTCTCGAACACCTGACCTCACATGATCTGCTCATCTGGACCTCCTAAAGTGCTGGGATTACAGGCGTGAGCCACCGCACCAGCCAGAAGGTTTTTTTTTTTTTTTTTTTTTGAAACGGAGTCTCGCACTGTTGCCCAGGCTGGAGCACAGTGGCACGATCTCGGCTCACTGCAAGCTCTGCCTCCCCGGTTCACGCCATTCTCCTGCCTCAGCCTCCCGAGTAGCTGGGACTACAGGCACGCACTGCCACACCCGGCTAATTTTTGTATTTTTAGTAGAGATGGGGTTTCACCACATTGGCCAGGCTAGTCTTGAACTCCTGACCTCGTCGTCCACCCACCTTGGCCTCCCAAAGTGCTGGGATTACAGGCATGGGCCACCACGCCCAGCCTACTGTTCATCTTTACCTTGTGTAATGCCAGTTTAAGACGCAAATGCAGGTCGGGTGCAGTGGCTCACTCCTGTCATTCCAGTGCTTTGGAAGGACAAGGTGGGCAGATCACTTGAGCCCAGGAGACCAGCCTGGGCAACATGGAGAAACCCCATCTCTACAAAAATACAAAAATTAGCTGGGTGTGGTAGTGTGCCTGTAGGCCCAGCTACTCTAGAGGCTGAGAGGGGAGGATCACTTGAGCAGCCTGGGAGGCAGAGATTGCAGTGAACTATGATGATGCTACCGCACTCAGCCTGGGTGACAGAGTGAGACCTTGTCTCTTTAAAAAATCATAAAATGCAAATGTAAGAGTGTTTAACTTGTGGAATCATCAAAATTGCACAGTTCTTGATTTGAACCCCAAATATAATAATTAAAGTGCGTGTGCATTTTATTCTTACCACATCAGGGCAAACGCTGCCCAAAATGAACCTGGCTGTTGGAGTTCGCTTAACTCACCCATGTGGCCACGCAGCTCTCGCTCTGAGTGAGGACAGACTGCGTGTGGGGGCTGTGGGCGCCTGTCTCCCTCCCTCCCAAGGCTCCGGTCGTGGGCTAGTGGGAGAAAGTGACTGGGTGGGACCAACGCGACCTCCTCCACTGGACGCTCTTTACACGGGCTGGGAATGGCAGTGGGCTTGCATGTGGCGTGTGCCACCTCTGCTCATGCATGCTCTGTGGTCACGGAGAACTTTGCTTATAAAAGAACATCTTATCAAAGGTGAAACTGTTCAGAATGCCAATGATGGGGACAGAGCGTTAAGCCCAGGACATGGCTGCGTGCCCACAAAGCCAGCTCTGGATGGAAAAGTAACGAGTGGAGGGCGTTTTCTTCCCAGACCCGGTGGTCCAGCCGTGAGTGTCCAGCTGCAGGCCCCACAGCAGCCAGCTCTGGGCGAAAATCTAGAGGGCCCCTGCGCACCCTCCCGCCCGGGGTGCCCTGGCCCAGGGTGCACCTGTGCTCTGGACCCTGGGCCGTGCGGGGCTCCAGGGCGCCTGGAGACTGCCATTTTGTGTGGGAAGGTGGAGGCGACTTGGGAATGCGTTTCTTTAGATTTTAAAGATGAGAGAGTGTTGGCCTTGGACAGGAAAAATTCCAATTTGGTGAGAAATGGAAATATCCAATTTTTTTTTTTTTTTTGAGACTGAGTCTGGCTCTGTCGCCCAGGCTGGAGGGCAGTGGCGCGATCTCGGCTCACTGCAAGCTCCGCCTCCCGGGTTCACGCCATTCTCCTGCCTCAGCCTCCCGAGTAGCTGGGACTACAGGTGCCCGCCACCACGCCCAGCTAATTTTTTGTATTTTTAGTAGAGACGGGGTTTCACTGTGTTAGCCAGGATGGATAATGTCCAAATGTTTTATCCAAGTCCAAATAGCAGTGTTGGTGGTAGGTGTGCTCTGCCTGTGGGTGGGGGTGGTCTCTGTCTCAAGGTGGGCTACGAGGGTCTGCCGCAGGGGGGGTGTGGACGGGTCTTGCATGCGTCACCTTCCCTGTGTGGGGCGTGGGGGTGGTCTCCCCCTAGAAGGACAGGGCTTGTGGCAGCCGTGAGATGGATGGATTCCCAGGGATCTCCCCTCACCTTGGGGGATGAGCCCAGGCTCCTTTCTGGGGTCTCCAGTGTGTCCCCGATGGACCAGCTTCCTGCATGGCACCGCCCTCCGGCCCCACCCCGAGCCCTGAGCCCCGCCTTGAGCCCTGGGCGCTCCTGGCCCTGGCCTGGCACTCAAGGGCTGCTTTCAGGGCTGTTTCTCGTCTGTCTTTTTTCTTTTCTTTCTTTTTTTTTTTTCTTCCTTGAGACGGAGTTTCACTCTTGTTGCCCAGGCTGGACTGCAATGGCACGATCTCGGCTCACCCCAACCTCCACCTCCCGGGTTCAAGTGATTCTCCTGCCTCAGCCTCCCAAGTAGCTGGGATCACAGGCGTGTGCCACCACGCCTGGCTAATTTTTGTATTTAGTAGAGATGGGGTTTCTCCACATGGGCCAGGCTGGTCTCGAACTTCTGACCTCAGGTGATCCACCCGCCTCAGCCTCCCAAATAGCTGGGATTACAGGTGTGCACCACCATTCCCAGCTAATTTTTGTATTTTTAGTAGAGACAGGGTTTCTCCACATGGGCCAGGCTGGTCTCTAACTCCTAACCTCAGGTGATCTACCTGACTTGGTCTCCCAAAGTGCTGAGATTACAGGCATGAGCCACTGTGCCCAGCAGGGCTGTTTACTTAAAGGTACATGTTCCGATCCCTGAATTCGGTTTTATTTTGAGGTTAGGAGTGAGAACACGATTGGTTGTCGTCGTTTCCTGTGGGAGTGGCTCTTTTCAGAGGCAGACAGTTGTCTTTGCTCGTGCGTGCACATTTGTTTGCATGCGCGTGAGACCCCCAGGTGGTTTTGCTCTGGGAGTCGTGGGATGTGTTCTCTGCTCCCTTCCCTTGTCCTGAGTGGCCTTGGTTGGCCACAGAGTCAGCTGGCAGTGGCTGTCTGTGGGTCACCTCCACACATGGATGAAACTAGCCTGAGGTGGGCTGTTGTTGGCCTGCTGGCATTTTTGGGGTCATGGCAGTGCCCTCAGGCTGGTGATAGTGGGGGTGGGGACCTTGTCTCAGGTACCAAGTTCGTCTTCATCCTTTGATCCCCTCTTCCAAAAACTACCCCCTCCCCCCGCCACGTGTGTGAGGCCTGCAGTGGTGTGCACAGAAGCCACCCTTGGGCCTGCTGGGTGACAGGTCCCCTCCAGGTGACGGGAGCTGCCTCGCTCTTCCTGCAGGTCCCCGGTGCCGCCTGGTTTTCCCGAATCGCATGCACCTGTCACTGAGCTGTCAGTGTGGTCAGCTTGCTGCACCCACCCGGGAAGTGGAGCTGGGGGAAGGTCATGTTCTGCAGGAGACCTGGTGGCTCAGGCCCTCAGGACCCAGCTGCCCCTCCCCGAGGAGCAGTGGTTGGTGAGAAAGCACACAGAAGGCAGAGGCTAGAGATGCAGCTCCTCTGTTATGTTGAGCCTCTCTAGGCAGGGAGCTCAGAGACCCGGAGGTGGCCCTCCTGCCTCCTCTCTGTCAGGACTTGACACCTGTCTCAGTGGCCATGGCTGTTTGTCTTCATCCCTCTTCGGTGAGGGTGGCAGGCGGCCAGATGCCCATTACAGGCCACCTCTCCTGCCAGCCAGTCTTCGAGGGCTGGTCACCACGTGGCCACTTTGTGAGGCCCCTCCTCTAAGATCAAATGTGGCACTGCAGAGCTACACCAACCCCGAGCCCCGCGCAGGGCAGGGCAGGAGAACCAAGATCGTGGGGGTGGGGGGGTGCAGGGCAGGGCAGGAGAACCAAGATCGGGGTGGGGGTGCAGGGCAGGGCAGGAGAACCAAGATCGTGGGGGTGGGGGGGTGCAGGGCAGGGCAGGAGAACCAAGATCGTGGGGGTGGGGGTGCAGCACAGGTCGTGCTCCCGGGGCTGGCTGTAGCGGCTCTCCCCTCCCCCGAGCCCACCGTGTGCTTCTTGTCCAGCCTTTTGAGATGACCACAGCTCTCAGTTTGGCCCCACAGCAGCATCTGGGTTGACGTCCCTGATGAGGTTTGGAAACAGCAGAGAAGGGGTTGTCCTCTTCCACCAAGAGCCTGGCTGGCCTGGCCTCCCTCTGGGCAGCACCTGGCTGGGCTGACTGGGCAGAGGGAAGGGGTGGCCTGGCCAGGGTGAGCATGGGGTGCTTGCCACTCCACAGAGGGGGTGCAGGAGGCGCCTCCAGGCCACGTTGCTCCAGGACATGCCACCTCCACAGCCCCCTCCTTGGAGTCTTTCCTCAAGGTCTTAGGATGGCTGTTTGTGCCCTAGCACAGAGACCCTTGCCCTCTTGTGTGGCGCCGGGGGTCCCTGTTGGTCAGGGATGTTCCTAGAGTGGGGAGGGAGTCGGTAAGGCAAGGGTGATGTTGGTTGTAAGGGGTGGAGTCCTTGGTCTTAAGAGATCAGGCAGGGCAGCCCTGGGCTGCCCCCGGCAGAGCCTTTGCCCCAGGCAAGTCCCGGGGCTCCTGGGAAGAGGCTACTTCTCAGCCTCTTGAGAGGGCCTCCAGGGCACAGGCAGGGAGCAGCTGTGAGGGTGTGGCTGTGATGGGGACTCTTGACTGCAGTGTGGATGTGAGCTGATTGGGGGTAGGCCAGCCTTCTGTGCGGGACACTTGGGAACTGAGGGGACACAGCCGCCACCCTGCACTGCTCAGCCTGAGCACCTCTCTGGCTGTTTGGTGCTGCACGTGTTTCTGGGCATCTGAGATGAGGCCCCAGGGCCTTTGCTTCCAGACACCAGGGGAGAGAGACCAGCCCCAGAACAACAGTTGGCGGGTGGGCTGGGGTCGTCAGAGCTTCTGACCTCATCAGGGGCTCCCCCAGAGTTTTCTGTGCGCTGCCGTGTGTCTGGGCCAGCGCTGGGGGCAAGCGATGCCTTCTGTGGTTTGAGGTCTTGTAGGCAGGAGGAGGAGGAGGAAGAGGGCACCTGCTGAGATACTTCACTGGTCTGAGGGCCCCTTCTGCCCCAGCTAGCGCTTGGGTGAGGGTTGGGCTTGCGGAGCCGTCCTGTAAAGCCGGGGATGGCAGGACGCATTGTCACCCCCTCCTGCCGCTCTTACGAAACACTCTTAATTGAGTCCGATTCTTGGTGAATCAGCCTTCCAAGAACCGCGACCGCAGCATCCTGTGCCGCTTCTGTGTTCCGCATTTTTCTCTTTCTGCAGCGTTTCCTCTCATTCTGGATGGAAAGGCCTGTTTGTCTCCCTCAATCTTTGGCGAGGGTGGCAGGCAGCCAGGCGGCCATTACGGGCCGCGCCTCCCACCAGCCAGTCGCTGGCAGGAGCGTCCGGGGAGGGAGCAGACCCCGTTCACCCTCACCCCAGAACTGAAGCAGCGAGGGGACCCAGACGAGCTGCGAATGCAGGCGCTGGGGATGCTCATGCCAGCTTGCTGTTCTTGGGAGTCTGTTTATTCTTTTAAGCTATTTCAGCATTTACCTTCAGTAGCATCGGAGGAAAAGAACGATACATTCGCCCCAGTGTGTCCCCTGGGGGACCTCTGGCTAATTTTCGGATTCCGAAAGTGAGGTTTTGCAGGGCTGTGTGGCCACTCCTTTGTGGTCGGCCCCAGTGTCATCAGGCTGGTTTCAAATCTGGGGTCTGTGGTTCGAGGCTGAGTGCAGGGCTCAGGCTGGATGGGGAGGGTGAGAAGAGTGGGGCCAGACTTCCCGGGGTCAGCACACACATCTAGGGTCGTCATGGAGCCCATGGCAGCACTGCCTGGCCATTGGCCCCTGGTGGACGCCTCAGACCGAGGTCCCAGGAGAACCCCAGCAAGGTTGGGGCTGCAGAGGGAGCCCTCCCCGGGACAGCAGCTGGACCAGAACAGAAGCTGGGCCCTCCCCCACCCCCTCAGTCTCTGCAGCCCCCACCCTCCTTCCAGCACCTTCCCCCCTGGATGGATGGGTCTTTGTGTTTTGATGCCCCTTGGCTCTGGCATTGTGGGGGGGCCCCCTGGGGCATGAGGAAGAGGGCCAGTGCCAAGGCCCCGAGGGAGCGCTACTAATTGCTACTCAGTTTCCTTAGAAAGATTTGGCTTTTTGTCATCAACAGCGCTAAAGTAACAGCAAAGATGACCTACTTAAGCGAAAGAAAAATCCGAGTGAACCTTTAAAGCTGGTATTCTCACTTCATTTTGGGGCTTGGGGTTGTCTTGCAGATTCAATCTGTTTCCTCTGTGCCACAATAATCAGAAAATAGGTTAATTTAAGCCCAATATGAAAAGTGAATTATCATGTGTGAAATATTAATGGCACTTACAAAAATAGCTTTATAATTTCTTGAACCGTGAAATCTTCAGAGAAGGCCCATAGCTCACGTGAGCCGATTCTTGAGTGAGGGTATTTGGGGGTGCACCTGGAGGAGACAGCGATGGTCTCAGCAGGGTTTGTCTCTAGAGTGCCTCAGCGCGAGCTTCTGCCAGTCCCCGGAGAGGAGTCCCCACGCCTCCTTGCCCTGCTCAGGGCTGCACGGGAGTTGCCACGTAGGAGAGCACAGCCCACCTTGGGCTTTTGGGGTTCGGGCTTTTGGAGTTTGTCCAGGCTTTGGGGTGGGGCTTTGCCTGTAGAAGCTCTGAGCTGTGCTGCATGGTAGGGTGACCGCAGTGGGCTGCCCTGGGTGCCCCATGAAGGACTGAGCAGTGGGGTGACCCTTCATCTAGCAGACGTTCATCAGGGACCTGCTGTGGGCCAGGCTGGGGTCACACTCAGAACTGACTGCAGCCAGGTGGAGACCCCACCTCGAGAGCTCCTCCTTCCTAGCTGTGTAGCCCACACCCCCTGGGGAGCCGTAGCAGTGTGGGGGCAGCTCTGATGGAGGGGTGTGTACCTGGCCACAGCTGTCTCTGGGCTGTGGTCATCACCCACAGGTCCTTTTCAGATGCGGTGCCCACCTGGGTGTGTGGACATGACCCTTGCCTAAGGGAGGGAGAGAGGAAGGCCTGGTACCAGGCAGTGTCCTCTGCCTGTGCCCCTGCTGGGGAGGACGTGAGGGCCTGTGGCTTTTAGGAACCTTGAGGAGGTGGGGGTGGTCTTCTGACGCCGGCGGGGCTCCTGAAGGTGCAGGAAGGCACAGTTTGTGCAGAGTCCCCTTCGGAGGAAGCAACGCCTGTCCCTGGCGGGGCCGCTGAGCCAAAGGCCGTGTCTCAGTGGCACCCTCTCCCAGCCGAGGATGTCGGCACCATTTGGGCCCGTGGACTTCCTCCAGTCTCTGGGTGGTGGTGAGTGGGGCCTGCTGTTGTCTAGCAGCCACTGTTCTGTGGGGCTTCACTCCTGGGCAGGGTGCACGGGAGAGCAGGGGTTGGCAGGAACCCGGCAAATTTGTCAATAAACCTGAACCTGAAGTCCCACAAGGACGGAGGCTCAGTAGGGCTCGGGCCTGAGCGGGGCAGGCCAGTGTGAGCTGGGGGTTGGGGCAGGCCACTGTGCGGAGCGGGGTTCTGGCCACCACAGGGCTTTTGTTCTGTTGCTTTGGTTGGCGATCGGGACTCACCATGTTAGACCTGAGGTTCGTGGTGGGATCCACCGGCGTGGCCCTGGGTGGCTGCCCTGTGTGCTCAGGGAGCAGTCACGGGCCCTGAGTGGTGTTGCCCGTGGGCCTGGAAGGTCCAGCCGAGGGTTGGGGCCTGCGGATGTCGCTTCTCTGAAGATGAGAAGCCAGGGCGAGGCCCCCCCCCAACATCTGGAAGGTTCTCCTGCGTCGCCCTCTCCTTCCAGGCACATTTGGCCGTCCCCTTTTCTGCGTGTCTGTCCCCACCATCGTGCCCTCTTCTTCTCTGGACTGCGTTTGGATGATTTCTTTGAACGGTTTTTATTCTGGAAAGTTCTGCTCGAGCATCTGGTATCTCCCTGGTGTTTGGGATGTCTCCTTCTCATTCCCCCGTGTCTTGCTTTAAGCTGCGTGTCCTCGTGTTTCCGCTGCCCCTGTTCTTGGGCACTGCGTTGTGTTCTGTCTGGGATCCCCGTGCAAGGCCCCTGGGTCTGGTGGCTGCTGCCCGGCCTCTGGGACCGTCTACCTGTCCCAGCCCCCGTTTCCCCGCTTCTTCAGCTGGCACCTTGAAACTCCGTGCCAGGTGAGCAGGCCTGTGGCTGCAGGTTCCCGGAATCTGTCGTGGGTTCTGGGTTGTCCCTTCCAGTGCAGGCGGTGGTCACCGCGCCACCATGGGGGTCCAGGCAGCAGGATGGTCATGTGATGGGGGCCACTCTGGGCTTTTCATTCTCCTTTCATCTGTGGCCTCGGAGGCTCCCCATGTTTTCTGAGGTGCACAGAACATGGAGGGGTGCTCATCTCATGTCAGATATTGGAAGGATGTCGTGCAGGAAGGTTCGAGGGTCTCGGGGTGGTCCTGAGAAGCCGATGTGATAGGTGCGGCAGCTTCCTCTTCCCCTGAGCGGGGGCTTCCAGAGCCTCCCTCCCACTGGTGCCCATGGGGTTTGAGCCTGATAGCTCCGCAGGATTCAGCTGCTGTGAGTCACAGCCAGGATGGAGAGGTCTAAGGCAGGCCTGATGCCGGGCAGGGCGACATTTCTAGAAAAGGTTTCATCTGGTGATCTGCTAAATGGCATGAAAATCACAAAATTGGCACTCAGTGACCATCAGGCTGGCTGTGTGTGGCTGCTCTCCTCAACAAGCAAATGGCTGCCCCCATCCAGAGCCCCGACTCCCGCTGGCCTCCCCCGTGCGGGGATGTGGGGACCAGGGCAGGCCCCAGAGACCACCTGACCTCTCTGGCAGGAAGAAGACCACGTCGTGCCGTTTCCTCCTCCCTTGAGCCCGTTAGCTGTCTCGGGGAACCGGTAAGCCCAGGGCCACCTTGTCACGTCCTCCACTGAACGTGGGTCCACGTAGATGCCAGCCCCTTGGTCTTGCCCAGAAGTTGTGGGAGGTGCTGGTTGCCAGGGATGGCTATGCATGTTTGTCCCCATGGCAGGGAGGCCTCTGGGGGCCTGGCCCTCCCCCCGCTAGCTGCTTCTCACATTTTTGTCTCCCCGAGAGCCACCTGCTCTCCCAGGGCCCTCAGGCCCCCGTCTGCCAGTCTCCTGGCACCTGGGCTGGGGTCTGCGCCAGGCAACTCCCACAGCAGGGCAGGATCCACCCTCCACGTTATCATTACTGCCATCCCCTGTGCCTGGGTTGGAGGCCACGCCCACCCAGTGGGGCCCCTCTGGAAAGGAGACTTGACCTCAGGGTGGTGGCAGGGCTCTGTGGGATGCCCCTGGTGACAGGGACCAGAATGTTCCCTAAAGTGGATGTCAGGCCCCTGGCTCAGATGGAGCTTTCTGTTCTTGATGGGCTTTAGAAGGTGAAAAACTAGGCTTCCAGAGGTGAAGTTGCACTGTGGGCTTTGTGGCAGGTGAGCGCTGCCTGACCCTGAACAGCTGCTAAAGACTCAGACCTGGAGCCTTCCTGGTGTCCTGTGTGTCCACGCAGGTGTGCCAGTGTGGCAGCCCTGCGCCAGGAGCTGCCCCTGCATGTCATGGCAGCATCCATGCCAGCCGAGCGCCCCTCTGGCTCCCAGGCATCTCATCCTGTCTGGCTCTGAGGGCCGTGCTGCAGTGAAAACCATTCACCTTGACAGTTTGGCTTTCGACCAAGAATTCACTGTCATATTTTTGATTTTTAAAATTAAGACTGTATTCAGATATAATTTGCGTACCATAAAATTCTTCCTTCCACAGAATATGGTTTAATGGTTTTTCAGTATATGCAGCCATCATCATCTAAGTTGAGAACATTTTTGTCACCCCCAACAAGAAGCCCCATGCACATGGTCCGTCACTCCCCAGGCCCCAAATCCCAGCCAGCACTGATCTTGGCCATTGGCCTGTCCTGGTCATTCCATAGAAGTAGAGCCACGTGACTGTGTGTGTGTCTGGGCCACGCGTGGCTGTGTGTATGAGAGCCATGCGTGACTGTGTCCGGGTCACACGTGACTGTGTGTCCGGGCCACGTGTGGCTATGTGTCCAGGCCACGTGTGACTGTGTGTGTCCGGCCTCAGCACAGTATTTTCAAGGCTCCTTCCTTCCTTTTCATGACTGAATCATACTCCATTGTCTGCACAGACCACAATCTATCCCGTCATTTGTCTCTGGATGCTTGGGTGGCTGCACTTTGCTGCTGTGAGCACTTGTGCACAAGCTGTCGTGTGGATGTGTGTTTTCAGTAACCTGCGTGTACGCCGAGGACTGGAATTGCTGGGCGATGTAACTGTGTTAAGCTTCCGAGGACCTGCCAGACTGTTTTCCACAGCAGCTAAATAATTGTACGTTCCTCTTAGCAATGCATAGGGGTTCCTGTGTCTCCATGTCATCACCAACACTTGTCCAAACTAAAAAATTCTAGGCCAGGCGCTCATGCCTGTAGTCCCAGCAATTTGGGAGGCCAAGGTGGGCAGATTGCATGAGTTCAGGAGTTCAGGACCAGCCAGGGCAACAAAGTGAAACCTTGTCTCTAGGAAAAAAAACAAAAAAAAAAAAACAAAAAATTAGCTGGGCATGGTGGCACATGCTTGTAGTCCCAGCTACTCAGGAGGCTGAGGTAGGAGGATTGCTTGAGCCCTGGGTGGTTGAGGCTGCAGTGAGCTGAGATCGTGCCACTACACTCCAGCCTGGGTGACAGAGCAAGACTCCGTCTCAAAAACAAACAAACCCAGTTCTAGCCATCGTTGTGGGCGTGAGTTGACGTCTCCCTGCGGTGTGATTGCGTTTCCACAGTGAATGATGTCAGGCAGCTTTGCATGCGGTTACTGGATGTTAGTATCCTGTTTGGAGAAATGGCTACTCGAATTCTCTCCCATTTGGAAATTGGGTTGTGTTTTGTGTTTTCCTTGCTGACTTGCAGAGTTCTTCATGTGTTCTGAATCTGGTCCCTTACCAGCTACCGGGTTTGCACGTTTTCCCTTGCATCCTGTGGGCTGTCTTTTCCCTTTCTCGATGGTGTCCTTTGAAGCACAAAGACGTCGTGATTGTTTTCTGGGAAGCCTTGTTGTTGTGTTTTCTCTCTGTTCCTTGTGCTTTGGTGTCATGGAAGCACTTCTGCGGGGGCGGGAGTCTGGACTGAGGCCGCCACGTTCCTGCTGTGAAAACCTTCACGTGCGCTCGCAGCCTCGGCTCTACAGACGGTTCAGTCCGGGAAATGGTTTAAGGAGGCCGTGCACAGAAACAGTCTTTGCAGCCAGGGACATGAGAGCATACCGTGCTGTTCCCACAAGGCCCGTGGCCTCTGCAGGTGAGAATTGGTGGCCTCCCTTGAAAATACTGAATGGAGGTGCCAGGCACCCGCACAGGCTCTTGGTGTGGGCATAGGCCGTCTTCCACTTGAAGAATGTGGCAAGATGGTCTGAAAACCACAAAGTTTGTGTTTGGAGACACGGTCTCAGTGTGTTGCTCAGGCTGGAGTGTAGTGGTGGGATCATACCTCACTGCAGCCTCGACCTTTTGAGGTCCAGTGATCCTCCCACCTCAGCCTCCCAAGGAGCTGGCATTACAGGCATAAGCCACCACGCCGGGCCCACGGCTGAAGTTTGGGTTGTATCCTTTTAAGGAATAGCAGACGGGTTTTCAGCCACACCGAAGAGAACCTCAGCGTAGCAGAGTGTTGCTGGGCCATGTGCTTCAGGAGCAGGGCCACAGGCAGGACCTCGAGTGCCCAGCCCGCTCACCACGCTGTGGGCGGCCTCTTGGGAATGTCAGAACACCAGCACAGGCGATCTCCTCGGAACCCAGATTGTGGGCGATCCTGCCGCTCCACCTGCTGTGGCCCCAGGGTTGCACCACCATGTGGACTGTGGCTGGCAGCTTCTGGAGGCTTCTTGGTGCCTACAACATCTGCGCCACTCCACAGCGTTGCCTATTGGTGGCAGCCATCCCCTCCATAAGCCCGTGGCCCCTGTACAGAGACGAATTGGCGCTCACGGACTCACCCTGCGAGGCAGCATCTGCGTCTGCAGGACTTCCCGGCCCTTGGCCGCACATTTCCCTCCAGTTCCCATCATGGCAGCTGTGCCTGGTTGCGGATGCTGCATGCTGAGGAGAGGAGGCGTGGGCCCGCCCGGTGTGCATGGGCAGGTCTGAGACTGGCCACTCCCATGGCGCATGCATTCCCCTGGAGGGTCCCCTTGCCCCGTGGCTGCAGCCTGGCAGGAGAAGACGCTGAGGGGACGCACGGGAGGGGTTGCAGGGTGGGCTGTGCTGTGTGGCAGGCCTTGGGGTGTAGCCGCAAGCTGTGGGTCCATCCCCCCGCACCAGAGTGCAGTTTTGACACCGGGTGGTCATGGGCCGAGCATCCATGCAGGTGTGGAGACGGAAGCCTGACCCACAGAGCTTGGTGGTGGCCCCTGGACTGACCTGTGGGCTGCTCAACCGCTCTGCCACTGTGCGTTGTTCACATGTGAAGCCGGCGTCACAAAGGCCTCAATGTCTGTTTCAGCTGGATACATGCGCGCCCTCGTGGGGGCTTGAGGGCACACTGGCCGCTGGACACTGGGGTCCCGGGGTGACTGAGGCTGGTGCCCTCCTGACAGGTTGCTGGGCTGCAAGTTGAACAGAAAACTGGTTTTCTTCACTCTGCGAAGTTCCCTGTGGTTGTCCCTGGGGTTGGAGGGAGTTGTGTTGACATCATCATGGCTGCTGCTGTGCGCCTCTCCCTTGGAGCAGGTGTGGTCCCCGGCTCCTGGATTGGCTGCCCATGCTCAGGATGGTCTGGGGTGTGGCCGTGGCCTGTCCCCGGGCCGGATGGCTTTCTCAGCAGCTCCCTGAGGCAGCATGAGCAGAGGCGGGACCCTGCCCGGGTCCTGTTTCCCCCTTGTATCCTTTGGCCCTAATACGGGGTCCCGTTTACCAATGAGGGCAAAGAGACCAGTCTAAGGGGAGGCTGAAAACTCACAGGCAGGCCTGTCTGGCCTTGGGGTCTGGGTGCTGCTTCCAGGCAGACCACATCCCAGGTGAGGTGCAGACATTCAGAGACAGACGTGGCCGATCCTGGCTGCTGTATCAACGCGCCCACCAAATGGGGCCTTCTTTGATCATCAGTCAAAAGCAAGAATGTGCCTGTGGTGGGCGGGCGCGTGTGCCAGCTTCCAGGCCGTGGGCTCCTTGGTGCCCAGAGCTCACCCTGTGGTGCTTGCCCACTACTCACTCCCGCCTCCCCGGAGTCTTGCCCTGGGGGGTCCTGGTGTGGGAGCTGCCTTCTCTAGTTGGGTGGAGCCTTGCCTGCTGGTGCCTGTGAGCCCTGGGTGGGTGGATGCCGGGTGGTCGTGGAGGTTCACAGCAGGCTCTATGTGGTTGTTTTGTGTGGATTTGGGGTGTGAATTCTCTCAGCAAAGGCTGACTCAGACCCCAGTGTTCAGAAGGTTCAAGGAAGCGACCGTCAGCGCCGAGTGGCCAGCAGGGCGGGGATGCGGCGTTGAGCCCCGTCATTCAGCTTCAGTGTGGAGAAGGCCCGGAGCTGTGGGCATCAGCTCGGGGACCCGAGTGACTGTCCCTGCCTCGGGGAGGGGGGGGGCCACACGGGCAGGCGGGGCAGCAGCTTGTGCCCATGTCCTCCTCACGGACTCTGGAAGTGAGAGGCGCTGAGGCCACAGTGGGGGAAGTGGCCCAGCTGACGACCCGGGCTCTCGGTGCCCTGGGAGGAGCTGTTGTTAGGACATGTGCAGACTGGGTTCAGCCTGTCTGGAGTGGCTCAGGTGCCTGGGGACAGAGGCCAGCTGTAACCGCTGCTGCACTCGGTTCTGGATTCAGTGCCCTCCGCCTCTGCGGCGTCTCCCTCGGCAGCTGTCCAGGACTCCAGCCTCCCTGCCAGGGTAGGGGACATGGAGCGTCTCCTTGCTCTGGGGGGTTGAGGTCTTCTGTGTTTGGACCCTGTGGGATCTGGCAGGAGAAGCAGCCCCCACTCATGTTGTGCCAGGGGCCTGGGGAAGGGAGATGGCAGTTCTGTGACCTCCAGACTCCCTTTCCTTATTGCAGGGGATGGGCCAGCGTTTCGCCCTGAGCATCTGCACGTGTCAGGCAGGAAAGGGTCCCCAAGGCCTTCTCAATGGCTCTTCTCTGTTCCTGGCACCTTACAGGCCTGAAACGCAGGGCCCCCAAGGGTGGGGTGTGCATTTTTGGAGAGCGTCTTTTCTGAGACTCCCCCATGGGGAGCTGGTGGCTTGCTTGTGGCAGTGTACTGTGGCTGCCCAGTCCTCGGCAGGCATCCACTGCTGGCTCACCTGTTTGGGCCACCGCCTCTGCATAGGTCCTGTGGGCTTTGCTCAGGAACTGTTCCGTCAGAGGGCCTAGGGTGTCCACAGTCTTGGGCCCGCTATTCCTCAGCCCAGCCCTGCCCTGCCCTGGCAGGGGGGCACCTGTCCTTGGGTGCAAGCTCACACGCGTTGCCCGGGTGCCTGCTGGCCAGGTAGCTTGCCTGGTCATCCTCGGGGTGTGGGGAAGGACCCCAGGAGGGGAAGTGGCCGCGGGGCAGCGCGGTGTGTCGTCTGGCCTCCGCTGTGTAAGCTGACAGTGGCCTGAAGGGCTTTGGGATGGGGCAGCCCCTTGCAGGCCTATCCAGGCCCAGCCCCATTGCTTTGGTGTGTCAGGTCCAGAGCCGTGCTCCTGCCTCGTGGCCTGTGGGCTCCAAGGGCGGGTTTTGAAGCCCCAGGAAGGGTCACACCAGAGGCAAGCGGTCGTAGCTGCTCTTCCCAGAGTAAGACTCAGCCGTCTGTCACTGGGTGTGGTTTTGTCCCTGACCGACAGCTGACACTGGGGCCCCCAGGGGCCTTGGTAGGGCGGGTGGCATCCCAGGCCTGAAGACGGCTGTCTGCTTCCTGGGGCTTTGAGAAACCAATACTGCTCAGGTGACAGTCCCTCTGAGAGTGTCACTTCCTCCGCCCACAGGGGCGCAGACACCTTCTATTTTACACGTTTCTCTCCGTTTCTCTGATGCTGCAGAGAGCCCGCCCTGAGAGCCGGGAGTCGCCTGATGAGGGGTCGGCAGGGGTCTTAACGGAGTCATGTCTCCGAAGGCTCGTCCTGGCTCCCTGAAGACCAGGAGCGTCCCTGGCCCCAAGGATGGCCCTGAGCCCATCTGCCTCAACCCTCCAGATCTGCAGGGTCCTCGGCCACCCCCCACTGAGCGGATTGGGCTCGGGGCCCCGGGCCTACGGTCCTCCCGCCACCTCCACGGGGCGGCTGTTGGGGCCCCACCAGGCAGAGCCGTGTTCTCAGGCGTTGGCTCTCATGGAGGTGGCCTGAGGCATCTGACTCTTTCCCCTCAAGGAGTCTCTGAGTCTCCCGGAGTCAGCGCCGGCTGTTGTGGCTTTTCCCCGGGTGATAACTGAGCCGAATTTCCGCGCCCGCTTCAGTGGCTGCTTAGACAGGAAGCTCCACCCAGCCGGGCGTCCTCGGCCTTCTGTGCCTCTCGGGAGGGTCCGCATGATTCCGGAAGGGGCTCTGCTGCAGCTAGGATGGCACCCGCCCCTGCCAGGCATAGGCACAGCACCCTGCGGTCAGGGCCTCCGCCAGACGTCATCAACACTCACTTCCCCTCGAAAGCCGCCACATAGAGGGGGTATTTTCAGTGTCTTTTTTCCTGAACAGCTATTTTAGTGTCTCTGAAAAAAACCATCCACAGCCGTGAGCCTTCAGGGGCTGCCTGCCCTGCGTCCCCGGCCCTGTGCGCCCGAGCACTTATCTTTCTCCCTTGGGCCCAGGTCAGAGCCAGGCACCTGCCCCTCCCCTGGCCCCACCCTGCTTGTTCCCTGAGGGCTGCAGGGTGGGTGCACGTGCTGCAGGGGAGGCCACGGGCTTTGGCCAGATCTTCCCCCAGGGCCCTCCATCCCCATAATTGGAGCACCTTGATGGACAGCCTGCCCTGCGCCCCATCTTCCCCCTAGGGAAGCAGGGTCCCTGCTGCCTCCAGGAGGCTGGTTCCTGATGCAGCGTCTTCTCCTAGAGTCCTGGAGGTGGGAAGAGCCCCCGGCCCTGAGTGTGCTCTGTCCACCAAGGCTTCCTGGCTGAGGGCAAGGGCGGAGCCCCCACCGCCCGACTTTGCTGCCTCCTCTTGAGGTTGGCCTCGGCAGAGTGAGTGGGACCTCACCCCTGTGAAGGGCCCCTTGCCCTGTGTGGCCTGTTCTGCATTGGCCTGTGGTGTAGACCTGGTGCCAGCTGCCCTGGAGACTCTGTGCTGTCCTGTGGGGTCTTTGGCAGTAGAGGAATGGCCCATTTTACGGAGACTGCCCTGTGATTTTGCTTGGGAAGAGACCTTGGGTCTCAGTTGTGCCTTGCGGGCAGCACCGTCTCAGGGGTTTCCAGCCGCAGGGCTGTGGGAGTTCACGTTTGCCTGAGGCTGGATGTACCGGCTCAGGCCCCCAGCACACAACCCACATCACTCACTGGCTCTTGGGGGATGTGCCTCAGCACCTGACACACAACACCTGGTTCTGAGTGGGCTGGGTCCAGGCACCTTCGCTAAGCTTCCTCCACCAGCGGGACCTGGTTCTGGGTGGGCTGGGTCTGGGCACCTTCGCTAAGCTTCCTCCAGCACCGGGGCTGGCAAGGAGCGAGGCAAAGGTGTGTGTGGTGCCATCCTGTAGGAGCCAGGCTCCTTGGGGATGGTGTCCTTCATTTTGAAAATGTTTCCTTCCCATGGGGAGGGGGCAGCCAGAATGCCCACTCTTTAATGCACCTGTGCCAGTGGCCCACAGGGACACGGTGTCCCCTCCCCGCGACCACCCCTGTGCCGCAGCTGCCCTTCCCAGACGCATCCGTCGTGAGTGGCTCTCGCCGTGCTGTGGCTGGTTGAGCTGAGTGCCCAGCGCTGGGCACCCTCTGAGGACACACTCGGGTTCTAGGAAAGGGGTTTGGCAGGAGAAGGACGAGGGACTCCTGGCCAGGCTGAGCCGCTGTGGAAGGGGAGAGTGGGTCTTGGTGCTCCATCCCAAACCTGCTGCAGCCGTGGGTGAGGTCACCCGGAATGGCAGGACAAGGTCCACTCTGTTCTCTCGGAGATGACTTGTCCCTCAGCACAGCCTCCACGTGCCTGTTGCGCGTGGCCTAAGGGCCTTTATGCAAAGTGAACTTGGTCTCCTGGGGGGTGCCCTGGAATCTGCCTTCTGCGCCACTCAGGGTCGTTTGTGGCCGGAGTGCATGGGGCTCTGACTGCCATGTGCCAGCCACGGGGCTGGTGGAGGGACCCTGCCCTGGGAACCACAGGTGCCAACAAAACCTTTCATTGATCGCAGGTCTCCTCTGAGCCTCCGGCCTCCATAAGACCCAAAACAGATGACACCTCTTCCCAGTCCCCCGCGCCTTCCGAAAAGGACAAGCCGTCCAGCTGGCTGCGGACCTTGGCCGGCTCTTCCAATAAGGTGCTGTGGGGCCTGTCGGGGTCCTTGGGGTGGTGGGTACTGGGCCCTTCTCCTTGGGCAGACCCAGCGGCTGGCAGCTCCACCTGCCCGCTACTGAGGGCTGGCACCCGGCGCAGCCTCAGGGACATGAAGTGGCTTGTTTTTCTCCTGGTCACTCACACAGACAACTCTTTCTCGACAGAGCCTGGGCTGTGTTCACCCTCGCCAGCGCCTCTCTGCTTTCCGACCCTGGTCCCCCGCAGTGTCAGCGAGTGAGAAAGAGCTCTCCCCACACCTCCCGGCCCTCATCCGAGACAGGTGAGTGGGCGCCATTCACAGGTGTTTCTGATCACGGGGGAGGCTCCACGAGGGCTGTGCATGCGGACGCGCCCATGTTTCTGCAGGCTGGGTGCCCAGACCTGCCGCCTTTTGGTCAGGGCAGTCTCGGTGTTGGTTCCTTTGGCTGGCATCAGGGAGAGCACACCTAGAGCGTTCCCTGTGTTCTGGGTGGAGTCGTGGGTGGAGCCCTGTCTGCTGGGCGCAGCTTCTTGATGTGTTGGCCTGTGTCTGGCCTTCGCAAGAGACCCAGCAAGCAGAAAACGCTTACGGGTTCTTAGGGAACTGTAAGCTTGACTTGAAGATTCGGAGCTGGGAAAGTCTTTCCTGTTTAACACCTTCAGAGGGGGTGTGCGCCAGGATGTGTCTGGGTGGTGCTTGGGGACAGAGGCACCTTCCCGACACCCGCCTGCCCCTCCAGCTTCTACTCCTACAAGAGCTTTGAGACAGCCGTGGCGCCCAACGTGGCCCTCGCACCGCCGGCCCAGCAGAAGGTTGTGAGCAGCCCTCCGTGTGCCGCCGCCGTCTCCCGGGCCCCCGAGCCTCTCGCCACTTGCACCCAGCCTCGGAAGCGGAAGCTGACTGTGGACACCCCAGGAGCCCCAGAGACGCTGGCGCCCGTGGCTGCCCCAGAGGAGGACAAGGACTCGGAGGCGGAGGTGGAAGTTGAAAGCAGGGAGGAATGTACGTGTGAGTCGCTTTCTGTGCCTCCTCCCTGTGGGCTGTGGGGGTGGCACTGGCTGAGGGGGGCTGGTCGCCGGGGGTGCGTTGGTGGCCCCATGTTTCGCAGGTTCCTCCGGGAGCGGCGCGTCTCCCTGGTGTGGAGCTGCCGGGCACTTCCATGACTTTGTTTCTGTCTCTGCTTCCTCCTCAGTCACCTCCTCCTTGTCCTCGCTCTCTTCCCCGTCCTTTACCTCATCCAGCTCCGCCAAGGACCTGGGCTCCCCGGGTGCGCGTGCCCTGCCCTCGGCCGTCCCTGATGCTGCGGCCCCTGCCGACGCCCCCAGTGGGCTGGAGGCGGAGCTGGAGCACCTGCGGCAGGCACTGGAGGGCGGCCTGGACACCAAGGAAGCCAAAGAGAAGTTCCTGCATGAGGTGGTCAAGATGCGCGTGAAGCAGGAGGAGAAGCTCAGCGCAGCCCTGCAGGCCAAGCGCAGCCTCCACCAGGTGAGCGGGGCGAGTGGTGCTGGGAGGTCCAGGGCACGGGCAGTGAGCACAGCCTGCACCAGGTGAACGGGCACAGGTGGTGCCTCCTCCCTTCCTGGCTGCCCCATGCGCTCCTCTCTGCCTCCACCTCAGTGGGCCTGCCTGGGACCTTGGGGGTCCGTCTCCCAAAAGCTGCAGCCCTGGGTATGGTGAGCCCCTCAGTGTCCCCAGGCTGATGGACATCCCAGGAGGCCACTACATTTGGCTTGACCACAGCTTTCCCCATCAGGATCACACACCCTGCGTGGTGGCCCCACTGAGGAAGTAGCCATGTTTCTCTGGTATAAGGGAGGCCGGGCTATTTTTAGTGGCAGAAAGAGTTGGGAGCAGCTGCATGGAGACAGTTCCTTGCTCTGTGTGCTCCAGGAGTGGGTGTTCACGCGCTCCGCCAGCAAGACCTGGCGTCTGCAAAACACAGGCGTGAGGGGCGTGCTTACTAATGCCTGGTGTTCCAGAAGGCGGCTCCCGCCAGGCCTCCCGAGTAGGAAGGAGAGGGCTCGGCCCGCACAGACACACACACACCCACCTGCACACGCTGCTTCTCTGGGCTCTGCCTCACGGTTCTCACGCTGCAGCTCCGGTCTCGCGCCTCCTTTTACGTTGTTTAGGTTTCTTTCTGACATGACTGAGGGAAGTGCGGTTCACAGGCAGAGCTGCCTGGGGAGAGAGGTGTGCAGGCGGCCCGTTGTTCACCGGGCCCCGGCCTCGCTAAATTCACACCTCGGCGGCGTCTGGCAGCTTCCGCGGCGTGGGCTTTAGCACAACACAACCCCGTCGGCCCTCAGAGCTGCAGGGTTGCCGACGTGCCCTCCTGCGCGTGCCAGTCCCTCGCCCCAGCACGTCCCCCGCCACTGTTGTCCTTGATTCTGGTTGGAGGTGTGATTTCCCACATACATATTCATGTGGTGTGTTTGCAGCGTGGGGTGTGAGTCACACGGATATTTTAATGGGGAGAGTGGGGGGGCTTGCGGAGGCGCCGGGCGGATGGACGTGTCCATCTGGCTGCGTGGGGAGACCCGGGGCCCTCAGATGGTGCGATGTCTGAGGCTGCCCTCCTCACATTGATGGGAGCCAGGGCCTACTTGGCTTGCTGCCCCCAAGGGGAACGTGGCCCTAGATACCGGGGGAGGCCCCGCCGCAGCCTCAAGTGACTGACTCAGGCCCCCAGGTTTAGCACAGCTGCCACAGGCCTGGCGGAAACTCCGGATGGGGGTCTGAAAAGCCTTTGTGGGGTCGGGGCACCACACGGGTTGGGCTGATGGCGCGCTGGGGGCGGGGCTCCAGGGCACATTGTCAGATAGATGACCCCACGGGGTGGGCTGAGGACTGCTGGTCATGGTGAGGGGTGTGCTGGGACCGGCTGGGCAGTGACCCCGAGCCGCCTCCGGCCCCCAGGAGCTGGAGTTCCTACGCGTGGCCAAGAAGGAGAAGCTGCGGGAGGCCACGGAGGCCAAGCGTAACCTGCGGAAGGAGATCGAGCGTCTCCGCGCCGAGAACGAGAAGAAGATGAAAGAGGCCAACGAGTCACGGCTGCGCCTGAAGCGGGAGCTGGAGCAGGCGCGGCAGGCCCGGGTGTGCGACAAGGGCTGCGAGGCGGGCCGCCTGCGCGCCAAGTACTCGGCCCAGGTATGCGGGTGGGGAGACTGAGGCACGCAGCACGGTGGGCGTGGAGCCGCCGTGGGCCCCGGTGGCCAGTCCTGCCCAGCCGGAAAGGCCTTGGAGCAGAAGCCAGGCCCGGGACCACGTTCCGTGCGTGCCCCCCCGACGGGCACAGGGTGGGTGGTTGCTGGGCCCTGCGTCTCGTGAGCCTGTGTCCTAGCAGGTGGAGGAGGGGCCGGCACGCGGCACTGGGGAGGGACAGGGAGCGGCGCAGGAGCCTCGGGTGGGGGAAGCAGCGTCGGGCCGGGGCAGGGCAGCGAGCAGGCGCCGCTGACCACTCGGCTCCCTTTCAGATCGAAGACCTGCAGGTGAAGCTGCAGCACGCGGAGGCGGACCGGGAGCAGCTGCGGGCCGACCTGCTGCGGGAGCGCGAGGCCCGGGAGCACCTGGAGAAGGTGGTGAAGGAGCTGCAGGAACAGCTGTGGCCGCGGGCCCGCCCCGAGGCTGCGGGCAGCGAGGGCGCTGCGGAGCTGGAGCCGTAGATTCCGTGCCTGCCGCCGCAGCGCCGCCGACAACGCGGGTGCAGGGGGGCGCGGCTGGGCGGTGCAGCTCCGCCCGGCTCCGCCCCTGCAGCCCACACAGCACAACGTCTTACCGTGCCTATTACCAAGCGAGTGTTTGTAACCATGTAGTTTTGGAACCCACTGCAAAATTTTCTACTGGCCAAGTTCAAGTGAGTAAGCCGCGTCCCCCAACTACAGCTGGAGACGGGGCCAGCTCGGCGGCCTGCTGGTCCTCTGCTTGCTGGAACATTCTAACATTTACACTTTTGTTATAAGCTATTTAAAACCAGTAAGGAGACTTGAAATTCAGAAAATCAACACATTTTTAAATGACTAACTTCTAAAAGCCCCAACACATGACGCCATCTGAAGACCCGCAACGGAGTGGGGGTGGCGGCCGCCCCACCCTCCCCACCCGGGGAAGCCATCACAGCTCATCTGCCCGCGGCTGCGTGAGGACAGCAGGGGTTTTTCTTCAGAGTCTATTTTTTCAGCGACAAGGACCCAGGTCTTCCTGCTGCTGCCAGGGAGAGCAGGGACAGTGCCGCGTGCGAGATGAGCTCGAACACTGCCCGCCTTACTGCCGCCTACCCCGCCCGCCACGCCGCCGTCGATGCCAGCGCTGTCCCCACGGGTACCAGGAAGTGCAGAGCCGCACAGGAGCTGCCCCGGAGCTGAGGGGACGGTCTTCGGCTCCTCTGCACCCCGTGATTCTGCCCACGCTCCTCCACCACGAGGCACTGACCTGCGTCGGGTGGTGACCGTGGCTGGCGGTCACGCCCTCAGCCCCTCCGGGCACACGTGCCGCCTGACCGGGCGACCCTTTTCAGTTCGGCAAACGTCGCTCCCTTCATTTTGGGACTGAGGCTGCAGCATTGGAACAAAAGAGCATTATTTCAATTTTTCTTTCTTTTTTTTTGTTCGTTCATTTAAACGTATATTTAGAACTGCACTTTGTCCACAACCTTCCCTTCTCTTTCTATTCCCCAGTGAACTGAGGTTTTTACCGATTTATAGAGCAGTCAAATCCGAAGTGCTCGAGTGCTTAGAAACCCCCTCTGGTGCTTGGTTGAACAAGGGAATCACAAGAAAACGAAAATGCAAAAACTGAACTTCGGGGGTCGTTCTGTGCCTTCCAGCATCTTGTACAGCAAATCCTGACTCGTGTCTTTTTACCCCCAAGATATCTGTCTTCAGTAGCGACTGAATCTGCCACTCTCAGAATAAGTTCCTTGCATTTATTCCAAATAATCTCGTTTACTCTCACCTGTTTATGCAAATTGTATAAGGTTTCTTATGCCCAAGCTTGAAAAATGATTTCCCAGTAGACAAGAGGCGGCTACCTATCCTACAGTTACGGTATTTATTTACATAAGAAGATCTTACAGGAGTTCTTTGCTTGAATCCGTTCTAACACCCGCGGCAGCTGCACGCGCTCACAGAAGGTGGAGGTTACTTGCCCAGGTACAGACGACCTCGGGGCAGTGACGAGCAAAGACCAGAGACTGCTGAGCCCTCGCATCTGGGTGGCGGAATTGCCTGCGGGGTTTTGCCCTTGGTTTACTGAGGGGGGTCTTGGTTGCTGCTGAAGCCCCCCACCCCTTCTAAAGTGCAATGCAAAAGGGACATCATGTATATGCAGCGTTTGTTTGGAATTTTCTTTGCTTTTGTTTTCTTTGCGGTTGTTCTGTGTGCATGGATTCCACACCTCTGCCGTAGGTAGATCCGTCAGCGGGCATTATTACCGTGTCTTGTAAAGGGTCGGTTTTGTTATGCAACATGCAGAATGCTGTTTTTAGCCTTGTTTTACCAGAGTTGTTTTTTTTTTCAGTTATTTCTTCAAGGGAAACTAAATGATTTAGTTGGAGCAAAGCTTTAAGTGTGTTGGCGTGCTTCTGTGTGGCTGTCCTGTGTCGCCAGGTCGAAGATCACAGTGAGGTAGAGGCCCTGCCCCATCCCCAGGGCCGCCAGGCTTGCTCCGTTTGCTTTGAGTTTTTAGACCCCAGAGGGAGATGAGCTTTTCCAAGCTGTGTCTGGGCCAGAGCCTCTCCTTGCCCTTGCTCCATCCCGACGGTCACCGTTGGGTCCACGCCTCCACCGCCCCATCTTGCCCCAAACGGAAAGCGCTGTATCTGCAGTGGCAGCCCTTCCCCACTTCGGCTCTGGGAGGGTCCAGCCAGTGTCACCTGGGCCCACCCTTTCCTGCAGCTGCCAGGCCCGTGCGGTCAGTGGGACCCGGACGTGGGCAGGCGAGCTCGGGACCCTCCCAGGCAGTTCCCACAGCTCTTGCCTCGGCTCACCAGGGTCACTTCCACTGTCAGGGGCCTGAGGGGGCAGCTGTGGCTGCAGGGCTGCTCTGGACTGAGGGGTCCCAGGCCCCGAGGGGTGCACGCCTGGCTCCCCTTGGCACAGGTGCGAGTCCGTTTCTTTTCAGCAGAAGGGGGAAGAGGTGTCCGCTGTGTGGGCTGCTGACTCCTCTGTGTGTGAGGCCCTTCATCTAAGTGATTGTGTATTCAGTTTAATTCTCATTATATTTCTATACTGAAAGAAGATTTTTAACGAAGGGAAAAACAACAGCAATAACATTCATATCTCTGGAGCAGCTAACTCATACACGTAATGTCTGCTTTTCGTACAGAACTAGCCAATGTAAAAACAGTTCACCTGTAAATACTTTTTCCTTTTTCACCGTTGTATTATACATGTATATGCTGGGTCCTTTTTCAGAAACTCTTTTCTTACCTGAGAGTTGTCTTGTTTTCTGGGCTGTTTTTAACTGAGGAAAAAAAAAATGCTTTCCTGCCGGGGGGCAGGGGAGACGGAGAAACCCATGTGCGTTTCCCATGTGACCCCCTCCTCCCTGTGGGTCTGAGCCCCGGCCCCCCCCACCTCCTCCTCCCTGTGGGTCCGAACCCCGGCCCCCCCACCCCCTCCTCCCTGTGGGTCCGAACCCCGGCCCCCCCACCCCCTCCTCCCTGTGGGTCCGATCCCCGGCCCCCCCCACCCCCTCCTCCCTGTGGGTCCGAACCCCGGCCCCCCCCCCACCCCCTCCTCCCTGTGGGTCCGAACCCCGGCCCCCCCACCCCTCCCTCAGCCCACCAGGGTCCAGGGAGATGTTCGTTCTCGCTTTAAGTCAGGAGTCACAAATGACTTTTTTTTTTCAATTAAGGAAAAAGCTCCATCTCTACCTTTAACATCACCCAGACCCCCGCCCCTGCCCGTGCCCCACGCTGCTGCTAACGACAGTATGATGCTTACTCTGCTACTCGGAAACTATTTTTATGTAATTAATGTATGCTTTCTTGTTTATAAATGCCTGATTTAAAAAGAAAAGAGCTTGGCATATTTATCTATTTCGCTGTGTACCTGTTAGTCCTTCCCCGACCCCGAAACAGATGACATTGTACAATAAAGGACTTTGAGAGGACCGCGGGACAGCTGTGCGTGCGCCCACCACAGCCCCTCCCCAGACCGGCCACACACGGGCGGCTGGGACCCCCTCGCTTTCAGGCCATCGTGGGTGGGGGTGCTGTCACAGGTCAGATTGTGGGCCTCGGAGTCTCCGTCGACCCCGAGGGCACGTGGGGTCCAGGCGGCCGCCCTGGCACAACTGCCCTCTCACCTAGTCCCCGTCCCCTCTGAGCTGGGCAAGGCCACGGTTTCCTCTGCGATTCAGGGAGCTTGCAGTCCCTGCTTGTAGCACTGGATGTGGCTGGAGCCCTGGCTTGAGGCCACCGTGGCCTTGGGCCGGCTGGGAGGAAGCCCCACAGAGTGCAGTGCCAGGACAGAAGATGGGATGGGGCCTTCCCGGCTGGGCCTCCACGGGGGCCTCTGAGGCCGCACCTGCGGTTGGCCAAGGTCCAGCTCCCGCACGGACAGACCTGTCCCCAAGGGGTGGATCGCCAGCTCCCTGAGGAGCTCCTGGGTTACTTGCGGGGGAGAGGGGAGGTGGCATCAGAACCCTGGACCCCAGCGAGCTGCCCCGAGGGAGACACAGAGGTCCCTTCTCCCCACCTGACCTCACAGGGGGGCCTTCCCAGACCCCTGTTCTGGGGATTGGAGGTGCCATGCCGCATGCCAATTTCATGGAGGCACAGCCCCGGGTGGGCTCCCTGGGGTGCCAGGCCACCACCTCTCTAGGCTTCCTTAGGCCATCACATCCAGCATCTCCAGCCCATCCAGGCCCTCATAGGTCATCTGGGTTGTGGTCCGAGAAAGGCATGGGCTGGTAGGGGCTCCAGCCGGCCCCTCCCCCCAGCCTCCCGGCACAATTTCCAGGTCCCCATCTCTTCTCTCCACCCCTCGGGAAGTGCCCCCAAGCTTGGGGCTAGAGCAGACCTGGCCCTCCCCTCACTGCCACATAGGGGCTTCCTTCTTCCCTGCCCAGGGCCCCAAAGGGCTCATAGAGCCCCCACGGAGGGTACAGGGCGGCCTCTAGACCACACAGGCCTACCCCAGCAGGCCTCAAAACACCCACTCCACATGGGCCTGGCTTCTCCATCCAGGCTAGGCCCCTGGGTGTTGGGGGCAGTGGGCAGGGGCGTGGGCCGAGGGGAACATGGGCCACAGCAGGAGTGGGTGTGGACTGGTCCTGGGCACGTGCATGTTCTGGGGGGCAGAGGATGGGCGGCTCCAGAGTGCCGCTGGCAGGACCCTGAGACTGAGTCAGTTGTGAGCACAGAGGACCAGCCCGGGGTCCAGTGCAGTGGGGAGGAGTTGGGGAAGGGCTGGGCCGAGGTCCTGGGTGGGCCTCGAGGACCGTCCCTGTGGCCACATGGGCACTCTGCCTCGGAGCTGAGCACCGCAGGGCTTGATGACGGCCCTCCCGACCCTCCCGGAGACTCAAAGGCACTGCCTCCAGCAGCCACGTGGGGGCAGGGAGGGGCGGTGCTCTGGGCTCAGTTGTTCCCCAAGCTGCCCCAGGCTTCTCTTTGGTGTTTACCTTTGGGTATAAACTTAGAGCTTTAAAGGGCTCTGGCCACCTGCTGAGCTAGGCCAGCCGTCACCCAGGGTCAGAACCCTCTTCCCAAAGCTGTTCCGAAGGGATCCAGGGGTCTCCTGAGTGCTGGGGGAGAGGAGGCCTGGGTGGGAGAAGCTCCCTGCCTCCATGCCAGGGGAGGGCAGAGGTGGGGGGAGAGAGATGGCCCTCCCCACCCTACCTCTGCATCCTCAGGCTCAGGACTCCCAGCATTCACACCTGCCTGGGCCTCTGCAGGGACCACGGGTTAGCCCTCCAGCCTCAGCTCCCTGGAAGGGCAGCTCCCAGTACCCCTGTTCCTGGCAGTGCCTGTTCCCAAGCCCCCAAGAGCTGGGGTCTGGGGAAGATGAGCTCAGGGAAGGGGATGGGGGCTCCCCCACCTCCCTAGTTTCTGCCCCACCCTGTGCCCCACCCATTTCTGCCTCAGTCACCAACAGCTGTCCTTAGGTCTCAGCTGTGCTGGTCTCCCCCTCCTCCTGGAGCCACAGTCCTGCCAGCCTTCACCCACCAGCCTGTGGTCAAGGGGGCCGACAACGGCTGAGCAGCCTGACCTTGTCTGGGGAGGCAGCGGCCAGCACGTCCTAGGTGGGGAGTGGAGACTGCTGACCAGTTACTGCAGCCACTGGTTCAGCCCCGCGTGTCCGGCCCCAGCCCTAAGCCTAAGCAGGGACCCGGCTCCTCCCTCACTTCACCCCCAACCCGCCCTCCTGCCCCAGCGCAGTGCTCCAAGGGCATGGCCAGGGGCCCCCAAGCTGGACACCCCCTCATGGCTGCATGAGGGGCTCTACCCATTGCCCCAGCCCACAGGCCCAGACCCCGACCCCATCCTGGCCCAGGCCTGGCCACCCCCACGTCCCAGCACCTGCTTTGACTCCCCCACTTCCTTCTGGCCAGGAAGAGGCAGCCCCCACCCACTCTGTTCTCGTAGCCTCTGCACAGCTGCTGGTCCTGCTCCAGGCGACCCGGCCTCTGACCCCACGGAGCCTCCGCTGGAAGGAGGTGCGGAGCCCACAGGGACACCCCCAGGCCAGGGCCGCCTGCCCTCCAGAAATGATGGGGTCGTGACCCTGATGTGTTGGCCCCGGGGGGGTCCCGACCCTCCCCACAGAAACTGCCCTGTCTACTCCACCCACAGCGGACCCTGGGGAGGGGGTGAGGACAGAACATTTGGGGACTGGATGCCCGCCCAGCCCTGCCACCCCCCGGTCTCAGTGACGCACATGGCCATCTGTGCCTGGCCTGTGCCAGGTGGGTGGGGGCCTCAATGGCTGGGGCACCCAGCCCTGGAGCAGGTGGCCCCGCTGCGGGTGAGGACCGGCAGGGGCAGCCTGGCCAGCCTGGCTTGTCTTTGCAGTGTCCTGTGCTGGGCCAGGTGTCCAGCCGGGCTGGGAACGGACCTTTCTCTCCCATGGCCGGGCCTGGCAGCTCTTACTGGCAAGAAGTGCAGCCCAGGCTCGGCCTCCATGGCTCCTCCTGCAAAGGAGGCCTGTTCCAGAAACTTCCAGGGACAGGGAACCGTGGGGAGGTGGGGAGGTAGGGGCTGGAGGCAGGGGCTCCCTGGGTCAGCCCAGGCAGCAGTGTCTCCCAGTCTCCTGCCCCTCCCCGCAGCTGTCCCAAGGACACTCTTAGGTATAGGGGTGCCAAGTGCCCAGGCCCCGTGGAGATACAACTGGCTGGCTTGGAAGGGTGGGCTCCTGGCTGCCCAGCTCAGCCCAGAAACCAGGATTGGGTGCCATCCAGATCTAGAACGAGAGACCAGGGGTGTGGAGGGTCGAGGGCCGTCTAGAGGCCTTGGTGGGGGCCGGGCAGGCCACCAGCCCCGAACCCTGGAGGGTCCCGTGTACCCTGGCCAGTGCCAGCTGCTGCCCCCCTGGCCTGGCCCTGCCAGATTCTCCCTGACAGCCCTGTCCCCCTCTCTGCTGTCGGAACCTTCTGGCCCTTCCTGCAAGGTGGGCCTGGCCAGGCTGGGGTCTTGGTGGAGGGCAAGCAGGAACCAGGGACAGACGATGGAGCTCTGCGTGTCCTCCCTCATGGAGATGCCCCCAGCTGGGTGAAATGACCCTGGTCGGTGCTATGCCCAGGTTAGGCCAGGCTACCAGTTGCAGATGGACACCGCCCTGCGCCCTGCTGTGCCCACCCTGGGGCAGGAGCTGGGCAAGGTACTGTGTGCCCTGTGGTCCAGCCCCACTCTGCCCTGCCCCTGGTGGGGCCTGCACCCGAGGGACGTGATGCCCATGCCCCAGCTTCCTGTTTCTAAGGAAAAACAGTCCTAGGAAAAAGGCTGTAGCGTCGGAGGAGCTGCCCTCGCCAGGGCCTGGGGGGATTGTGGGTGGGGAGGCTGTCCCATTCTGTGATCCCAGGGATGCCAGGAGGGCCGTGGCTGGTGTGGCCGGCACTGGGTCAGGTTTAGGCCGGGGTCTCTCGGGTCTCGGTGTTGGCCCCTCCGTGTTTAGAATCCTCCCAGGCCAAACCAAGGCGGCCTCCAGGGTCACTCCTGCACAGGACAGTGGCCGGAACTCCGAAATGACCACCGACCTGCGCTGGCCGCTGAGGGTCCGACAGACCAAGGCTCTGGGCCCCCTACCCCATCCTGCGCCCCGTGCGCGAAGTCTGCGGGGTCACTGCTGCGCAGGACAGAAAACCCGCAGTGGGGCCCCGGCCTGTCCCCGGCCCTGGCGCTGTCCTGGCATCCGGGGAAATCCTGTTTCTGGCTCCAGGCCAGGGCCTGCCCCTCACCCTGGAGAGGCCCCGTCGGAGGCCGGCCTCGCGGGGGAAGGGCGGTGGCGGAGGAACTACCCAGGAATTCCAGCGCCGGCTCCGAAACCTTCCCAATCCCGCTCCTTCGCCCGGGCCGGAAGCCGCGCTGGGGGGGTGGGGAGGGGTGCACGTCCCGGGCCCCGCGCCGCGTCCTCAGGGCCGGGGCGGCCTCCCCGACGCCCGTTCCGTTCCCAGTCCGGGGGCACTGGGGGCCCCGAGTCAGGCGGAGCGCGCCGGGCCCCACTTCCCCACGCGGAGGGGCAGCCCCGCAGCCTCAGGCTCCCCCCCGCAGCCTCAGTTTCCCCCCCGCCCCCGCCGCCTCTTCCGCTACCCCACCCTCCCTGCCGTCCGGGGCGGCGCCCCCCAGATTCGCGGCCAGCGCTGGATTCCGGCGGGGTGGGGCGGGGGCTTCCGGCCCGGGGGCGGCTGGTCCGAGCAGCAGGCCCGGGCTGGGGGGCGGGACGGGAGGCCCTGGGAGCTTCCTGCAGCGTGGGGGCGGCTCCCGAGGTGGGAATTCCGCCCCCGAACCGGCGGGCTACGTGCGGGGGTCTCAGAGGCTGCGGCTCCTCCCGTCGGTGGGCGCGGCCGCCCCCAGAGGCCGCTGCGGGAAGCAGGGCGGCGGCAGGAAGCGCCCCCCCCGTTCCCCCTTCCCCCCCGTACCCCTCTTCCCCCGCTCGTCCCCCCTTCCCCACCCCAGGCCCCGCGGAGGCGGCGCGCGTTTCACGGGTTTCGCCGCCCGCGGCACGGTGGGGGCGGGGGCGGGGGCGGGGGCGGCGGTGCGACCCCCAGCGGTGGAAGCGGGAACTGCAGCTCGGCCGAGCTCGGGGTTGGGGGGTCCCTGCCAACCCTGCCCTCCCGGAAGGTCCCAGCCTGGCGGGTTCGGGTGCTTTTCTCTCTGGGGCGCGGCCTCCCTGTTCTGCTCAGTTGGGGGTCCGTTCCCGGGAAGAACCACCACACCCCCCATCCCGGCCCGCAGGCCCCAGCCGCCAAGTCGTTGCTGGGGAGGTGGGCGCAGGCCGCCCTCTCTCCGTGAGCCCACTCGCCACAACCCGCAGGGACCTGGGGGACTCGGTGGATCCAACCACAGGAGACCATGAGACACAGGCGGTCTCGCCGAGGCCTGCCGCTTAGAGCTGTCTCTCCTCCTCACGGGCCCCCTGGCTCCCTGCAGGCCTGGCCTCCTATCTCCCTCAGGCCATCAGCCCAGGGACCCCCAGCCCAGGCACCCCACCCATGCTCTGAGCTGTGGGCCTGAAACCCGCCCTCCTAGCAGGGAGCCTGGCTGCGCCCCAGGCCGCTTCTGCTTGGAGCTCCGTGGAAGGAAATGCCCTCAGGTTCCCAGGCACTGAGCCTCCCCTCCCGCTAACCCCATCAGGGGTATAGCAGCCCCGTGGTGCTCAGCCTGCCTCTCTCTGCCTGGGCAGGACCGTGGAGCCCATGCGTGTCCTCTCTCCTGTCCCCAGATGGAAGCCGGCAGGTGGGGCCCTAGCAGGGGACATGCTCGACGTGTGGGTGGATGAGGACCCAGTGGGGTCAGGTCTGGGGCAGCGGGACAGGGTCTCCAGGACGGGGCCTGGCTGCAGATAGGCCGGAGAACGGCTGCTGGTTCCCTGAGGCCACTGGGGAGCCAAGATGCAGTCCCCGAGGGGTTTCCAGGGAGCAGCCACTGGGCTGGGCAGCTGGGCGCAGGGGCAGAGAGAGCTGGGGCTGAGTCCTGGCCTGCCCCCTGGGGACTCCTGGGCTGTAAGGCAGGGGTGGGCAGGGCCTGGACCCTTGTTGGGGGGCCCTCCCTGGCTGTGGTCCACCTCAGGAGCCAAGGAGGCTGGGGGGCTGGTGTGGGCAGCTACCTCTGTTCCCCACGGGTCCTCAGGAAGGCGGCGCCACAGACTGAGGAGGCCCTGCTGGCCCTGGAGCTGTGTTCGGAGCCCCCACAGCCTGGCTCCTGGCTCTGGTTGCCGTGGGCGGGAGGTGGAAGTACAAGGAGAAGGAGTGTCCAGCATTTTCACGAGTGCCACCGCCAGAGGTCAAGCTGAGGACAAGAGGGCAGCCAGGCACCACCCTGGCCCCAGGCAGACTCCCCAGGGCTCGCTGAAGGGCCGGCAGCCCTGGGCCTGGCAGCTCCCCTTGCAAGCCCCAGCTGGGGGCTCTGTCATCCGGGAGGCCCTGGGCCTGACCTTCGCCGGCTGCCCCTGGGCCTGGAGGCAGGACACGAAGGGGCTGATGGGTCTGTGGTCAGCCCCGAGCGCACTTTGCTGAGCTGTGGTCTTGCTGAGCCAGCCCACAGGCCCAGCGACTCCTGGCTTACTCAGCCCAGGCCTGAGGCTCCCAGGGAAGGCCAGGCCAGGCTGTGCAGGAACCTGCCTATGGGGCTGGGCACCTGGCCCTCCAGGAAGGCCTGCCTGCGAGGAGCTGCTCTGCACAGGGGTCTCGACCCTCCGCTAGGCACCAGGAGCGAAGAGGGAGAGGCTTTGGGAAGGAGACACAGGTCAGGTGGGTCCTGTCTGGTTCCCGGCTGTGGCCTGGCTACGCTGTCCTCTGCTAATGCCAAAGGGGCCTGGGCATGGTCTGGAGGGTGTCCTGGCTGAGGCCCTGCTGAAGGGGTGAGGCAGGCATCCCCCCCCATCCCCACCCCGTCTCTCTACCTCTCTGTGTGTCTCTCTCTGACTCTCTCTGTGTCTGCCTCTCTCTGTGTATCTCTGTCTTTCTCTGGCTCACAGACTCCATCTTCCATGGCAGCAACTGGCTTGATGCTCTCTTTCGGTGTCATCTTCGCTTGGTAACCATGGGTGGGAGGAAAGGAGGAATGGCCACTGCTCCCTTGTTTGGAGGTCAAAGGAACAGGAGGGGCACAGGGAGGTAGGAGGGGCACAGGGAGGTGGGCGGAGCTGGGACCTGGAGCTCTCCCCAGGACTCTTCCTGGGGCAGGAGAAGGGGCTGGCTGGGGTTGGGGGCTCCACCTCCAACACACTGTGTTTGTGAGCTTGCCAGAGAGCCGCCACCTGGTCCCTGGCCTCAGGTTCCCAGGGGTGGCACCAGTAGGCCGTGGCCTGCAGGCCAGAGGCAGACACAGCCCCTACCATGCCCACCAGGTCCGGAGGAGCCCAGCAGAGCCCCTGCCCAGCCTGGGAGGAGGCCTCAGCCCAGCTCATGTCCCGCTGTGTTGGCAGTCAGACGGTCACGTGGCATGGCCACCCTGGCCCCAAAGCCGGTGTGTTTCCACCTCCAGCACCAAGAGCTGCCCGCCCTCCCCCTGACACGCAGAGGAGGCCCGGGAAGCCTGGGAGACCATGGCTGCCGTGGGCGGGGCTGGTGGCCGTCACCACTTGCTCCAGGCCTTTGGGACCACATCTGTCCCCGGCCCGCGCCCTCAGCGCAGGGACGCTGCTCGGCGGCAGCAAGTCTGTCCACTCACTGAGGCCCCAGTGCCGGGTGTGAGGCTGCTGCCCGGGAATCAGCGCCCAGTCCCGGACGCAGGCCCAGTGAGCAGGGGCAGGCGAGCCGAGGTCAGCCCACGGGCCCCCATCCTTCCACTTGACCCCGTCCCGGGCTCGGCACTCAGGGACTGGTTCTGGCCTGCGTGGGGCAGGCGATGGGAAAGGATCTTTCACAGGGGGACGGGCACACCCCGGAGTGGGGGCGTGTGCTGGTGGGAGACGCGTGTCGGGGGCTCTGCGTCCTCCTTCCAGGATCTTCCTCCCCACCCCGAGAGAGCAAGGGGTCCTGGGACTCTGCCCAGGAGGTCAGCTGGACCAGACAGACGGGCCAGTCTCTGTGGCCTCCCCAGGGCCATGGGGACTGGCAGACCCAGAAGCCAGGGTGAAGGGACGCGGGAGGCCTTGTGTTCTGTGGCGGGTCCCGAGGACTCTGTCCCCACGGTGGGCTGCCTGAACAGAGTCTGAGGGGAGGGTCACTGTCCCTGGGTGCAGCCTGGCCTGCGGCCGCCTCGCCACTCCTGGTCTCTGGATGCTGCGCCCCGCAGTCCCTCCCTCTCCCGCCCGGCTCCTCACCCCACGTCCAGCCCTCCAGAGTCGTGTCTGTGGCCACAAGGCTGTCTCCACAGAGCCTCTCTCCCGCAGTGGTTTTTTTTTTTTTAAAGAATTCAAATTTCCTGCGTATTTTAACTTTGGGATGTGGTGTGAGGAGTAGGGTGAGTGGGGCCGGGGCGGGAGTCCAGGCGAGGCCCAGGCGCTGCGTCTCTCCAAGGCTGGCTGCCCGTTAGCTCCCAGGCATGCTGGCCAGAGAGGCGCCAGCAGCCCTAGGAAGCCACGGCTCTCTGCTCCCTCCCAGGGTCCCCAGGGCCTGTCCTGGTGGGTGGCGCATGGGGAGAGGAGCATGGCCAGGTAGCCACCTGGCCACCTTCTTGGGCCCTCAGTGGCCCTGGCAGCAAGCACAGGGGACACCGATGCCTGCCCGGGGTTTTGCTGTGATAACCAAGGAAGCTGACGGCCCCGGGCTTCTGTGTTTGCAGAGAGCTTACAGAAAAGTCAGCCTCGATGGACGGCAAGATGCACCTGTCAGCCACGAAGGAGCCCCCCGAGGTGCAGATCCCCACATCCGCCGCACCCGTGTGGAGAAAACAGCGCTGGATTTCCTGTCGTGGGTTTTGTGACTTTGAAAGCCGAGGCTGCTGATTGGGAATTAAATCCCAGAGGACGCCGCTCAACACACTGGAAACCCAGCAGCTGCTGCTGTTCCCAGCAATTTTTCTTTCTCTAAATTGAAACATCATTTTCTATTTTTCTTCTGACACAAATGTGGTTTCATCCTGAAGTGAAAAACAGCTACAGAGCAATTTGCCAAATGTAAGGGGCAGGCCCAGGTGAGC
Organism: Homo sapiens; assembly: GCF_000001405.40. Classification (NCBI taxonomy): domain Eukaryota; kingdom Metazoa; phylum Chordata; class Mammalia; order Primates; family Hominidae; genus Homo; species Homo sapiens. The sequence goes on from NC_000001.11 coordinate 2,319,347, forward strand.
GCCGCTCACACGCAGCGATCAGGGTCAGCGTGACGCGGTGGTATCTGTCCTTCACGGGGGCTCCTCTGTGGGCCCGGCCTGGCCGATGTCTGCCTGGCCTCCTGGGAGGCTGGTGACCCAGGTCGGAGCAGGCCTGGCAGGCCAGGAGCCTCCCCTCCGACGGGCGTAGCCAACCCCAAGGGTAAGGGGCAGTGTCAGAACCGCCAGGCGCTCACGGGGCTCCCAGGGACCAGAGGCTGGAGCCATGGCTGTGATGAAGCCGCCCTGGGCTCTGGGAGCCTCGAGGATGGCCGCAGCTGGGAGACGCAGCCTTGCCACTGGCTCTGGGCTTCTAGAAGGTGTGGGAGAGTGGCTGCCTGCCTTGCTGTCTGGAATGGATGCCTGGGTGTCTGGGGAAGCTTCGGGGATGCCAGAGCCCCCCACATGCACTCGGCCTCCCAGTGGCAGAGCTCAGACCCAGGGGGCCTTGGGGACACTCTGCCCTGGCAGAGGAAGGGTCCCCTCGCTGCAGCTCCAGTGGCCTCCAGCTTGTCACCTCCAAGGATGGGGGACTCGGCACCCCGCGATCCGGCCTGGTTCCTCCCTGCAATGCCCCCCCGCCCGCCCCTCTGCCCCCGGGCAGCAGGCCGCCTTCAGTGCATCCACCACGCTGCGCCCGACCTGGCCCCAACCAGGCTTTCCCTGAGAGCTCCTCAGGGCCCCCCACCGTGGAGCATCCCAGCTTCTGGGTGGATCTTCACCCCATGTGCCCAGGGGCTGCCCCGGGTTCCTGCACTGCTGTGAACGCAGCTCCTCTGTCCACGGCCTCCCTCCGCCGAGCAGGAGCAGCTCCCTGTGCAGGTCTGGAGAGATGCCCCGGCCGCAGCTGGCCTGGGAGATGGGTGTGTTCCCAGGGAAGCGCGCCTGGACAGTGGGAGGGTGGGTCTGGCCGCAACGCAAGGAGGTCGGTGCTAGTTGTGGGAGGGCCGGGGACAGCAGCATGAGGGAAACATCAGGGGGCATGGGTCTGGTGTGGGGCTGGGGCTGGGCCCTGGACGCCCCCTCCCCAGGGCTGCAAACGGTGGTCTTCTGAGAGGGTGGGCTGCAAGGACGGGGGTGGGTCAAGGGAGAGCAAGGAGAGCAAGGGCCTGAGGAGGCTGGTTCCCTGCCCAGCGCTGGGCGGGCAGAGGGTGAGACCAGCCAAGCTGCACAGGCCCCAGGTGGGCAGGGTGAAGCCAGGGGCCAGGGCAGGTGCGGTGGGGCCAGGAGGCAGGGTCTCTGCAGTGGCCGCCTTCTGTGCTGACCGAGTGGCTGGCTGCCCATGGGCCATCTCAGTGCCCCCTCCCCAACAACCTTCTGGCCCCTCTCTGGCTGAGGGGCCCTCCGGAGGCAGCTGTAAAATGTCCCCGACCATCCTCCCTGGTCAATGCGGGGTGGGGGCGTCAGGCAGGCAGGACACCTGGTCAGCAGAGCTGATTGCATGCTTCCTGCCTCTTGTCATGGGAGCCCGTCCTGCGGGCAGGATTGCCTGGAGTGGGTAGTGCCAGGCAGAGGCCAGGAGGTTGGCTGGCCGGGCTTCACTGCAGAGCTCTGCGGCAGGGAGACAGGGACCCTCCTTCCCAGCCCCAGCCTGGCAGGGGAATTCCAGCACCAACCGCGGCTGGGCCTGGGAACAGTGTGGGTGGGACAGACGTGCTGGCCTCGCAGGGTGCCTGGGTGACTGCTACAGGCCTGGTCTTGAGGCACTGAGACGAGCCACCCCATGTGTCCCGCCTGACCCCACAGGCTTCCCAGGGCTCTGCGCAGATCGGGGGCCACAGCAGTGAGCAGGGACGTGGGCTCCAGTCCCGCTGCCTCGCCCATGAGTGTGCGGGTGCATGGGGAGGGCCTTGCTGCTGGCGTGGGGCCCAAGGAGCAGTGCCCTCCATAGCCGCCACTGAGCATTTTATTCAAGCCAGCAACCACGGGGCTCTGGAGAATCGGGGAGCAGAGTCACGCAAGCAGAGGCAGCGTTTCCTTCCATTCACACCGAGGTGGCCTCCTGTGGACACGGGGCCTCACCGAGGCGCTGGCGGCTCTGGGGTGCAGCTGTGGGCGGCCTGCCAGCTGCTTGAGGCTTCAGGGCCTTCTTCCAGGACATGGGGTGGCTGGCCAGCCCTCTTCGCTACGACCCGCAGGTGTTTGAAGGCCGGGGGCAGCCTGCGCCCCAGGAACGGCGGGGTGGTCACGTCGCGGATCATGAGCACGTACTCCCCTGCAAGGGGCGGGTGGGCTGGTCCTCAGCAGGCTCCTGTCCCTTCCCCTCCCTGGCCTCAGCCCACTGCCCACTGTCTCATGTGCCCGCTGGCCCCTGTGCCCCCGACCCTGGTCATCTCTGCCTGGGTTCTGGGATTCTTGGCACTGTAACCACAGGACTGGCCACCGGACCGGTCCTGGGGGGCTGGACACACAGTCAGCATAGGTGAATAAACTAATTTGGGGTAAAGGAAACCACCTCTGACCTCAGGCCACAGCCCAGCTATGGCCTCCAGCTCGGAGGCTGGCAAGGATGGACACGACCCTCGCATGGTGGCCGCTCTCAAGCCCCCACTGCTGACCTGGCTACAGGTCCCTGAAGGATTCTTTTGCAAATACTTTCCTACTTTTTTAGGAGAAAAATAATTCATTCCCTCCATAAACTGTTTTTAAAAATAACGAACCCTCTGAAGGCTGGTGTGTCTGGTTTGCTTTTGAAGCCCCGCCCTGGCCCCTTCCCCACACCCGCGCTGGGGCTCTCCGGGTGGGGCTGGAGGGCGGCCCTGCTGGGGGCACTCGGCAGAGAAGGAAAAGTACTTTTCCTTTCACAGTCTGTAAACTGTCTGGAGAGCTTCAAAGTTGGAGAAACCATAAAAAAGAAAATAAGAAATAACAAAAAGTGAGGTTGCCATAGAAACCATCCTCTCCCCTCCCCTGAGCCTGCCGGGGCTGGCACCGGAGCGTGGAAAAAGCGCCTCGGCTGGCCCGGGCTCACACCAGGAATGCGGCCGCAGCTGAAATGGGGGCAGGAGTCGGCTCACACCGCAAGGCAGAGCAACATTCCAGACGCCGGCCTGGAAAACAGCGCTCCCCTCGCAGAGCGGCGGCCTCCTCGGCCAGGCCACGGGCTCGGCCGCCTGTGCGTTCCCAGGGCTGGACAAGAGCAAGCCTCGGGGGCCGGGAGGAATGTGCTTGGCCCCGAGTCAGCTCCTTTAGAAAAAAAAAAACACGGTTCTGGGGGGCCTCGCCAGGGGGACACACGTTCTGCAACCTGGCGGGTGTGGGCCACAGCACCGGGCACCGGGGACAGCCTCCCTGGCGGGCGGAGGAAGAGCCCCACATGGCAACGCCACAGTGTTTCCAAGCAGCCCGGTTTCTAGGTGTTCCCAGGAATCCAGCTATACCAGTGGTGGCCAAGGCGCTGGCCGGGGGGCCGAGAGCTCAGTGGGCAGTGGCTGAGGAGCCCGGCCACAGGCCCCATCTGACCCCACTCCTGAGGCTGGCGTCCCGGCGGATGGGAAGGGTGGGCGGCAAGGGCTCTGGCTGGTGGCCACCGTGCGGCAGGCCGGGCCTCGACGGCCACGTGATCTAGCCCTGGGCCAGCTCTCACTTAGGGCCTCGGCCATACGTACATGGCTTAGCCCCAAGTGGCCCCTGAATCGGATCTCCCTTCGCTCCTCACCCCCAGGGCTGTCTCCGCCGAGCACATAAACCCTGGCCGAGCGGCTGCGCACAGGTGCCAGCGCCTAGCCGATTCCTGTCACTGCAGAGATGTCCCCGCCCCCTCCTGGGATGGCTGGGACGCGGTGGACCGGTTGATGGTGTGAGGGCTGCTGTGGGACCACGGGGGACACCGCGTGGCACTCCAGCCGCTCCCGTCACCAAGGCCTCACTGGCTACAGCCCCGGCCACACGGGTGCCGTCCCCACGACCAGGGTGGCTCTGCTTGTTCTCCCGCTGCGCCAGAGGCAGCTCCACGGTGGCATCCAGACCCCAGTGAGCAGCGGGTCCAGACCTTCCAGCCTTTGGCTCTCCAGCCAGAACCCCAGAGACACCAGACGAAGGGTCATTCATGTTGGCCCAGGTGACAGAGAGGCTCCATTCTCCGTCAGGCAGCCAGTCAGCCGCGGTGCCCAGGTCCTGCTAGGGGTCCGAGCCTTTGTGTAGCTGAGGTGCCCTGGCATTCGGCCCCTCTGGCTTGGTGGGGGGGTGCCAGGCCCAGGCTGTGGGGCGACTGGAGGAGGCCCCACGGCTGAGGGTCTGCACCTGAGCCTTCTCCAGGCCCTCGCTGCACCCCTCCTTGCTGTCCCCACAGCAGCCCCCACGCTGGGAGGAGCCTTCCGCCCAGCCCAGGCCCACCAAGCCCTGCAGCCGGCCTTGCTGGGGAGCAGCTCCTCATGGTTCAGCCACTGTGGGCCTTGACAGCTCCCCTCGGCTCCCCTTGGACCCCAAGGCCTCCGAGTCCCCGTGCTCCCTGCCCCCGTGGCTTCCTCCTTTCTAGGACATTCCCCACATCAAGGGCTGTGTCGGCCCAGCTTCAAATCTTTCTGGACCGTCCCCAGCCCCCAAGCCACCAGCCCCCTTCCCATTCAGGTCCCTGGGAGGGCCTGGCTGCTCCCCAGTCCCCCACCCACTGCCACCTACCTCTGGGGGCCCCGGGCCGAGTTCCCCCAACCCCACCTCCAGCCCTGGGCTGCGGCCTCGCCTCTCCAGACAGTGGCACAGCCGGCGATGGACTTGGGCCCTGTCCACCTACCTAGGTGTGCTGCCGCAGCCTGCTCCTCCGTGGCTCTCCCCTCAGGCCTGTGGAGACGACACAGTGAGGCCCCTGAATGCCCTGCCTGGGCCCCGACGACATGGCATCCCTGACCTGAACCAGGGCTAGTGGCTCCAGGGCAGATTCAGGGCCCCAGCACAGCAGAGGCCTGCGAACCCCACCTCGGGGCCATGGGCAGGACGGGGAGAGTCCTCTGGCAGCCTGCACCCAGCTCTCTGCACCTCGGAACCGTGGGCTGCCCTGTGCAAATCCTCTTTGTCTAAATTCTTGATGTGCTTATGGCCTTGGAGCAGGAGTGGGACCGACCACCCCATTTCCACAGTCTTCTGACAAGGCGGAGGCCTCCCAGGGTGCAACTGAGAAGATCCCGGAGGGCGGGAAAGACCCTGAGCCCCTGAGAGACGGCGAGGCTGGAGCCTGCAGGGAGCGACTTAGGAGCGGCGGAAGTCTCAGCAAGAGGGACCAGGAGGCCCGGCGGTGGTATGGTGCCCCCTTGGAGGAACAGAGGCCCAGTGTCACCTGGGAGTGCCATGACTGGGAAAGGAGAGGTAGCAGTGAGGATGGGAGGGGCCCAGGGGTCCTGCCGGGGCCTCCCCGTGGAGACACTCACTGCCCTGGCTCCCTGAGGGGTGCAGCTCCTGCCCTGAGGCAGTCTCTGGGGGGGCCCACCACCCACCAGGGTTTCTGAACTGCAACAAGTGATGGGCCTGTTCCTCCTGCCTGGACAGCGCCTCGGGGCACCCACGGGCTGGGGCAGGGCCATGGCCAGGCAGGATCTGGGTCAGGGAAGCAGGTGGGCCCTGAGGACGTGGCCATGGCCCTGGCGGGGAGGAGGCAGTCCCTGCACGTGAGGAAGCTGGGCCCGGCAGGTGCCTCCGATGCTCCTGCTGCAAGGACGAGGGGCTGGCTCTGTGTGGACACCCACCCTCCTCCCCGGGCAGTGAGATGCACTTCGGAAATACATCTTACTTTCTTCTTTCTCTCCCCTTTCCTTCCCTTCCTTCCCTTCCTTCCTTCCCTCCCTCCCTCCCTTCCTTCCCTCCCTTCCTTCCTTTCCTTCCTTCCCTTCCTTCACTTCCTTCTTTTTTTTCTTTCTTCTTTTCTTTCTCTCTTGTTCCTTCTTCCTCTCTCTCTCTCCTCTCTCTCTCTGCCTCTCTTTCTCTCTCTCTCCTCTCTCTCTCTCTCTCTTTTTCTCTCCTTTCTTTCTCTAGATAGAGTCTGGCTCTGTGACCCAGGCTAGAGTGCAGCGGCATAATCACAGCTCACTGCGGCCTCCAACTCCTGGGCTCGAGCAAGCAATCCCCTCGCCTTAGCCTTCCAAGGAGCTGGGACCACAGGAGTGTGGAGTGTGCCACCATGCCCATGGGACCACAGGAGTGTGCCACCATGCCCAGATAATTAAAAAAATTTTTAGAGAGGAGGTCTCACTATGTTGCCCAGGTTGGTCTCAAACTCCTGGGCTCAGGAGAATCCTTCCACCTCCGCCTCCCAAAGTGCTGGGATCACTGCACCTGGCCTTTGTTGATTTTTTTTTTTTTTTTTTTTTTAGCAATAGAGACAGGGTCTCACTCTGTTGCCCAGGCTGGAGTGCTGTGGCCTGATCATGGCTCACTGCAGACTCAACCTCCCAAGTAGCTAAGATTACAGGCACGTGCCATCATGCTCAGCTACTTTTTAAATTTTTTTGTGTGGGGATGGGGTCTCACTATGTTGCCCAGGCTGGTCTCAAACTCCTGGGCTCAAATGATCTTCCCACCTCGGCTTCCTAAAGTGTTGGGATTACTGGCATGAGCCACCGTGCCCAGCTGAGATGTTCTTTCTGTGTGAAGCCCCAGGTGTGCCGGGCTGGGCTGTGTCCGGAATTACCCATCAAATGGGCCTGGGGAGGCCTGCTGGGCTGGCACCCTCCCGCGGCCTCCTCCCGCCGTCCTGCCCGCTGTGGCTGGCCAGTTCCTGTCACTTGTGGCTCAAGGGGGTCAACAGCCCACCCAGAGCTCGGAGAGAGCCAAGGGCTCCTTGACTCTCCAGGTTCCTACCCGTCGACAAACTTAAATCCTACAGGCAGCAACTGGGTGAAAAAGAATGAAAGACAAGACTTTGAAATGACTTCATTTCGAGTGGGGAGAACAGGCTTTGCCGGACCCCAGGACCCACGTAAGACACAGGAGTGCGGGCGAGTTGGGGAAGCGGGGTACATAATTCAGCACCGAGAAGAACTAGTCTGCCAGGCTGCCAGCCTAAGAGAAAGGAGGCAGGATTACAGGAATCCTGAGAGCTTTTACAGAACCCCCAGGGCTTTGAGAGAACGGGCAGAGCCAGCAAGGAGCTCGGGAGTCTCGGCCTAGGGAGGAGGTGGTGCAGATTTGCAGGCATCGGTGCCCCACAGACGGCGAGCAGGCCCGAGGCCAGTGTCCACAGGGACCGCACATGGGGAGGTGGTGCAGGAGCCCTGGGCGGTGGACTGGGGGTGCGTCTGGGCACCCACTGCGTGCCTGGGACTGCACCTTCATGCGGGTGCTGGTCCCTCACTCCTGTCCCTCACGCGCTGGCCATGACGGCCCTGGCACCGGCTGCCCTCTGGAGGCCCCAGTAAGTCCGCACCACCCCGGCGCCATCTCCTGCCAGTTCTGCCTGAGGCAGCAGCTGCCACCACCGCGCAGACACATCCTGCTCCCTCCTGACTTTCGGAGGCCTGGCCTGGCATCGGCCTGGCAGTCTCGGCCTCCCCGTCGGGGTTGGTGTCTGGGGATCAGGGTGAAGACACAGCGACCCGGGCCTCACCCAGGGTCTGTGTGTGGCTGTTCTGCAGCGCTGGACGTCTGAGGCCTGTGTCGTCCCCACAGACGCGCGCTGTGGACACACTGGCGCCCACACAGAGACACAGAAACACACAGAAACACACAGAAAGACAGAAACGAAGACAGAAACACAGAGACACAGAAATACAGAAACACAGAAACAAACACAGAGACACAGAAACACACAGAAACACACAGAAACACAGAAACAAACACAGAAACACAGAGACACAGAAACAGAAACACACAGACAGAAACAAACACAGAGACACAGAGACACAGAAACACACAGAAACACAGAAACAAACACAGAGACACAGAAACACACAGAAACACACAGAAACACAGAAACAAACACAGAGACACAGAAACACACAGAAACACAGAAACAAACACAGAGACACAGAAACACACAGAAACACACAGACAGAAACAAACACAGAAACACAGAGACACAGAAATACAGAAACACACAGAAACACAGAAACAAACACAGAGACACAGAGACACAGAAACACAGCGACGCAGAAACACAGCAACACAAACACAGAAACACAGAAACACACAGAAACAGAAACACAGAAACAAACACAGAGACACAGACACACAGACACAGAGAAACACAGAAACACACAGAAACACTGAAACACAGTGGGCGGTGTCCAGGCTGCAGAGGCTCCATCGCTGTCACCAGGCCCAGAGGCTGTGGACGGCTGCGAGTGGCCCGTGCGGCTTTTAGAAGCACAGACAGGAGATGGGGTGGACGAGGCGGCACAGGGGGAGGGCCACGAGGAGGGGCAGGCGCGGCGGGCAGGCGGCACCACCTCTGCAAGGCTAACAAGGTGCTGCGCCCGGCTCCCTCCTCTTGCCTGTGCCTCTGGCGGTGACCAGAATGGCCCATTGGCCGAATTGGCCGCCCTGACGGGTGAGGGCCGCTTTCCCAAGGCCCCGCATCGCGCCTCGGCGTCCCCGCATGAGCTCCTGGTCTTGGCAACCCCCTTACTGCATCTTCCCAGGCCAGATGCTCCGAGAAGCCAAGAGGCCTCCCGAGGAGCCCGTCACAGGCTTCTGTGTGCAGACAGCAGCGAGCCACCGAGCAGAGCTCCAGGGAGCGGCATCAGAGAGGCCTTGGCCGAGTGCAGGCCGAGCAAGGGACCTCTGGCAGCCTGTGGCCCTTGACCCTGTCTACCCGGACCCACCCCTTCGGGCCTAGGCTCGGCCTTTGCTGTCCTCAGTCTTCCAGTCCATGACGCGGACACGTTCCTCATGCACGGCTTTGGTGTGCCTTGACCTGGGCATGAAGTTAGAGCTGGGCCTGAGGCCAGTTTGCTGCCAGGCCAGGGAGGGCGGTTTGCAGCGGGGCTGTGAGGCCCAGGGGACCCCCTTCCTGCAGCCTGGCCTGGTGTCCGGGCTCCTGGAGAAGGGCGCCCACTGGTGCAGTAAGGGCCATGCCTGGGAGTCAGAGAGTCCAGGCAGATCCTGGTGACAAGGGGCAGGAGGCTTTGCCCAGCTCTGGGGTTCCACGTGGCCTCTAGGGCCACCAGGATGTGCCGGGAGCCAGTGAGGCAAGAGTCAAGGAAGACACAATCAGGAGGAACCTGTCACCTGGAGGTGGCCGGGTGCGGCTTTCAGAGAAGGGCCCAGGCTCCCCTGCCTGCTGTGCAGGAGGCACGCCCTGCGGCTTTCTGCAGCCCCGGGAGCCCCTGTGAAAGTCTGAAAATCAGGGCCCTTGGCCGCAGATCTGGGGCCAGCTTGGAAACTGTTGTCACCTCCTTAGTAACCCCAAGAAATGAGAGCCAGGGGCCAGTGCTTTCTGTAACAGCCCCAGGCACAGACACAGATGGGTGCAGACGCCAGCCCCAGCTCCTCTCCCGGGGAGCACAGCCTGTGTGTCCTGCCCCATGGAACACCCGGAGAATGTGCCGGCACCAGGGAGGCCTCTTGCCTCCTGCCTGGGCCGAGGAACTGGGGGCCACATTGCCAAGGGAACCCGCCCAGGGAGGCCCCTCTGCACCCGCAGGCATCTGCAGCCCAGGGAGATGACGGTGGTTTTGTGACTGCTTTCCCAGGTCGAAGAAGGTCAGAGCTTGGATTCTTGGGCCCAAGCCTTGGGGAGGTGCCCACCGTGGACACCCAGGTGCCCTGTCCCCAGTGGGCGGTCAGCTTCAGGCCTTGAAAAGCCTGAGGGGTGTTCCCTGTTTGGGGGAGCCTGTTCACCTGTGGGCCCTTGCCGGTGTGGGTGTGCGAAGAGTTAACGGCCGCCCTGCCCCAGCCCCTCCGTCTGCTGTGGGGTTATCATTCCACATCCCCGCTGAGCGCTGGGCACGTCTGCAGGCCCAGCTGTTCCCGCCCGGCCCTCACACCTGCTTTGGTTTAGTATCCCTGCTTGGACAAGACAGGGTTCATTTTTCAACCTTTAAAAGTTTCTAAAGAAGAACCCAGTCAATCCCTTTCTCTCGTGGCTGAACTCCCACCTGGAGGCGCTTCCAGCAGTAGGGCCAGGGCACCCGGTGCCCCCAGCTTCCCAGTGCCCTCCCTGCAGCCGATCCCATTGTCCTGGGAGTTCTCATCCCTGGGGGCCCAGCCCCCCGCCTGCGGGACACCAATCCCCCACCCTGGGGCCAGGCCCCATGAAGACCACAGCCAGGTGCAGCCTGAGACCCACTGCCCAGTGGGTCTCCTGGGTGCCTGGGGATGGAGGGGCTGGGCTGAGTGGGGCCTCCTGGCCACGGGGTCAGCAGGTGGCAAGGCCCAGAGAGGAGGCAGAGCCCTTGGGGAGGGTGGGCAGGTGAGCCGAGCAGGCCGGAGTCACCACCGCATCACGTGGGCCCCTTTGGGTCTGTCGAGGGTCTATTTCAGATAGTGTTCCCCAAGGCCCCACTGGGCTGGGCCCCGTGCAGGTACAGCGTGGAGGAGGCACCAGCAAGAATGCTCAGAGATGGCACCAGCCGTGAGCAGGCCAGGCTCAGGCCAAGGGACAGGCTGGGCTGCTGGGCTGACTGTGTTTGTGTGTTTATGGCGGAGACCAGCGTGCCCAGGAGAGGACTAGAGGGAGCTCCGGGTGAGGGGGGAGCTCCGGGTGAGGGGGGACCCTGGCCTGTGCCCATGGGAACTGCCTATTTGCCCATCTTGGGGCCAGGGTGGGAGCAGTTACTGGGCTTCTCTGTGCCTCCTTAATCTGCACCCCTCGGCTGAGCAAGCCAGCGGCACAGGCCTCCCCACCTGGGCTGCGAGTCACAGGCTGCTTTGCTGGCCAGGCCTGCCCCTAACTGGCCACAGCGTGCTGGCCAGGACTCACGCTCAGAGAACGGACACATTGCCACCCTGAGTCCTGTCCCTGTTCAGACCCAGCCAACCCCGATAGGCCCAGTGGGTGGCCAGGCTCTCGCCCCATGTGTCTCCAGGCACCAGTGGTGGCTGCTGGCTCCAAGGCCATTCTCCTGGCTCCTGTCACCTCTTTGTGGCAGACGAGGGAGGAACGGGTCGGTGTCCTTCGTCCTCTGGGCCTGGGACAGGTGAGGAGCCCAGGTGCTGGCTTGTCCCCACCGGTGGCCTTTCAAAGGGGATGAAGGCCTGTGTGGGACACTCTGCGGTCACTGGCGACAGAGCCAGGAAGGGGCTCGGTGGGCTGTGGAGCATCCACGATCTTTTCAAGTAAAAAAAATTAATTGACTCCATCTGTGTTGGCCTAATGACTGATTAAATGACTAATCGCAGAAGTCTTAATTAAGCCCATTTTTCTCGGAGCCGAGGAGGGAGGAGGAGCTTGGATGCCGACAGCCACCACTGAGCAATGACACACAAGGTCGCCGCGCACACCCGTGCCTGTGGTCGGGCTGAGGGACCCCGTCCCGGGCTGATGGGGCTCGGGTGGCCACGTTTTCCTATCATGAAGCATGGAATGAGGATTTCTGGGGCCAGGGCCACCCCCACCGTTCCTGTGGAATTCTCCTGTGTGGCTGGGCAAAGTCATGGCCACGTTGATTAAACCGAGTCCTTCTTCTGCAGCTGACATAATCTCACATCTTTTCAGAACCGACAGGGCTTTGTCCTTTTGTGGAATTCCGTAACACGCCTGGAATGTCTCTGCAGGAACGCAGCCAGAGGCCCTCTCAGAAACGCGGCCCCTCCCAGGGCAGCAGGCGGCGGGCACGTGCGGGGCCCTCATGTCTGGTCTGTGTCTACCGCCCACTACAGGGAGGGCCATCCCGTCCACCCTGTCTCCCCTCCCACAAGCTGGGGTTCAGCCCCAGGTGGACATGGGGCACATGGTGAGGCAGCGACTTGGCAGCCAGATTCAGCGGCTGGCGCAGGAGCCCCTCGTGCAGCCTCCCCAGAGCCACTCGGGACCCCTCTCCTGGTCAGCACCTCTCCCTGTCATCCTGCCAGAGGCAGCACGGGCCAGGGCAGCCTTGGCCCTCCACGCCTGGACTTGGCCCCACGTGGCCACAGGGGTGGGCGGGCTTCTCCCAGGGGCTCCCTGACATCCTTGGACCTGCTGGGGCAGTTGGGGGTGCCCTGGCAGGCGGATGCCGGGCCTCAGCCTCTGGCTGTGTCTGTAGGGCCCTCGCAGCAGGACCCTCCTTTCTGGCCACCCTGCACATGGGTGACCAAGCCCTGGAGGGCTTCGCAGGGTCAGAGCGTGCCTGAGGGGGACCTGGTGGCCTTGGCTGGGCTCTGGGAGGGCAGACATGGCCTCTGTGCCCATGAAACCCGGGCTTCCCTTGGGGCACAGCTTGTGAAGGAACCTTGGCTCCTCTTTCCTCTGCCTATTTTAGGGAACAGTCAAAGACGACTTTGCAGGATCCTGCCTGAGAGTTGTAACAAAGGCGCGCGTTTCTCCCGCATGCGCCGTCCTTCTTATGTAACCACTGCCGCTCCTCTCCCGCGGCTGCGCCTCTCCCGCCGCTGCGCCTCTCCCTCGTGCGGCTCTCCCGCCCCTGCGCCTCTCCCTCGTGCGCCTCTCCCGCCCCTGCGCCTCTCCCTCGTGCGCCTCTCCCGCCCCTGCGCCTCTCCCTCGTGCGCCTCTCCCGCCCCTGCGCCTCTCCCTCGTGCGCCTCTCCCGCCCCTGCGCCTCTCCCGCCGCTGCGCCTCTCCCGCCGCTGCGCCTCTCCCGAAATTACAGGCTGGTGTGTCACTTTTCATCTTTGTCGATTTTTTTTTCAGTCATTTCTATTGTTTGGAGCCTCCTGGATGACAGTGACAGGCTCTGATGTGGGCTTTGAGGGAGCCAACCGGTGGGGGGTGCACCAGGTGACCCCACGCTCACCAGGTGCCCAGCGGGGCTGCCTGTCCTCCTGAGGGCACCGGCGTCCCCCAGTGGATGCTGAGAGGAGCTCCTGTTGTGCAGCTGCACGAAGGGGACACAGATGTGGCTGTTCTGAGGGACAGGGGGCTCCCCTAGAGCCCCGGTCTCAGCACACCCTGGTGAGCATAGCCCGGCCACCCTGACTGTTGCTCACGGACTCCAGCATCGGAAGGAATGCTCCCTGTCCTTGGTCCACACTCAGGTTCTTCCAGTGGGATGGGCGACCCCTGGCCCCGGACTCACTGCTTCTCCCATTGTCCCCCTCGGCAGTTCTGTCTTGACATCGACCCCACGCAGGCCGCTAGGACCTGGGCTTCTATGATGGGGGAATGGGCAGTGCTGTGAGGGGCACGGCAGACCTCCGGCACAGGCCCAGGTTGGGGGCCAGGAGGGCGCGACGTGGCGTCTGGACATGGAAGGGGTCACACTCCCGTCTCACTTGGTCTCCTGTTGTCCACACTGCAGAATCTCGTCTGTGCCTCGAGATTTGGAGCAGCCAGGAGAACCCTTTGTTAGCTCCTGTTGGGATCCTGGGAGGGGTGAAAACCTCCATGAGTGAGTGAGGCTTTGGGGCTTGTGCGGAGACGAGGGGAGAAGCCGGAGCCAGGACCCCAGGGTCTCAGAGGGGCCCCCAGGCTGCGCCTCGAGGGGCCAAGCTCTGTCGGGGACTGGGGCTCGGGCTGGGGCTCCGTGACCTCCATGGGGTGCAGCCCACCAGGCTGCCTACGAGGATGCCTCCGAGCCTTCACCCAACTGACCTCTGGCCAACCCCCACGGGTCCCCCAAGGGGCTTGCTCTGGAACTGGAGAGTGGGACTATAAAAACACGGAACCCAGGAAGCTGGCATCGTTGGGGTCCTTAGGAAGGATAAAAAGGCGACCAGGTGTTGGGGGGCGTGACTGGGGGTGGCCAGAATGTTCCAGGCAGGAAGTGCAGTGAGCATCGGGCTCCCGCCTGGAGATGCTCCTGGTGCGTAATTATGCCAGCCAGTGGGCACGTCTAGCAGGGCCTGGGCTGGCCCCGCTGCAACAGGCCGGGGACAGGCCCCACATCCTCTGTGCCCAGCAGTGGGGATGCCAGCTGGGACCCAGCAGCCGGGTCAGCCCCGGGCCCAGCTCCCGAAGCCTCCTCCCCATTATGGAAAGGGGGTCCCCAGCGATGGCAACTGGGGACAGCTGGTGAGTGAGTGACAGCTGAGTGCAGTGAGTGGCCTCGGGCCTGGAGACGCTGGAACAATACAGGACCGTGCCAGGGTAGGGGCCATGGCTCCTGCAGAACAAAGTTGTCAGTCACAGGGCCACACTGTAGGGGGACCCGAGGGAGGTCTCGGACCTCAGGGGTCTCCTGGGACTCCAGGGTGCTAGCGGCAGGATCCTGGCTCAAGGTGCTGCTGCTGAGGCTGGAGCCTGAGGGTGCGCTGAGAGCCGGCCCTTGCCCCTGCCCTTCTCCACCCCATTCACAAGCATGTCTGTCGGAAGCGGCAGCCCCAACGGTGCCAGGAGCTTCCACTCCTTTGGCCCTGCCTGCCGACAGTGAGCCCTCTCCTGTGCCTGGCACGGGCTGAGGACCCTGCCTGGAACCACTCGGCCACGACACAGCGAGGGTTCCTTGAATGCAAACCAGACACAGCCGACTGAGTGTTGGAGGCCTTTGGATTTGCCAGAGCCAGGTTGGCTGCTGGAAAGAACAGCTTTCTTAGAATTCCGAAAAGTGGGCTCTTTGGGCCCAGAGCCAGGTCTGGACGCTGGTTGGGGGAGCTGGGACCCAGACCAGAGGGAGGGGTGCATGGGAGACCCCAGAGCTTCTTCCTCACCGCAGAGCAGACAGAAGGCATGGGGGTCACAGCTGGGGGAGCCTCAGGCAGGGTCCCCCACTCTTTCCTAAGAGGGGGCCATCACACAAACACCCAGATGGGTTGTGGGGGGTTTTGGCGGGGACAGAGCTGGGGAGGTCCTGGAAGAGGTCGTGAGGTCGACGCCCCGGTCAGCCACAGTTGAGGGCCTCTGGGTGGTGGGGGGGCAGCAGGTGTAAGAACGGTAAGGGATCACGTGGCTACAAGGAACTGGTGGTGGGGGTCAGGCTCCATGGAGGACGAGAGGCACAGGCCCAGGTTTGTCTCTAAGTCGCTGCCGCCCCATGATCCATGGCGGAGAGGCCTGCAAGTGTGCAGCCCTTCACCTCCATGCTGGGTTCTCAACCCAGGAGCGGGCAGAGCTTACGGAGAGTTCCCGATGGGAAAGACTCCCCAGGGTTTCCGCACCCAGAAGACGTAGTAAGGCCAGCTGCATGGAGAGGCGGGGCTCCCTTGGGGGAGCAGGCCTGGTTTTGGGCTGCCTGTCCCAACACGACGAGAGGGCCCTGGCTGTGTGGCCGTGGAGCCGGCAGGAGGCAGGGGAAGTGGCCGCTGGTCACAGATGTGTGCCCCGAAGAGACGACATCATTTGAACACTGAACACTCCGACTCCGCGGCCAGGTCGTCCTGGGATTGAAACAATCCTAGTCCAACGACACTTAACTCGAGGACAGTGCGAGCCCTTTGGCTGGGAGGCCCAGGCTGGGAGCAGACGCCGACCCCTCCGTTCTCTCAGGTGGAAAAGAACGAAAGCCTTCTTTCTGCTGAAATAAGACGTTCCAACATCACCCTCAGCGCGGAGGTTGCCACGGTTCTGGAGCGAAGTGGAGGTGCCGCCCTGGGCGTTCGGGTCTGTGTGAGTCTGTGGGAGTGACAGAATGTCTCGGCTTTTGGCTCTCGCAGACGCTCCTGAGGCCGAGTCACTGGGCAAACAGGGCCCCAGCACCTGCAGGATCTTGGCTGTTTTTTAGTCTCTGCTTCTGAAGTTATCGTACAAAGTGAGTTTCATATTTAATTCACAAACCATGACTCAGAGCCGGACAGAGGGCGGCGCCTCCCCCATGCGTGAGTGGCATCGAAGGCCTGCCAGTGCCAGCACCTTGGCAGCCCCCGAGCGTTCCCCACGAGGGGCCTCACTGCAGGGGGCTGCAGCAGGCCCTCCTCCCACCTTGCCGGACCTCTTCCCTGGAGCTCCACCGGTGGGCCTGTGTTCACTGCCTTGGCTATTTCCATACCCGCCCCACCCCCGGCGGAAGCAGGAGGCGGCCCCGGCACACTCACACTCACACTCACGTCCGCTTCTGTTTGCCGGATGGGCAGAGGCAGAGGAGGTCTCGAGGGCCCAAGACCCCGTGTTGGTCCCAGGCAGGCGCTGGGGATGCCTGGAGCCCTCCTCTGCCCCTGAAGCCCTTCTAGGGCGGCGACAGGGGTCTGGTTCTCCACCCACCTGCCTTGCCCAAGGCCCCCGGTGCCACCCCTGTCCCAGGAGGGCTCATGTCTCTCAAGAGCAGGTGATTTTTCCTGCAGGGTCTGTGCACCGCGTCACCAAAATCTTTTGCTCCAATCAGGAATCCCAAACGTCACAGCTTCCACCCAAGGAAACAAGAGCGAGTGCCTGGCAGGCGGGTGGGAGCGGGGCGGGTGCTGGTCACTCTGCGAGCAACCCAGCAGCTCCTCCACAGTGTGCGGGGCCAGGCGAGGGCTGGTGGGACGGGTCCCCAGGGCACATCAGCGGGGGCCTCCTCGCCTCCATAGCCCAGCCCAGCCCAGCGCGCAGCTGCCCCCAATTTGTAGACAGAGTCCCGATTTGAGGTGGCAGCTGTTGCTGGACTCCGAGCCCCGAGCCCCAGCTTCCTCCTGGTAGAACCGGCCGGTTACGGCCCTGCATGTGCTGTGCCCGTAGCACTGCCAGGCCCAGGATGGTGAGATGTGACGGCCACAAACCCCCCACGGTGTCCCCGCCTGCACGTGCCGCGGTGTGCACCTGGTCCCACTCCTGTCCTCCAGCTCACAGAGTCCCCTCAAGCCACTGCCCTGAACCCTGGCCACCAGCCGTCTTCCTCTGAGAGGCCCCGCACCCCTCCTGCCTCTCTGCTTCTGCATGCCCACAGCCTGGTCCGCCCGGCGGGTCTGGGAGTTGTGGTGATCGAAGCAGATGGACCGGCTCCAGCTCCACCCACTTCATGCCAGCCCAGGCAAGTCGCAGGGCAGCTGTTAGCCCCGCGAGACCCTGGCTGGCGGGGGGGCTCTCTGGAGCGAGGCCCGTGTAGGCTCACTGTCTTCCCAGACCAGGCCCTTGGCTCCCCTGGGCCTTCCCCGTCCTCCTGGCCCAGCTGATGAGGAGGCCACAGCTGACCCTCCGAACACCTGCAGGTGGGGTGGGCTCATCCTACCTGCTGCCTCCAGGAGGCTCCTGTGCCGTGGGTGGTGTCCCCCTGGGGTGCAGGCCGCCTCTGGATCTGCCGCCTGCCTTCTAGAAAGATTGGGCAGGAGGAGGGGAGAAGGAAAGGCTCAGAAGGTGGGCCTAGGAGCTCTGCTCCAACCCCCCTGGGGCACACATGGCCTGGGTGTTGAGGTGGTGGGTGGGCAGGGATAGTCTGAGTGATGTGGGGTGGCCTCCCCGCCCCCCGTGGGCACCCACCTTGTGGAGGCTGTCCAGGAACAGGAAGGGGTGGTACCCAGGCGGGGGCGGCCCCAGGAGGACATCTGTGAACTCGGCACAGCCCTGCTCCACTCGCTGACAGGCCCCGGGACAATGGGGCGCATGTCCCCTGGCTGAGGAGACAGAATGAAGAAAGACCCTATGAGGGGCTCAGGGCGGAGACGGAGGGAGCCCCACAGGGCTGTGCTGAAGTGTGGCTCTGGCCAGGGCAGCGGGCACAGACGCCAGTCGCGATGCCATCTTGGTGGGGGCAGGTCAGGGGGCAGGGACTGTCCATCCTGGGTGCTCCCTCCGGCCGCCGACAGGGGAGGTGGGGGTCCTCCGTGTCCACGGCCTCTGACGCCCCCGCCCCCTTCTGAGTCCACCCCAGCGCCAGGGAGCCCAGCGCTTTGCAGTGGGAAGGGTCTCCCATCAGCAGCCCCCGTCAGCCGAGGCACTCGCTTCCAGGGTAGGGCCGGGACCGGGGCCCTGGCCGGAGAGGCTGGCGCTCAACAGTACAGCTGTGTGCCCTCCTCGGAGCGCAGCATGAGGAGGAAGATGGTTCTGCCCCAGCGGCCCATCAAGATGGACCTGGCGTCAGGACCCGTTCTCCACAGGCGTGGAGGGAGACACCGAGGGTGGCTGCGAGTCCCTCCACGTGGCGGCAGACCCCAGGTCCTCGGGCATCAGAGGCGGGTGTGGGCGGGCTCAGCCTGTGCATCCCTCAGTGGGACCCCTGCAGGCCCTTGCCCAACCTAGCTTTTTCCAGCCCCTCTCCCGGGGTCCCAGGGTGCGAGGTATGGGGGCTCCCCTCTGGCTTCCCCCACGCACAGATGGAGCTGCAGCCCCCAGGGCCCACCCTGCTGTCTCTTTTACAAGGATGGTCAGTGGCTGAGCCTGAAGGAGATAACTTCAGTGCAGCCCCTCCACACACACACATCAGAGCCCACGTTCCTACGAGCAGCTCGGAGCTGTCCTGACACCGCTGCCCCGAGGGCCCCCCACTTGCACACACCACTGGGAGGAGGTGCTAGCAGGAGGCCACGGGATGTGGTGAGGGCTGGAGGTCGGCACCAGAGCTGGCTGGACAGGGGAGTTCTGAGAGGGAGGCAGGGGCTGGGGCGGTGGCTTTAGGGCCACAGATGAGTGTCCCCACCAGGCAGTGACACCATCAAAAAAACAGAAGAGACCCAGCTCCAGGATGGATAGAAGGGTGGAGCCAAGACAGTGCCCAGGAGGGAAGGAGGAGTCAGGGGCTGCTGAGGGGTGCACAGGAGGCTGGGTCTGTTTGGGCTCAGCTTCATTTGAGGCCAGAGCCCAGGAGGCGGGACCCTCACATGGGGCCCCGGGGCAGCCCCCTCTGTGGGGCTCTGAGTGAGTGGAGGGGCGCTGGATAGGACCTTGGGGCTGGAGGCATTAATGTCCCTTTCCCGGAGCCCAGCTTCTGTAGGGAGCGACAGAGACGCTAGGGAGAGCCAGCCTCAGAAATATTTCCAAATTACAGGTGGGAGAATTATCTCTCTCAGAGGTGTCTTAATTTAATCATTATGGTGCATTATAGAGAGAAAGTCTTCCCTTCTGCAAGGACACTCTTTAACTGACATCCTTCTCCCAGCAGCTTTTGCTGGCCCGGCACTATTTACGTCCGGGGCAATGGCTGGGAGCTGCACTGCTGACGGCATAATTTCCATTTCTTAACGCACCGATGGTTTCCACGTGGACTGCACTGGAGCTAACTTGGACTGCGTCTTTTATCGACACCCCCTGGACAATAAAGACACCAGCTCTGTATCCTAATCATGCGGACACCCTCACCCTCGGCAAGGTGACCGCTCCAGAGTGGGCCCAGATCCCGAGCCCCAAGTACACATGGTTCACACGGTGGCGGGGGCTTCAGACCTCCACCTGCCACGTGCCATTTGCAGGGGCAAGGTGGGAGTTTAGAAAAGGTATTTTTAGAAGCCCAGCAGGCATTCCTGGCGTGCAAATAAACATATATCCACATGGAGCCTGGAGGGTGTCTGCATCGCTGAGGCTTGGGGGTTCTGACCAAGCTGTTTGAAGAGCCTCCTTTGCCTGGTGATCACAATGGCTGGTGCCAGGCACCTTCAGGCAGGTTCTCACGACATCCCTGCTCTCCTCAGAGTAAAGGCTGTCGTGACTGTCCCTGGCTGATCAGCAGCCGAGGCTCAGCCAGGTAAAGGGAGCCCTCCCTGCGCAGCACAAACAGAAATTAACGGCTTTCAGTTCAGCAGGAAGAGGACAGAGGACACCAGGGCCTATAAAGCCGGGTTCCTTGAGCCTGTGTGGGTTTGACACGTGGGGTCCCCTGGAGGTGCAGGCAGAAGCTCTCCTCTGTGCGGTCCCTGTCCAAGAGTGAAGAGGAGGCCCTCCGGGTTGGCCAAGACGCTTTTTGTTGCAAGCGAGAGAAACGAGAAATGGTGAAAAGCGGAAGGGGAGGGTCGTCCCCAGCCTTGGCCTCAGAGGAGCCTTCTAGATCCCAGCGCATCTGGACCAGGAGCCCACACCGTGTGTCTTTCTTCTGGATGTCACCTCCCCCTCCCTCAGGCTCTTACCGCCGCATGGCACGGGTCCACGGAGGGGGCGTTTCTGCTGCCACACGGTGGGGACTGCCTGACCATGAGAGACAGCGGTCCACCTCTGCCATGCACTCCCTGAGTCGGGGCTGCAGGCTGACCGCAGCGGCCCCTGGGTCCTGGCTGTGACCGCCTTTCCCGAGGCCGGCACCGCACCCGCCAGGTGCTCAAGCTGAAAGTTGGGGGTCAGCCTCGTTGCCCCTGCACCATATCCTGTGCACCCACAATTTCTGCAGCTGCAGCAACAAGGCTGACATCAAAGCTGCCTTCAAAACATATCTGTACCTGGACCCCCAAGGCTCCCCACTGCCCTGCCACACCCCCGCCAGGCCCCAGTGTCTCCCACCGAGTCGCTGGCACTGCCCTCAGCTGCAGCCTAACTCCTGGGTCCCCCTCGCCCTTCAGTCCATTGTTTACACGGGACCCTCACACGGAAGCCAGGTCAGTCCCTCCCTTGCCGAGGGCCCGGAGCTCAGCCCAGCCTGGCCCCGGCCTGATGCTGGGCCAGAAACACCACACAAGCTTGCGCATCCCCTAAAGAAAACGAGGGCACGGGAAGGCCCAGCCAAAGTGTCCTGCGGGGCTGCTCCCCGTGGAGCACGGCTTGGAATCCCTCGGCCGCTCCTGCTCAGGGCACCCTCTGTGCAGACACAGGCGCCTCCGCCGCGCGGCTTCTCCGTGTTTGCTGAAGACGCAGGTTTTCCAAGGCTGCGCCTGGGCTCTGCCGCTGACATCAGGGTGGCCCTGGCCTGAGCCCCCACTTGTCCCCCGGTGTCATCGGCTACAGATGGCCACTGTCCCCACAGGCCCTGTTTCCTCCTGCCCCTGGGCCCTCCGGGAGACCTCGGAGGCTGCTGTCCCTGGGGTAGGCTTGCCCCTCCTCTGTTCACACCCCTCTTTGGGTGGTCACCTCGCTTCCCATGGACACAAGCACCACGTTCAGCCAGATGACCTCTCACCTGCCTCCTCAGGGGCCACACACCCAGCCCTGGCGGCCAGCAGCCCCCTCATGCTGTGTCCTGCGCATCCCACTCCCTGCAGACACCAGAGCAGACCTGAGTCCCTCCTCCAGCTCAGCCTCCCCTTGCTGAGGGGCCTGCCCTGCCCCTGGCCACTGACTCCTCCCCTCGCTCCATGACACCCCTCCACCCACACAAGTCTCCCCAAACTTCTCGGATCCTCCTTGTGGGCACCTCCTTGGCTGCAGTCCTGGGGTCTGGGCCATCATCTGTGGCTCGGAGGACTGCAGTGGGTCCCTAGGCCTCCAGCACCCCTGGTCCTGTCGCCCACTGCTTGTGTCCAGCACATGGAGGACTCAAGGCAGCAGGTGGACCTTGTCACTCACCGGCTCCACGTGGCCAGAGGCTTTTCCTGCATTGTGAGCATAGGCCACCACACAGGCCACGACGGGCCACCACACAGGACACCAGACTGCCACACAGGCCACGGCGAGGGCCGCCACACAGGCCACCACGCAGGGCACGATGAGGGCCGCCATACAGGCTGCCACACAGGCCATGATGTGAGGCTGCCACACAGGCTACCATACAAAGGCCACGACCTGTGGCCGCCACACAGACGGCCACATAGGCCATGGCAAGGGCTGCCACACAAGCCAAAACATGGGGCCCATAGTGCAGACCGTGATACCAGCCACGAGACCACGACGCGGGCTGTCCTACGGTCCTCTCCTCCTTGCACGTCTCCACCCGGCCCCTCTGGCCCTGGCACTGCTACTCGTCTGGTGCAGGCTGGCCTTGCCCTTCTGTCCCGGTCCCCACACCACCTCGGTCTGGTGGCTCCTCCCGACGGAGCCTCTCCCAGCCCTGCTGTGTCCCACCTGTTGCCTGCTGCCCAGCTTCCCCTTTGTGGATCTGTCCCCAGCAGAGCACACTTCCCTGTCTTGTCCCCAGCGGTCCCCAACTGGTCCTGGGCATGCTGCTGACCGTGCGATGGCCAGGTGCCTGGCCGAGCCAACTTGCTGGTCACAGTGTACCTGCCCCCCAACATCACCCCCTTCCTGGGCATCACCCTGCTCATGCCCCCGTCTGCAAACTTGCTCCCATTAGGCCAAACCACTGAAAAGAAAAGGCTAAAAGGGGCCGGGCGTGGTGGCTCATGCCTGTCCCAGCACTTCGGGAGGCCAAAGCAGGCGGATCAGGAGGTCAGGAGATTGAGATCATCCTGGCCAACATAGTGAAACCCCGTCTCTACTAAAAATACAAAAATTAGCCAGGTGTGGTGGCAGGTGCCTGTAATCCCAGCTACTCGGGAGGCTGAGGCACGAGAATCGCTTGAACACGGGAGGCAGAGGTTACTGTGAGCCAAGATCGCTCCATTGCACTCCAGCCTGGCCACAGAGCGAGACTCCGTCTCAAGAAAAAAAAAAAAAAAAAAGAAAAAGAAAAGGCTAAAAGTCTGATGGCAAGTGCCCCCCAAAGGCATTAAACTCAGAAAAGCCGAGGTGCAGAGACACCTTCGGACAGCGCAGCGCCCACCGTCAGTGGAGATCCTCTCTTCCCCGTCTGAGTGGTGCCCGCCAGCCCGAGTGGGCCTCACTCCAAGGCTCAGGGAGACACATTCTGTGATGGATGTGTCAGCTCATCAAACTCTGGGCTCCACGGGCCCCAGAGGAACCATTCGTGATGGAGAGTGAGGGTCCCCGGCAGTGTCTGGGGCACTTCCCGAGCCAAGGCCATGCTTGTCACCTCCTGGCAGGCATGCCCCTCCCCAGCTCTCAGGAGTGCCTTCCAAGCCTTTATGCCAGTTTTAATGACATCAGTTACAGCTTTATAAGCAAGATAAAGGTCACCGTACGACCTCGGGGGCCTCGGGAACCGAGAGGCTGAGCCAGCCCGGGACGGGATCGGGCAGCTTGACCGCTCTGGAGGGAAATTCCAATTCATTATCTTTTTACGGCGGACTCAATTAGACTCCCTAGTCACCTGTGTAGGGCACCAGGCAGCAGGCAGGGATGCTGCCCGAATCAACAAGGCTGCTCGGGCCAGGCCAGCCCCAAGAATAGCCGCGGCAGGCGCAGGACCTGGCCAGGGGGAGGGCAGGCCGAAGCAGAAACGTTGACTTCGTTTAAGTGGATTAAAAACATAAAACGTTATTGGCCCTAAGGGGACGAGAACAGTCTCGTTTGGAGGTGACCAGACACAGGGCATTAGTCTTTAAGAGTCCATCAGTCAGCCGAGAAGCGCGGCTCATTAGAGACGCAGGGTGGGGCCTGGAGAAGTCAGCGGGAACACGCGGGGGCACACAAGACACATGGGGGGCCTCTCGGACTCCCCTGCTGTCCCCAGCCCCGGGCTTCGTCCTCACCTCCCTCACCCTTCTCACCTCCCACACCGCAGACATGGCTCTGCTGACCCAAGCCACCCAAGATCCACGAGGAGGTGTAGGCTGGGCCAGCACTGTGCCTGGCCTCCCTCAGCAGAGCCAGCATGGGCCCTAGCACTGTCACCGAGAAGGGACCTGGGCTGGCCTTTCCTTTGCCTTTTTAAATATTTTATTTTATTTTATATTTTATTTTATTTTATTTTATTTTATTTATTTTATTTTATTTTATTTTATTTTATTTTATTTTATTTTATTTTAATCATAGAGATGGGGCCTCCCTTTGTGGCCCAGGCTGGCCTTGAACTCCTGAGTTCAAGCAATCCTCCCGCCTCAGCCTCCCAAAGTGCTGGGATCACGGGCGTGGCCCCGCGCCAGCTCCCCTGCCTTTCCTGAGGCATAGAAAATGCGCTTGACCCTAAGCCTCCATCTCCAGTAGCCTCCATCCTTCCTGAACGTTCAGAAAATAAAAGACACTCCAGAGCTCCTGGGGCCTGGGCCGTCGTGGCTGCTCCTGCGTATTTGGCAAGCATGATGCTGACGTTTCTCCACTGCTGCCTTCAGACCTGCCTCTGGGACCTGCGGGCACCTCTGCTGGTAAAGCTGCCAAGACAGGACTGCTCTGGGCTCTCTCCGTGCCCGCCCGCTCCTCGCCTCCAGGAGCCCCCCACAAAGCTGTCTGTGTAGCTGCCAGAGCCGCTGGGCCCTGTGACAGAGCCGCCGGGCCCTGGGGATGACGCTGCGGGGCACCAGCCCTGCCGGGGCCAGGCGGGTGCCGTTCCAGCCAGGCGGGTGTGGGGCAGGCCCCTCATCTTGCTCCTGATCCTCTGGGGGTGCTGTGCTGAGCAGCAGTGGCCCCTCGAGGACTGAGACTCGGGCCTGGGGGCCTGGCCAAGGTCCGGGGCTCCCTGCGGCTGCTGTCCTCAGGGTTCTCCTCACCTCCACTGCATTCCCACGAGCTGTTCTGAAGCTTTCCTGGGGAGGACAGGCCAGGAGCCACCCTGCCACAGCTGTCCTGGGCTCTCAGATAGACAGAGGCCTCGCGGAGCCTTGGAAGCAGCTTCACAGGGTGGCAGGAGGACGCACAGCCGCAGAGGCCAGCTTTCCCGGGGACTGGCTGCCTCCCCAGGCTTCTAAACACCATGGCACCCGCCTCTGGCTTGGGGTTTGGACTTCTTTTAGCAAAACGATGAACAATCCACGGCCCCATTCTTCCGGAAGAGAATGGAGGAAACCGTGGTCCCATGTCTGCTGGGCGGGATTCCCGTAGGCCTCCCCTGCTGCCAGCTGTGGGGGTGACTGAGGCGGGACTGGGCCTGGGGCTGGGGCCAGGGGCAGGGTGGGGTGGGGGTGGGACAACTTCCCTGGGACCTCCTTCCCGGCCATCGGCCTTCTTTCCCATCTGGAGCAGGAGAGAAAGGAGTGTGGGAGGGCCTGGTCCAGACCCACCAGAATCAGGCCACAAATGCCCTACAAAGCAGAGAATGTGAGTCCCCACAGCCACGGCTGAGGAGGATGTCCAGGGGCACTGCCCTCAGGCGGCCTTAGGGGCCCTTCTTGCGAGAGCGGCATCACCTGAGGGCTGGGCGTGGCCAGGCACAAGGGGCTGGCGGGCCTGGGAGGGATCTGCAGGGCAGGTTGAGACATGGTTCTGAAGCCAGGCAGCTGCTCCCCAGAAGCTCCGGTGAGCACACTCGACAAGGTGGTGCGGCGAGCTGGCTCCGAGCGTCCCCCACAGGGCCACATTCTCACTATTGGGGTGGCAGGAAGGCCCAGCGACCAGGAGCATGTGTGGGGTCTGGGAAAGGCCTGGGGGACGGGGTGTGGGGTGCAGGAGCCCCAAGGCCGATGCTGCTGAGGAGGCCAGGAGCGGGGACCGCACAGACGGCAGTTCCTCTGGAGGGGGGTCCCGTGTGGGCCGGGCTGTGCAAAGGACACACTGGTCCCTGCTGGCCTCTCAGGGCAAGCGTGAGGACCCTGGCCTGCTCCGGCCTCCTTCCCTGGGGGCCTCGTCCCTGCGCTGCACAGATGGGGCCCGGCCGCCCCAGTGGGAAGGGAAAGGGGGAGCGCTGTGCCAACTCACAGGCTCTACGAGCCACAACAGCTGCCTGCAGAGCCTGGGGGCAGGGCTGAAGCTGGCCATGGAGGACCTTGGGGGCCACCTCCACCTTCCAGCAGCAAATGCCAAGTCCCCGAATGCAGAATTCTGCCAGAGGGAGCATGACCGTCTCTCTGTTGGCACAAAGCGAGAGCATCAAAGACAGCGTCAGCCCCCGCGAGGGTCCACGCATGCTCACACTCTGCGCTCATGGATGGCCACACACACCCTGAAAACGGCGTCAGCCTCCGGGAGGGTCCACGCGTGCTCACAGCACTCATAGATGACCATATGTGCCCCGAAGACAGTGTCAGCCTCCAGGAGGGTCCACGCGTGCTCACGCTCTACGCTCATGGATGGCCACATGTGCCCCGAAGACAACGTCAGCCCCCGCGAGGGTCCACGTGTGCTCACCTGCGCTCATGGATGGCCACATGTGCCCGCACCCTCGCACAGGCATGGGCGGTCCCCAGGCTGCCACACTCAGGGTCTGTCTGTGCCCCGGCACCTCCAAGCCATTCCTTCCACCAGGCCAGGGCCAGGCCTGGACACCTGCCACCTACCACCCGCTGGGGCAGCAGCCACGCACTCCCCCACTGCTCCCTGTTGGCGGCCAGGCATGGGCCGGCCTTGTTGGGGGACACAGGACAATTCGGGGCACTTGTCTTGCCTCCGTCCTCCTTGGAGAGCCTCGGGCTCACCCTACGTGGCTCTGAACAACAAGGGCCAGGCTCTGCACCGGGGGACCCCCTGCCCTGCCAGCCGGACCCTCAGGCCGCTCAGAGGGCCAGTCCCAGCACCTGCCCCTCGCCAGTGGACACAGGCTGCCGGCAGCATTGCTACTGACCAGAGACGGAGACGAAGGCACCCTAGCCGGCAACATAGGGGCTCTGTGTCCCAGGGTCTCCTCGAGGAACAGAAACTGTGCCCTGAGGGCCTAGGGCCAGGCTGCGGTGAGCAGCTCTGACCCCAGGTGCCTGGGTGCCCATGCCAGCCAAGCTCACGCCAGCAGAGTCACTGTTCACAGGCCCTGCCAGGGGAAAGCAAGAGCACACACACAGCCACATGTATGCGGCCACACACACACACACACACACACACAGATGTTTGCTCTTATCTCTATGACGCACACCCCGAGCTCACACGCCCCAGGCCCATGGGTTCTATCTTGTCTCCCCTTTTCCACGTCTGCCAAAGATGCAGCCTGCATCTGTGATGAGACCTCAGACAAAGCCACCAGGAACCTTCCTCAGACAAAGCCACCAGGAACCTTCCTCAGACAAAGCCACCAGGAACCTTCCTCAGACAAAGCCACCAGGGAACCTTCCTCAGACAAAGCCACCAGGAACCTTCCTCAGACAAAGCCACCAGGGAACCTTCCTCACACAAAGCCACCAGGAACCTTCCTCAGACAAAGCCACCAGGGAACCTTCCTCAGACAAAGCCACCAGGGAACCTTCCCTGAAAGGCCTGGCCTGAAAGCTTCACAGACGCCAGGGTGCCCGCAGTCAGGGAAAGGCCCCGGAAGGTTCCCAAGTGCTGGGAGGCTGAGGCAGGAGGATCACTTGAGCCCAGGAGTTTGAGGATTACAGGGACCTCACCTGGCCTCGAGATACATTTTATTTTGTTTTTATGTATATTTTATTTTTTGAGACAAAGTCTCGCTCTGTCGCCCAGGATGGAGTGCCGTGGCGCATTCTCGGCTCACTGCAACCTCCGACTCCCTGGTTCAAGCGATTCTTCTGCCTCAGCCTCCTGAGTAGCTGGGATTACAGGCGCCCGCCACCACACCTGGCTAATTTTTGTATTTTTAGTAGGGATGGGGTTTTGCCATGTTGCCCAGGCTGGTCTTGATTTCCTGACCTCAGGTGATCCACCCGCCTTGACCTCCCAAAGTGCTGGGATTACAGGCGTGAGCCACCGCGCCCACCCTGAGATAAATTTTAAAGGAAAAGACAAAAAAGCACCCCCTTCTCCTTCCCCCATCTCGACCTAAGAAGGGTGTTTGGGTGCATCCTCAGCCCCTCAGGGTGTTCCAGCCCCCAGCCGGTCCGAGTACCGAGGCTCCTGCCGGTCACCCCTGCTGGGGTCTGCCCTGGGGAGCAGGAGCTGTCCTCCTAGTCTGGGTGGGGCCCAGCTCTCCCTGCCCACCCCCGGCCCAGCTCCCACTAGCCCTGAAGGCCACCGTCCCGCTGGCCAGGGCTGGACTGGTGTGGGTGCTCCCTTCCTCCTAGGAGAGGGACTCCTGGGTCCTTCTTGGGAGATAGGGAGCTTCTTGGGACATGGGGACTCTTGGGAGATGGGGAACTTCTTGGGAGATGGGGAGCTCTTGGGAGATGGGGAACTCAAAGCACCCTACCCAGCTGCACTCTTGGCCCCATGGCCCCAGGACCTGGGATGCCGCCCCCACACAGCTTTGCTGGGGGAGGTGGTTTCCCACTTAGAGTGGCAGGGGACACGTCCCCTTGGGGCAGCTGGTGGCCAGTCTGAGTCTGTTCAGAGGCTGCGACTGTGTGCCAGTGCCAAAGCGCCTCTAGAAAGGAAAGAATCTAATGTGCCACGAAGGCTCCATCCCCAGCTGCAGGTGGCAGATGGCCCGTGTGTGTGCTGTGTGGCTGCGGCTGCCCCCTACCCCCGATCACCCATCCCGAAGCAGGGTATGGGGCACTCCATGGAGGGCACTGGTCAGGCACAGGCTGTCTCCAGGGGACACCAGGGAGGAGGATCCCGAGTGGCTGAGACCCTGGCATCTGCAGAGGCGCCCCCAGGCCCACACACCCCATGACCTCAGGGGTCTAGGCCATTGCTGGACAGGCCCCAGATGACTTAGAACCACCAGGCCAGCTGCTGGCCCCATAGTCTCGGTGCAGGGGGGACGGGGCCACGCAGGTGTCCTCCCCACCGTGGCTGCCCGTGCGATGCTCCCAGTGGCCTCAGGGTTAGGTTCTGACTGCGGGACAGGGAGGTGGACTGCACGGCTGCTGCAGCCTTGAGGCTCCTGCTCGGCCCCCGCTGCCCCCGTCACCCCCCTGCCACCCTGCGTGCCGGGTGCACAGGTATTTTACATTTTGGGGTAAATGTTTAATCAAACATTTACAGAAAAGTCACAGGTAGAGTACAAAGAATGTTTTCGCTGGGCCATCTGAAAGTCCGCTGCTGAATTTGCTCCTCACTCCACATCCTCGAGTGCATTTTACAAACCGGGAAGTTTTTCGCCTCACGTAACCCAGCACAGCCGTCCCGGGGCAGGGCACGCCTCGGGGTCAGACCCCAGCCTGGGCTTCCCCGTGGCCCAGTGATGTCCCTCGCAGGAAGGAGATCAGCCTGGGACCACACATTGCAGCGAGCTCTCATTGTGTCTTCAGTCTCCGTCGGTCTGGAACATTCCCGGGCCTTTCCCTGACTGCCATGGTCCTGGCGTCTTCGAAGCTTCCAGGCCAGGCCTTTCAGGGAAGGTTCCCCCGTGTGGCCGTGTCTGAGGTCTCATCACAGAGAGACCCGGGTTACGCATCTTTGGCAGGAGAGGCATGGATGCGACGCTCATGCCTTTCATGGATGGCTCTGCTCAGCCCACGCTGCCAGGTGGGGCAGGATTTTCACTGACCCAGAACCAGTGGAGTCCACCGTGAGGCTGGTGGCGCGTCTCCGTGGGGAGCTGACTCCTCCTCCCTCTGCCCTCCATGGGGGAAGTGCCTCCATCCTGCCCCAGCCTGGATCCGCCGCTTCTCCAGGGAACCCCGGTTCTTTTCAGACGCGCACCTGGGTACTGTGTCCGCTCCTGCCTGCTGGGGAGCCGCTGCCCACGGGCCCTGCCAGAGCCGGAGAGTGCACACACACGCATGCGCACATACGTGCACCTAGGCAGGCACGCACGCACACACGCACCTGCGCAGGCACGCACACACGCACGCACACGCACACCTGCGCAGGCACGCACACACACGCACGCACACGCACACCTGCGCGGGCACGCACACGCACACCTGCGCGGGCACGCACACACACGCACACCTGCGCAGGCACGCACACACACGCACGCACACGCACTCCTGCGCGGGCACGCACACACACGCACGCACACGCACACCTGCGCGGGCACGCACAGTCATGTGCACGCACACACAGCCATGTGTACGCAGACATGCACACAAACGCACAGGTTCACTTTCTATGATGCAAACCCCCAGTCCACACCCCTGAGTGCCAGCCCACGGGTTCCTTCTTGTCCCCACTTCTTTGTGTCCACAGGCCCTGCTGCACCCCTCAGCACAGGGACACCCCATGGATGCTGCCTCCATCACCCCCTCAGGCCCTGTGCTTGGGGGCTTCCCTGCTCCATTGGGCCCAACGCCCAGAGCAGGGGCTCGGAGACCCCGCTGGCCACCCCACTTGGCAGGACTTGATGGCTTTGGGACTGAATTGTTCCAGGCGGGAAGGGGAGGGAAGAACAGGAAAGAACCTCAGAGAAGAGAAAAGGACCTGTGGAGGAGGAGGGAACCTGAAAGCTTAAGCTTTTACCCAAAAGAGCAGCCACCTCCAAGGAGGCTGCTTAACCCCAAGGGAGGGGTGCTCCACCCGCCTGCCGACCAAAGAGCCCCTCAGCACCCACAAGGCTGCCTGAAGGCAGAGAATTAGCCTTGCTCCCAGTCCCGGCCCCTCTGACATCCCTGCTTAGTTTTAGCCACACGCACATCCCGAAGTCTGAGTTCATTTCCATTTTCATCTACTGTTCTGGCATTGGAAGCAACATGATATCTTTTTATACTGTATTTTTCTGGGACAGTCCCTCTATATGATGTGATTCCTAGAAAAAGAATTTATAGCACAAACATTCCTTTAAAAATATGGCTCTTTCATGCTACTCTGCCATAATTAACCATAGACAATTAATATTTAAAGCTGTTATCACCCCACGAGGCAATGAAATTCCCTGAAATTCTCTGCTGCACATTCAGACACTTTTACGGGCAAGATTGAATTAGTGGCAGAGGGCAACTTGATTTTTCAAATCATCTTACAATCACGATTGATTCTTCATAGATCCCATCTGATGAATACTCAAAACCATTTGTCCAACACGTGTAAGAGAAACCACTCAGATCCGTTGAAAATATTCACTGGGAGGGTTTTGTGCATGAAAAAAAAGAAGAAAAGAAAAGCAACCTGACGTCCTCTCACGGCTGCGGCCTCTCTACGTTCCCAAATCCAATTCACAGGGGATTGTTTGAGGCGCTGGGGCCCAGCCGGCCTGACAATGTACACCCGCCATGGGCAGCACCTGCACTCCAACTCAATGGCCCAAATTATTGGGCCCAGGCAGGCACCCCACTGACAACAAGGGACACAAAAGGGTTCTGCACTGCAAGCTGTGGGTGGGAATTACAAAAGGTTAAGAGACTAAATATAAAAATGCTTTGAATATAAAATCAATGTGCTTTGTTACTAAAATCTGGGTGCTGTAATTTAACCAAAATAGGGTTTAGAATATCTGGCAATAGTCCATGTCTTGGAAATCATCTTTTCTTCTCAACGAAATGCAAATCCTTATTTGAAAGTTAAAAACAACTAAACAACTGAAATATTTCATATCAACAAAATAATAAAATACTGTGATGTGCAATTATGTATCACTGACATTAGGCCTCCAGAAAGAGAAAGGATTTGCCCTCTTTGTCGATTTATTTGTACCAGTGAAAGGCAGGTTTCTGGAGGGTTTGTTTCTGGCTGCTCTCGGGTCTGGGAGGAAAGATGCCTGGGACCCCAAGTCCACGTCAGTTTGTGGGGGTTGAGTGTGAGCTCCTGGGAGGCCTGTCCCTGGGGTGGGGATGGCTGGGCTGAATTTCCAGCCTCTTCCATGGACAGTGGAGCGAGCCCTGTGCTCCCCACAATCTGGGCATGGGGGGCAGGGCTGGAGGTGCTCCTGGGAGACCCCAGTGGCCCTGGCCCAGCAGGAGGTGCCCTCCAGGGCCTTCTGCTTCCTTCAGTCCAGAGACCTCAGGGGTGGCACGGGGGTGGCACGGGCATGCTGGGCATCTGTGGCAGGTGTTTATCCGCCCCCGGCTGTCGCCCTGAGCTTCAGAACACGCTGAGACATTGGCAATTGCTTTAAAACGTGAGGCGGTGTGGCTTTGCTTTATTTCAGGTCTGACTCATGTCCGTGCTCTCTCGAAGCCTCCTTCTCTCCCTCCTCTCCCCAGGGCAGCCCGACCTCTGTGCCCCAAAGCCCAAAGGGTGTGAAGTCTGGAGGTGGCTGAGAACATTCCAGTTTGTGTTTGTGGCAGGTGGAGCAGGGTAGGAAGGCAGCATGTCCCACTGCTCGGGCTGGCCCAGTCCCCCATGCACGACCCCCGGGACGGAGGCCACGGTGAGGCCTGTTGGCTGTCCTGCCAGGTGAAGTCCAGCTGGGAACGGCGGGGGTGCTGCGTGAGCACAGCTGCCCAGGGTGGCCGGGTCAGAGCCCGTCTCCCACACTCCCCACACGCTCACCCCCAGCACTGGGCTTTTGCTGCAAAAGCGGCAGACTTAGAGTCTCGTGGAAATGGAGGGTGAGACTACAGGCTGTTTCGGGGTCACAGCAGGGCACGCCACCTGCTTCCTTATCAGGGATGCGAGGGTCCCTGGGCTCCTCCTGCAGGGGTGGCTGGAGACTCAGGTCCTTGCCCGCCAGCCCTCTCTGGGACTTTCGAGTCGGTTGGTGCACTTGCGGGGGCCCAGCAGGGGTACGTTCGTGACGGGCTATTTGGCAAAGACAGCCATTCTCCCCTTCTCCTCCGGTAAGAGTCTTTGCCAGCACATTGCGCTTCTTGTCTCTGTGTGGCCTGGTGTGGCCGGGCCGTGTAACCAAGCTCTGAGCAATGGCAGTGAGTGTGGCGCCCCCAGCAAGCTTCTTTAGAAGCGGAGGGGCCCGAAACCCGCTTTTCTTCACGTGCTGGTTGCTTCGCATTCTTTAGTTTCATCTTTCTGAACTCATCACAATCACAGGGGATCATATTCATATGCTTGTCAAAAGCCTTGAAGGTGCCAATGAAGACTCGGCCATCTTGTAGGATACGTCTCATTCTGTGGTCCGTGTGTGGCAGCATCTTGCTACTCTTGCCCACGGTCACGACTGCCGTTCCCCCAGATCCAATGTCCACAGTTAAACTTGGAGCTTCTGAACCTGGTATGAGGCCACCCACGGGCCCACCAATTGGGCTTCCCTCTGCTCGAGGGACACCAGTAGGCATGCCCCCTCCAGGAATGAGACCCCCTCCACCAGGAATTAGAGGTCCACCTCCCCTAGGAATGAGTCCACCAAGACCCTAGCATACTGTTGATCCATCTCAGTCACTTTTTCCCCTGCAATGTGTCTTGTGAAATTGTGTAGAGTGTTTGTGAGCTTTTTGTCCCCTGGTTCTGCATTAATAATAGCTAATAATAAATGTATAGAGCAATTAAAAAAAAAAGAAGAAGGGGAGGGTGCTTCTCCTTGCCACTTATGCTTCCCCCTTTCTCCTAGCTGGAATAGGGGCATGACGGCTAGAGCCTGTGCAGCCATCCAGGACCATGAGGTGGTGCAGGAAGATGACAGTGGCAGAATAGGCAACAGGAACTGGGGTCCCCAGTGGCTGGGGAGGGAGATCACCTCTCCCTCTTGAGCTCTTATGGGAGCGAGAAGTCACCGTGGCTGGGCTGAAGCCACTCTAGTGTTGTTTGCTAAAAGTAGCCACATCTCATCCTAAGCACATAGCCTGCTTGGAGGAAGCCAAATGTGGCAGGGCGTTGGGGAAGCCTGTGCCACGCAGCACAGGGTCAGCGGCGGGGAGCCACCTGAGGGGCTTGGTGAGAGCCGTCCTGCTCTCTGACTGTGGCCAGGCTTTGTCCCAGGTGGGTGTTCCTAGTGGGCATAGTCTGTGACTGCAGGGAGAGGGCTGCCCAGACCTGGAGCTTCCACCATGGATGTGCATGTCTCAGCCACTGGCTCAGGAGAGTCCTCGGAAGGGACTTCGGCGGGCAGGTACCCTGGAGATTTTCTGGCCCAAGTTTCTTTCAGGCCTCATGTTGGATTATCTTCTGGCCTGAAGCTCTCTGGCCTGATGTCTGTGCCCTGTAGGTGAGTGGCTGTCTGGGTAGGAGATCCTGCTTGGTGGCTGGAGGGCGTGTCACGGTCGGTGCCAGGCGGGCAGGTTTCTGCAGGTGCGGTCTCTGCAGCCACGGGGCAGGAGTCTCAAGAGACACCCTGCGTCCCATGGCCCCCAGCCCTCTCCCAGGTAAGCACAGAGGTGGAAACTTGAGGCTGGGACCAGCACAGCTGCCTGCGGTCCCAGGACGCACTGCAGGCCAGGCCAGAGGCTTCAACGGGGCCCACCTCTTTGCATGGGTCTGGCCAGAGGGAAGGACGCCTGTCTGGGAGCCAAGCAGGCAGCGCTGTGACTGGGCCAGGGACAAATGTGAGCAAGGGACTTCGGTTTCGTTTTTTTGAGAATGCGAAGTTCATGCTTACAAGGAAATGATTCCTAGTGTATTTTCCCTGGACACGCTGGACAGCCTCAGAACGCCACCCTTTTGTTTTCTTTCAGGATGATGGCTAAAGCCGGCCCCCCTGTCCCTGCTGGCTGGTTGTGAGGTCTTGCTTGATTCTAGGGCCTCCGTGCAGCTGGGCCTGAGCCTGTCTGGAACTGGCCCACCCTTCCAGGCCTGAGCAGGGGTTGCTGACTGAGAGAGGGTCTCCGGGAGCTGCCTCCGACCTCGGGGTGATGCTGGTGGGTCCAGGTAGACAGAGCTGTGTTCCTGACAGTGAGGCTGACACCTCTGGGCCTCCCGGCCAGGAATACTCTTGCTGAAGCCATGATTACTTTAGTTTTCTCCTACTTGGGGATGAATGCTGTCCTGGCTGGAACTGAAACTTAGAAATGATTCCGTTTCCTCTGCAGGGCTCCTGGCCGGAGTCCCCGATCCCCTAGGGGCCTGAGGGCTGTGGTGGGGGCCTGGCAGGGCTCCAGGTACCGAGAGAGGCCCTCTGCCCAGCACCCTGCTGTCCCGGGGCAGGGAGGCCACATGTCCCCACCATGTCCCAGGGTGCTGTGAAGGCCACATGTTGGGGGCAGACTTTCAATGGGAGATGGGAATTGGGAAGAAAAGTTTGTGTCAACTCCTGCATGGAATGAAGGGTAACAATTCATGGATCATGGTTGGGAAGCAGCAAGCCCGATAAATCAGTCCTAAATGGGATTACGGATTACGTAAAGAAGGGAAGATAAAGACTAAAGAGGCCGGGCATGGTGGCTCACGCCTGTGATCCCAGCACTTTGAGGGGCCAAGGCGAGCAGATCACGTGAGGTCAGGAGTTCGAGACCATCCTGGCCAACACGGCGAAACCCCATCTCTACTAAAAATACAAAAATTAGTCGGGCGAGGTGTTAGGGTTAGTCCTGCTGGGTCCTTGGCCCAGTCGCTGAGACAGGAGACAGACAAAGCAAGGACCCTGCCGACCGTGCTCTGGGGAAACCTGCCCAACCAGCCCCTTCTCGTGAGGGGTTATACAGTTTTAAGAAAAGGAAAGTAAAAGCAGCCTGTAATCCCAGCACGTTGGGAGGCTGAGGCGGGAGGACTGCTTGAACTCAGGAGTTTGAGACCAGCCTGGGCAACATGGCGAGGCCCTGTCTCTACAAAAAAATACAAAATATTAGCCGGGCACGGTGGCTCGTGCCTGTGGTTCCAGCTACTCCGGAGGCTGAGGTGGGAGGATCACCTGAGCCCGGGAGGTGGAGGCTGCGATGAGCCGAGATCACGCCACTGCACTCCAGCCTGGGTGACAGAAAGAAAGTAGAAGCCTACGGGAGTGCCCCTCCCTGACCCTGGCCTCCCCCTCCTCTTCTCAGTGTGGACTTGACTGCACCAGACCCCAGGCCACGCTCCTCTCCTCCGGGGCGCCCCCTGCACAGGCCTGGGTGGAGGCCAGCATGCGCACTCAGTCATCCGTCCTTGGGGTGGACGCTGCTGTTGCCCTCCCTTTATGGATGAGGAAACTGAGGCACAGAGAGGTTTAGCTTCACATCAGAGTGAAAGCAGCAGCCCAGCCTCCCAGGGTTGGTGTCGGATGCACCCGTGAGGCCCAGGCAGAGCTCGGCACCCAACTCCAAATGTCTGTGGTTCAAGCCCCAGCGGGTCTTACAAAAACAAAAGCACGTTCCTCTAGGTTTCCCAAGGGAAATATCTTTTGTGCTGGAGAATTTACGGCTGGACACTCACATCATCGTCAAGCCAGAAACAGCCTGAGCCGGGCTGAGAGTCGGGGGAGGCCCCCCAGGTAGGATCCGCCCCAGACTCAGGCAGTGGGGCCGGCGCGGGGGGCCCGCGCGGGGTAGGGTGCGATGCAGGCACGAGGCTGGTTTCAATCGAGACTTTGGCTCTGAAAATCTCTCCAAGTAGAAGGCATGGCGCCCAGTAAGTATTTTTATGCAGAAATATGAGAGCTATTCCACCTATGCGGTGTGGAACTGCTTCTATCAACTGAGGTGAAGGCAGACAAGGGGGCGCGGGCCGGGCCCCCCGTGGGCCTGTTGGCCTGAGGCTTGGCCGCCTTGGCCTCCCGTGGAGTGGCGCCGGGCCCTGCTGCCCCACCTGGGATGCCTGCATGCTCTTTTATATGATGAATGACGCCTGCGCTTGCTGGTCCTCTCACAGCTGTTGTCTGGAAGGAGACTCGTCTGATCCTAGAAGAGTGAGCTCCCTGCAAGCACAGACCCCCGAGGCTCTGAGGCTCTGGGGCTTCTAGCCACCAGCTGGGTGAGGTTTCTGGGGGCAGGGGCACGGGCATGGAGGTGGCCCTGGTGGCGGAGGCTCTTCCCAGGGCGGCCAGGGGCATTCCGCTGCCGCTTTCTCCCACTTCAGCCATGTGAGTCACGGAACCTTAGGGAGAACTCGGGGCCGAGTGACCGGCCAGGAGTGCTGGCCGCTGAGAGGGACTGCTGCAGACAGTGACCAGGAGGGTCACAGGCCACACAGTGCCCGGGAGAAAGGGCCCTGGCACAGCCTGCCAACCACGCCCCTCAGCCCTCAGCCCTGTCTCACTGCAGGAGAGCCCAGAGCTGAGCTGAGCTCACAAGGCAGTGTGGCTGGCCGGGCTGGGGTCTGCGGCACCCTTGGGACAGGCACACCCTGGGCAGGAAGATGTGAGGGAGGCTTTGGGGCCTGCTAGGCTGGCTTAAGGGACAGGAAAGGGGGGTCCAGGCCAAGGCTCACCGGACTCCGGCTTGGGAAGGGGCTGGCCCTGCCTGCTTGCCCCAGGGGCCTGGAGGGTTGGAGTTGGGGGATCACCCCAGTGCGGCAGCCAGGTCGGGGGATTGTGAGGACTCAGGGGCGGCAGGTGGGGCTCAGGTCTAGAGTAGAGAGGCCTTGGCACTTGGGGAGGCGGCGCGACGGCCGCCTGGTGGTGCCATCTGTGCAAATCCTGGGGAGAGGCCTTCAGGGGACTTGGGGCTGCATGTGGTGGGAAGGGCTGGGCAGGGACATGGCAGGGATTGAGCTCGCATCGGCCAAGGCAGGTGACAAGGGCTGGCATATGAGGCGCATTTGGGGATGACCAGGGACGTCTCGTCAAACCTGGGACATTTATCTGCATGTGGAAGGTGGTGGCACACAGCCCACCCCTGCTAAGTTGTGGATCTGGGCTCAGCACAGCCTCTCAGATCTGCCCTGTGCTCCTCAACCCAGGAACCTGCGGCCTGTGTCCTCCCCAAGCAGCACCTCAGGCTCAGATCCCAGCTTTGGGGACCGGGAACCTCAGCTGTCAGCTGGGCCCTCTTCAAAGGCCCCCAAACTCAAAGTGCCAGGCATTTGTCCAGTGGGGACCCCCACGCCCGACCCCCGTTTACTGAGCCTTGGGGTGCAGGGCTGTGGCAAGAAGGACCCGGTGGCCGGCAGCACCCCAGGGCCTCCCAACGCTGTCAAGACTGTTCCCTCAGTCCGGCACTGAGACGCACACTGTGCTGCGCGGGAGGGTTTGAATCGCACACACTGCTCACTGCACAGGAGGGTTTGATGTGCACTGCTCGCTGCACCGGAGGGATTAAGCTTTGATTCAACTCCATGAGTAACTCTGGAATGATCCCTGTGAAGTCTAGGCCGCACATTCTATGGAAGTGCAGTTCTCACTGGCCCCAGCCTTGGGGGGCAGAGTTGGGGGCTGGGGGGTTCTGCCGGAGCACCTGGGCCTCATCTCCACGAAGAAACGTGAGGCAACCCGTGCAGAAGCGGAGCAGCGGGAAACCCTGACCTCGAGAGAGCAGTCGGCGCCGCGGCCCCCAGAGCCATGGCCGGCGGCTGCTGTGAGGGCTCCCGGGCGGCAGGAGTGGCTGGGGCCGTGTCCAGGCTGGCCACTGGCCTCGAGGCCTGGGTGAGTCTGCTGCCCTCAGCCAAGTAGACCCAGAACTCTGCCCTGAGGACCCCACGAGGCTGCAGCCCCTGCCAGGCTCACGGCAGACGAACAATCGGCTTGAGCCTCCGCAGCCACCCGTGACTGCTTGTCTGGGGATGTGGGCTGCCCGGCCCTGCCTCCTTTCACCCACGCGTGATGACTGACCCTGGGTGCGGCTTGCTCCTGCTCTGGCCTGGTTCTGGGTCCCCATGACCCCACCCCCACCTTGACTGCTGGGCCTGGGCCCACCCACCCCCAACTGGTTTGTGAGCTCCACTTACCAAGCAGGCCACCAGGGGTGTCCTCCTGGCCATGGAGGGCACCCAAATGCAGCTCCAGGTCTCCCCTGGGCAGGGGCACGTCGGCTTCTGCCCCTCCCTTGGCAGCTCTGGGCCCCGGCACCCCAGCTGCGGGGCTGGACACAGGATAAGGGATGCATTCGAACCCACTGCAAAGGAATGGGGGCAGCTTGGCTCTACTCACCCCACACCAAACTAGGGTGCAGGCAGACAGCGTGGCCCACGCCCTGGACCCTGGGACTTGCCTACACTGAGTCCAGGGAGCGCTACTCAGCCTCTCTGGGAGGTCTCCTGCTGGGATGGGGCCAGTTGAGGCCCAGAGAGAAAAAAGACTCGCCAGGGAGAAGACAGCAGGTCTTGGCTTGAAGGAAGAGCTGCCTGCCGCCCCCATTATTATTTATGACAACTCCAGCAGCGTCACCTCTCGGGTGCGTTCTGACTTCACAGTGGGTCCAAGTTTACCCCAAATGTCAGACAGTCCTTAACTCAGGAGAAGGGCCGGTGGGAAAAGGGAGTGTGAGAGCTGTGGCGTCACACTCAGGTCTGGTCGCCTGGGGCACTGCTAAGTTCTGACTGTGAATGGTAAAATGCATGGATTTTCATGTTGCGGGGCTTAGAGTGAGGCCTCTTCCTGGAGTCCTGCAGCTCAGGCCTCTGTTTGCGTGTGGGTTTGTGCACACACTGGCCTGGTCCAGCGTGTTCCTGGGAGGCCTGGTGATGTGTGCGTGGGGAGTGGCGCCCAACTAGGCCTGGCTGGTAAGGGCCACTCCCCTCCTGGCTGCACCAAGAGAGGCCTGAGCATCTCTGCAGCCGACCCTCCTCCCAGGAGCACCCGAGGGCCGGAGTCCTGATGTCTCCACTCCAGACACGGACCCAGGCCCAGAGGCTTGGGGGCCGAGCGCTGGGGGAGACTAGGGGCTCTGACCAGGGGCTCGCGGTCTCAGAAGGCAAGAGGGGCCACAGCAGAGGGTCAGGTACTGAAATTCAAGGGAGCTGTTTCCTTAGAACAGACATCGAATATTTCATTTGTCATAACCAGGACTTAGCCCAGGTCTCTAGGGAAAAAAGGACAAGGAATTAATGTGACCTAAATGAACTCAAAACAAACTCAGAACTAACTCATTGGTGTCACACGTACTCACAATGGGGTCTGGATGAGTGTCTCTTGGTTGTCTCTGTCCACTTTGAAAAAGTTGACCTCAGAGTAGGCTGACAGCTGCACGTATCTGACGCCCGCTGAGATCTGCAGGACCCGGCCGCTCTCGCCTTCCAGGAGAGAGGAGCAGGCAGTGAACACTCACAGGCACCCAGAAGCGGGGTGCGCGGGCCCGGGGCAGGCTTCTGGGACGCTGTGTTTATAACTCAGCGGGGCCACATTTGCCAGTGGCTGTGACCCTGGTGGGCTGAGGACCCCGGCTTGCCCTCCGTGGGCTCTCTGCTCCTCTCCCATGCCCTGCAGAAGTTTCCCAGCCCTGGGATCTCTGGTGCTGGCCACACTCACCCCAATACCCCTGTACCCCTGTACCCCTTGCCTCAGGTCCTGGATCCTGAATCTCCAGCTCTAGGCCTCGGGGACCCCTGGCTCCACCCCTGCCCTAGCCTGGGGCTGGCACACTATGGGAAGGCATCTCCTTGCTGACCAGCCTCAGGGCTTCACCTCAGGCACACCCAGGCCTTGGGCTGGTCAGGGGCGTGGGGTGGCACTGGCACTCACAAGCTCCCGGGGCCTCCATGGTGGTCCTCATCACCCTGGCAGATAGCAGGCTCTCCGTGCCCATCTCCCACCTTGACCCGGGGGGATGGGCTCCCCCCTCCACTAAGGTACCCAGCACAGGGCCTGGCACACAGCTGGTGCCCACCAAGTGTCTGCTGAGTCAGCTGCTCCATCCTGCACCCCATTGCTCCTGGGAACCTTAGGCTGCAGGTGGCCCCCAGAGGACTGTGCCCAAGGAGTGGACACCACTGTCCCTCTGAGTTGCTGAGTGCAGATGCTCTGGGCCCCGCTGGGCAGGTGGAGGTGGCGGAGCTGGGTGTTCAGCCACACCCAGAAGACCCCACGTGGGAGTGCTGGATAGCAGGGAGGAGTGGCTTGGGCACCGTGGGTGGAGGCAAGATGGCTGTGCCGAGAGGAGCAAAGAGGAAGAGGAAGGAGGCCAGATGTGGTGGCTCACCCCTGTCATCCCAGCACTTTGGGAGGCCGAGGCGGGTGGATCTCCTGAGGTCAGGAGTTTGAGACCAGCCTGGCCAACATGGCGAAACCTGTCTCTACTAAAAATACAAAAAGTAGTCAAGTGTGGTGGCAGCACCTGCAATCATCCCAGCTCCTTGGAGGTTGAGGCAGGAGAATCGCTTGAACCCAGGAGGCGCAGGCTGCAGTGAGCCAGGATCATGCCACTGCACTCCAGCCAGGGCGACAGAGAGAGACTCCGTCTCAAAAAAAAAAAAAGGGAAACAAAAGAAGAAGAGGAAGGAGACCAGTCCGGTGCCCCAGAGTGGATGCCGAGCTTTGGGACGGGCTCTCAAGTGGGAAATGACTGGACTTCAGCAAACATGGGCCATTCGGACAAAGCAGGGCCCAGGCAGGCTCCCACTTGGGGTGGCCGTGGAGGGGTCGCCTCAGAGCCTGGGGCTACCCCCAATCATCACGGATGATGTATCACGCCCTGCACCCCTGGCACTAGGCACAGGTCCAGGGCCTGGTCATGCGGACTCTGAGGTCAAGGTCCTATGGAGGACAGGTTAACAGGAACCCAGCCTCTCATCTTACTAAGATCTGGCAAAGGAGACACGATTGGGAAAGCAAAGATGTCAAATGTAAAAACACTAGCGTAGCCTGCTGGACATCTGTATGGGGATGGAGTAACTGGGATCGATTGACACCCCTGGTTCCAACAACCAAGAAAGCCGACAAAGTGCAATGAAATTGATATCAGGATCCCGGACACCAGGCAACTCAGGACAGATCCTTGAAAGAAGGAAACAAACGGCGTGGACTCTATAATTGCCCTGGCTGCTGCCTTAAAAGAACGTGCAGGATGAGCTGCAGAGAGGGGAAACTGAGGCAGAGCCCAACAAACCCCTCAGTTGAGGAAAATGAGCAGAGAATCTGGGGAACAAGGCACACAGTCAGAGTTTTAAAATTCAAAGGGCAGAGCAGCGAAGAGGAGAGAGAGGACCCTGAGTAGAGGGAGGACCCTGAGTAGAGGGAGGACCCTGCAGCCCGCAGGAGGCCCTGGAGTGTTCAGCAGAGCACCATTCAGCACACCTGGGACAAAACTCCACGAGGCTGGGGAAGAACCGTCTGAAGAATTAAGAGGGACCAGGACCTGGGCCTCACACAGGACTGGGCATGGTGCCTGTTCTCCTCAGCCAGGCTGGAAAAACTCAGAGGTCACAGGAAGCGGGGGCAAGCTTTCAGAAGGGTCTTGCCACAGTCATGGGGAACCATTGGTGTGAGGCAGACGGGTCTCCAGCAGACCTGTCTAACAAATCATAAAAGCAAGACCCAAGAGGATTAAACTGTCTCCAAGTCACTGAACTGTGCCCCAGAACAAAGCTCAAGAATATTTATAGGAATACAAAAATATCCAATACCCAACAAGGTAAAATTTACAATGTCTGGCATCCAATCAAAGATTATGAGGCATGCAAAGAATGCAGGAAAGTATGGCCCATAACAAGGAGAAAAATCCATCTACTGAAACCGGTCCAAAACTGACACGGATGTTAGAATCAGCAGTAGAGGACATTCAAGCATGGTGATCATAACTGTATTCCATGTTCCAAAGTTAAATAGACACACAGAAGATATAAACAAGAACAAAGAGCCGGGCGCAGTGACTCACACCCGTAATCCCAGCACTTTGGGAGGCCAAGGTTGGCAGATCACCTGAGGTCAGGAGTTTGAGACCAGCCTGGCCAACATGTCAAAACCCCGTCTCTACTAAAAATACAAAAAATTAGCTGGGTGTGGTGGCACGTGTCTGTCATCCCAGCTACTTGGGAGGCTGAGGCAGGAGAATCATTTGAACCTGGGAGGTGG
This sequence comes from Homo sapiens, assembly GCF_000001405.40. Taxonomy (NCBI): domain Eukaryota; kingdom Metazoa; phylum Chordata; class Mammalia; order Primates; family Hominidae; genus Homo; species Homo sapiens. The sequence goes on from NC_000001.11 coordinate 2,361,492, forward strand.
AGGTTGCAGTGAGCCGAGATTGTACTACTGCACTCCAGCCTGGGAGACAGAGTGAGACTGTCTCAAAAAATTAACAAATAAATAAATAAATAAGAAAAAAGAACAAAGTCAAACTTCTGGAGATGAAAATTATAATGTATGAGATAAAAAATATGCTGGATGTGATTCACAACAGGTTAAACATCGCAGAAGAAAAGATTTATGAACCTGGAAATGCAGTTGACCCTTGGCCAACGTGGGGATGAGGGCCGCTGACCCTCCATGCGGCTGAACATCCACATGTCAATTCCGACTCCCCACAGCTTTAATAGCACACTGTTGACCAGAAGCCTTACTGATAACAGAAACTGTTGATTAACACATATTGTGTATGTTATATCTATTAAACACTGTATTCTTATAATAAAGTAAGCTAGAAAAAAGAAAATGTTATTAAGAAAATCATAGTAAAAGAAAACAAGTCTGGGCACAGTGGCTCACGCCTGTAATCCCAGCACCTTGGGAGGCTGAGGCAGGCGGATCACAAGGTCAGGAGTTTGAGACCGCCCTGGCCAATATGGTGAAACCCCGTCTCTACTAAAAATACAAATATCAGCCGGGCGTGGTGGCGGGTGCCTGTAGTCCCAGCTACTCGGGAGGCTGAGGCAGGAGAATCACTTGAACCCGGGAGGTGGAGGTTGCAATGAGCTCTGATCATGCCACTGCACTCCAGCCTGGGCGACAGAGCGAGACAACTCAAAATAAAAAACAAAAAACATATTTACTATTCATTAAGTGGAAGTGGATTATCACAAAGATCATCCTTGCTGTCTTCACATTGAATACACTGAGGAGGAGGAGGAAGAAGAGGGGTTGGTCTTGCTGTTTTTGGGGTGGCCAAGGCAGAGGAAAACCTGTGTATGAGTGGATCCCACAGTTCAAACCTGTTTTTGTTCAAGGGTCAACTGTACAGCTATAGAAGCCATCCCAAGTGGACCATCGAGGGAAAAAAAGAGTTAAAAAGAAAAAACAGAAGGAAGAAAGGAAGGGAACCAGCAAACAGTGGGACAACCTCAAGTAGCCCAATCATGGGTAACACATGGGAGAGGCTGTGCCAGAAAGATTACTGGAAGAAATAATGGTTGAAAAATTTCCAAATTTAATGAAAACACCTGAGGTCAGGAGTTTGAGACCAATCTGGCCTACATGGCCAAACCCTGTCTCTACTAAAAATACAAAAAAAATTAGCTGGGTGTGGTGGCGGGCGCCTGTAATCCCAGCTACTTGGGAGGCTGAGGCAGGAGAATTGCTTGAACCTGGGAGGCAGAGGTTGCAGTGAGCCGAGATCGCGCCATTGCACTCCAGCCTGGGTGACAGAGCAGAACTCCATCTCAAAAAAAAAAGAAACTAAAATCAAGATGTTTCCAGACATACAAAAGCGGAAAGAATTCATCACTAGCAAACCTGTACTACAAGAAATGTTAAAGATTAAGTCCTTCAGGCAGAGGAAAATGAGAGCAGATGGAAATATGGACCCACAGGAAGAAGCGAGAAGAACCAGAAGCCACAGCAATGTGGGTCAACAGAAGAGACTGCTTACTGTTTATTAAGTACACATTAAAACCTAAGTGGTCATTTAAATAAAAATAACAACGTATTATTAATTTTATTACATATATGAACATAAAATGTATGAAAACAACTGCATAAAATTGGGACTGGCAAAAAAGGTATATAATTGTACAGTTCTTACGCATGAAGTAGTATATTACATCTCTTGAAAATAACTGTGTCACAGCTTGCCAGGAGTAAAGAATAAAATAAAAAAGAAAGAAAGAAACTGTGGTAAGTCAAGATGTACCTCTGCTACCCCTGACACAGCAAGACCAACCCTTCCTCCTCCAATACATTTATGATGATCCCCTTTTACTTAACGAGTTGTAAAACCCTAAAGTAATCCCTCAAATAACAAAACAAAGAGTTATAATTAATACATTAACAGAGGGCCAGGCGTGGTGGCTCACACCTGTAATCCCAGCACTTTGGGAGGCCCAGGTGGGCAGATTGCTTGAGACCAGGAGTTTAAGAGCAGCCTGGGCAACAGAGTGAGACCTCATCTCTAAAAGAAAAAAAAATTTTTTTAAATTAACCAGGCGTGGTGGTGTGCACCTATAGTCCCAGCTACTCAGGAGGCTGAGGCAGGAGGATTACTTGAGCCCAGGAGGTCAAGGCTGCAGTGAGCTATGATTTCACTACTGTACTTCAGCCTGGGTGACAGTGAGACCTTGTCTCAAAAAAGAAAAAATCAGTTAGAAAAACAAACAAACAAACAAACAAAAAAATATATATATATATAAAAAAAATCAGAGATGATAAAATGGAATCATAAAAAATGCCCAATTCAAAAAAGATAAAAATAGATATAGAGGGGAAACAAACAGCTGGGGCAAATTAAAAAATAGTAAAATGGTAAATTTAATCCTACTGTGTCAATAACCATATTAAATGTGAATGGTATAAACAGTTCAGTTAAAAGGCAGAGATTGTTAGACTGGATAAAAAGCAAGACGACGATATGCTGTCTACAAAAAGTACACTTTAAAAACATAGGCAGGTTAAAAGTAAAAGGATGGATAGAGCTACACCATGCTAATGCTAGTCAAAAGAAATAAAAAGTGACCATATTAATATCACAGAAAGTAGATGTAAGAGTAAGGGCAGTTACTAGGGATAAAGAAAGTAATTTCACAGTGATAAGGGATCAACTGATTAAACTACATAAAAATCCTAAATGTGTATGCCCCCAATAACAGAGCCCCAAAATACATGAACCAAAAATTGAAAGAAAGAAAAGCAGAACATTTTTTCATGTGTTTTTTGGTGCATAAATGTCTTCTTTTGAGAAGTGTCTGTTCATGTCCTTTGCCCACTTTTTGATGGGGTTGTTTTTTTCTTGTAAATTTGAGTTCATTGTAGATTCTGGATATTAGCCCTTTGTCAGATGAGTAGGTTGCAAAAATTTTCTCCCATTTTGTGGGTTGCCTGTTCACTCTGATGGTAGTCTCTTTTGCTGTGCAGAAGCTCTTTAGTTTAATTAGATCCCATTTGTCAATTTTGGCTTTTGTTGCCATTGCTTTCGGTGTTTTAGACATGAAGTCCTTGCCCATGCCTATGTCCTGAATGGTAAAGCCTAGGTTTTCTTCTAGGGTTTTTATGGTTTTAGGTCTAACGTTTAAATCTTTAATCCATCTTGAATTAATTTTTGTATAAGGTGTAAGGAAGGGATCTAGTTTCAGCTTTCTACATATGGCTAGCCAGTTTTCCCAGCACCATTTATTAAATAGGGAATCCTTTCCCCATTGCTTGTTTTTCTCAGGTTTGTCAAAGATCAGATAGTTGTAGATACGCAGCGTTATTTCTGAGGGCTCTGCTCTGTTCCATTGATCTATATTTCTGTTTTGGTACCAGTACCATGCTGTTTTGGTTACTGTAGCCTTGTAGTATAGTTTGAAGTCAGGTAGCATGATACCTCCAGCTTTGTTCTTTTGGCTTAGGATTGACTTGGTGATGCAGGCTCTTTTTTGGTGCCATATGAACTTTAAAGTAGTTTTTTCCAATTCTGTGAAGAAAGTCATTGGTAGCTTGATGGGGATGGCATTGAATCTATAAATTACCTTGGGCAGTATGGCCATTTTCACGATATTGATTCTTCCTACCCATGAGCATGGAATGTTCTTCCATTTGTTTGTATCCTCTTTTATTTCACTGAGCAGTGGTTTGTAGTTCTCCTTGAAGAGGTCCTTCACGTCCCTTGTAAGTTGGATTCCTAGGTATTTTATTCTCTTTGAAGCAATTGTGAATGGGAGTTCACTCATGATTTGGCTGTTTGTCTGTTATTGGTGTATAAGAATGTTTGTGATTTTTGTACATTGATTTTGTATCCTGAGACTTTGCTGAAGTTGCTTATCAGCTTAAGGAGATTTTGGGCTGAGACAATGGGGTTTTCTAGATATACAATCATGTCATCTGCAAACAGGGACAATTTGACTTCCTCTTTTCCTAACTGAATACCCTTTATTTCCTTCTCCTGCCTAATTGCCCTGGCCAGAACTTCCAACACTATGTTGAATAGGAGTGGTGAGAGAGGGCATCCCTGTCTTGTGCCAGTTTTCAAAGGGAATGCTTCCAGTTTTTGCCCATTCAGTATGATATTGGCTGTGGGTTTGTCATAGGCAGCCAAAAAACACATGAAGAAATGCTTACCATCACTGGCTATCAGAGAAATGCAAATCAAAACCACAATGAGATACCATCTCAAACCAGTTAGAATGGCAATCATTAAAAAGTCAGGAAACAACAGGTGCTGGAGAGGATGTGGAGAAATAGGAACACTTTTACACTGTTGGTGGGACTGTAAACTAGTTCAACCATTGTGGAAGTCAGTGTGGCGATTCCTCAGGGATCTAGAACTAGAAATACCATTTGACCCAGCCATCCCATTACTGGGTATATACCCAAAGGACTATAAATCATGCTGCTATAAAGACACATGCACACGTATGTTTATTGCGGCACTATTCACAATAGCAAAGACTTGGAACCAACCCAAATGTCCAACAATGATAGACTGGATTAAGAAAATGTGGCACATATACACCATGGAATACTATGCAGCCATAAAAAATGATGAGTTCGTGTCCTTTGTAGGGACATGGATGAAATTCGAAATCATCATTCTCAGTAAACTATCGCAAGAACAAAAAACCAAACACCGCATATTCTCACTCATAGGTGGGAATTGAACAATGAGAACACATGGACACAGGAAGGGGAACATCACACTCTGGGGACTGTTGTGGGGTGGGGGGAGGTGGGAGGGATAGCTTTAGGAGATATACTTAATGCTAAATGACCAGTTAATGGTTGCAGTACACCAACATGGCACATGTATACATATGTAACTAACCTGCACATTGTGCACAGGTACCTAAAACTTTAAGTATAATAATAATAAAATTAAAAAAAAAATAAAAGCAGAAATAGGCAAATCTTTTGTTTGTTTGCTTGTTTTGAGACAGGATCTTGCTCTGTCACCCAGGCTGTAGTACAGTGGTGCGATCTCAGCTCACTGCAACCTCCGCCTCCCAGGTTCAAGCAATTCTCCTGCCTCAGCCTCCCAAGTAGCTGGGATTACAGGTGTGAACCACCATGCCTGGCTAATTTTTGTATTTTTAGTAGAGATTTTAGTAGAGATGGGGCTTCACCATGTTGGCCAGGCTGGTCTCAAACTCCTGACTTCAAGTGATGTGCTCGCCTCAGCCTCTCAAAATGCTAGGATGACAGGTATGAGGCACTGCACCCAGCAAGGCAAATCTATCATAGTCAGATATTTCAATATGCTACTCTCAATAACTGATAAAACAAGCAGACAGAAAATCAGCAAGGACATAGTATACATACATACACAGAATATCAATAATATCAACAAAATACATAGAAAAATACATAGAAAAATACATAGAAAAACACATAGAAAAATACATAGAAAAATACGTAGAAAAACAATAATATCAACAAAATTGACCTGATTTATAAAATATTGTACACAACAAAATTCACATTCTTCTCAAGTGCACACAAACTCTTCCCGAAAATTGAAGAGAGAATTTTTCCCAATTCACTCATTCTATGAGGACAGCATTACCTTGATAGCAAAACTAGACAAAGACATTACAAGAAAAGAAAATTTCATGCCAATATCCTTCACGAACAGGGATGCAGAAATTCCCAAAAAAACTTTAGCAAACTGAAGGACAAGATAATTCATTGCTCTATCAAAAAAAAAAAAAAAAAAGAAAAAGAAAAAAGGCCAGGCTTGGTGGCTTATGCCTGTGATCCCAGTATTTTGGGAGACTGAGGTGGGAGGATCGCTTGAGCCTGGGAGTTTGAGACCAGCCTGGGCAACATAGTGAGATTCTGTCTCTACAAAAAAAAAAATTACAAAAACAAACAAAAAGATAATTGGGGAAAGAATACTCTTTTTAACAAATGATCTTAAGACAAATAGATACCCACATTCAAAGGAATATACAGCAGTTGGACCCCTTCCTTACACCAAACAAAAAGATTAATACCGAACGGTTCACAGTCCTAAATGTAAGAGCTAAAAATATGTCATTTTTTTTTGAGATGGAGTCTTGCTCTGGGGTGCAGTGGCGTGATCTCGGCTCACTGCAACCTCTGCCTCCTGGGTTCAAGCAATTCTCCCTGCCTCAGCCTCTCAAGTAGCTGGGACTACAGGCACCCGCCACTATGCCCAGCTAGTTTTCGTATTTTTTAGTGGTGACAGGGTTTTGCCACGTTGGCCAGGCTGGTCTTGAACTCCTGACCTCAGGTGATCCACCTGCCTTGGCCTCTCAAAGTGCTGGGATTACAGGCGTGAGCCACCGTGCCTGGCCTAAAAATATAAAATTCTTAAAAGAAAACACAGGAGTAAATCTCCATGACTCCAGACTAAGCAAAGTCTTCATAGATATGACATCAAAAGCAACAAAAAGAAAAAGAGAGAATTGGGTTTCATCGAAACTTAAAACTTTTGTGTTTCAAAGGACACCAGCAAGAAACTGTCTGACTGCCCACAAAATGGAAAAATGTATTTGCAAATTAGATATCTGATAAGGGGCTTGTGTCTAGAATATGTCAAGAACTCTTACGACATCTTGATGCAGAGCAGGTGAGCTCTACAGCAGGGCTTAGCCTGTGAGGGTTCTTGGCTTTGGCCAGGGAAGGATTTAAGGGTGAATGGGAGGTATGGAAGCGGCAGGGCTACAGCTCCTGCAGAGCGGGGCTGCCCCCCAGGCAGAAAGCAGCAGCTCAGGGCAGTGTCGCAGTCATATTTATACCCACTTTTAACTGCGTGCAGATCAAGGGGTGGTTTATGTGGACATTTCTAGGGAAGCGGCAGTAACTTTTGGGTCATCAGGCCATTGCCATGGAAAGGGGTGGTAACTCCCAGGTGTTGCCATGGTGATGGTAAACTGGCATGATGCGTTGGTGGGCGTGTCTTATGGAAGGCTGCTTCCTCCCTGACCCTGTTTTATCTAGTCCTCAATTTGGTCTTGTGTCTGAGCCCCACTTCTGGAGTCAAGTTCTGCCTCTTATCTCCATTTCTCCAACTAAGATCTACAAATGGCCCATAGCACACAAAAAGATGCTCAACATCATTAGCCTTTAGGGAAATGTAAATCCAAACCACAAGAAGGCACCACTTCACACCCACAAAGATGGCTACATCCAAAAGACAGACAGGCCAGCACGGTGGCTCATGCTTGTAATCCCAGCACTTTGGGAGGCTGAGGCGGGTGGATCACAAGGTCAGAAGATGGAGACCATTCTGGCCAACATGGTGAAACCCTGTCTCTACTAAAAATACAAAAATTAGCTGGGCGTGGTGGTGGGTGCCTGTAGTGCCAGCTACTTGGGAGGCTGAGGCAGGAGAATCGCTTGAGCCCGGGAAGCAGAGGTTGCAGTGAGCTGAGATTGCACCACTGCACTCCAGCCTGGACAATAAAGCAAGACCCAGTCTCAAAAAAAAAAAAAGGCGGGGGGCAGTGGCTGATGCCTGTAATCCCAGCACTTTGGGAGGCCGAGGGTGGTGGATCAAGAAGTCAGGAGATTGAGATCATCCTGGCTAGCAGGGTGAAACCCTGTCTGTACTAAAAAAATACAAAAAAATTAGCCGGGCATGGTGGCAGGCGCCTGTAGTCTCAGCTACTCAGGAGGCTGAGGCAGGAGAATGGTGTGAACCCAGGAGGTGGAGCTTGCAGTGAGCCGAGATTGAGCCACTGCACTCTAGCCTGGATGACAGAGCAAAACTCAGTCTCAGAAAAAAAAAAAAAAAAAAAAGAAGACAGACAATAGCAAGTACTGAGGAGGGTGTAAAGCCATTGGAACCCTCTTTCATTGCTGGAGGTAATGTAAAAACCTTGCAGCTTTTCATGTTCAGACTGAAAAGGAAGAAGTAAAACTGTATTTATTTATAAACAATATGATCGTATATAGAGAAAATCTTAAGGAATCCTCTAAGAAACTAGTAGAACTAATAAATGAGTAAAGCAAGTCAAAGGAAATGAGGTCAATATGTAAAAATCAATTGTAGTCTACGGCAACCTCTGAAATGAAGTTAAGAAAATTCTACTCATGATGGCATAAAAAGAATAAACAAATTTATCAGCATTTAGAAATAATTAATAAAATAATTATAATTCAATATCTAATAAATAACATTATTATGTATTAATAGCTTTCACAAAGAAGTGCAAGATGTGTGCTGAAAGGAACAAGACGCTGGTGATAAAGTAAGAACTCTACCTAAATGGAGAGATGCTTCTGTGTTCATGAGATGGAGGCCTCAGTGTTGGTAAGATTTCATCTGGACATTCTCTCCAGAGGGGTTCAACGCACCTCCATCAACATTCCAGCAGCCTTCTTTTGTTGTTGTTGCAGAAGTTGGCAAACTGATCTTAAAATTTTATACAGAAATGTAAAGGTCCCAGCAGAGTCAAGATCATTTTGAAAAGGAAAAACAAAACTGGAGGACTCTCCAATTGGAAAACGTGCTAAAAGCAACAAGAATCCAGATAGCGTGGCCCTGGCATAGACTGAGGATAAATCAGGATAGACAGATCAGTGGAGCAGACGGGGGGTCCAGGCATCAACCCTGACTCTTAGGGCTGACTGATTTTCAACCAAGGTGCCAGGGCAACTCAACGGCAAAAGGACGGTGTTCTCAACAAATGATGCTGGGATGATTGAACATCCCCATGAAGAAAAGATGAATTTAGAACTTTATCTTTTCCATAAAAAATAACTCACACTGGATCCCAGGCCTAAATGTAAGAGCTAGAACTATAAGAGTTCTGGAGGGATACGAGAAAATCTTTGTGAAACTTGGGTTAGGCAAAGAATTCTTAAATACGGTACCAAAACTATGCTCCATAAAAGAAAAAATGGACAAACTGGACTTCAGCAAAATGAAAAACTTTTGCTGTTCCAAAGATAGCATTAGGCAAATGAAAAGATGAGCCGTAGGTGGACGGAAAGCATTTGCAAAGACATATCTGATAAAGGACTTATATCCGCAATAGGTAAAGAACTCTATAGCTAAAAATAAGAAGACAACCTTTTTTTCATTTTTTTTTCTTCTTTTTTTTTTTTTTTAAATGAGACAGGGTCTCCCTCTGTCACCCAGGCTAGAGTGTAGTGGTGCAGTCACGGGGCTCACTGTAGCCTCAACCTGCTGGGCTCAAGGGACTCTCCCAATTTCAGCCTTCCGAGTAGCTGGGACCACACGCATGCACTACCATGACCAGCTAATTAAAAACAATTTTGGTTTTTTTTTTTAGGGATGGGGTCTCACTATATTGCCCAGGCTGGTCTTGATCTCCTGGACTTGGCCGGGCACGGTGGCTCACGTCTGTAATCCCAGCACTTTGGGAGGCCAAGGCGGGTGGATCACGAGGTCAGGAGATCGAGACCATCCTGGCCAACACGGTGAAACCCCGTCTCTACTAAAAAAAAATACAAGAAATTAGCTGGGCGTGGTGGTGGGCGCCTGTAGTCCCAGCTACTCGGGAGGCTGAGGCAGAAGAATCGCTTGAACCTGGGAGGCGGAGCTTGCAGTGAGCCGAGATCGTGCCACCGCACTCCAGCCCGGGTGACACAGCGAGACTCTGTCTCCAAACAACAACAACAACCACAACAACAACAACACCAAGAAGAAAGATCTCCTGGGCTCTAGTGATCCTCGCACCTCAGCCTCCCGAAGTGCTGGGATTTTAGGTGTGAGCCACTGTGCCTGACTGATAGTCTAATTTTTAAAAAATGGGTACAATATTTGAATAGACATTTCTCCAAAGAAGATAAACAAACAGCCAATCAACACAGCGAGAGCCACTCATCGTCATCACTCGTTAGGGAAATGCGAATCAAAATCACGAGGAGCTATCACTTCACACCCACAGGGCAGCTATTACAAAAAGACACAATTCCAAGTGTTGGGAAGACGCAGAGAAATCTGAACCTTCATGCATTACTGGTGGGACTGTAAAATGCTGCAGCAATTTTGGAAAAACAGTTTAGCAGTTTCTTTAAAAGTTTAGGCCAGGCGCGGTGGCTCACGCCTGTAATCCCAGCACTTTGGGAGGCTGGGGCGGGCTGATCACCTGAGGTCGGGAGTTCGAGACCAGCCTGACCAACATGGCGAAACCCCATCTCTACTCAAAATACAAAATTAGTGGGGCATGATGGCACATGCCTGTAATCCCAGCTACTCAGGAGGCCAAGGCAGAATCACTTGAACGCGGGAGGCGGAGGTTGCGGAGAGCCGACATTGCACCACTGCACTCCAGCCTGGACAGCAAGAGTGAAACTCCATCTCAAAAAAAAAAAAAAAAAGTTCAAACATAAATCTACCATGTGATCCAGCAATTCCATTCATAGGTGCATACCCATGAGAAATGAAAACACATTCACACAAAAACTTGTATACACATGTCCACAGCAGCACTATTCATAACAGCCCAAGGTACAAACAACTGCGATGGCCAGCAGCGGATGAGTGGGGAAGCAGAAAGTAGCCCCTCACTAGAATGGAAGACTGTTCCTCCTAAAAAGGAAGGACACTCTGACACACGTGCACGCGTGCCCCCCCACACGTATACACATTCAGACCTGTGCACACCTGTGCAAGGCATACACACATATGCACACACATACAGGAGCACGCACATCACACAATATGTGCACACATGCTTGCACACACACCCAAGGCTGCCCTGACTGGCAGGGAAGCTGGCACACCTGCGACCTCTCTGCCAGGCTCTGGGCACGAAGTCACTGCTGTGCCTCAGGAGCCACATGCAACATCTCGTCCGCATCTTCACTGCTTAAGAACCTGCTGCCTGTTTCTCTTTTGGAAACGTTAGGTCATCTCCCCCTGGAGATGCTTACTCTTGGCAATTTCCCCGTGGTCCTGCAGCAGCTGAACGTTCACCGAGAAGGGAGACCCTTGGGCCACTTCCATCACCTCCGGACCCAAGATCACGATCCTCGTAGCTTGTTCTGGGAGAGGACAGAGTGTGGCTTTAGCGGTGACTGGCATGGTCCCCCACCCACCCCATGGCTGAGTCAGCAGTGGGCACCCCAGGAACCGACCAGAGCCCAGTGTGGCAGCTGGAACACAAGCACATGCGGGGGCCGACCCTCCGCAAACCACCTTGCAGAGCAGCGACCTGGGCAGTCGTCCACACTCAGACCGTGAGGCTCGGCTCTGCTGGCCTGGAGCACTGTGGAATCGAACCAAGTGGACCACCGGGGCCACGGAGCATGCAAGAGACACAAGTGGGCGGTGTGGGGCTGTTGGGTTTTCCTGCCCGTGGAATGTTCCCGCACGTCTTCCCGCTGGTCGGGATTTAGGCCCTGCATTCCCTGCATCTGAGTCAGCACCCTGAGGTGCTGGACCTGGGACTAGGGCAAGGCCTGGCAAGGGTGGGTCCACCGGCTGGCCAGTGCCTCCTGGCAGCCAGGGCCGCCCCTGCTCCACCGGGGCCTGCAGGGCATCGCTGTGGGTGGTGTCGTCACACCGCATCCTGCTGCCCACCGCCCCTGCCCCCACCTGCCATCCCTGACTCTCCCCTATGGATTGGCCTCCAGCAAAGCACAATGGAGGGGCTTTAAAAGCAGATGCTGAGAGAACACCTGGGATCTGAGGCTGCCTCAAAAGGCAGCACAGGCGATGCCGGGTGCACAGGGTGGCGGGTGCCCCGGACTTCATGGTAATGGTGGGGCTGGGGAAGGGCCTGAAGCTCTGGCCCCTGTGGGAGCTCCTGCTGTGTTCTGGGGGCAAAGCCAGAGCCCACCTTGGCTCGGAGGGAGACCCTCCTCGGGGTGAAGCCAGACTGCGTCCTGCACCTCTTGCCCCGTTTTTCCCACCTAGAAATTTCAACAAGGGCCAAGAGACTTTTTTGGGAGGAGGGGCTGGGATCTGGATTCTTTCCCTTGAGGTGAGGTCACCAAGACACTCCTGGAGGGCTCTGCTGAGGATCCAGGGGCCCCTCACGGAGACTCCACCTGAGGGAGAAGCACCTGGGCCGGGACCCAGGCTCGGCCTCCATCCCAGGATCCCCTGCAGGGTGCACTGTGTGCGTGCGGGTGCTGGGACCCACCTCTCAGTGCTCCCCAGGCACCTGGCCACTCCTGCCTTCCCGAAGATCTCAGCCTCCACGAGGAGCCCGGGGCCAGCGGGTCTGTGCTGAGGGCAGCAGTTACTGTCACCCGTCACCCCTGTGACCTCTCCCAGCTAACAGGTCTTGGTCCCCCAAGGTCCTCCAACCCAGGAGGTATGTGTGGGGCTGCCTGGGCTGAGACCTTGCAGGTGCCCCGGCGCAGGGCCAGAGTCGGTGCTGGCGGCACCTGCACCTGTGTCGTGAACTTGGCCCCGAGGTTTGGATGAGTGTTGTGTCCCTGGCTAGACTGACCCCTGGGGTGGCACCCTCATCCTGGAATCTATTGAGAGGCCACCCAGAGGCCACCAGGAACACCATGGGGAGAGGGAGGGTGGCTCGGGAGGCAGCCCCCAGAGGAGGCCCAACTGGCTGGTCCTTCTGTGAGCCGAGGCCACCCTGTGGCCACATCACAGTGCAGAGGGCTCAGGGAAATTGGACAGAGGCCACTTGGGGGACAGCGCAGCCATGACGAGGCCACCCCCAGACACTCAGGCCCCAAGTCCGGGAAGCCCCACTTGCAGCAGGACCACTTTTGACATCAGATTAGAACATGTTTTTCCTTAAAAGGGGTGGGGTTTTATATTCCACTTTGCCCCACCCCTCCCCAGTGTGCTCTTGGTCAGTGTTTCCCATATGGCTGCCCGGGGGCCAGGGACACACCCCACAGTGGACCTCACAGTGCCCACAGGAAGGCAGGGACACCTACCTGCTGGGTGGCCATTGATCCACAACCCATAATAGGTGACCCCTGAGCAGTGGGCCATGCTGCCCAGTCCACTGAAGACGTCGCTGTGCCACTGTCCCTGCAGAGAGAAGGGTGAGGCTCAGGCTGGTGGCTCCCAAGGGGCTTTTGTGGGTCCCCGCATGGCACTGCAGCTTCCTGGTGCTACAGCAGGGCCCCAGGACCAAAGGCTGCTAGAAAACCACATCGTCTCGAGGGTCCTTGCAGCCTGTCCCTCGGTGGTGAGAAACTGTTTCATTAGAATGCAATCCAATTTGCTTTGCAAAATATACTCCCTTTGGAATTTTAACGATGCCAGGAGGTATGGGAACAACGGCACAGTATATAAAATGCAAACAAAACCTCGAAGGGGCACATTTCAGCAAAAAAAAAAAATCCTTTTAATACAAAGATATTGTGTTTGTGGCATGTATCATAAAGGAGGCCTGAACCCGCAAACTGGCCGACTGTGGCGTTGGGATTAAGGTGCCCTGCTTGTCCGTTACACTGTTCATTTATACATGAAGAGGCCAATTAAAAAACACAGTTTGAAAAAATGTGCCCGTGAGCTTGGGAGAAATGCCTGTTCGCTGTACACCCCAACTCTGCCTCCTTCATAACAAGCCTGGTTTCCAAGTCATACAACAAAGCCTGGGAAAATCATGTGAAATAGCAGGGTGATTATTTTCATGGAAAATTTAAATGGTATTTCATTTGACTCTGAATTACTTCTATTAGAAGAAAAATTAACCAAAGGCACGTTTTGCTTCTGTTCACTCTCTGGCAGGAGCCAAGTGGGCTCCTGCTTCCCTGCCCGGCCCTCCCTGGGTGCCTTTCCCAGGGGAACCCCGAGGCAGCGGTGGCAGGTCTGCAGGGCGCAGCGTGTGCCTTCTGGGGCTTCTCCACGGATCCTGGGCCCTGGGATGTGTGGGAAGAGACAGCGAGGGCCGAGGGCCAGGGCTGAGGAGTGTGGCAGATCAGGGACAAGTGGATGGCGCTGGAGCTCTCTCTGGCTGCAGGGAGACAGGGCCTCTGCAGACAGTCCTGAAGGCGACTGGATTGCCCCAAAGGCCAGGGAGAGCCACAGTACATGAAGGGCTGGGGCAGGGTGGGGGCAACTCACAGCTGCTGGCTGGGAGCACGGCTCACGCCTCCAGGCAGGGGGCTCCGATCCGAGACAACTGGCAGCCCGCGTGGGTGCCCGGAGGCAGCAAAAAGGCAGCTCTCAGCTTCAGGAGAGGCTGGGCAGCCAGCTCGGGGTGCCAGGTGGGCAGAGGCCCGGCTGCTGTCTGGACAGGGCCCTTGCTCCTGAGGCTCTTGTTCCTCCAGCTCCCAGACCCCAAGATCCCAGCCAGCACCCACCCGGCTGCATTCCTGCAGTGTTCCAAGCTGAGCGCACCACTGACGTCACCCCATCGGCCTAGACAGTTGCCCTGAAGATCAGAGTCCGGTTCACCGTGCCACCCTGGGCTCTGGGCAAGCACCATCCACACTGGCAACTACAGTGGATGGGGGCCCCAGAGCTGACCACATGTGGGGTCAGGTGAGAGTGGTTCTGGGCTTCAGCTACCAAGGACTGGCGCAGAGTCCATGGGCTGCCCTGACTGCTGCTGCACGGCATGCCTGGAGGCCATGCCATGCCCTGTTGGAGGCCGTGGGCACCCTTGCATCCACAGAGCACCTCCCCTCAGCCTTGCCCCCTCAGCTCTCTGTCCTATGACTCCAGACGTTCCCACCAAACTGGGTGAGAGTCCAACGCATTTGATTGGCATCTCTTGAGGGTCCCTTCCTGGGACCATTGTCCTCACTGTCTCTCATCTCATTCACGCTGGACGGGGAGAGGCGCGAGTCAGCGCACAGCTGAGGGCTCTTCAGGGCGTCCGGGGCCCCCGTCACCGTCAGTGATGAGAATGGCGATGTCTGGTCTCTGCCCCCTTCCACCTGCTCGGCCTCTGGAAGGTGCCCCGGGCTTTCAGGAGGAGGGAGGTGGAGCTGCGGGGCAGGGCTGACACCAGCTGCAATATGGCGTCCAGGGTGAGTACCCAGTGAGGCTGTGGCTGGGCAGGGGAAGCCAGACACACTCGAGTCATGAGAAATGCAGAGGTGCAGAGCCCGCCTTTGGGGTGAGTGGCTCCTCCCATGGTTGGTCTGGGGCTGCGGCTCACGTATGTGGCACGAGCCTGCCTGGCATCCCCCTCCCTGGGTGCGCAGCAATCAGGTCAGGGCTTGGCATCCTCGGTACCCACCGCTGGTGTCCGGGTGGGAGGGCTGAGCCAGGCAAGCTTTCATGCAGCACTTGGTCAGTCCAAGCACATTTGAGTGATCAATTCAACTGATCCAATAGCCCGGTCTTGTCTAATTCACGTTATCAATCACACCTTTGACAATTCGGCTGTTTCTGTTTCATGTACCCCAAGCAGGAACGAGCAAGAGCTTATTAAATAGGGTGCAGGGGAGGCTCCTGATCCTCCTGCTGACGGCACAGACTGGGACACTGAGAGTCCTGGAGCAGCTGCCTCCCACCCGGGCCTCAGGGAGCACCCAGGCACAGTCCAGGCCGATGCCCAGCGTGGAGAGTTACGTGCGGGGCCTCAGCCACACACAGGCTGGGACCGAGGAATGGGCATTTTGCCACCTGCTCACCCTCCTCCTCCCTGCTGGGCCACTGCCTGGCACCCAGGTGAGCACAGGTGTGCGGTACGGGACACGGGAAGGTGGTGGTGGTCACACGACCTTTGGGGAAGGGCCACTGGGGTCCAGGTCCACACCCAAAACACAGAGGCAAACAGCGGTTCCAAAGTCAGGAAGCAGTCGTGCAGGATGATGGTGACACACATACGTCCCCCTCGGTCACAAAGGCGACCCCAGGACCACAAGGGTGTCCTCTGTGAGGGGCCCTCCCTTCCCTGCCCAGCCGGGTGGCAGAGCACTCAGGAGGCCCCGGGCAGTGCTCGGCTCTCCCCAGCTCCCAGCACCACTCAGCCGAAGGCTCACACCTTCCCTGATAGTCGACAAGCTCGGACGGCTCGGCTGGTGCAGGGACTGCTCTGGCGCTGGCCCACTCCAAGCAGCCTGGGGCAGAAGAGGTTGTGAGTGCTCTTCTTTCTCCCAATGGGAAGCACTTCTGGTCCATTCATGCTGTTTTCTTTCCATGCTTTATTGGAAGCTATGCCCTCTGTTTTCAGGCCCTAGTCAGGCATCCACCCTCCCCTGGCACCATCAGGCACTTCCTGCCTCTGGCCCTCCTGGGGGGGTCCTGGGTCTGGTGCTCCTTGGGGTTCAACAGCCCTGGGAGGTGGGGGTGAAGAGCAGGGGCTCCAGCTTTCCCCAGTGTTGGCCTCGAGGGTGCTGTGGTCTGGAGAAAGTAACCCCCAACCATTGCCAAACCTTGGGCATCAAGAGACGGGGCCTTTGCTGAGGTTCACGGCCTGGTGCACCAGGTGGGGGCTCCGAGGACCAGCTGCCCAGCCCCCTCAGGCCACGTCATGAGTGAGGAGCCTGCCGGACCCTTCTGCCTGGGCCCTGCGACTGCTCAGGGGCTGGTGTGCCTTGGTGGCACGGGTGGGGCTAGCTCTGGTTTCTGAAGACCGGCCATTTGCATCACTTCATGGTAACAGTGAGGACCAGGGGTCCTGCATTTGACCTCGCTGGTCCCATCGCAAGTGCCTGGGCTTCAAGGTGTGAACTGTGAGGAGTTCCAGAGGGGACATGGGGCCTGCCCTAGTGTAACCCTAGTGCTTCCATGACGGCCCCAACAGCCGGCCCCCTCCTCTGCCCCAGGGTGGTGGGGGGTCCACATGAGGCAAGCCGGCCAGACTCCCCACAGGCCATGCGTGCTCAAACACCCCAAATTATCTACATGATTCTCAGTGTTACATGCACCCCAGGAGTCCCCCACTGGCCCAGGCTTCCTGGACTGTGACCCCTGGGTCCAAGGGCAGTAGGCCCAAACGTGGAGGCTATAGGCCCCGTGGAGGCCCCCGGTTGGGCATTCCCACACACGCCCAGCTGAGGAGAGGAGGCTCGGGGACTGCGGCAGGCAAAGCCGCCCAGAAGGAGCCACCTGCTCCGTGCAGTGAGCAGGTGCTCGGCACCCAGCGGCAACTCCGGGAAAGCTGGCGTGTGAGACAGCCAACACTCACGGCGCAGCTGATACAGCCAGGGATGCCCGGAGGGCCGCGCTGCTGCCAACATGGGTAGGAGACACTCTGATGTGCACACACACGTGTGGCCTCTACTCTGTCTGCTCCGTCTCCCACCGAGGATGTTCTGGAGGACGTGTGGGGCCTGCCCAAGCCCTCGGGTCCTGGGAGGTCGAGCAGTAAGCTGTAAACTAGGAGTGTGGGGGACGGAGATGGCTGAGGCGTCACAGGCTGGTGGGGGTGCTCGTGGCCCAGGACCTCTGTGGCTTCCGGGACCGGCCTGAGCCGCGTGGCTCCTGTCCCTGTGGAAGAGGAGCCTTCTCTGCTTTGGGATCCGCTGTTCTTATTTTCCGTCAGAAGAAGCTGTAACACGTTTATTTTCAGGAATGCATTTTTTTCTAGAATGCATTTTTAAAAAAAGGTTCTTCATAGAGCTTTGCATTAAGGAATACTGGCTGCAAGGCAGGAGACACGGTTTGCAGAAAACACACCTGCTGTCGAGAGGGAGAACAGGTCTCCCGGAGGGGCCTCACCAACCCTGAGCTCATGGTGCCTGGGTAGCAGCCGATGTCTCCTTGAGTTTCTCCTACTATAGATGGGTGGATCAGAGCTGATGTAGGAGGTGCCAAGGGCATGATCCGAGGTGGGCAGAGGTGAAGGCCAGGAGAGAGAGAAGAAAGGACTTACCACTTTCTAGTCTTTTCAGAACATAAAATGATCTCTAAAAATAAACGAACAGCCGGCGCTGGTTGGGGTGTGGCTGGAGGGGCAGGGCAGTTCTAAGAGGCAACTCAGTGTCCAAGAAGGTCCCAGCGCCTACCTCGTGGCCCTGATCGATGGTTTAAGCTCCCAGGGAAGAAGTCAAAAGGCCAAACTCCTGTGCACAAAGGCACTCCACAAAGCCTGGCAGCACCAAACATGGTGAGGGGCAGGTGCTCACGGGTGGGGGCAGCTGGTGGCCAGGACTGGGGGAGACTACAGCTGCCAAGAAGCGTCAAAGAGGGGGAGACCGGGTGCGCAGTGGTGGCCACGGCTGACAGTGGGTGGGCTTGCATCTCAATTGTGGTTATTGTTAAGAGGGCTAAACTCATTAGGGTAACCTTTTACAAAAATAACAGAAAATAACCAGTGTTGGTGAGGCTGGGGAGGAACTGGAACTGTGTGCACTGTGGGCAGGAAGGTAAAAGGGTGAGGCCGCTGTGGAGAACAGCATGGCGGTTCCTCAAAAATTAAAAACAGAATCACCATCCGATGCAGCAGTCTCACCTCTGGGGCTGTGGCCCACAGGGCCTTGAAGAGTTCTCTGTGCAGCCGTATTCACAGCAGCATCACCCACAGGACCCAGGAGGGGAAGCCTCCCCAGAGTCCACCCACAGATGGGCAGAGAAGCGTGTCTGTCCACACGGGGTGGTGGTGGTGGGGGGTGCGGGCCCGGCTCAGCCTTAGCAAGGAAGGAGGAGCTGGCACAGGCTCCAGCATGGAGGCTTCTGGGGACACCGCGCCGGGTGAAACAAGCCTGGCACGAAAGGACACCACTCACAGGAGGCCCTGAGATCAGCAGAGTCTACAAACACACAGTGGAACAGTGGCTGCCAGGGGTTGGAGCGTGGGGAGTTCGTGCTGGATGGGGACAGAGGTTCGGGTGGGAAGCTGACAAAGTTCTGGAGGTGGATGTGGTTGTGGCTACACGAAATGTGCCCGTGCCTCCTGCCACGCCACTGCACGCTTAAAAGTGGTCACGGCCCAGCGCAGCGGCTCACGCCTGAAATCCCAGCCCTTTGGGGGCCAAGGCAGAAGCACTTGGGGCCCAGGAATTGGAGATTAGCCTGGGCAACACAGTGAGACCTCGCCTCTTCAAAACAAAAAGTAGTTAAGATGCTAAGTTTTACGTTACATGGATTTTACCATGACAAAATGGTTAGTGTTTTGGTTTTTTATTTTTTTGAGACAGGGTCTTGCTCTGTCACCCAGGCTGGAGTGCAGTGGGCGTGATCTCAGCTCACTACAACCTCTGCCTCCCAGGTTCAAGCGATCCTCCCTCCTCAGCCTCCTGAGGAGCTGGGGCCACAGGTGTGTACCACCATGCTTAGCTAATTTTGTATTGTTTAAAACTTCTTTTGTAGAGACAGGGTCTCCCTGTGTTGCCCAGGCTGGTCTTGAACTCCTGGGCTCAAGCAGTCCTCCCACCTCGGCCTCCCAAAGTGCTGAGAGTACAGGTGTGAGCCACTGTGCCTGGTCGACAAAATGTTTTTTAAAGCGGGCTAAATATTTGACTAATGACACCACAAGCAACGGCTGTCCCCTCACTCTGGACAGCTCTCGGGATGTGCGGCCTGACCCCCGTCTCTGGCGGCTGCTGCCTCTCCGGGTCGATGCCGTTTTCTCTCCAGGTTGAAGGTGGAGGAGAGGCACTGTGACCGGAGGGCCCAGCGCTAAGATGCAGAGCAGAGAACTGAGCAGCTGAGCCAAGAGAGCCTCGCTTCTCCTCATTATCCAGAGTCCAAGGGACAGACCTGGTAATGTCTTCTTGCACAAACAGCCATGTGAAAACCTCCTGCCTCTGAAGCGTGGTCTGGCAGCCACGGCTGTGCTGCGTGGGAGGCGGCCCCGGCCCAGTCCTGACCTGAGGGGATGGGAGCCCAGCCTGTCCTTTTGGCCTCGGGCGCCCTTCTCAGCGTCTACATCGGTCTGGGCAGGAGGAATGCCTGGAGAAGGCGCTGGAGGAGCAGGCAGCTCACTGGCCATGGTCTGCCCGTGCCTGCAGGTGTCAGCAGCGTGGACGAGGCCAGGGGACTGCTGCCACCAGTGACACTGCCCAGAGCACCCCGTGGGGCAGCAAGCACCAGCACACAGCAGTGTCCCCAGGGAGCTCAAGCCACGGGCCTGCCTGGGGAGGGTGTGCGGGCCTCGGTTGGCAGGCGGTCCCAGGGCCTGCCCAGGTCTCCCAGTCCTCTGGGCCTGGACGGCAGAGGAGTGGGGAGGTCATGTTATAACCCCAGGGAATGTAGGTCACGCGAAGGGTTTGGCACCAAGACTCTCGCAGAAATCCTCTGCAAAACCCTCTGCAGAATTCAAGGTTTTACCACCAAGGGGAGAAACCATCCCAAGCAGAAAGGCCTGGGGGGCCGCTTGGGGGCCCGGCTCTCAGGAGTACCCAGCCAGCCCTTGGGCCCAGTGGCCATCCCAGGCCATCCTCCCCCGTCCAAACTCATGGCTTGGGAATAAGCTCTGGGCTCCCGGGGAGGAGCTGCCTCCCTCCAGCAAGGCCCGGGCCAGTGTGGTGCCGGGACAGGGCTGGGCTGCCCCCTGGTGGATGCGCTGAGCACCCTGGTGCTGTCAGCCCAGGAGGGAGGGCGCCGTCCCTTGCCTGGTCCTCTCTCTTGGCCCAGGGCGCTGGTGACCAGCAAGCAGTGTGGACCCGAGTTGGCGCCTGGGTAGTAGCCAGGGGACCTGTGGGACAGAACAGCCTCTGGGGACAGGGCTAGGCTGGGAGTGGGGGTGGGGAGGACAAAGCTGTCCATGGTCCTCTGGAAGAACAGGAGCTGCTTCTCGCCCGGCCCAGGCCGGAGGGGATGGCCCTGTCTGGCAGCAGGCGGCACCTCTGTGTCCCTGGGCCATGAGACAGGCCCTGACCAGGTCCTCCTGAATCTCAGGGAACATGAGGATTGGGTGAGTGGCTGGGGGCCCCCAGGGCTGTGTTGCCCTGGTGAGGGAGCCTGCCATCCTAGCACCTCAGCTTCCTCACCTATGCCCTGCTCGGACTGGTGGGGATCATGAGCCAATGCACCGAAAGGCTGACAGCAGCGCCTGGCACCCAGGAAGTGAAACCACACACCCGAGCCCAAGCTCCAGAGCTGTGCACCAGCGCCGGCCCCAGCTTTGCCCTAGCCCTGCAAGGCGAGGGAATCGTCATGGTGGCAGTGGGGTGGGGGCCCGGGTGTGCTCGGGTGGGAAGGGGCGGGCAGAAGAGAATTCTGCCCAGGGACTCCCTTAGGCGCACTCTCCCACTGCCACTCTGGACAGTGAAGACAAGGGAGCAGTGGCTGCCCCAGCACGTGGTGAAGTCTGGTCCTGTAGGATGGACACAAGTCCCCAGGGGAGAAGAGGCTACAGCATCTCCTGCATATGGCTCAGGTGAGAACCCGCAGCACCAGCCCAGGCCAGCAGGGGCAGCAACGACGCTGACATGGGCTCCCGTGGTCCAGCAAGGACACTGCCAATGGTCAACTGCCCTGAGCAGGGCTGGCAGACCCCGGAGTGGGTATGGGTGGCACTTTTACCCAAGCAGGATGCTGTTTCAAGAGCAGGGAGGGTGGACATGCATGCGGAGGGGAGCCACACTGCACCTCCCGCCTGACCACCCCTCCAGGGGCCCCACATCTGACCACCTCTGAGGCCCTGCTGCGGGCAGCTGTGCCAGCCAGGATGAGTCTCCCATCCCCACCCCCAACTCCTCCATCCCCATGTGGCCCCATGCCAACTGCCAACCCATCACCTCTCAGTTCCCAGCACCCCCCTTCCTTGCCCACTTTTGCCTGACGGGAACTGGACCCTGTCAACGTTTCTCCTTTGCCAACAAGTGCAATGCCAGGCTTTGTCAACAGAGAACAAGGCGGGACTGTGGGAGGTAGTGTTTCTACTTTAACTCCTATGGCCAGGGCCAGTGGCCTGTGGAACACCCCAGAGTCTGGTCTCTGGCAAGCGTCTCCTGCACCTCAGGGGGAGTTTCCTGAGAAGTAGCTTTGGCCCCTGGCACCCTAGAAAACCTCTCTACCACCTGGGCTGGCAGCCACACCCTCTCTGTGGAGGTCTGAGTCTCAGGAGGGTGCTGGGTTCCTCCTAGTTCCAGGGACCATTCTCTCCAACCACTGCTCCAACTTTCATAGGAGAATCTTGGCAAGGAAGGGAATTCAACTGACATTGTAATTCTGCGACCCACACAATTAAATGTTGCGTTTCTCATCAAAGCAGCCCCGAGGCTCTAAGGAACGAGGGACTCCTCTCCACGGCCACAGCAGTCCTGATTCTCAGGCTGTGACCTGCGCTGCGTTTAGAGACCTGCACGCGTGGTTCCTATCTGTTAGTGCTGCTGGACGCTCAGGGGGCCCCTCACAGCCCTTGCAGTCATGGTCATCTTCGTGGCTGCGACAGCCTCACACAGCAGCACCTGGGTTTCTGAGGCTCTCAATTCCGCTAGTGCCTCACGCCCAGCATGGGGGATGGCTTGGTTAACCGTGAAGCACCCCCACACTGTGGACCAGCAGCCTCCCCTTCCCACCAGCCAGGAGCTCAGGCCTGCAGCCCAGCCCAAGCAGCAACCACACCACTCCCAGACTCCACCGCAGAGGGTCTGTCTCCGGGCCCCCTCCTGACACTGAGACGTTGCTCTTCCTTCTCCTGCCCTTTTTGGTAGCTAGCTGCCTCGTCCTTGTTGGTGACTCTTTCATTACGTTTTTCCCATTGGAGTGATGGGTGTGGTTTCTGTCTCCTGAGTCGTCCTTGTTAGTGATTTTTTCATTACATTTTTCCCCATTGGAGTGATCGGTGTTGCTTCTGCCTCCTGACTGTGTCCTGAACCAGGCCCCACTGTCCATCCAATGCTCAGACCGAAAGCTCAGGCACCAACCTTGACTCTTCTCTTGCCTTTGCCCGCACATCCAACCTGTCAACAAGTCTGGTGTCCTCTCCTCCAAACATCCTGAAATTTGCTCTCTGCACTCACGGGGCCGCTGCCCCATTCGCCCGAGAACAATCCTAGTCCCTGCCTTGTAGGGCCTGTCACAGACCAGAATGTACCACCCCCAAATCTGCCTCTTTGGCATCAGCACTATTTTGAGCAGATTATTTTGAGAAACTGCAGACACAGGAGAAGCTCCCTTTTGTAAGAAAAAATTTGCATCCGTAAAGGAAGTTCCACGGTAAGGGCATCTCCTCTCCGTACCAGGAAGAGAAAGGCCCCAGATCGCCGAGGCGCAGAGGCTCCCATCGGTGGAGAAGGCCCCGCCTCAGCTGCGCCACCAGTCTTATCCCCGTGACTGGCCCCCAGCACCCTTCTTCCTTTGGTTTGGCTGAAGATGGGATTTAAGTCAAAAGTGAGAGCCGCCTGTGAGCTTCCCTGCCTCTCCGCGTACCTCCTGAGTATACACAAGGCACACATATGAATACACTCCTGTTTTTCTCTTTTCCCAACAGGGAACTGTGAGGGGAGAGAGAAACTTATCTTCCCACACGGGATCAGGGAATCGCAGGGCCTGGCACATGGAGAAGCTGCCAGGGTGAGGCTCCCCATACACCCCACGCGCCCTGCCCACCACGAGGCCTGTACCCTCTGGGCAGCAGGTGCCGCGCGCCCCCGGGTACCTTGTAGGTGGAGCCGTCGGCGCAGCGCAGCACCCCGTGTCCCTGACGCCGGTCCCGGACCCAGTCGCCGTCGTACTTGTCACCGTTCCTGGGGGACACACGCACGGAGTCCACTCTCAACAGGGGGAGCCGGGTGGTGGCAGTGACTCAGACCGGCTCCTCCCACCGGGCTCCGCAGGCACTGCGGGACCGAGGCAAAAATAGGCCCGAGCAGATGGCCCCAAGAGCTCCTGCCTCGCCAGGGCCAGCTGGGGGCCGACGACAGGCGGTGGGGACACGTCCGCCCACCCCCACCCTAGATGGTAGGCCTGCTCGGGACGCACTCAGCTTCCGCTACTCAAAATGGGAAATGACCCAGGAGAGGCAACGGGAGGGGGCTGCAGTCTCCACAGCCAGTGAGGCTGAGACTCCGCCGTGGGAATTTCCACACGGGCTGAAGATGCCTAGCACTTGGGAGGCGGAGGCGGGAGGCTCTGCTGGCCGGAGAGCACCCCCATCCTCATTTAGACCTGGAGACGCTCCTGTGGTGCCACTTTGCCGCCAGCCTGACGTTCTCAGGAGGTATTTTAATCGGGGGGGGGGGGGATGTTTTATCTAAACACACAATTGGTCAATTTCAATAAACAAGGGGAAAATTACAGAATAACACCGAAACCACAGAATGTGGTTCAACAACTTGGCACTGGGGGGGTGGCGGGTAGACAGCAGGGGCCGGAACAGGCCCGGGGTGTCCCATGGCAGTCCTGTCTACACCCCCAGGCCACATGGCCTCACACCTGCCCTGTGTATCTGTCATGCGCCAGGCAGTACCCACAAGACTCATACTCACTGAAAGAGCATCTGCCCAGGGCCGTGCCTCTTGTTGTCATGGAAGGAGCCCTGGTACACTTGTCCATCCCGGTCCACCAGAAACCCGTGTCCTGGAGAAGGGACCGAGAGACAGACTTGGCTTTGTGCCTCCTCCTGCATCTGAGAAGGGATCTGCCCTCCGCTCCTTGGAGGGCGGGCAGGAGCAAAGTAGCAAGTCTAGGAGGCATGGGGCTCAGGGCCCCCCAGGAACATGACAGACCCTCCAGACCTGGCTACACAGAGGCCTCAGCACGGCTCGGTGAGGCTCTGAACGGGAAGGGCAGATGTGCTTTGGGACAGGTCGGTGAGCTGACAGGGCAGCAAAAATGGCCCTGGGGTCCAGTTCTGAAAGGTGCGGTTGAGGGGCCCTGCGGACTGCCATCTGAGGCTGCACAGGCTCTGCGTGCTGCTGGGGTGAGGATGGGTGCAGTTTGGGCCTGTCGTTTGTTTTCACAAGAAACTTCAAGTTCACAGTGAGGAGGGCAGGGCTTGACCTGAACGAGGAGAAACTCAAAAGAGGATGGGGGTTCGTAAACTGCGGCATTTTCAGATTTTGGACAACTCAGAAATTTGAGAGTATTTCTGCTTCTTTTGTTTTTTTTGTTGTCGTTGCTTTGCTTTTGAGACGGAGTCCCGCTCTGTCACCAGGCTGGAGTGCAGTGGCACGATCTCGGCTCACTACAACCTCTGCCTCCTGGGTTCAAGTGATTCTCTTGCCTCAGCCTCCTGAGTAGCTGGGATTACAGGTGTGTGCCACCATGCCCAGCCATTTTTGTATTTTTAGTAGAGTCGGAGTTTCACCATTTTGCCAAGGCTGGTCTCAAACTCCTCATCTCAGGTGATCCGCCTGCCT
Organism: Homo sapiens; assembly: GCF_000001405.40. Taxonomy (NCBI): domain Eukaryota; kingdom Metazoa; phylum Chordata; class Mammalia; order Primates; family Hominidae; genus Homo; species Homo sapiens. Next base: position 2,386,680 of record NC_000001.11, read on the forward strand.
TGGCCTCCCAAAGTGCTGGGATTACAAGCGTGAGCTACCACGCCTGGCCTCTGCTTCTTAACATAAGGAAAACACTGGAAAAAGAAGCTCCGTCTGTGGTGGAGGGTATTATGTGCTTGACTCCTGTCTCGGGTGCGGGTGGCCTTTTGGCTGTGGGACTACGGCCCGTGCTGGGCCTGGCTTGGCTGGGTAGAGGGACAGGGCACAGCCCCCTCCTGGCTTGAGTCTGGCCTCCTGACTTGCTTGGGCCAACAGAATGTGGAGGAAGTGGCTAAGCTGTCCAAGACTACTGGGCAAGGAGCTGGGCTTCCCAGGCCTATGAGGACCTCAGGGACCCTCAGGCCTGGCAGAGTTGCTGTGACTATAGCCATTTAGTGACCCCACATAGACCAGACCAGAAGCCCCTCCCTGCAGGGCCCAGGCCAACCTACTGACCCCAGGATCAGGAGCAGTTAATAAAGCAGTGGCCATTTTAACCCCTAAGCCACGGGCGTCTGTTCCGCGGTAGCGGATGACAGAGCTGCATCAAGCGCCGCAGGACCCGCTGGGCATACTGGTGTATGCCGGGCATAGGACATGGCCTGGTGGTGCGGAGAAGAGGGCATGGGCCCCCTACCTCCTTTCCAACCCTCTGAAGTCAGGCAGGCCCTCTCAGAGGTTCCTGAACCCAAGTGGACGTAGGATTCCATGTCCTGAAAGCGCCCACCCTCACAGCACCCGGCTCCTGTGGGCGCCAGACCTTCCCGCATGCCGTGGGAGACCTCCCCTTCATAACATCCGCCGGCTTTGTACTCCATGACGCCGTAGCCTTGAGGCTCTCCCAGAACAAACTGTCCAGAGAAGGTGTCTCCTGCATGTGGACAAGGAGGAGGGGAGACAGGAGGTTCAGTTCAGGGCTGCGGCCCCAGTCGGCTCTCCTCTGTCCCTGGCCCATGACACGCAGGAACCATTCCAGAATGGACGTCCCTGCCTCCATCATACTACTCAGTCTGCTTCATGAGGGAAAACATGGTAAGCAGGTCTGGTCTCCCCAACAGCTGGGCATGCAGACAGCCCCAGGCAGACACTCTCTTTGGGCATCTATCCCGAGGGCAAAGGACCCTCTGGTCGGTTTGCAGGGTGAAGGGTGAGGTTTTTCCCTGGCTCTTTAAAAACTGAAAGCCAAGCCTGAGAGAAAACACCTCCACTGAGAACCCACCGACCCCTCTGGCGTGAGGGTCTGAGGTTCCTGGACACACAGCTCCCGGCAACGAATCCCCAGAGCTGGTTTCCCATCTAGGGATACAATGTGGCTGAAATAGCTTTAAATAAAAAAGAAATAGTGTAACTTGGGACAGATAAATCTTTATTCTAGAAAAGTGTCTCCGGAAGCCTGAGTTGCTCTCAGCGGTGACCACAGAGCCTCAGTCAGGTCCCCAGGGCTTCTCGGTAGGCCAGGCCTCTCACGGCACAAAGCTTCCCGTCTACACGTCACGCCTTCTGCATCTAGACTCGGCGGACCAACTGAGCCCGATGGGTTATGAGAAAGGAGTGAATGTGCCATCCCAGCTAGAGCTCACCTGACCAGGCCCAGTGCCGGCGGCCTTCTCCCGTGATCTCTCCGTCCACAAACGCCCCTTCGTAATAACTGCCATCTTTAAATAACAACTTCCCGTGACCTGGCAGGAGAAATCGTCACGTGAACTCAGACAGTGGTTGGGTTGACTGCGAATGACACTGTGCAGTGTTGGGCCTGTTTCTCAGAACCAAGAGCTTGGCTTCAAAACTTGTGTTTGGCTCCATCACTCATGCTATACATGTATTTAAAAATAAAAAAATGTTCTCAAAAATATCTGCCGAAACACGCTTGAGCGGCCGGCGCCTTCAGCCAGAACAAGCACAGGAATCGAAGTGCAGGCAGCCAGCCTGAGCAACACGGAGAGACCCCGTCTCTACACAAAATTTTAAAAATTAGCCAGGTGTGGTGGTACGTGTTTGTGGGTCCAGCTGCTCAGGAGGCTGAGGTGGGAGGATCCCTTGAGTCAGGAGGTTGAGGCTGCAGAGAGCCATGATTGCATCACTGCACTCCAGCCTGGGCGACAGAGCAAGACTGTCTCAAAAAAAAAAAAAAAAAAAAAAAAAGAGAGAGAGAGAAGAAAACTAGGCAGAGTGGCTGGGCGCAGTGGCTCATGCCTGTAATCTCAGCACTTTGGGAGGTTGAGGTGGGCAGATCACCTGAGGTCAGGAGTTCGAGACCAGCCAGGCCAACATGGCAAAACTGCATCTCTACTAAAAATACAAAAATTAGCTGGGCGTGGTGGCAGGTGCCTGTAATCCCAGCTACTCATGAGGCTGAGGCAGGAGAATCACTTGAACCTGGGAGCCGGAGGTTGCAGTGAGCCGAGATGGCAGCATTGCACTCCAGCCTGGGCAACAAGAGCAAAACTCTGTCTCCAAAAAAAAAAAAAAAGAAAAAAGAAACAAAACTGGCAGAGAGCAGATACAAAACTGCGTGAGAGGAGTACAGTGGCGGGAACGTCCACACCACCAAAGGTTCACGGCACTTGCCTGGGGTTGGTGGGGGTACAGGTGTTATCGACTTTATACTTGCTTTTTTTGTTCTGTTTTGAGACGGAGTCTCAGTCTGTCACCCAGGCTGGAGTGCAGTGGCACAATCTCAGCTGACTGCAACCTCTGCCTCCTGTGTTCAAGGGATTCTCCTGGCTCAGCCTGCCAAGTAGCTAGGATTACAGGTGTGCCTTACCACAACCAGCTATTATTGTCTTTTTAGTAGGGTCAGGGTTTCAGCATGCTGGTCAGGCTGTTCTGGAACTCCTGACCTCAAGTGATCCGCCCACCTTGGCCTCCCAAAGTACTGGGATTACAGGCGTGAGCCACTGCGCTTGGCTTGACTTTACACTTTCTTTCTTCTATTACTTGGATTTACTACAAGAGTAGGTTCTCTTTATAATAGGAAATAAACCATAAAGCCAGTTTTCAGTCTGGAAAAGACAAATGAACTCAACCTCTAGGGAGAATTTCAAAGTCGCAGCTTCCTTTGCTAAAGGTGGCCCTCCAGGGGGGTCTCCCAGGCCTCTGTTTCCCCTGCCCATCCAGCCTTACCCTGAGCAGCCAGGGAAGCACCAGGGTACAATGGGCTCGAAAGCTACAGGAAATGCCACTTGCCCACCCAACCTCCCGGGGAGAAACTGGTTTCGTCAGCTGTGGGGCAGCAGCTGCAAGAAGAGACCACAGATGCTTCTCACCGTGCTTCCTCCCTGCTTTCCATTCTCCTTCATATCGAAAGAAGGAATTTGGGTATACGTAGACACCATAACCTGAGTATTGAGAAGACACACACAGGTAAGCACAGACACAGAGATGAGGGATGCTCTCCAGTGCTGAAGGAGGGAGTGCAGCTCCCTTGAGGGCCTTCAAGGGGTTGGTACACGTCACCTTCAGCAGACCAGAGGCGACCTGTGGGGCTCATGAGCTCTCCTGTCGACTGTTGGGCCATTCATTTGCTCATTTGTTTATGTGACAAGGATGAGGACCTACTTGGTGCAGAGAAGACAGGCCCAGTAAGAGGAGGGCTGGCTTGAAACAACTGCAGGTCCTTGAGAGACCAGAGGTGCTCGGGAGGTGGTGAGGAGCAGGTTGGGAGCCTTGTTGCAGGAGATGAGTGAGCCAGGGGAAGGCAGAGCGGCAGTGTCAGTGAGGCACACAGGGGAGGAGCAGACTCTCCCATCCCCTGCCGTGGCCCTTCAGTGGCCTCCTATCGCTGGGGAGAAAATCCACACTCATACCCAAGGATGGCCTGGCCGGCTTCATCTCCTCCTAGTTGCTGGGTGTGCCACCCGCCAACTCCTGCAGTTCCAGGAATGGGCAGGGCTCCCTCCCTACCAGCTCCTCAGGCACATTTTGTGGGCAGGGTTTATGGGAAAATGTCGGGGAGGAGGGCAGGGGGTTACTACAGGCTACTGTATCTGTCCCAAATCAGGGTCAGGTTCTACCTGAAGATAGTAGTGTTAGCTCTGAGTTCATTCCAGACCCGTTTATTTGATTCTAGAAACAGTTCCTATCAAAACCTGCTCTTTTTTTTTTTTTTGAGACTGAGTCTTGCTCTGTCGCCCAGGCTGGGGTGCAGCGGCGCGATCTCGGCTCTCTGCAACCTCCGCTTCCTGGGTTCAAGCGATTCTCCTGCCTCAGCCTCCCGAGTAGCTGGAACTACAGGAGGCACCACCCCGGGCCAATTTTTGTATTTTTTAGTAGAGACCGGGTTTCGCCATGTTGGCCACACTGGTCTCGAACTCCTGACCTCAGGTGATCCACCCGCCTCGGCCTCCCAAAGTGCTGGAAGTACAGGCAAAAACTGCTTTTGAAACGCGTCCTAGCGTTTCTGGACAGCACCGGCCAGGAAGTCAGGAGGCTTGGTGCTGCTCCTGCGCCTGCCCTCGCCCCAAGTCCTGGGCTTCGGGATCCCCATGGCAACCCCAGGTCCCGCTGGCTGTGAGGCTGCGGCCGGAACCCGGTCTTCCCGGCTAGGAGCCCGCGGGGGGCGACCCCCTGCAGGGCTTGGCCTGCTGCGGGAGGAGGGCTCGGGGAAGGGTGCGAGCCGAGCCCGAGGCGCACGGCGAGTCCTGTGGGAGTGGGGGACGCGGGGGCGGCCCTGGCTCCGCCGCGGCACCTGGACCTCTACTTTCCGAGGTGAGCATTTGGGGGTCGAGGGCGTAGAGCGATCGCACCCTGAATGGAGCCCAGGGCAGCCAGCGACCTGTCCCGTGGCCCGCAGTCGTTACCGTTCCGGGGCGGCCGCCTAGGCGGGTCCCGACGCGGCCCGCGGGAGCTCGGGGTGCCCTCGCCCGCCGCTGCCATCTTGCCGCCGAGGGTTCTCTTAGCGACCAGCAACGCCCGCTTCCATTGGTCTTTGTCGCAAGGGGGGGTGTGGCCACGGGCCTAGTCCCTGAGCCCGCGCAATCTCTGGAGCGAAGCTAGCCGGGCCCGGAGCCAGAGGACGCAGCTGCGCCTGTGCGCGTTTCCGCCGCTGTCGTCTCTTCCGCCGGGAGGCCCGCCCGCCAACGGCCTGCGCGTCTGCGCCGGAAGCGGAAATGGTTGGAGCCCTTGGCCCCGCCCTCGCGCCATCTTGGGGGCCCTGGAGGCGGCGCCGCGGAGGACGGAGCGGAAGTGCTCGCTGCAGCTTCCCGGAGCCGGAGCGCAGCGCCTGCGGCCGCCCGTGCCCCGCCGTCCTCCTTCCCGCGGCCGTGAGGGAGACCGCGGCTCGGCCGTAGCGGAGCTGCGAGGTGCCAGGAAGGGCTGCGTGGCGCGGGAACGGCCGGGCAGCGCCGCCTCCGCTTCTTCCGGGCTGTCAAGGCCGCGGGCGGGCGGGGCCGCGCTGAGGGCCGGGCGGGGAGGGCCGTCGGGGCCCGGGTGGCCGCGGGGACCGTGTTCCCGACCCGCGGCCCTGAGGGGTACGGGTCGCGCCTCGGGGTCGGGCCCGGGACGGGGTGCTGGGGGGTGCGGCGGAGCCCTGGGGCCTGCGAGGGTCGGGGGAGCGGGAGAGGGGCCGGGCGGGGGCTGCAGCCCTCGAGCCACCCGGGCCGCATCTCGTCCGCATCCCCTGCTTGGCATCTGGGGGAAGCGGGCAGTCGCGGCCCCCACAGCGCTGCGAGTTGGGCTGTATTCCAGAGTAATGTGCCCTGTCCCCATCCTGCGTCCAGGTCAGCGCTTATCTGTAGGATTTAGTGTTAAGCTCTGGGGTGAAGGCGTTACTGACGGGCTGAAGGGAAACTAGTTACATCGGTTTTGATCGTATTCTAAATAGGCAATAAAATCATAAATTCTCCAGGCTGACTTAGTACTGGTCTGTGGCCCCACTGATAAAGGTATCGTTCGTTTCTCTGCCAGGTGTCTCACAGCACAGAGGGCTGCTTTCAGCCTAAGTACCTTCAGTGGGCTTTTGCCCTTTTCCCTTTATGAAGAGTAGAGACTGGCCGCTAGTCCTGGAAGCACTTTATTTTTAGTTGAGTTGACATTTCCCAGGAAGATGCAGTTATCCCCGTAAGTGGATAAAGGGTTCTCAGTAATTCAGACTCTCACATGGCTTCTGCCGTATGCCTGAGGTGACGGCGACGGCGGTAACAGTGTGTCAGAGCCAGGTGGAGATATAAGATGGTCAGGCCCAGAGGAGCGGGGAGCCCAGGCTGGAATGTGGCCTTGGGAAGGAGGAAGAGACGGGGTCTGGGAGGGCATTTCAGAGGACTGAACAACACCAGAGGCGTGAAGCTTGGTGCACGGCAGCCGGGGGCTTTCTTAGTCCCGGAGGAATTGGGGATGGGGACGTGAAGAGAAAGGTGGGAGCCAGACTGTCAATGCTCCCGGACGCCAGGCAGAGGACTTCATCCTTTCCACGTGCAGAGTGATGGACCACAGATGTGGATGAATGTGACGGGCCTGGAACAAGGCACATAGAGAGTCTTACACTTTCTGGCACGTCCTCATGGTCTCTGCTTGGACTGGTTTTATCTCCCTTTCTGTTTTGTTTGTGACCAGGCATAAAGCAGTCACCTTCAACAGGTAATTGATGGGCTGTCTACTATGTAATGGACTTCCAGGTGGCAGGGCCCAGCCCCGAACCAGACAAGGGACCCCTCAAGGAGCTTCATTCTAGCAGGAGAAAATTGAGAAGTAAACCAGAAAGGTATCAGGAAACAGTTGTACACAAAATAAAAATAGGGTGATGTGATGTAAGGGACTGGGGGTCAGTGTGGGCGGTAACGGAGGCCTGTGAAGAGGAGGTGGGCTTCAAACTGAGCAGAGAAGAGGACTGCAGAGGGGGCAGCTGGTGTGAGGGCTGGCCCTGATCCAGGAACAGGGCTGGCACTGCCTTGCCCGGCTCCAAGGGTGCTCCACGGGCTGCCCACTGATTCCTCACGAGAGCCTTGTGGAGAAGGCATGAGAGGTGCTGTTGTCCCATTTCACAGACTGGAACCTGAGGCATCCTGGAATAGCCTGTCCTAGTCACACTGGCAGAGAGTGGTAGAGCCAGGATCTGAAAGCAGGCTGTTGGAGTCCAAAGTTCACGTTCTTGCTCCTGCCGCCCTGCCTCAGGCTATTCCTGGCAATGCGTTCAGTCAGGGTGCAAGCTGTGTTTGGTATACGTGTGTGTTTGGTATACGTGTTGTGTGTGTCAGACAAGCAGGATTGGCTGATGGCGTTTTGAGTAGGTTTTCTACATGTTCAGTTGGAGAGTGAGAAGTTCTGAGCTTTGCCTAGAGAACACCCTTTGGCGGGAGAGCTGGGTATTTTCTCCCTGACATTACTCTCATCACCTCCAGTCCAGTAAAAGTGCTTTAATGGGAAACAGTCTGAGTAAAACGGGGAAACTTACAAGGAGCTATAGGACGAACAATGTGACGGGTGGCTTTCAGATGGCCTGGCTTTGGCCTAAATAGGGTGGCCATTCCAGGTGACACATTTTAGTGTAGCCTCTATTTAAATATGGAGTTCTTTCAGTGGAGAGTAAAGGTGCTCCTCCTCTGTGTCTGGTTTACACGGCTCCGCGAGACCAAAGGGCCCCTCGGTCTCCTTGAGCAGCCTGGCACTCTGCACAGAGGATCCAGGAACGGTGTCATGGAGCCACATTCTGCACAGACTTGATGATGTGGAGGGAGCTGCCTGGATCACTTCAGCGCATCAGTTGTGATGGGAGAGCCAAGGCACTTGAGGGCGGGATTGCGTCTGGCCACCTGTTGCCTTCCACCTGAAGGGAAGATTTCCCCAGTGCTCACAGTGAGGATGGGACTGGAAAAGCGTTGGTTTCAGGAAGGTGCAGGTTCTGGCTCCTGCCCACTGCGAACATGCTGATGGGCCAGGGCAACTCTTTAGTCTTTGTGAGCTTCAGTTTTCTTATCTGTAAATGAGAACAATAAGACTGACCCCAACTGTTGCTGAGGAATGATGTCTTTGCTTTCATGTCTGGTATTTCTTAGAGCCTCATTTTACAGATGAGGAAACTGAGGCTGGCTGCGTGCTCAGAGGGTTTGCTGAAGGCCTCACAGCCGCTTAGCACAGGTGGGACTTTAAGCCAAACTTGAGACCAGAGTCTGTTTCTCCTCACTGCCCTGCCGAGGGAGCAGATGGGGGGTGGTGGGGGAGGTGAACGTCACCCCTGGCGTCTTCTCTAGCTCAGGGGCCAGGAGGCCTCTCATCTTTAAAGTAGGAATGACAACCGGCAGGCCCTGGGTACTGAGCTGTGCTTTACCGAAGAGCGGCAGGTCCTGACGCCGTCTCCTCTCAGGAGTGGGGTGGCGGCGTGCTCAGCTGAGGAGCCAGGTGGCAGTCAGGCTTGGCTTGGCCTGCCCAGAAGCAGGGCTGTGGCAGGACCTTGGACACGTGGCTTCCACTGTTTGAGACTTGGTGAAATGGGGGTCATGATGCCCTTCACTTGAGCATCTGGGAATTAAGTGGGTGAACAATGTGACCTCTGGCACCTGGGTTCTCAGGTGAATTCCTCATGGCATCACAGCAGTGTTGAAATAGGAGCAGATACGTTACCTCCGCTTGCCAGATAAGAAACTGGGACGCAGATGGATGGACTACCTGAGAGTTGTAGATAACATTTTCCTGTTCATGGGGTGGAGGACCTGGCCCTGAGAGGACAGGATCCCTCCTGCTCCTGCCAGACCAGAGACCCAGGACAGGGCGTGGAGCAGACAAGGTGCCTGGGCGGGGGAACCCTGAGGGATCCACAGAGGGTGCGGTCCTTGGAGGGAGGACATGCAGTGCCACGTGCCATGGACCAGCCAGTGGACCCCATGGCCAGCAAGGCTGCTCCTGGGGCCAGTGGGGTGGACAGTCCCGCCCACGCAGGTGACTGAGGTGCCAGTGTGGGAATGAAAATGCGGCCTGTGCTCCTGGGCCCATGCGTCTCACGCTGCCCTTCCTCTCCAGGGAAGCCTGTGTACCTGCTACTTTTTCCCGAACAATTCATGGTAAAAACACAAATGGTATATGGACAAAATACTGAATGTGGAAGAAACCTACTTGACAGTGTTGGTGAAAATAGGGCCAGGATTTCACACCCGTGAATGCTTTTTACTGAAAAGTATTTTGTGTTTTTCTCCCAGTTACAGAATGTCTGAAGGGGACAGTGTGGGAGAATCCGTCCATGGGAAACCTTCGGTGGTGTACAGATTTTTCACAAGACTTGGACAGGTTGGTGGGTTTTTTAGTAGATGAGTATAAATATTTGAAAAAGAAACGGGACTCCCAGCATTTTCGGGAAGGATCTGTTTGCTGGTGTTCCTGATGGAGAAGTTACTTCGCCTCAGGCTCAAACTTCCTGAAGACAGCGTTCTCTTCACTGTGAAGGGCCAGCTGTGGAGAGATCGGGCTCTGGGGCCACACGTGGTCTATCAAACATATGCGTTTTCTGTTTCTGTTTTCCTTTTACCAAGCTTTAAAAATATAAAACCCAGTCTCAGCTCCCAGGCAGGACAGATGCGGCCGTGGCTGCCGTTCTGCTCTTGCTGTCCCTCTCCCAGCCACCCACGTCCCCGGTGCTGGTAGCCCCACCTGCCCCGTGTCAGCTCGGCGGTTCTGTCCTTGAGGGTGAGAGGCTCTTGTGTGGGCTGCGTGTGCATTGCTTGGTGAGTGAGGGACCTAGAGCTGCCTTTGAACGCTGGAGTCCGAACCTCTGTCAGGAAAAGCTTGGGTCACCGGCAGTTCCAGGTGCTGAGGATCCGGCTCAAATAAAAATTCATCACCTTAATTAAATCACATATGAAAAGCGATTGGCGATTAATGAAGTTGGGTGACAGGCATATGTAAGCTTCTATAATCTTTTTACTTTTGTGAATTTGGAAATTTCTCACAATTTGAAAATTAAATTTCTAAATTAAAATAAAAAACCATACATATGTATATTTGTAAAAATAAATACATAAAACTAAGGGCTCCTTCGGTCATGTCCACAGCCGCCTGGACGCACACACATGTGGGTGTGGCTGCTGGGGCTCAGGCTGTGGCCAGTGGGCCTGGGAGCGGGGCAAGGCTGGCTGCTGGCTGCTGCAGATGGGGGAGCTGACTTGAGATGTGACGATAAGGGCTGTGCTGTAGGGTGGGGACTTTGAGATGCACAGTCCTCTCTTTGGGGTGAGGCTGGGTCTTCCCCATAGTGATCCCTTGGGGCCAGCACAATGTCACAGTCTCCTAGGAGATTGTTTTGTAATAGTCTTGCTTAAGAGATGAACCTGCTTCAGGAATTATTGAAAATAAACTTTGGATTAATTGTAGTCACTTCTTTGTGCTGATACATAGATGATCTCTTGCTATTTTAACTCACTCTTTTAGCTGTTTTAAAAATTGAAAGCCAACCCTAGCAGAAGGTACATTTTGTGGCAGGGTCAGTACAGAAGTTACAGGACCTGCTTCATGCTTTTGGACTCTTGTCTTTCTAGATTTATCAGTCCTGGCTAGACAAGTCCACACCCTACACGGCTGTGCGATGGGTCGTGACACTGGGCCTGAGCTTTGTCTACATGATTCGAGTTTACCTGCTGCAGGTAGGTGTGGGCTGAAGTGACGAGACTTGGCTCTGTCCACGTTACCTGGGCGTGATGTTTGTGGGGATGTTGTTGATCCAGTCTGTCTTGCAGGAAGTGGTCTCTAGTAATCAATTTTCAGCTAAACGCCAAATGTCAGAAAGATCTCAGTGACTGTCTTTAACGAACAGGGTTGTTTATGATTCACCCGGAGTCGCCTCGCCAGGCTTCTCAGTATACCCAGGCCGTCCTGAGCCCAGCCTGGCCCTGCCCTGGGCACGTCCAGGCCTGGACAGTGGAGCCGCTGGTGTCCCTCCGACCCTGCTGCATGATGCTCAGGACAAGGTTGCGCTCTGTGGCTGCCTCATTCCTTGGGTGAAGAGTCCATGCCTTGGGTGTCATGAATGACTCGGCGTCCAAAGGGTTTATGTAGCTTTTCCTGAGCTCTCCCTTGTGTGAGGCCAAAGCACAGTGCAGGTTGAGACGCCGAGTCAAGTAAGAGAGACAGTGACCGAAGGGGGTCTTGAGGGTTTCCTTCGTGTGTTTTCGGGCACCCCTAGGTCAGGTGATGTCGTCTCAGACTTCACCTGGGTGCTCCTTTACTTGCTGGTAAACACGGGGTTTCTAGGAGCAAACCTGTAAGATGGGAATTCTTCGTCGGTCTTTAGAGGAGGTTACATAATCTTATGTGCAGAGCAGGGCATGTTGAAAGCCTTGTCTGGGCTATTTTCTCCTCTGGGGACTGTAGAAGATACTTCCTTGTTTAAAGCACACACCTTAATTTATTTATTTATTTTTGTTTTTAAATTGGAACTGGGTCCATTCTCTGATGGAAAGAATGACCTAGAAATCTTGAATCAGGGACTTCAGGCAGGAGCAGGGGGCGGGAAGAGTGCAGCACCCACAGGTCAGTTTTATTGCGTTCGAAACCAAGCTCGTGCCTCATTTGGCGTCTCTTCAGGTGTGGCCCTGCAGCCGAGGATGGACACACAGACATCAGTTAGCCCTCACATCCGGCGTTCAGCCGAGGATGGACACACAGACATCAGTTAGCCCTCACATCCGGCGTTCAGCCAGGGATGGACACACAGACATCAGTTAGCCCTCACATCTGGCGTTCAGCCGTCTGACTGGAAAAGCTTTTAGGCAGAAAGACTTCTTGTTTGTATAAGAAAGTTAAAGCATTTATATTTTTATTTATTGTTTTGAGATGGGGTCTCACTCTGTCGCCCAGGCTGGAGTGCAGTGGCCTGATCTTGGCTCACTGCAACCTCCACCTCCTGGGTTCAAGTGATTCTCTTACTTCAGCTTCCCGAGCAGCTGGGATCACAGGCATGTGCCACCATGCCTGGCTAATTTTTGTATTTTTAGTAGAGACGAGGTTTCACCATGTTGGCCAGGCTGGTCTTGAACTCCTGACCTCAGGTGATCCACCCGCCTTGGCCTCCCAAAGTGCTGGGATTGCAGGCGTGAGCCACCACACCCGACAGAAATTTAAGGCTTTTGAAATTGAGAATGCGGTTCTGGCTTTTAACGGGATATGCTTAATCATTTTAAAAAATGAATTAGTTGCAAATAAGTGTGCTGCACTCAGGCATCTTGCCAAAATTCTCCCCACTTTTCATCTCTTGAGGAAGGCTTGGCATAAGCACACTTTTCTGGATTTCCCAGTTGTGGATTTCTTCTGGGCAAAGGTTTAACCCTCCTGGCAGAGTGTTTTTGGCAATGTGAATTGTCTGTTGGAGGAACATCAGCCAGCACGCCTCCAGTCACAGTTGAGAGTCTGTCTTCTGTTTCTGATGAAGCTGCTCCTGGGTGGGGCTCTGGGCCAGCATCGCTCAGGTGCCCGGGCCACCCGAGCCTGTGGTGTAGCTTGAGCATGTGCTTCTTGAGAAAAGCCTCCTTTTCTGCTGCGCTCCTTGTGGGGCGTCTGTGGCTTCAGGGATCACATGTGTCTAACTGGACCCTTGAAGAGCTTTGCTCATTTGGGCCCTTGCTTGTCCGCTTTGTCTCTGTTCCCACAGAGTATAATTTGAGATAAATTGTTACCATGGGATTTCACTGTATTTCCTTGTCCTTGCTATGAGTAAGTTTTGTGTTAAAACAAAGTTAGATCAGTTAACAAAGTTGAGAGTGAACCGGAGTGCAAACGTGAACTGGCTCAGGCTGATGGACGGTCAGAGTGCACCACTGACTCTCTTTCCTTCTCTTTCAGGGTTGGTACATTGTGACCTATGCCTTGGGGATCTACCATCTAAATCTTTTCATAGCTTTTCTTTCTCCCAAAGTGGATCCTTCCTTAATGGAAGACTCAGGTAGGGTAGCGGCTGTGCACTGGGCTGTGTGGGCAGGTTGGGCCTTTCTTTTCTGATGGGATTGCCCAGTGTTCTCTGGAAACACCCGAGACTCTTCTCTTGGGGTTGAAATGTACTTGTAATGTTGGGTGATCAGGATATGTTTGTAGAATGACTCTTCAAACCCTCCTGACAGCCACGAAGTGGGTGTTCATTCTGTTTTCCCACTTTGCAGATGAGGAAACTGAGGCATACAGGGTTAGGTAACGTGTTCGAGGTCACATGGCACCACAGACAGTAGGGGTCTGAGGTGGACAGTCCGACTCCAGCCCCCGTCCCACCCCAGTCAGTGGTCCCTCTCAGAATCAGCGGAGGCAGCCATGACGAGGTTACCTTTTCCCGTAGCCAGAGGGTTCCACAGGCAGCTCACTGTGGTGCACAGAGACCGCCGGGACTCTAATGCCAGCATCGGGTCGGGTCAGGCTTTGGGCGGCCTTCTCTGGTTTCTGAGGAGCTGTGAGCTGAAGTGTTCCTGGTGCTTCGTGCTCCACTATTGGAAGACTTACGCAGCTCCTGGGCCTGCCTGGGCCAGGTAGGGGCCCTGAGTTCATGCCTGACTGGCCAGCCCCAGGCGAGGAACAAACAACTGCATTCCAGGACGTGGTGGCCATTGAGGGAAAACCCACACGCAGCTCCCTGCCAGGACCCTCCTCGTTCTGGGGGAACCTGCTGTCAGGGAGTAGGGTATGCTCTCACTGTGTGGCCAGAAGCCTGTGAGTCTTCTGTGTAGGATATGTGATGAAAAGATTGCTGGGAACACAGCCCCTCTCTGTTGTTGCTGTTTGGAGGAGACTAGAAAATAACAAAGAGCCCCTTTCCTGTAGGCCTCAGTTTTCCCATCTGTAAATGGGGAGCGGCACCCATCCCAGTGGGGGAGGCGGGGTGAGAGTGGGCTTGGCACAGCTGCTGGTGGGACAGGCCTGGCGCCCGGGTTCCACGGTCAGCGCATCCTCGGCCCCGCCCTGTTCTCTGCCGCTTGCTTTTTATGTTAATTTGCCTTTGTTTTCTTCTGTGCCTTTACGTGGTGCAGCTGACGTGTTCCTGGATGTTTATATGTGGTTGAATTCTTCGTGCATTGAAAACGTGTGGAAGTCTAAAAACATTCTGATAGCACCTTCTGAAAGCAGTGAATTGGATGTGTCAGTTGACCACAGACCCCCGTTTTCTCGTTTTCTCTGGTTAAATGACATGAATCTCGGTTTAGATTTGTGAGGCCTGCTAGTCCAAAGCCTTGAGGGGAAAAGGTAGAACTGTGATGGGAATGAAAAGAGGTGCCCTCCCTGATGGTTGCTCTGCCTTACAGATGACGGTCCTTCGCTACCCACCAAACAGAACGAGGAATTCCGCCCCTTCATTCGAAGGCTCCCAGAGTTTAAATTTTGGTGAGCTAATTCTTCACGGTATTTGAAGAGAATTGTGCTCAAGGGTGGCTGAGACTGAGACTACACTGATTTTTGTTCAAGTCACCTGAAAGATGACTGCTGTGCTGGGCTGGGCACGGGGAATCGCAGGGGCTCTCTGTAGAAGGCCACTCACTACCTTGCCGCATTCTCTTGGTTTCAAGTCAGCACCAGTGCCCTGGAGGTTGAGTCTGGGATGGAGTGCGCACCGGCTTCTGTGGTTGTGGCCTGGGGAGGGCAGGCCCTCTGTCCTCCCTCCTCCTCCCTCCTCCTCCCTTCCTCCCTCCTTCCTCCCTCCTTCCTCCCTCCTCCACCCTCCCTCCTCCCTCCTCCTTCCTCCCTCCTTCCTGCCGCCTCCTCCCTCCTTCCTGCCTCCTCCTCCCTCCTTCTCCCTCCTTCCTCCCTCCTCCTCCCTCCTTCCTCCCTCCTCCTCCCTCCTCCTCCCTCCTCCTCCCTCCTTCCTCCTTCCTCTCTCCCATCCCCAGCCTTGTGGCTCCTTTTGGCTGGCAGAGGGACTAGCCTTCTCCTGGAGTCATTTTTGAGAGGGGTTTGAGCCGAGGTGTCCGTGTCTGCACGGGTAGGCAGAGGTGGGTGGTGCAGCCGTCAGAGGGACGGGAGCGTGTGCATCCGTTTGTCTTGTCCCTCATACCCCACTCTGGGAGCACAGGAGGAACCCAAGTCTGTTAGATCAGTAAACTGAAGGAGCCTGCTGAGCTCGTGGGGCTCCACGCCTTGACTTTGCAGCCGCAGATGGAGTGTGGTACAGAAAGATCAGGGGCCCTGGAAGCCACCAGAAGCTTGGACTAGGAAGGGAGAGCTGAGCCTCCAGGGCCGTGGCATCTGTTGGCCATGTGCTGGGACGGGAGGGAGCACTGGTGGCCATGCCACAGTGACAAGGTGAAGGCCCTGGATGGTCCACAAGACACAGCCTGGGTTTCTCTCCAGATCGCAGGCCCAGCCAGCAGGCATGGGGCCCCCAGCCTCAGTACTGATGCTTTATACTTTGTGTAGTTTTAAGAAGAATTGTGTCTTTCAAGGGAGTAAGAGAAGGATGTTTCTGTGGTTAGGGCAGTACATGTCTGTGAGCTACATGCAAAGGGTCCTGCTGCTGCTGTGCCCAGGGTAGACCCCTCCTTTCCACAGGGATGCTTCTGTTTGCGGGGACGGTCGGTGCAGCTGCAAGGCTGGAGGCGGCCGGCAGGTGCCCGGTGCTGGCTGCAGATGCGGCGCTAACCTTCTCTCCCCACTTGAAGGCATGCGGCTACCAAGGGCATCCTTGTGGCTATGGTCTGTACTTTCTTCGACGCTTTCAACGTCCCGGTGTTCTGGCCGATTCTGGTGATGTACTTCATCATGCTCTTCTGTATCACGATGAAGAGGCAAATCAAGGTAAAGCAGAGGCGCTGCCGCCACGCCGGCCGCAATCGCTGTTCTGTTACCCGCAGCATTGGGGGAGCTGTGCTGGGCTGTGGTGGGTGGTGGCAGAGTCTGCCTGGTGTGAATGTGGAGCTAAGTGGCACCGTCTTGTGTGTGACGAGGACACTGCTCCGTTCCCAGCACGGCCGGCTAACTAAACGGGGAGCGCAGCTGTGGGAGCGGGCGGGCTCTTGGTGGAAACTTTGTGGAAGCCGGGTGGGAGAGCCCCGGCGAGTGCAGTGTCCCGGTGGCTCCTCTTAGGGTG
Organism: Homo sapiens; assembly: GCF_000001405.40. Classification (NCBI taxonomy): domain Eukaryota; kingdom Metazoa; phylum Chordata; class Mammalia; order Primates; family Hominidae; genus Homo; species Homo sapiens. Next base: position 2,402,635 of record NC_000001.11, read on the forward strand.
CCCAGTGCCCCGCGCCAGCCTGCCCGAGGAGGAGGGTGTTAGGGGGAAGTTAGCCGAGACTGCGGACTGTGCCCTTGACGGTGTGGCCTTCGTGCTGCGGGCCTCACTCTGTGCCCGGGGTGTTGGCTGCAGAGAGGGCCCTGGGCCACCTCACATCCCCCTTGCCCTTCCTCCACGGGAGGCTCACGAAGCACTGGGATTGATGGGGTTTCAAACCTAGGCCTCGTGGGCTGTGGAAGGTCTTGCTGTGTTGATGTGGGCGCAGGAAGCCACTGGGGCTCCGATTCCACTTGTCTGATGTATAGAAAAGATGGGGGACCTTTGGCCGCTCAGATTTGGGGACAGTGTGACTGACTGGAGAGCGGTTGTGCAGTAACTGAGTCTGTGTTTCTCTCCCCAGCACATGATTAAGTACCGGTACATCCCGTTCACACATGGGAAGAGAAGGTACAGAGGCAAGGAGGATGCCGGCAAGGCCTTCGCCAGCTAGAAGCGGGACTGAGGCTGCCTCACGTGTTGCAAGAACAGTTTTGAGCCATTGTTAACAATGCCTTTTTTCTTCACATAAAGTAGTTGATTACGAGGGAGTCAAATTTTCTTTTTAAAAAGGAGCTTCAATGATTTGTAACTGAAATATCAGGTTCTAGAAGAAACTGGCGCTTAAACCAAATCGCATGGATTTCTTTTTCAGTGACGTTCAAGTGTTTCTCACGGATGGAATTCTAGTCAGCTGCAGGCGGGAAGCCAGGCGGGTGGAGCCCATGGGAGCAAGGGCGAGTGGCCGGTCCCCGCTGTGCCAGGTGGGCAGGCAGGAGCAAGGCCTGCGAGGGAGGAACGGGCCGCTCCCCGCCAGCCGCCTTCCCCAGCAGCCGCAGGTGGTGCCAGCCACTCCACAGAGCCCGAGGGATGATCTAGCCTGATTCCTGCGTGTCCGAAAGAACTTAACGTTTTAAAGGTGATTGTCAAGTAACTGTGTGGGGTTCTAATGCCAGTTTCCTAATTCCATCTCACTGGAGATGTTTAAAGTTGGCCTCTATCCTAATGACTCAAAACTTGGTTCTTAACTACCATGATTGCTTTTGAGGGCCCGGAATTATAAATATATATTATATTTTAATTGTTTGAGATTATTTTGACACATTTCTTTGATACGTAGAGTGTTTTGTTTTTAATTTAAATCTGTCCTCATGCAACCCTCCATGAGGGGCAGCGAAGCTGGCAGGGAGCAGACTGGCTTTGTAGGTTCAGCACTCGGCCCCCCACTGCGGGAGAGGCGGAACCCACTTGCATGTCAGCGTTTTTGATTCGAGAAAAGAAATACTCTCAACGTTTTACCAAGTGATTTTACCTCCACCTTTACTAAAGTCTTTACCTAAAACATGGCAGTCGCTGGACACAGGAAAGCCCACCTTTTGTTTGGCCTTTTCGAAAGGTGACCCATATTGCACAGCAGAACATCACAGCTGTGGTCCCAGATGAGACACTGACATGCGAGTGAAGGCCTCTCCTCCTGGGCCCCGGGCTGCGCAGGCTCCTCACTCTGGGCGGTGTTTCCTGTCTCAGAATTGACACGGTGAATGCTTAGTGTCTGGATTTTCTTGTACCAGTGTTTACATATCTGACATCGAGCTCCTCTAAGAGGCCACGTTCAAGCTTGTGTGTCCCTGACCCAAGATAGCCAGTGCTGCTCCCAGGTGGTACTTCTGGTACCGTGTTGAGACACTTGGGATTCTCAGACTGTGGACAGGAGTGTTTGTCATTTTTCATACTGTTTTCTTAATAAGCGCTCAGGCCTAAGGTGTGACAGGAAGTCGCACGCGCTTGGCCAGAGCACAGTGAAGCAAAGGACTGGGTGCTGATGGATGGAGCCACGGCGGCATCTGCCCACCCGGCCGCAGCCCCCAGTGCCTCTCCTGGTGGTCCTCCCAGTCTAGAGGGTCACGGCCCCCCCGCCCTCCTCCGTCTCTGGCAAGCTGACCTTGACTAACCCAGGAATACAGGGTCATCCTCATTCCTAAGTAAGTCAAACAGCAAGACATGGTTTGCGCGGGTCTTTGCCGGAAGCCGGTCCTGCTGGCCAGGTGTTTTACGTCAGCAGGGAAATGTGGCACACGCCCTCGAGGCATTTTAACACTGCGCTTCAGGAAATCTCAAGTTCCATCTTGTGTTAGTAACGTACCCACATTTTGCTGGAGTTAGTTTATTAAAGATGCCTACGGTGAACTCTCTGGCGCAGGTTAAATGCAGTTTTGAAAACCTGGAAACATCAAATGGAGGCGGGAAATAGGCTGGGGCCGAGCTGAGGGGCTGAACACAGCAGTGACCGTGGGTCAGCAGGTCGCCTGCCCAGCAGGCCCCCCAGGAGAGGGCTCGGGCGCCCCTGGCAGCCCCCATACCCCCAGGACCTGGCTCGTGAGTGCGTCTGGGTCAGGAAGAGACCTCTCTGTGCGTCTCAGGCTGAGATGCAGATTTCTGTTTTCTAAAACTGGAAGCGACCTTGACGTGTATTGAAGGTGTGTGTGCCAAATGCTTCCGACGGAGGTGCTGGCCTTGGTTGGTTTCTCTCTGCCCCGTGTGGTCATCAAGTCCTGGGGGATGTGCTCTGCCCAGCCGCCCTCGGGGAGAGCAGCGCCGCCTCCCATGGGGCCGTGGGGCTGCTGTTCTCACTGCACTGGCTGAAGCAACCCGCCAGCCTCCGTGCCCCACCCCACCCAGCACGCACTCATTCAGTCCATTGCCTTAACACAAGCCTGATGGGGCTGTTTTCTCACAATATAAACGAATAAAGTGTCTTCTGGCCTACTTCTGAATTACTTCTCAACTGTATGGTTTGGGGAAGGGAGGGAAACCTAAAATCCCGTCCAAATAAGTGAAATTCCTGAAGAAGTGGCTGAGTCCTACCAGGTTGGGGTTAGGGAAATGTTCTGGGTTCAGGCGCCCCTCCCAGGGCTGAGAAAGCGCAGCCAGGGACAGCTTTCTGTTCTCTCCCAGGGTGGCTAGGTTAGTATCTTACATGACAAAAAACTGAGAGTGTTCTAACTTCTGTGCAAGCAAGGTTAATCCTGAGACTAAATCTTGGCGTTCAGACTCCCGTAGAGGTCATCTGTGTCCAGGCCCACCCGGGCGCCGGCTCAGCGGTAGTGCCGAAGGTAGATGAGCTTCTGGGGAGGGAACTTCTCCCGGCAGAGGGGACACTCCGCCTGCGGAGAGGAGAAAGGGGGTCACAGCAGCTGGGGCCACTGGGCCATGCCCATCCCCATCGGCATTTCTTTTCCTGTCCACATTCTCTGCACATGACACACAACATAAATGTTGTATTTCCTTCAACTAATGACCAAGAAAGCCAGCCTTTTTTCAGAAGGCCGAGTCCCAGTGGGGGCTGGGGCGGGGCTGGGGGCGTAGGGCTCAGGGTGTGGGGCTCGGCCGGGAGGTTCCCTCCTGCTCCCGCAGCTGACACAGCCCACGAAGCCCAGCTCCTGGGAAAGCGTGCGCTCTCACCCTGCCGGCATCTTCGGTGGGTGTGAGTCAGTGTGCTAGGGTTTTCAAGTGTGGTGAGGACCCCGGGAGGAAGGGTGTGCTGGGATGCGTGGTGCAAGCGTGGGGCCTTTCAGGGCTGGCCACTACCCCAACCTGCATTCGGCAAAGCCTCAATACACGTGAATTTGGAACTTTAACCCCCTCAACGAACCCACATCTGACCTACCTGGGAGCCTTTAAAAAGATGCCCACCTCTGTACCCTCAAAACTGGAGGGTGCTCAGAGCCAGACTCCCCACTTCTGCTGCAGCCAGGTGCATCTTGCCGGCACAGCCGCTGACCACCCCAGGACGGCAGCAGGCTCCCACCTCACCTTGCTGCTGCACCACGCGGTGATGCACTCCCAGCAGAACAGGTGGCCGCAGGGCGTGGCTGTTGGGTGCCTGCGCTCCTCCAGGCACAGGGTGCACAGGGGGTTTCTGGAAACGGCTCTCTCCTCCAAGGAGGCCCTGGGGAAGGTGGGGCAGAGCGTCAAGGTGGGTGCACCTTACAGGTCCTTGTGAAGTGCCCAGGACACCCCCAGCCCCCATGTGTGGCCCCCGCACGCACCTGCGGTGAGACAGGCCGCGGTGCAGCCTCCACTCCTTCCTGGCTCGCTGCCGCTGCCTGAAACCGTACAGCTGCAGCCCCATGGACAGCACCAGGTGCAGCAGTGAGATGACCCCCAGCAGCCTGTAGCTAACACGGGCCCTCAGGTCCTCTCCGGGCAGGCTGCGGACACGGAGCTGTAAGGCAGATGGCGCCACACTCATCAGGACCCTGAGGGGATCTGGCCTCAGCGCCTGCTGGGAGGGTCACACGTTCAGTTGGCACAGAGCACGTTAGAACCAGGCCTCTCACTGGCATGGGGAGTGCCCGGCAGAAACGATCAAGCCAGGGGGCAGGTTCAGGGAGTCTGAGGTGCCTGCTTCGTAGCCTAGCATGACGGAGAGGCCTGAGCTCCAGACCAGCCTTGGCATTACCAGTGCAGAAAGAGTCTTAGCTATGAGGCTGGCAGAGCAGGTGAGGATGTGGGGATGTCCAGGGACCACCTCTCAGAAAAGGAGGCGGGGAGCGGAAATGTGGGGCTGCAGACGCTGCCCACCAGCTACCCTGCTACAGGGACCGAAGCCCCAGTGTAACAAGGCACGTGGCCCCAGGGACACTGCTGCCACCCTCCTGCTGGTGACACAGGTAGCTTCTGACCGTGCCACTGAAGGACAGCTGGCTGCCCTCGGCTTCCCGTGTCACTTTCCACTGGCTGGGAAATGGAGACAGCCAGACAGCCTCGGCCCAGGGCCGGGAACCACATACAGAGGTGGCAGGTCACACCGCCAGCATGGGCCCTGGGTGTCCAGCCACTTCCTGGCTGTCCTAGGAGAGAGGGAGCCTCCCATCTGGTTTGAGCCCCACTTCCATGCCCCTGTCACAGCAGCTCATCAAATCCCTCACCAACATGGACGGGGCAAGAAACCACATCAAATACGCAAGTGAGGCTGGGTACGCTGAGGACGAAGACCTGACCATTGGCTCTGCGACGAGGTCACGGTGGCCTCCTGTTTAGGGTGTGTGTGGAGGCGGGGTTGCCTGGCAAGTAGGGGCTGAGGGGACCAGTGCAGCTCTAGGGACAAAAGGAAGGGGGTTCCTCAGAGGGCTGTTCTGGAAGGAGCTCATGCAGTAGTGGCTCTGGTGGGCCAGGGACTAACGCTGTGGCAGGTGGACATGGTGGTGGGACCACGGGGGAGGCTTCGTTGCTGAATCTGGAAGCAGGGGCATCAGCTGGGGGTCAGGATAGGCAGAGGTGCCAACGGCTGTGGAGGGGAGAAGGTGGGAACGGCCGTCTGATGGGGCAGACTGCTGGGCCAGGCAGGGGCGAGGGGTGAGGGGCTGGGGCCGGGGCTGCAGTCCATGCTCCCACACTGTCTGGGAGAAGCTGTTTGTTCCCCACAGCAGTGACATAGGCAGTCACGGGCCCAGGTTCAGGGATCTGTGGTGAGGCGTGACCCGGGGCCCCCCGGTCAGTAAAGAGCTAAGCGCAGGGCCCGGTGTCCATGAGGGGCTGCAGCAGGAGTTCATTCTACACTTAGGGTCTGGACTTCCTTGGATCTTTCAGCCAAGTGTAATTAAACAAAATCTGCTTTTTTTCCAAGCAGAGGATTTGGGTTCCTGCCTTGACACAGATGCTGGATGTAGAACCCTGTTGGCTGAGAGGCCTGGAGGGCCAGCTCTGTGCATGCACCCAAGTCCAGTGGGGGTGACAAGGACGGCCTAAGCAGCTGTGCCCTCAGCGCCTGCTACTTACGTACGTGATCCCCGTGAGCCTCTTGGCCAGGTGGTAGAAGACACCGTGGATGTAAAACCAGGCAACATGTAGCCGCTGGAGGCAGGCGAGGCCCTGTCTGAGGACGAAGACCGCCCGCAGCAGCGCCCTCCTCTGCTGCTCAGTCAGGGTGGCCGTGTGGTGACGCATCCAGCGCCGCGCCCCTGAGCAGCCACGCCCACCTGGCCCCAGGCTCCCCTGCAAGGGTCGCCCACTGTCGGGGTCAGCCTGCAGCTCCTGCTCCAGGGGGAGCAGGGCCTTGTCCAGCAGGTAGGGCAGGACGGCATGCAGTGTCACCAGCACGCCACGGCGCAGCGAGGAGGGCACATGTATCCGCGATGGGTCCACCTGGATGATGCTGACGTACTCCTCCCCCAGGGTCTGGTAGCCTGCGAGGAAGAGGATGGGTATGTGGACCCTGAGACTGCTGCCGCGGGGACAGGCTCCCGGCGCCCCTGCCAGCCGACCCTCTGCTGGCTCCTGTCAACAGCCCCATCTTGTCGCCCTTGAGCCCACTGTCACCCCGTGCTGGCTGAGGCCAACATGACCTTCTGTCGCTAAGCCCACTGTGAGCTCAGGCAGCACATGACAGGCCCGGCCAATGGCTGCCCTTGGCTCCCAGGGCCTTGGCTGGCCAGTGTCCCTCCCTCTCTTGGCTTCTCCCCAAGAGTCTCTGCTCTTTCCCCTTTCTCCCTAGCTGTCCCCGCCACCTCCCCCAGCCCAAGCACTCGGATCCAGTCCCATGGCTCTCCACCAACCACACAGCTGGCACCACCCGATTTATGCCCAGCCTGGACCTTACTTGTGAGTGCCAGCCATGCAGGTCCGCCACCTACCTGACATCGCCATGTATGCTCAGATGAGCACCCCAATTCCACCCCTGCCGAGACAGCTTTCAGCGCCCCCACCCAGAAAAGCCTGCTCCCCGTTTCCATCTCTGTGGATGGCAACGCCAGGCCTCCGGTTCCTGAGGTCAAGCCCAAGGGGCACCCTGCATGCACCTTCCCTGTGTGTTCCACCCCCTCGCTGCCGCCCCTGCTCTGTACCACCACCATCCTGTGGGGGACTGTCACAGCCTCTGTAGTCTCCCTGAGCCCAACTTTGTCCCCTGAGGTCTGGTCTTAGCTAGTGGTCGGCCTCTCCCCTGCCCACGTCCCTGGAATGCCCCAAGCCTCGCACAGGGAAAGCTATGGGCTTACAAAACTCACGAGCCCCCCGGGGTCATTCTCCCAAACCGCCAAGGACGTGTTCTTCTCAGGGCCTTTCCCGGCTGCTTGCTCTGCCGGTCTGGAAAATGCTCTTCCCTAAGACGTGGTCTTTATCTCTGAGAGCCCCTCACTTCCCAAGATGCTCTGTGACGCAGCCACATCTGTCTCCCGCCCACCGAGCACACTCTCCATGGCGGCAGGATGCCCGGGGCGAGCCCCTCGTAGGGAACCAGGCTGGCACTCGGTGGTCCTTGCTACATGCTGAGCTGGGGTTGGGAGCCTGAGAGCTTCTGTCAACAACTCCCTCTAAAGGGTGGTGACCAGCCTGGGCCACAGACCCACCACTGCTCCACCAGGGCACTGTCACACGGGCACTGCACCCTATGACATGGCTCAGCACTGTGACTCACTGGTGCCACCAGGGCTGGCCACTGAGAAATGGGTCTCAGTGGCACCCGGGGTAAAGTCTTAAACAAAGAACCCCAGGGACACACAAAGGCTGGAAAAGTCGGCTCCCTGCTGGGAGCAGATGCCTCGCCTCCCTCGGAGCAGTACCTCCTGCACTTCCCTGAAGCAACCTCACCCGGGCCAGCTCCAGGAGCTTCTCACACTGCCTGGCAGCCCCCTGGCCACCGTCCCCAGACTTGGTGTGTGTGGCTGCCCTCAGTCCTGAGGTCCCGTGGGAGCTTCTACCTGCAAGTGTGGTGAGGCCAAAGTAGGCCACATCTGAGAGCAGCTCAACCTCCTTCCTCCACTCCAGCCACTTCCTCGCACCTGAGAGGAGAAACAGTATTAGTCCGGGGGAGCTGGTGGGCATCCTCTGAGGATGAGGGACCACAGTCCTCCCCCAGTTGTCTAGGCCCAGATCCAGTCCCACCCCTTCCATGAAGCCAACACTCACTCCCTGGCCTCCCTCTCTGCTTCTGTCTCCGGAGGCACCACCTTGACTTGCCTTAGCGTGAGCTGCAGACAGTCTGCGAAGAATCTCCCACCTGTGCTCATCTCTTGCTCCGGGATTCCCCTGAGCAACTGTTCTAGGGCCTATGAGGGCCACATGGAAAGATGGTCTGGGGTATTAAGATTACAGGCCAGAGGCCAACTGTCTAGCATCAAAAAGCAGCTCTCCAACTTGCTGGCTGTGAGGTCTTTCTGGAATCTCAATTTGCTCATCTATCAGAAGAGTAATAAGTCCTACTTGGAGGGATGTTTGAAGATTCAATATTTGTAAAACACTGGGAACAGTGTCTGGCACAGGGGTAAGTGCCAAGTGTACTGTAAAACAAGTAAGTACACACACAAAAAATTCTCATCATGTCACTCTCCTGTTCAGAATCCACCAATGGCTGCCCACCTGACACCCATGGGCCTCCCGGCACGGAGCCTGGCTGTCCTCTGATATTTACCCATGCTCTTCCTGTCCCATGGCACTGTTCCTTTGGCCACGACACCCCCACCACTGGGCTCTAGTGCCACTGCTCCCTGAAACGTTCTGCTGGGAGTTCATGCCTTTAACGACTGCCTGCCCCACCCCCCAAAGACTTGATGGCTTTGCCTTTTTTTTTTTTTTTTTTTTTTTGAGATGGAGTCTCACTCTGTTGCCCAGACTGGAGTGCAGTGGCACGATCTTGGCTTACTGCAACCTCCGCCTCCCGGGTTCAAGTGATTCTGTCTCAGCCTCCCAAGTAGCTGGGATTACACGCACGCGCCACCACGCCCTGCTGATTTTTGTATTTTTAGTAGAGACGGGGTTTCACCATGTTGTGTAGACTGGTCTCGAACTCCTGACCTCAAGTGATCCACCCGCCTCGGCCTCCCAAAGTGCTGGGATTACAGGCGTGAGCCACCACACCCGGCATCTTTTTTTTTTCGTTTTTTAATCGGTGATGGGGTCTGGCCCCGTCGCCCAGGCTGGAGTGCAGCGGCACAATCATGGCTCACTGCAGCCTCATCCCTCGGGCTCAGGCGATTCTCTTGCCTCAGCCTCCTGAAGAGCTGGGATTACAGACGCCGCCACCACGTCCGGCTAATTTTCAGATTTTTTGTAGAGACGGGGTCTTGCCATGTTGCCCAGGCTGGTTTCAAACTCCTGGGCTCAAGCGATCCTCCCGCCTCTGCCTCCCAAACTGCTGGGATGACAGGTGCTGCTTCATTGAGTACACTGGCTTCTGTACTCAGCTCCCGGCCTGGTGAGGCAGGCAGGGCCTGGCTGAGCCTACACTGGGGTCAGCAGGGCGAGGGGCCTGGGCTGCTGCTCAGGCCTAGGAAAGGCCGGGGTCAGTGTGAACCGGACCGAGGTATGAGGCGTTCGCGCCGCGGGCGCTCTGACCCCTCTGCTCACAGGGGAGGATCGGAGGGAGGCTTGAAGCACTTGCCAAGGCCTCACACCTGGAGGGGACAGAGTCTTCCCCAGCCGCTGGCGTCAGCTGGACCTGCCCTGAGCTGGGGACGGGAAGGGCTTGGGCGGGAACTGGAGGCCCACGCAGGTCCCCCGCGGTGTCTGCGGCCTGTGCCTCTGGGGCCACCTGGCCAGGGAGGGCAGGAGGTGCCCCGCACATCCCTGAATGGCCGCAGGGCAGGCGAAGGAGACTGCCGGGTCCCAGGTTGTGGGACGGGCCCAGGCGACCGTGACCACACACGGCAGACACCCCGCCTCCATGAGGGGCAACACCCCCTGGGCCGCTCGCGAGGACGTCCGGCCGCGCCCGGCCCTCACCCGCCAGGCTGTGCAGGGCGCCGCCCGCCGCGCTCCGCAGCCCACCGCGGTAGTACTCGTCCTTCTGCGCCGCGCGGATCACCTCCGGGGGGCTGGCGGCGGCCGGGGCCATGGCCGCGGGTTCGGGTGGTCCCGAGCAGCCACGCCGGCCACGCCCACGCCCAGACGGGCGAGAACTGATGACGGCACGACGTGGCTCTGCGTGCGGCGCAGACCTCTGCGTCAAGGTGCTGGGGCGGGGCCGGACTGGGGCTGGAGGCGGGGCCAGGGCCCGGGCGGAAGCGGGGCTGGAGTCCGAACCAGCGCAGCGCGGGGCGGGGCAGCGGGAAGGTAGTCGGAGGCGCAGGGCGGAGCGGAGCGGGGCGGGGCCCGCGAGCCGAGGTGGGGGCGGGGCACGCGCGAGGGGCGCTGGCGAGGCAGCGGGATGGGCTCGCGGCCGCGTGGTTGCTGCGACCTCGGGGTCCTACGCTGCCAGGGGCCCCTGCTCTGCTCCCTGCACGTCCACGGGCCGCCCTCCCACTGGGGACAGCGCTGCGGAGTGGAGACGCTGCAGGCCCATTTACGGCTGGGGAGACGGAGGCTTTCGCTTGGGTCTTCGGGAAGCCGAGCTCCCAGCGCCGGCCGCGGCGGTCCCGCCCTCGCGCCCTTTGAGCTGCGCGGGCTCTCAGCGCGGGTTGGCCAGTTCCGGGGAGCCGGTCGGTTTGGGGGCCAGAGGGGCACGAGGCGAGACCCGGGACCTTCCAGGCCCCGAGCAGCCGCCTTCCCCAGTAATCCTGCGCGAAAAGCACACGGCCGGCTTGGTGTGGACGCCCCCCTGGTGCCCACGGGAGGCAGGGCCTGGCGGGTGGGGGGCAGCCGGGAAGCCGCCGCGTGGTTCCAGGACGGGCGGAAGGTGGCCTTCCACCCTCCACCCTCCACCCTGCCTGGCCTGAGCCCCGCAGGTGCTCTGGGGAACCACATCGCAGGCGCTCCGATCCCTCTGCTCCCAGGGGACGAGCGGAGGGAGGCCTGAAGCACTTGCCAAGGCCGCACACCTGGAGGGGACAGAACCTTCCCCAGCCGCTGGCCACAGCTGGACCTGCCCTGAGCTGGGGGTGGGAAGGGCTGGGGCGGGAACTGGAGGCCCACGCAGGTCGCCTGCGGTGTCTGCGGCCTGTGCCTCTGGGGCCGCCTGGCCAGGGAGGGCAGGAGATGCCTGGTACATACCTGAATGGCTGCAGGGCAGGTGAAGGAGAAGGCCCTGTTTTTTGGCCCCAAGGGCAGCACTTGGCCCTGGAGAGTCCTGCAGGATTGCAGGAGGAAGGCAGGGCACGACAAGGGGGCGTCTGCGCCCCGCTGACCTCAGTGGGGAGGGCCTCCAGTTCCTTGCCTCACCTCTGGTTCCATCTACAGGAGCTCAGCTGTGGGATCATCCCCAGACTGGCACAGCCCAGTCACAAAGCCAGAGCCCCACACTGCAGGAATGGCCCCTCTTACAGGGAAGGGGCATGGCCTGGGTGGCCCCGCCCCGCAGGCCCTCTGGCTACCAAACCTCCCAGCGCCCCCGCGCCCCTTTGGAGTTCTGACCCCGCGGGTGCACCCGTGTCTCCTGGACACAGAGGCTGCCCTCTGATTGGGTTGAGCACCTTGGGCTGAACCCCTCATCCGTGGACCAGGCAACCCGGCATCGCCCACGTGGAGCCGCTGAGGTGATCATGTGTTCTGGTCAATGCTTAGATAACAGTTTGAGATGCCGCTCTGGCCCCTGGGTTCATGGCTCCACGTCTGATTCTGAGGAGGAGGCTTCGGCTCCTTTGGATTCACACTGGGTTCTATGATGGGCCCCTGACGGGAGGGCCTGCTCTAGGAGGCATCCCCCACCGCTGTCCTGGCTCAGGACTGCTTTCCCCACTCTTCTCATCTGCACCCTGGGCGACAAATCCCAGCCTCACAGTGGGAGGGGCCTGGGCAGGACCTGAAACAAAGTGTCCCAGTGTCTGCTGTTCCTGGGCAGGTGGGGCTTGGGGGTCCCCCACGGTTCAAGCCTTGGCTCTAGGCCTTGGCTGGGCCTTGTAATGGCACCCGCGACCCTCAGTTGCCTCACTCATTGGGGCTTCGAAGGCCTCTGGTGCCCCGAGGGTCCTTCCTGAGGGCGACTTGAATACGGCGGTCCTATCCTGGGATGGCCGGCAGGTGGCAGCGTCAGCCCGTCTGCTCTCCACCGGGCTCCCCGGTAGAGTTATAGGGGATTAGGCGGTGAGTTTTGCCCCAAAGGGAATCGAATCTAGATCAGAACCACTGGCGAAGTGGAGCGACCATCTGCCCGAAACAGCGGAGGGAAGGAAGCGCCTGGAGGGGGTCTCAGGGAGGTGGGGCGGGAGTCAGGTCTCCATGTCCTTCCTGGCTGACCAGGCAACCTGGGAGCTCTGGTTGGTTCCAGGGTTCTGGGGTGGGGCATGGGGGTCCTGCCAGGGGAGGGGGCGTTTGCCGCTTAGCACCCTTGCCTCCCTGTGGCAGCCTCCTCTTGAGCCCTTGGGACTTTTCACAAACTCTGTCCCTCTCTTCTTTGGGGATCGAGGTCAGGAAGGTGGAGGCTGTGGATTTTTCTTTTTTTTTTTTTTTTGAGACAGAGTCTCGCTTTGTCGCCCAGGCTGGAGTGCAGTGGCGGGATCTTGGCTCACTGCAAGCTCTGCCTCTGGGGTTCGCACCATTCTGTTGCCTCAGCCTCCTGAGTAGCTGGGACTACAGGCGCCCGCCACCACGCCTGGCTAATTTTTTGTATTTTTAGTAGAGACGGGGTTTCACCCTGTTAGCCAGGATGGTCTCGACCTCCTGACCTTGTGATCCACCTGCCTCAGCCTCCCAAAGTGCTGGGATTACAGGTGTGAGCCACCGTGCCTGGCCAAGGCTGTGGATTTTAGGGAGAGCAACCACAGGCATTGGGCAGAAGTGGCCAACAGGGCCCAGCCCCAGTCTTGGGTCTCTTGACAGCCATGTGCCTGGCCCCAGCAGGGGATCACCACAGCCTTTAAACCGAGCGTTATTCTTGTTGGCAGCGCCTTACATCCTTCTGGAGGAGCCTGCTCTTGAATCAATAAGCCCCGATATGCCTCACCATCTCTTGCCACTCAGCCTATGTGCCGCCCGGCTTCAAAACCAGGCTGCTGGGGACGCTGCACAGCAGTGCTTCCTGGCTGGCCTCTGACCGCAGCCTGCTGTGCCCTCCGCCGGCCCTGCCATTTACAGGGGGCTCTCACACCCATTCCATCTGAACTCCCCTGGGCTTCCGTCTTCTGGTCTGTGGAATGGGACTGGGTAATAATCAGCTGGTATTTATTAAGAGCCTGCTTTGCTCCTGCCCAGTGCACACATCGTCTGGGGTCTGGTCACAGTGCAGGTCTGGGTGGATGGGCCTGGGACGAGGTCCAGTTCTGCATTTCCAACAAGCTCCCAGATGAAGCCTGCGCCGGAGCAGGGTTCTCAGCCTCGCCCATCACACTCACCCACTTCCGCCCAGCAGCAGCAGGTGTGTTGTCCGACATCCTTCCTCTGGAGGGCCTGCGCTCCTCCGCTAAACCCAGTTCCGGTGCTGTGGGGAGCTCAGAGGCCGGGGAGGAGAGGGAGCTCGGGGTGCAGCCCCACGGTTCGTATCCCCATCCCCCCACCAACACCCAGTGCGGTGGGCAGCCCCGCAGGTGATCTGACGCACCAGCAGGTGCTGCCCCCTGTGCCCCCTCTGGTGGGGTGTGAGCACCACCGGAACAGGGGACTGCTGTGCCTGGGTTGCTGCCTGGCACCCAGCGGTCGCTCAGGACCCCGAGGAGGGCAGGGTGGGCCCAGGAGCTGGACGCAGCAGGTCGGGGTCCCTGGGTGGGCAAAGTGGGCGCTGGTGCTGCTTGAGGGGAGTGGCTCCTGCCCAGCATGGCAGTTCTGGCTTCAGGGGTGTGGCAGTGTCCCCTCCCTTCTCTTTAGCTATACATGGGTTTGGGGATTGAGGAAGGGCCACCCACAAGCTGGCCCCGAGTACAGGGACTGTAGGGTGCGGCCCTCGGGAAGCCCCTCGCAGTGCCAGCCACAAACCAGGAGAACGGGTTCGTCTGCCTGGCTGGAGGCCCTGGGAGCCGCACTCCACCCGTCTGTGGCAGACCCAGGACCTGGAGGTACCTGCAGAGTGTGAGCTGGGGAGGGTGGGCAGCGGGCGGCACTGGGCCCAGGGAGGGGAAGTGAGCCCTGGGTGGGCACAGTCAGGCAGAGGCCCCAGAGCCAAGATGGGGAGGGCGGGGCCCGGCAGCCAGAGGCAGGAAGTGCTGGTGGATGAAGGCCTCCTGGAGCCTCCGTGGGAAACAGTGCCTGGGCCAGGGTTTAGCAGGTGAGGTTAGGACAGGGGTGCAGAGTGCAGAGGGTTGGTGTGGGCATGGGCTGGCCTGGGAAGTGATGTTGGGTGATTTTGGGGCTCGGGCAGGTGGTCCGGGGCTCTGCCTGTGTCCCTGTGTTGGCCGGGGACCAGCAGGAATGAATTCCTGGCAGAACTGTGGGTCTGACAGCAGAGCCAGCCTGGGGGGGCCCTGGGGCTCTGGGGCTCTGGGCTGCTCTTAGGACCTTGAGGGAGCTAGGACAGGAAAGAGAAATGGGGAGGGGTCTGTGGAGAGAGGGGCATGGGCCTGTGGCAGAGTTGAGAAACTGATGGCCAGAGAGGCCATGCCTGGTCCAAGGCAGGCACAAGGTGAATCCCAGGTCAGTTTGCCCATACCTGTGTCCCAGTCTCTACCTGTCGCTGGGATTGGGGAGGGGTGCTGGGCACCATGACCTCGCTGATAGGAAATGAGGGGTCCTGGTGTGCAGCTGTCATCTGGGGTGAACCGGCTGATAACTAGGGGCTGGAAACCAAGGGTCCCCCAAAAAGGAGATCTGGGAGGACTTCCTGGAGGAAGAGACTTTGCACTGGTAAGAGTGAGGGAGGGCTCTGTCCATGTGAGAGGCATGGCCTTTTCTGACAAGTGGAGGCTGGGATTGTTGGGTTGGGGGGCACTAAGGGTGGGCCCTGCCCAGCTTCCCAGCCTCCTCTGTGAGGCCGGAGGGAGGGGGCCTGGTGAGTCTGGAATCACACAGGGTGGGGTTCCCAGGAGAGTGAGCCCAGGACCTGTGGGTACTAGGCAAGGCCGGAGAGGACCCACGAGGGAGGCCCAAGCTGGAATGGCGTCCACTCTGGATGTGGGCATCTGGATGGGCTGTGGAGAGTCCGGCCCTGTCCTGCGAGCACTGCATAGCCTGGGCTGTGCTGAGTGTGGCCAGCCGGTGAGGGGCTGTGTGCTGGCTGGAGGGCACCTGGGAGCCACCTCCTGAGGCACTGCCACGCCACCTTCCCCACACAGCCTCCCCTAAGGCAGAGTCAGGGCTGGGAGCCAGGCAGCCCTGGGAGGAGGGGACGGGCAGGGGCTACAGCCTCTGCGCTGAGGTGTGACCTTGAGCAGCTCCTGGTCTTCCCTGGCCTCAGCTTCCTCACCTGTCAAGTGGGGGAATAGAGGCCCCTGCCTCCCGGGTTATGAGAGGACTCAGGATGGCACATGTGTGGGGTGCCCTCCGGGGCCTGCCTCGGACCCCCAGCTCAGGGCTTTGCAGGCATTTAGACTCTGGTGAGAAGAGGCTGAGCCCAGGGCATCCCTGTGTCCTGCCCCCAAACGCGAACACGCAGGCACTCAGGAACCTGCAGGAGCTGTGGAGTCAGCGCAGTGAAGACGTGTGACCGGTGCGAGGCAGACACCCATCACGGCAGGTGCCCCCGAGAATTCCGGGCAGAGCCCACGTTGCTCTGTCTTCAGCCCCATAGCTAGTTGGTTTCTGAATTTTGTTTTTTGGAAACTGCACTGAACTGATTCACACCGATGAGCAGCTGCCGACAGTGACAGCGTCCAGCATTCCTCTGGGCGCCTTCAGTTAGACCGAGAGAGACAGGAGTGGGGGTGTTTTAGTTATCAAAGCTGGCTCCCGGGTCTGGATGCCAGGGTCAGGCATGGGGGCTCCTGCAGCGAGCTCTGGGGGTCTCAGTGGAGGGGGCAGGGCTCTGGTCGTTCTGCTCCACCACGTGCTAGAAGGAGGGGCCCCGGGGCCATGGCTGGCATTGGGCCCCACCCACTGCCTCCCTCGGACGGCTGAATGGTGTGGGTCATCCACTCCTGTTCTCCTCTGACCCGCCTCCTTCAGGAGTTCTGAACCTGGCATTTGATGCCCGATGGACAATAAGGGCTCCCCACGAGGCTGCTCCTCAGGGCTCAGGATCTTCAGTCAGGCAAAGGCTCCCCAAGTTCCAGGGGTGCCGTCCTGGACTCCTGAGCCTGCCCGCCTGCCTCCGCAGGTCCTGTCTGTGCGAGTGGGAGTGAGCCGTGTGCTCCGCAGACACCTGACCTGTGCGCTTATGACGGCCTCTCCTTTGCACATGGCCTCGACTTGGCTGTCCCCCTCTCCCTGGCTGCTGATCTCCCAGTGCCCAGTTATGCCCAGGTCTCTGCCCACCTCAGCCCACACTGGGTGGGGAAATGCTGGCGCAAAACCTGGCTTATTGGGGTTGCAGCCAAGTAGCCCTTGATTCTTCCTACCACTCCCCTACCCGAGAGAGGACCTGCTCACCTCCCCATCCTCGGGGTCTGTGCCCGACGCCTCTCTCTGCGGTTGGCACGGCTCATCCTCTGGCTGGGGCATGTGACACCTGGCCAAGGATGTGGCGTCTGAGGCTCCCCCATCTGTCTGCCCAGCTCCTTGCCCTTCCCTGCGTGGGGCCCGTCCCAGGAGAGCCTGCCCTGACCCTTCCCACCTGCGGTCATCTGTCCCCTCCCAGGCTGCCGGCCTGGTCTGCACGGTCGAGCTTCAATCCACAGTGGAGGCCTTGGGCTGTGCTGCTGTCTGTCTATCCATCCGTAAATCCATCTATCCCCTGCCAGCCCCTTCCCTCAGCACCCCTGGCTCAGCCGTGCCATTCCTGGTTGGCCCTGGAGGTCCTATTTGCTGGTCCTTGAGTTTCCCACTGATTGTGAAGAGACAATAATTGTCCAGAGGGGATCGAAGGGGCGCCTGTGCGGAGCTGGTCCACACTCTGAGGCCCGGGCCTCGGCCGTTGGTCGGGGGGGTTTTCCACTTGTTGTTGACAGAGGCGCCTCCCATGGCAGTGGGGTGCAGGGTCTCCCCTGGGGATGTGAGGCCGGTGAGGGCGGAAGGGGAGCAGGCAGGGGCCCGGGGCTCTCCAGATCTACCACCCCACCACCTCACTGGCTCTTCTTGCCCGGAGCTCAATGCAGGGATCCCCGTGCCTGACCCTGGCATCCACAGACCCGGGGGCCAGCTTTGAGGAGGCGCTGCTGGCTCTGGTGGAGGTGGTGACATGGGGCTCTGGAGACTTGGGGGCCGCTCATCCTTCTTCCTGTGGGCTCCACCATATTCATCCTTGGGGGATTAATCTGAAGCTGTCCGTAGAAGCTGGACTGGGACCCTCAAGCCAGCCCTGGGCTGGGGCCAGCCAGGCCCTTTCTGCCTCGGAACTGCTGCACCTGCTGCCCGTAGTCGGCTCTTGCCAACTCAAAGTTCAAGCATAGCAGGCCAAGTCCCCCCCCCACCCCCAGGCAACCCCTTTGTGCGCTCCCCCCACTACCCCCTCCTGTGCTGCCTCCCCAGTAGCCTGGGTACAGCTATGGGGGTGGGGGCAGGCACAGCAACAGTAACCTGCCTCCCCACTCCCCGCCATCTCTGGTCATTGGTCAGGAGCTCATCAGTGCTGAGTTAAGGACTCAGACAGGCCCCCCGCCCCAGCCCCTACCTCACATCCCTCTCAGCTGACCCCAACTCCTCCCCAAGACTTGGATCCCAAAGGAGCCAGTGTCTGGGGGGCATCCAGGCAGCACCTACCTCTTGTCCTTCCTCCCGCTGCTCGATTCCACTTTCAGCCCCCTGCCCTGTGATTTCAGGACAAAGCTTCCCAGGTGCAGGTCTGAAAGCTTCCACCTCCTTCGAGAGGTGGGTGTGGGGGCCTGTGGGGCCCAGTGATGCTGGCAAGGGGAGAAGGTCCAGGCAGGGGCGGGGTTGCGGATCCACAGTGGGATGCGGGGCTGAACGGTTATGTCCCGGTAGGTAGGGGCTGCAGAAAGAGCCCCGAGGGCTGGGGAGTCCCGGAGCTGGACCACAGGAAGGGCCTCAAGTCCGCCTGCCAGGTCCAGCTTCTCAGGACCCCAGGGCTGGGGCACACTCTTTGCACCCCGCTTTACAGATGAGGAAACTGAGTCAGAGAGGGAGAGTTTAAGGGCAGGCTTCAAGCTGACCTCTGACCCAGAGACCCCCATTTTGAAAAATCTCCTCTTCAGGCCTCAGGCCTGGAGGGCTGTGGGAGTCGCTCCTCTCTCGATTGGAGGGTGGAGTGAGTGATCGATCGATTCATTGCCTTTACCCACATCAGTATCTCTTCCCCCTTGGGACTCCTTCTGAGGAGCGTTGAGTGTGTATCTCGTTTTTTGTATTTTCCAGAATGCTGTGTTGTTCTGGTGCGAGTATTTTAATCACTATTAGTGGGGTGCAAATGTTTTGGCCTTAGTATCCCTTCACACTTTTTTTTTTTTTTTTGAGACAGAGTCTCACCCAGGCTGGAGTGCAGTGGTGCGATCTCGGCTCACTGCAACCTCTGCTTCCCGGGTTCAATCGATTTTCCTGCCTCAGCCTCCTGAGTAGCTGAGATTACAGGCATGCGCCACCACGCCTGGCTAATTTTTGTATTTTTAGTAGAGACGGAATTTCACCACGTTGGCCAGGCTGGTCTCGAACTCCTGACATCAGATGATCCACCCTCCTTGGCCTCCCAAAGTGCTGGGGTTACAGACGTGAGCCACTGCATCTGGCCCCAACACTCTTAGCAGCTGTTGAGAAGCCCAAGGAGCTTTGGTTTTGGGGTGCTGTCTGTAGTGTGTGCTGGAGCAGGCTTGCACGTGCTCACCAGAACCTACGGTAGCATCTCCAGTAATCTCATCAGCTGGTTGTTGGACACAACCATTATTCAAATCAAATTAAAGTAATTAAATTATGTAAAACACAGAAATACTATAAAAAGCAAAGGAAATAAATACTCAAAATGTATTGCTTCCTAATTATTTCTAGCTTACTGTGATCCACGCTGTTATCTGGGTGCAGTCTGTGTGTGTCTGTCTAGTGGAAATGCCGTATGATACTGTCCATCTCTTCCCCACTCTGTGCTCTGTGGGCTCAAGTGGGAATATTTACACCACATGTTTACACCACCTTCATAAAAAAATATGAAAATATTCATGAAGTCTTATTGAAAATAACAACGGGCCAGGCACAGTGGTTCACACCTGTAATCCCAGCACATTGGGAGGTCAAGGCAGGAGGATCACCTGAGGCCAGGAGTTTGAGACCAGCCTGGCCAACATGGTGAAACCCCGTCTCTACTAAAAATACAAAAATTAGCTGGGCGTGGTGGCGCATGCCTGTAATCTCAGCTACACAGGAGGCTGAGGCGGGAGAATTGCTTGAACCTGGGAAGCAGAGGCTGCAGTGAGCCAAGATCACGCCACTACACTCCAGCCCAGGCGACGGAGCAAGACTTTATCTCAAAAAAAGAAGAAAAGGCCAGGCGCAGTGGCTCACGCCTGTAATCCCAGCACTTTGGGAGGCTGAAGGAGGAGGATCACCTGAGGCCAGGAGTTTGAGACCATCCTGGCCAACATGGAAACCATGTCTCTACTAAAAATACAAAAATTAGCCGGGCATGGTGGCAGGTGCCTGTAATCTTAGCTACTCGGGAGGCTGAGGCAGGAGAATCGCTTGAACCCAGGAGGTGGAAGTTGCAGTGAGCCGAGATCGCGCCAGTGCACTCCAGCCTGGAGGACAGTGCAAGACTCCACCTCAAAAAACAAACAAACAAACAAAAACCCATAAACTAATGACATGTTAATAGAAATAACACGTTAACATTTTATGAAAAATACTTTCAAAACAAAAAAATCCAGTGAGAAGAGGGACGTGGCTTTGCAGTTTTGCAGTCTCTTGAATGTTTGTCTGCATCTGCGTTGCATCTGTCGCAGTGTGTTTTGGTTGAAATCAGTGAAGAGATCTGGCCTCACAGGGCTGAGCCGCCTTTTCAGGTAATCATGGACACTCTTCTCTGATGGTACACCCGGACTGGATGAATGGTAGAGTTTCTTACAGGTTGTTGCGATAACAGAATCTGAAACCGTGCCAATGGACTTTTTGTATTGTTACATTATCATCTGTTGTGTTACATTATCATCTGTTGGTCTGTTTTTACTTTGTTTTTTGTTTTTGTTATGTTTTGAGAAAGGGTCTTGCTCTGTTGCCCAGGCTGGAGTGCAGTGGTACCATCATAGCTCACTGTGGCCTCAAACTCCTGGCCTCAAGTGATCCTCCCACCTTAGCCTCCTAATGTGTTGGGATTACAGGCATGAGCCGCTGTACCTGGCCCTGTTTTTCACTTTGAGTGGAAATTTACCTGTGCATAATTTTGGAAGACCATGTTTTGGTATTAATAATTTGAAAAATATTGGTTTACTGAGTTATGCAGATTTTTCAAATCTTGACACGTTTTATTAAATATTATCCCAAAATCACATTACTATCACCCCGATCTCACGATAAAAGCCTTTAAATATTTGGAAGCTGATAGACTCACAGTGATGAATACAAGTTTTCCAAAATGCTGATTTTTACCTAAGCCTGAATTTTATTATTGGCAACAGATCCTGCAATTTGCTGTTTTGTGTTGTTTTGGAGAGGGTTTTATTTAGTTTTTTTGTTTGTTTGTTTGTTTGTTGTTTGTTTGTTTTAGAGACAAGGTCTTGCTCTGTCCCCCACGCTGGAATGCAGTGGCACCATCACAGTTCACCGTAACCTCGAACTCCTGGGCTGAAGCAATCCTCCTGCCTCAGCTTCCTGAGTAGCTGGGACCACAGGCACATCCCCCCACACCCAGCTATTTTTTTTAAAGAGATGGGATCTTGCTCTGTTGTCCCTGCTGTTCTTGTTACAAGGCCACCAGGTTGGTGTGCCCTCTGCACAGTAACCAACCGATACACGGAGACAGCAGGGTTTGCAGCAGAGAAAGCTTAATGATTGCAGGTGCCAAGCAAGGAGATGGGAGGAGACCCTCAAATCCACCTCCCCTGGAGTTCTGGGCTGGGGTTCTTAAGGAGATTATGGAGGGTGAGGGGCTGGAGAAGCTGGGGTCACTGACTTGTTGGGGTAAGGGGGATGAAATCAGGAGGTGGAAAATGCATTTGCTGGTGAGTCAGCTCCTGTGAGGTCCTTCCCACCAGCTGGCATCAGTAATTTTACTGTTATGCAGGACCTGAAAGAGCATCTCAGATGGAAATCAACCTTTTACAATGTTTAAGTTGTTCTCTCTATGGTAGTTAGGGGAACTATGATCTTGGGACGGGGTCTGTGTGATTCTGGGGCAGTAGGCAGCAACAGTTATGAGGAGAGGTCAGAGAGCCAGCCCACCTCGTCGTGACGCTGCCTGCACCACCAGCTTAGTTCATTTTCCCTTCTCCCCCTCCCTTCTTCTCTGAATAATTTTATAAAGTTTACAGGGGTGATTTCAGCCTCAAACCCTGTCTTCAAGTGGTGCTCCCACCCTGGCCTCCCAGCATGAGCCTCTGTGCCCGGCCTGTTTATTTTTAAATTTCATTTTTAAAAGTATATATTTGACAGATTATAGTTGTATATATTTATGAGGTAGATAGTGATGTTATGATTTTTAAATACAATCATTTCAGTTTAAATCAAGCTAATTAACATAACCATCACCTCAGATATTTACCATCTTTTGTGGTGAGAACATTTGACATGTACTCTTAGCAGTTTTGAAATGCACGAAACTCTATTATTAATTATATTCACCATGCTGCACAACAGAACTAAAAAATTCCCCCAAACCACAAAACATACCCTTCCTGTCTAACTGAGGCCTGGCACCCTTTGGCCATCATCTCCCCATTCCCCAAACCCTGGCCTCTAGGGACCAGCTTTCTACCCTGCTTCTATGAGCTCAGGTGTTTTAGATTCTACATATAAGTGAGAAGATGTGGTATTTGTCTCCTGTGGTTTGGCTTATATCACTTAACTTGATGTTCTCCAGTTCCATCCATGTTGTTGAAAATGACAGAATTTCTTCCTTTTTAAAGGCTGAGGCCAGGTGCGGTGGCTCACAGCTATAATCCCAGCACTTTGGGAGGCTGGGGCAGGCAGATCACTTGAGATCAGGAGTTTGAGACCAGCCTGGCCAACATGGCAAAACCCCATCTCTACTAAAAATACACAAAATTAGGCCGGGCGCGGTGGCTCATGCCTGTAATCCCAGCACTTTGGGAGGCCAAGGCGGGCGGATCACGAGGTCAGGAGATCGAGACCATCCTGGCTAACACAGTGAAACCCTGTCTCTACTAAAAATAAAAAAATTAGCTGGGCATGGTGGCGGGCGCCTGTAGTCCCAGTTACTCGGGAGGCTGAGGCAGGAGAATGGTGTGGACCCGGGAGGCGAAGGTTGCAGTGAGCTGAGATTGCTCCACTGCACTCCATCCTGGGCAACAGAGCAAGACTCCGTCTCAAAAAAACAAAAAACAAAAAACACAAAATTAGACGTGCGTGGTGGCGGCCACCTGTAATCCCAGCTACTCAGGAGGCTGAGGCAGGAGAATCACTTGAACCCAGGAGGCGGAGGCTGCAGTGAGCGGAGATCGCGCCACCGCACTCCAGCCTAGGCGATAGAGTGTGACACTCCGTCTCAAAAAAAAAAAAAAAAAAAGCTGAATAGTATTTCGTTGCTTGGGCGCATGCACACACACACATATTTACACACACATATGTAACACACACATACATACACACATATACACACACATATATACACATGCACAGATACACATATACATACACACATATACACACACATACACCCCCCCACACACATTTTCTGTATCCACTCATCCACTGATGGACACTCAGGCTGATTCTGTAACTCGGCTGTTGTGAACAGTGTGGCAGTGGACATGGAAATGCAGGTCTCTTCAACACGTGGATTTCATTTCCTTTGGGAGTATATGCAGGAGTGGGGTTGCTGGATCTGCTCTGCTGGTTTTTAGGTGGCAGGCTTTAGACAGGGTCTGCCTCTGTTGCCAAGGTTGGAGTGCAGTGGCATGATCTTGGCTGACTGCAATTTCTGCCTTCTGTGCTCAAGTGATTCTCCTGCCTCAGACCCCCAAGTAGCCGGGATTACAGGCACGTACCACCGCGCCTGGCTAATTTTGGTGTGTTTTTTTTTTTTTTGTAGAGATGGAGTTTCACCATGTTGCCCAGGCTGGTCTGAAACTCCTCAGTTGAGCAATCCACCTGCCTTGGCCTCCCAAAGTTCTGGGATGACAGGAGTGAGGCACTGCGCTGGGCTCATGCATTTTTGAGGAAATACCTATGCAGCACACGGCCGGCAGCACCACAGTGTCTCAGCTGTCTTTCCAGGAAAGTCCTGCTCCCCACTATACTGTGGGTCCCCCGGCTAATTCAGCTGGAGTCCCCGTCGCTCGAGAGCCTCCTCCCAGGAAAACGCCCTTTGCTGCGGCAGCTTTCTGTTCTCCCTGGCTCCCTGCACGGAACTGAGCTTTGGTACAGTTCATCATTTGTGCTGTTTCAACAAAGACCTTCTTAGGGAAATGGCCTCTTCTCTGCTTTAATTCTGAGCACGCACTGGTGAAGGACACTGTATCTGAGCCGAGGCCCAGGGTGTCACCCATCAGAGCCTTTCACCATCTGTGCAGATGTCAGCGCGGGGAAGGGACACCTCCTTTACATAAAAACAGCTTAGACCTTGCAGGCTCCTGGAAGATTCTGAGGACCCCAGGGTTATGTGGGCCACACTCTGGGGAGCAGTGTCTATGGCCCCGTGTTTGGCCAAGCACCCCGTTCTGATCTTTACTTTCTCCACCTGGCACTAAGCTTCCCCTTCTTGCTTCTAACACTGAGTGGGGCTCCGGGGTGTCCCCCACCCCATGGCCTCCCAAAGTCCCTGGTTCGGGGCTGCCGTGAGCAGCCTCCTGAGTCCCCATGGGGTCCTGGGGGCCTTTCCCTCCGGGTCAGAGTGGCGGAGTCCCCGGCCTACACACACGAGCTCGGCCCAGTGCTCCCACGCTGACCTAGGGCTGGCCCCTCGCGGTCTTCCCTTCCCTTGTCAAACACCCCTCCCTCTGTCTCCAGAGTGCCGGCGAGCTGGGCGGGCTCCACTCCCTCCATGAAGCTGGCCCCTGAGCGCAGATGTGCAGGCTGGCATTCCTGCCCGCTGTGAGCATGGAGGGGCCTGGCCTCAGCCTCGCACTTCCTGACACGGTTGTGGGGTCGGGGCTGCTGGGTTCTTTGTCTCCCTGTGCGGCCAGGCCAGCAGGTGGGCGTAGCCAGGCGGGCTCCAGCAACCCCACCAGCTTGGGGGCAGCGGCTGAGCTTGCTGGGGCCTGTGGCTTCTCCGGGGCCTTAGGTCTGTGTTCCCTGCATCCGCTAAGTCCAGGGGTGGGAGCAGGGCCTCACAGAGGGGCCTTGGGCTGGGAGAGTGGGGAGGACTGTGGGCAGCCAGTGGCCCCTGGCAGAGTGGCAGAGGCCCAGCCATAGGCTCACTGGCATGGGGCCTGGTCTGCCTCCTATGCCCAGGACGTCTTGGCCGGGGGTCTCCATACCTGGGACCCACGTTCAGCCTGGAGACGGAAGTCAGGGTAGCAGGGAAGTAGCAGGAGGTGGCCTCTGTGTGACAGCGGGTGCCGGCGGCTAGGGGCCCACCGGGTGGAGCTCCTGGGGGCGTTGAGGAGCTGGGCAGTGGGCTGCAGTGGGGCGCCCTGGGGCCAGGAGGGCAGCTGGGGCAGGCAGGCTGTCCCCTCACCCTCTGGGTCTCTCGTGGGGGCCCGGGGCCGCAGGTCTGGGACGAGTCAGGTGCTGGGGGCAGCCGAACCCGCCCCAGCTCAGCCGCCCCTGCTGGTGGTTTCTCCGGGATAGGGTCCTGCCCTCTCTGGGCCTCAATCTCTCCCTCCTGAGAGTGGACTCTCTTGTGGGCTGGGTGGCCAGTGGGGCCTCAGGCCAGGAGGGAGAGGGAGCCCCTCTGTGACATCTTTCCTGGAGAGGCTGAGGCTCCCACTTCTACCTGCCCTCAGGGGGCTTCCTGAGCCAGGGGATACCAGCCAAGGGTGTGGCACCCCACTTCCTGGGCACTGCCGCAGAAGGTGGGAGGGAGGATGGGAGGATGTCAGAGGAGCAGGCCGGGGCTTGTGGGGGCCTCCGGTACCTCTGCTGGGAGCTCGCGATCCAAGGGACACAGCGTGAGGGGCCACCGCAGGTATTGAAACAGAAGCAGCCGGCGAGCCCTCCAGAAGTGGGAGCCCTCCAGAAGTGGGAGCCCTCCGGGGGTGGGAGCCCTCCAGGGGTGGGAGCCGGCTTGGACTCGCTGGCCCTGAGCAGGTACCTGGGCTCTCCCTGTGGGTGAGAGCAGTGGGCGGGCAGGCTGGGAACTTAGGGCTGTAGGACCTGCTGAGTGGGTGACACTTCATCCTCCGGGGGCTTCGAGGGCAGAGGTCCCTGCCTAGAGGAAGATCTGCTGGTCTGTGTGTGGTCGTTGCACCCTGGGCACTCGGCCCGGAGCTGGGCCTGGGCCTGGGCTGTGCTTCCTGATTCAATGGGGACAGGGTCCAGGGGACCTCTCCACCCTGTCCCCAGCATGGCCCGGTCCAGCCTGGCCCCGAGTGACGTTGTCAGTGAGAGTTGCCCAAGGCAGCAGGTCCAGGGTCTGAGCAGAGGCTGAAGGCCTGGCACCGGCAATGTCCCCTTCTTAGGCCAGGGTCTGGGCTCCTGGGGATCGGCCAGCACTCCATGGCCAGGGCGGGGAGCAGCAGGCCTCGCTGGGGATGGCCCCATGACAAGACCAGCCAGTGCTCCTCTGACCTGTAGGCCCTCTCCAGCTCTCCAGGAGCCGCAGAGACCAGTGTGGCTGGAAGTAAGGGCGCCACTCTGGGACCACGGTGGCTCTCAGGGCAGGACTGGGTGGGCAAGCGTGGACTGCATCTGTCCTGCATGGGGTCCTGCGTCTGGCTCGCCCGGTGCCGTGCTGTGGGGCCCACGCCAACGGCTGACCTCATGGTCCTCCGTGGCCTCGCCTAGGCTTGCGGCAGCCGACGTGGCGTTGTTGCCTAATTAGGTTGGACTGTGCCAGCCCCAGCGGAGCCCACGCCCGGCCCTTGCGCCGGCAGACGTGTCGGGGCACGGCTCCTGCACTCCCACTGCCGCAGGAACTGCTCAGGAACCTGCCGGTCTCCGGCTGGGACGGTGGCTGGATCAGCTCAAGCCTCCAGGGCCCTGAGGCTGAGGGGCTGAGTGCTCATTCCAGCCGCCTCGGGGAACCCGGGCTGGGAGACCCCATGCCTGGGGGTGAGCCTGGAGCCAGGGCAGTGCGGTGAGAGGCTCCGGAGAGAGGGCTGGGCACCACCAGGCTTGGGTGAGGAGGGAGGCCTCTGGTCGAGAGCGAGCTGGGAGTCCTGGGGGCCCCGGGGTGGGTGGTGGCCCAATGCCCTCTCCCTGCCATCTTCTGGGGCCAGGGCTGCCAGAGGTGCCGGGCCAGCCAAGTCTAGGTCTGTGCCGATTGGAGGGGGTGGGTGAGGCTGGAGGGCCAGGGCCTGGGGTGTGCAGGGTGAGGGGACAGGTGGCCAAGGGGCCCTCCTTCCTGGGGATTGGGTGCGAGGAGGGAGGCGAGGTCAAGGGTGGGGGTCCTACCTGCCAGGGCTCCTTCTAGGGCCCTGGGGAGAGAGACATGCCGACAGGAGCCTGCCCCTCCCAGCCCTGGCTGTTCTTCCCACCTGGCAGAGCATGGCTCTGTGTGTTTGAGGGCCCAGGACTCCTGATGTCCATCTGTGCTGGGCAGGCTGGGAAGAATCCAGGCCTAATGGCCAAGGCCTCCACCTGGCCCCTGTTAATCCCCTCCCCAGGGAGGGCACTCACCTCCCTGAGGGGCAGGCACCAAGGAAAAGGTGGCCAGAAAGGCTCTGAAAGGAGCTGGCCTGAGAGTGAGGAGTTGGCGGGTGATGTGGTGGAAAGGCGGGTTCTGGGCAGGGAGGCTGAGCAGAGGCTGGTGGGACGGAACCCCTGGGCCAGGACGAGGAGGCTGTTTGGAGCCTGGGGCCCCTTCTTGGGAGCAGTGAGAATTAGGGGTTTGGAGCTCAGCCAAGCGGGGCTGCCCTTGGCAGACATTACCAGGGAGACCAAAGGGGCCTTGATTCACTGCATGGGCTGCGTGCGTGGTGACCAAAAGGGCTTGAGACCCTGGCCTCAGGAGTGACACTGGTGAGACCACAGGGCTGGAGAAAGGAGAAAGGGCTGCCCGCCATGCCTGTGGCTCCTCCTCGGGGCCGTGGGGGCCCCTTGTGCTGTGAGGGCTGGCAAGTACCTCCTGTACCCAGCACAGCAGGAGGGGCTGGGGGGGCCGGCCTCAGAGACACCCCAGGCACCTCTTGCTTTGCAAATGTGCTCCTGGGAGACTGGCTGGTTTCTGTAAAGCGACTCCTGTTTTGCCTTTAAATTTCATCAAGCTGTGGGGAAAGTGTCAACACAGAGAAACAGCTGGAGCATGGAGGAAGCTGTGGCCTCGGGTCCCTGGTCTTCTGGCTTCCTCTGTGACTGCCCCAGAGACTTGGGGTTTCAGGGCAGGGTCCTGTGGCTCTCCTCCCCTGCCCTTTGGTTCTTCCCACCTGACTCTTCAGACACAGCTACCCAGCCCCACTGCGCTGGCCTATTTACCTATGAGGGGCAGTGAAGCTGGGCTGCAATGCAGCGCCTGCCAGCAGGGGTCACTGGGCACACACTGTGCTCCCTCCCCCGAGTTATGCACCTGCCTGGACAGACCTCACCCACCAACTCCCTCTGGCCTTCTTGCTCTCTCTAGGTGTGTGATGCGCTGCTGGCCCAGGCTACACCCCGACAAGGGACACCGGGGGCCCCGGGAGCAGAGAGACCTCAGAGCAGCCTCCTCCTGCCTCCTGTGGACGGCCGGCCCCAGCTGGTGATCCCAGCCAGTCCCAGCTTTCAGTTGCTGCCCCCACCGACAGTCCTCAGTCCCTCCATGATGGCTCCCCCGACAGCCGGCCCCCTTCCTGGCCCAGCTCTTCCGCCTGAGGACCCAGGGCCGGATCCGGAGAGCAGGTGGCTTTTCTTGAGCGCCAACATTCTGCCCGTGGGTGAGTGAGGCCCTGGCTACCCACACCAAGCCAGAGAACATTGTTCTTCTCCTGCTGAGTGCGTCTCTGTTTCCTGGAGCCCAGGGACAATACGGTTCAGGGTTCAGTTCAGTGACCCTGATGTCCCGTGATGTCACCTGGGGAGAACTGGGGCTCTGCTAGCACCCCAGGGCAGGTGGGGCCGCCACGTGCAGAGGAGCCTGGCGTGCAATTCAAGAGCTCTCAGTGTGTGTCCCTTCGTGTGGGCAGAGAGGGGGTGGGTTCATTCTTGGGGGATGGCTCTCTGCCCACCTGCTGCACTGGGGGGGTCTGGGAGAGGTGCCCCTGCAGCTCACGATGCTTCCTTCTTGGTCGTGTTGTCACTGTCAGAAGGGCGAAGGCCTCCCGATGTGGCGGACAGCTCTGGGGTCTAGTGTGGAGACTTTGGGGTGTGGAGCTGGTCCCCTGAGCTCCTGAGCTTCTGCTGGGATGCCCTGGAGTGGCAGGCCTGTGGCTGGCTGCCCTGCGTGTGCGTGTGCGTGTGTGTGTGTGTGCACACCGCTATCTGCCGCTTCTGCTCCCCCTGGGGGCCCCTGCTGCTCTCTGGGCGGCCGCTCCCAGGCAAGAACCATGGCAGTGGTGAGCGTGTGTGCGTGTGTGCGTGTGTCTGCCTGCACTCGTGAGGGTCTGCACCTGTGCCTACATGGTGTGTGCCCAAGTGCGTGTGTGTGTGTGTGTGCTCATGCTCTGTGCATGCCTGTGCCTCACAGAGGTGGCTCCGGCTTGTCAATGCCACATTCTCCAGATATGCCCAGACAGGTCTTCGCCATCTGAGGGTGGAGCTGCGCCTGGGGAGCTGCACACAGCCCCTGCCGGGCTTGGGGCCCTGGCTTTCAGCGCTGTCTGGAATGGACACCGGGGAAAGGGGAGACCAGATGGGGGAGGGGAGCAAGCTGCGCCCCCTTCTCCAGAGCTTCCAGAGTCCTGGAGAGCTTCCAACTCTGGCAGGGCCTGGGGGCGGGAGGAGCCAGCGGTCCTATATGCAGAAACAGTATCAGGTCCAGGGGCAACGGTTCCCAGGATAGAGGACTCCTGCTGTGTACCCTTCTGCTGCTGGCCCTGCCCCTCATCACAGTCCCTGCCTCTCCGTTCCTACCCCTTGTTACTGTCCCCGCCCCATGCCTGGGTGGTGGATGCTGAGGGAGGGCAGTCTTGTGCTGGGTGCTGGGCCTACCCTCATCCTGGGGGCCTTTCTGGGAGGCTCCTTCTTGGTTGAGCCGGAATCGTGTCCCTTTCCTTTGAGTCGGTGCCTGCCCCCACTGATGCCAGCTCAGTTACCTGTGCACATTAGGGTGGTGGTTGGCAAGGTGCCCCGGGTGGTGTGGGCCTCTGGCCTGCTCCAGGACAGGCTCGGCTCTGCCTGTTGGGTTTCGGGGTCCCAGACTGGGGGGCTTGTATGGAGCCTCGTGCATTTACCAGGCGTCAGCTTCGTGCTGCCTCCTCTGGGACTCACGGCCATGGCTGCCCACAGTGAGGCCAGGCCCCACTCTGCAGATGAGGCGGTGAGGACCCCACAATGCTGGGGCTGGCACCTGGCTGCCGACTCTCTCATCTTCCTGGCTCACACCCTCAGCCCTGAAGCGGTGGGCAGTGATGGGGATGGGGGTCAGGTCCGCTTGGGAGTGCAGCTTGGGGGTGAATAACTGAGCACTCCGGCTGGGACTGGGGCAGGTGGACAGCAGGGGGCCCAGGTTGGGGGCCGTGGGACAGCACTGGGGCCAGCCCCCTGCCCTGCTGGCCCCTCATGGCTGACAGCACACCCCGTCCCCTGTGCAATTTGCCTTACCCCAGTTCTTGTGTATCCGTGGTAACGGGCTTTCATTTAGAGCAGCTTGATCCAGCTCCTGGGGCTAACGGGTGGGGGAGAATGCAAATGACTGCTGGGCACGTGGCCGGGCCCATGGCACAGGCTGGGGTGTGCACCCGGCCCCCACACTCAGCGCCCTGGGCCCGGGGGCCCCTGCTGGGCATGATGAGGGTCTGAGCTGCCCAGACAGTGCACTCTCCAGGCTCTGGGAGCCTTCACTCCTGATCCCTGAGCCTCTCAGTGCCTGGGGCCGGATGCCAGAGGTGGAGGGTCAGAGCCCGCCGTGCAGGCTTGCCTGGACGGACACCGCCGCCCTCCCACAGCAGGGAGGGTCCCCAACTCCCCCGTCCGGAGGGGCTGTCACAGGAGCTGCCCCTGGGAGGCGCCTGGAGGTCTTTCCCGTCCGTCAGGTGGGGAGGGGTCTGTGGCAGTGCTCCCTTCTCTTCCCGGTGCACACACGGGCTGGGTGGAAGAACCTGGGCACCCTGCCTGCCTGTTACCCACCAGTGCCCATGGCTGAGCTTCAAGTGCCCACCCTTTGCCCCCTCCCATCCCTGAGGTTGGGGCCGTGTTTCCCTCTGGGAGGATCGAACAGCTTGGATGTGGGGCCCCACTGAACTCAGAGGTGGGAGCCTTCTTCAGGCTGCCCCCTAATACTGAGCCAGCAAAGGTAAATGGGGGTCCTCCTTCCACTCTTCCCCTTCCAGATTGGCTCCCGGCCCCCGCTGTGTACGTGCTCAGGTGTCCGGGGAGGACCAGTGTGCTGTGGTGTGGGTGGTGGTGCTGGGAGCAGAGGCAGGCAGGTTTTGTGGGGCTGACTGCATGTGCACCTGGGGCTGCTGGTGGCCTGGCCTCCCTGGCATCTCCATGTGGATGAGGCTGGCAGCATGGCCCTACTTGGCCGGGGGCTGCTGAGGCCCATCCGGGCCGGTGTGCTCCTGTCCCCTGGAGTACTCCAGCGGGAGGCTGTGGCTCTTGGGGTTCAGGGCTGCTGGAGTATGTGTCCCCGCCATTCTCACTGAGCTGGAGCTGGAGCGGCTCAGTCTCGGTGCCTTGAGGCTGGCACAGGTGGGAACGGTGTGTCCGCACAGCAGGAGCCTCCCCGGGGGCTTTCTGACTTCAAAGTGCACTCAGATCTGCGTTTTCCTTCGGACTCTACACCGGCTCTTATGTTGGCGGCTCTTGTATGTTTCTTTTTTCCCTGATCATGAAAGCAAGACTCACTCAGAGGAGATGCTTTGGAAAATACAGAAAAAGACAAGGGAGAAAATCAGACCAGCCATTGCCATCCACCTCTCCCCGCTCCTTCGTGGCTTTGGGTGCCTGGGTTAGGCAGAGCCCCTGCCGGCTCCCCAAACCCCCTCAGAGCCATCGACTCCCTCCACGGATGTGCCCACACTGGGGGTCCCGGGTGATGTTGGCCGTTTGGTCCCTTCAAACGTTTGAATTTTCCCCTGGAGCCCGGCTTTGAGTGTCTGCCTCATGCTCCGAAGGGCAGCAGTGCAGTCTCCCCGGGCACCCAGGAAACTCGACGAGCTGCTGCCATCAACATCGCAGGAGGTTCCTTCACAGGCATCGCGCGTCCGGCTTCGTGGCGGGTCTCCCGTTGTTTCCTTGGAGGCTGCGGGTCTCCCTGGGTGGCGTTTGATGTATGTGCACCGAGCTCTTTGAGGCTCCCACCTTCAGCTTCTTACTGAGCAACCAAGGGAGGTGGCTGGGTGTGCCAGGGGCCGGCGGGGGCCGCGCCTGGGCAGGGGGCACCGCGCCTTCCCCAGGTCAGTCCCTGCCTGAAGCCAGGTCAGAGGCTTTTCTAGAAGGAGGCAGGACACACGGACTCACCTTCACAGCCGTTTACAACCTGGGAAGGTGGCCCCAGCTCCTTGTGCCGTGGGGCCCCTTCTCTCCCGGGCACCCACAGGGCCTCTGGCAGGGGCGTATTTCCCCCACGCACAGGTTCCTTATCTGTCTCCTCAGCTGTATCCAGAATGCAGTCTGGTTGTGGAAAGCAAAATTAAACACTGCCTTTGTAGACAAAGCAGCTGCCGCCAGGTGCGGGCGGCACAAGCTCTGTCACTGGCCTCGGGGGCCCTGACTCTCCTTTGAGATGCAGAACCCTGGACACTGGGCCGTGGGACCCTCCAGTCCCGGAAGGGCCAAGTGTGGCAAGGGCCTGGCTTCCAGCAACCCCCTTCCCCCCACAGCCAGCAGAGGAGCCCCAGGCTGCCCGGGCTGCCAGCCGCACTAAAAGTGGGGAGAGCCTCGCCGGTTGTGTCCCCACTCTGGGGCCATGCAAGCTCCTCTCCCTGGTGCCACGTGCACTGATGATGTGCTTCACCTGGAAATCGAGGCTCCCCGTGGAAACCACCCCCGGGCAGAATCAGCTGTGGGTTGCGTATGTCCTCGGGCGCCCATGCTGTACCCAGGCTGCCCAGGAGAGCTGAGCCCGCACGGGAAGGCAGGCCCCTAGAAGTGTGTCCCCGTGGCCCAGAGCTGGCTTCTCAGGGGGGATTTGTTCTGAGAAGTCCGTGGCCTGCGAGCCTCAGCATGCAGCAGGCCGGGCAGAACACCGGGGCGCAGGGACTTGGCTTTGTCAGCAGCAGGAGGCAGGTGCACTGACCTGGATGGTCCTGCCTGGGCTGCAGAGAAGTGGGCAGTCCAGGAGCTCTGCTGGGAGGAGGAGTGGAGCTCACCAGGACGAAGGAGAGCATGTGGAAGATGGTCCCGGGGGTGAGGACCTTTCCTCCAGGAACCCCTGTCACCTGCGGACAGTGAGCAGGCCAGAGGCCGGGCAGGGGCTGTGGGGGGTGGGGCCCGGTTGCTGCCTCTTGCAGGGAGGGCACCTGGGCTCGGGGTGTTTCCTCAGAGAGGATAGGGAAGTGAGGCTCACGCCCAGGGGTCCCCGGGCTCTGGGCTGACCAGCGCTCTCACACCACCCTGGGTAGTCAGAGGGCACCAGCAAAGCTGTTTTAGGTTCCAAATGGCTGGAGGCTGGAGGCTGGAGGCTGGAGGCTGGAGGCATGTGTTAGTGAGGCGGGGATAGCAGGCGCAGGGGCCTCTCTTTGCAGGGACTGGGGAAGGGGCCAGGGACCTCAATGGGGTCCCTGGGGAGGACAGAGGTGGGAATAGTTGCTGGCTGGCAGGGCCCGAGTGCAGCGTGACACGGCTCTCAGAGCCCACAGCACGCCTGGCCTGTTGTGATCTCCAGGAGGGGAGACTGGGTTTCCAGGGTCCTTTGATGGCTGTGGAGTACAGCCAGGGTGGAGAAGATGATGAACTGTGGGCAGCTGGGGTCCAGAGCCCCTGCGATGGGAGGCTCAGCTCAGTCTGGAGTGAGCCCCCACACCTGGGGGGCTCAGCTGGGAACACCTGGTCTGTCCAGTGTGGGGCTGAATTTGCTGCTGAGACTTGGGCTCTCATCATCTCTCTCCCTCTGGCCAGGAAAAGAGTGAGGGCCCCTCCTCCCTTCCTCCCTCCTCTCCTCCTCCCTCCTCCCTTCTTCCCTCCTCCCTTCTCCCCTCCTCCCTTCCTCCCGCTTCCCTCCTCTCTCCTCCCTCCTCCCCTCCTCCCTTCCTCTCTCCTTCCTCCCCTCCTCCCTTCCTCTCTCCTCCCTCTTCCCCTCCTCTCTTCCTTCCTCCTCCCCTCCTCCCTTCCTCCCTGCTCCCTCATCCCTTCCTCCCTGCTCCCTCCTCCCTTCCTCCCTGCTCCCTCCTTCCTTCCTCTGTTTCCTCCTCCCTCCTTCCTTCCTGCCTCCTCCTTTCCTCCTTCCTCCCTCCTCCCCTCCTCCCTCCTCCTCCTTTCCTCCTTCCTCCCTCCTCCTTTCCTCCTTCTTCCCTCCTCCCTTCCTCCCTCCTCCCTTCCTCCCTCCACCTTTCCTCCCTTCCTCCCTCCTCCCTTCCTCCCTCCTCCCTTCCTCCCTCCACCTTTCCTCCTTCCTCCCTCCACCTTTCCTCCTTTCTCCCTCCTCCCTTCCTCCCTTCCTCCCTCCACCTTTCCTCCTTCCTCCCTCCTCCCCTCCTCCCTCCTCCTCCTTTCCTCCTTCCTCCCTCCTCCTTTCCTCCTTCCTCCCTCCTCCCTTCCTCCCTCCACCTTTCCTCCTTCCTCCCTCCTCCCTCCTCCCTTCCTCCCTCCAAGGTCAGTGGTGACTCCCCAGGGCTTAGCCGTCACCTGTGGCTCTGTCTCCTGGGAGGCCTGGAGAGGCAGGGGTGGGTGGCTATGCAGGCTGTGCTGGCAGGCATGGCCTGAGGGTCAGGCTAGTCCCTTCTCCTAGTGTCCTGGAAACTGGCACTGAGTGGGCATATGCAGCCTTGTCGTGGGCACTGTGGCTCCTGGAGTCTGGTGAAGAGGGCAGGGTTGGTCTTCCTGGGCCAGGGTAGGTGGGGACCTGCAGGCAGGGGAGGGTGTGGGCAGCATGGCCCATCTGGTTAGAGTGTCCCAAGAGACCACCCAGCTGAGGCCTCCTGGGGAGCTCTGGGGCCAGGGTGCACCTTGGGTGGGGGTGAGCATGGGGACCTGAGGTGCTGCTGGGGCCCCTCCCCGGGGCTTTGCTCCCAAGACCCTCCCACAGTCCCCAGCCCAGACAGGGCCGCCAGGCCTCTCGCCTTCTGTGGGGCAGGGCAGCCCCCATGGGTCAGGTGCTCAGTGTTGCCCTGGGGCCCAGTGGGCAGGTGAGGGAGCAGCAAGGCCACAGCAGGTCCCCGGGTCATGGAGGGCTTGGCTGGGAGGGAGCAGGCTTGGGTTATGGCCCGGGGTCACTCTGCCAATTTCGGTGCCTTGGTGGGCTGCGAGCCCCTCTTCTCTGAGCACGGACTCCTGTTCCAGAGGCCCCCACATTCTCTAGGGTTGCTCCATGCAGTGCCCAGCTCCTACTCCTGTCCAAGACTGACTTAGACCTCCTCTGGCCAGCTGGACAGCTCTGCCCAAATCTCAAATTCATCATCCCTGAGGACTCAACCTCAGACCCTGACTCCAGGCCTCCCTGCTGGGCAAATAGCACCCACCGCAACTAGGGGGCCCAGATCCTGGGAACACCCTCCCGCCCACCATCCGACTCAGCCTGGGGGTTTCTCTCCTGTCCCATGTCCCACTCTTTGCTCCACCCCTGCAGCCTCCACCCCTTCAGAACCACCCTCAAGTCATACCTGGCTAAGCAGGGGCCATAGCCAGATCGCCTGCTCCCTGCCTCTCTCTCTAGGGACAGGCAATACACACATGCACACGCACACACGAAGGCACACACATTTGTGCAGACATGCACATACACGTGTGCATACCACACACATACGTGCACACACATATGTATACCCACCCCCACACACATAGGGAAACACATGTGTACATACAACACATGTTCACATGCACCCAAACCACACACGTGCACACACAGTACATGCACCCACGCACGTGGCCGTCCATCTCAGTGGTCTTCCAGAACTCGCCTCTCACCGCCTCCTCTTTGGCCTCGAAGGCCTTCCACGATCTGGCCCTTGCCTGCCTCTGCCACCCCACCCCAACTGAGCATCCGCCAAGGTCCCTCCAGGCCCGCCTGGCACCTACTGCCTCAGCATTAGTAAAGTTCTTGGCAACTTGGTTGTGTGCTGGCTTTGCAGGTCCCTGGGCTGAGGCCTCCCCCAGGGCAGGGTCACACTGCGCTCCCAGCCACCTGGCTCAGAGCCCTGGGGATGCTCAGAGCGTGCCTGTTGGCAGCCGTGGAAATGAGCAAGCGCGGAGATGAACGGCGCTCGGCAGACGGTGTGTGCTGGCGCCCGGCCCTGTGCAGGCGACAGTTGGTTTACAAGGAAGTGTGCACTGGGCCCGGCTGGCGTGGGGTAAGAAGAAAGGGCAGGGCCCAGTGTCCCTGGGTCCCACCAGTCTCTGCCCCTTGGCACCCCTGGGGCATGACTGTGAGGCCGAGGGGCCCAGGGTCAGCCCAGGTCAGCAGGAGGTCCAGGGGAGGGTCTGTCCAGGAGGCACTCCCTCCTGTACTGTCTCCCATGCCCCTGCCATGTCCCCTCCAGCTCACCTCCTGCAAAGGTGTGCACACTCGACCCTGGCCTCCATCAGAGAGGGCAGCATGAGGGCTCTGGGTGTGGGTGCCCACAGGAAGGGGAGGGGGCTGGTGCTTCTCCACATCGTCTTTGCCGATTGCCCAAGAGAGAGCACCCCCGGCCACTGCGGCTAGGGCAGGTGAAGGTCCCTTCTTGCCCCCGCCTCCCAACACCTGCTCCCCACAGCCTGGAAGTCTATTTTCCTCCAAATTTGCTCGGATCATTCCAGCTGGGAGCACCCCCCGTCCCGCTGCCTGCCCACCAGTCTGCCACCCTCCCTGTGTGCCAGAAGGGCCTCTGGTCCCATGGGCACCTTCCCTGCAGATCTAGGGTCCTTCAGGGGGCGCAGCGTGTGCAGGGGGGAACCGGGGCAATTCACGGCAGCATTGAGTGTTTTGCCCCACTTCGCCGGCGTGGGCTGCCCTGCCCAGGGATCTGGATGGGCCGATGGAGCCCAGCTCTGGCCACATGGGTGGCTCCAGGTAGAAGTGGCTTTGACTACGCCCTCCCAGCCCTGACCCAGCTCCCAGGGTCCCTGTCTTGCTAGACCTGGACGGAAATATCTCCCTTGCCAATGAGAAACTGTTTCAAGGCAGGATACCATGTCTCTGGGGACCCTGGGCAGGTGCCTTTCTCTCTTTGTGCCTCAGTTTCCCCCTCAGAGAAAAGGGTGTGTCAGGCCTCAATGATTCCTAAGGGCAGGCAGTGCCTATAAAGACCTTTGGCCCCCCCGAGGGTGTCCTCACCCTTCTCGCTGGCACCAGCCCATGCAGCAAGGTGCCTGGGGGGTCTCAGAGCAGGAGGCTCAGCCCTGCCCACCCACCCCAGTGCTGGCCAGACCTGGTCCCCGACCCCAGGGCTGCCCCCGGGTTCTGGGCCCTGTTCATGGGAAGCCAAGCCAGGGGCAGCTGATCCCATCCCACCCGTTCGTTGTCTTGAGTTCTGATTGAGAACGGGACGTCTTCAGACCAGATGCTGGTGGAAAATGAAACACACACTTTCTAAATTTAGCTGCTGAGGATTGCACGTTTACCCGATTAAGCCCATTGATTGAGTTGCGTGCACGTGCTCTCTCTGCAGTGCTCAGCTGTGCCTCTCCGGGCTGTCTGTCCTCCATGGTGACCTCAGGCTGCAGAAGGGCCTCTGAGACCTCCCGCCCAGGTCTCTGGCCCTGAGCCATCTGTTCACCTGGGGCTGACACTGCCACCCTCGGGGGAGAGTCCCGGGGTCCGTGGGGAGAGCCCGTCAGAGTCCAGCTGGATTCTTCTCCACTGAGGAAAGGCATTGCCTGAGAGACACCGCAGCCAGGCCTGGCTGGAGTGTTCGAGGGCAGCGGGCACGCGGCTCCCTGCCTGCAGGGACCTCATGATCTTAATGTGAAGGGCAGACTCAAAATCAGGGCAAGGTCATGTCCGGGACACTGCGGGGGACAAGGCAACCAGGGAGGCTTCCCAGAGGAGGTGCCTCGTTCCTGACCTTGGAAACCAGGCAGGGGTGGGCAGGGGGCCTGTGGAGAAGGGGGAGTCAGGCTTGGTGGAGTGTCTATGAGGGAAGGGCAAACAGGGTAGAGAAGGCAGCTGCAGCCAGTCCACAGGGCCCTGGGTGCCAGGCTGAGGGGTCCGATGTAGCCTGTGGTCCAGCTGCAGGGGTGGGTGTATTGGAGTGAGGCCTGCAGGCCAGATGGGGTCTGTGGGTATGGCCCAGGAAGTGGCCCATCTGGGAGCGCCCGGGAAGGAAGACTGGCTGGGAGGGCTGGAGCTGGGGAGGATCTCGGGTGGGGGGCAGGCGGTGTGCCCTGGCTGCCGGGGTTGCCCCCAGGAGCACCCGGCCATGGTGGTGGGTGCCTCCACACAGTCTGCCGTGAGAGGAGGCCTCTCTCCATGTCTGTCGCTGGCCTTGCCCGGCCCGCCCGGGGATCTTGCATTGCTGCGACCAGGGATCCTCTCTCCATGTCTGTCGCTGGCCTTGCCCGGCCCGCCCGGGGATCTTGCATTGCTGCGACCAGGGATCCTCTCTCCATGTCTGTCGCTGGCCTTGCCTGGCCCGCCCGGGGATCTTGCATTGCTGCGACCAGTGATCCTCTCTCCATGTCTGTCGCTGGCCTTGCCCGGCCCGCCAGGGGATCTTGCATGCTGCGACCAGGGATCCTCTCTCCATGTCTGTCGCTGGCCTTGGCCGGCCTGCCCGGGGATCTTGCATGCTGCGACCAGGGATTCTTGAGCCTCTGGCTCAGGATGGAGATTTCTTTCACAGTTTCCAATTTGCGTTTCGGTTTTGGCTTCGTGCAGGAGGCCAGGTTTCTGTCTCATTGCTGTTGGTGTCATCTCTCTGCCTCTGTCCCTGGGTCCCTGGTGCTTGGCCACGTCCCCCCGGGAACGGAAGGCTGTGGGTCTTTCCTCCTGGGGCCTCATCTGAGGCCACTGAGCTCCACAACTGCCAAGATCTGGCTGTGCCCGGGTGGTCCTGCCCCCAGGAAACCGCCCCGACCATGCTGTCCGGGAAAGGGGGTGCAGATGGGCATGGTTCAGAGGGCACTGCCCGCTCCAGGTGCCCAGGAAGTGGAGGGGGTGGGTTCCCATCCTGACTGCACCTGGCTCCAGGTGGTCTCTAAGCCAGGCAGTGAAAGGGGTGCTCAGGCTTTCATCT
Organism: Homo sapiens; assembly: GCF_000001405.40. Classification (NCBI taxonomy): domain Eukaryota; kingdom Metazoa; phylum Chordata; class Mammalia; order Primates; family Hominidae; genus Homo; species Homo sapiens. Next base: position 2,441,166 of record NC_000001.11, read on the forward strand.
GAGGAAAGCCCCTAGAGGGCCGGGGGATGGGAAAAGTGGAGAGAGCCCCCCTGGCAGCCCCTGCCGGCCCCTGCCAGCCCCTGCTGTGAAGCCTCAGAAGCGAAGAGGCGCGGGCACCACACGTATGGTCCCAGAGCAACTCCCAGCTCCAAGCAGGCGTCGCATCCGGCCTGGGTTTGGCTTCTGCCAGCTCCTGGGCCTGCACTGGGAGGGGCTGAGCGTGGGGGCATGGGGGTGGGCAGGAGCCTGGGGATGTTCATTCACAGCACCGAGCTCTGTGGGTACTCTTTCATTCACCCACACCTCATTTATTCCTCCTGCACGTTTCTGAGCATCGACTGGCACGTCCATCCTCCACTCATCTGCTGAGTCCACTCTCACTTTGGGATCCCAGACCAGCTGATGCTGTCACGGTGGGGTTTCCTCCTGGGAAGGAGAGGGAGGAGCGGCAGCTCTGCCCTGGCCTGGGCATTAGGTCCCTGGTGTAGGGGTAAGCAGAGAAGCTGCAGGAGCCAGCACCCCGGGAGAGGAAGCCAGGGTGGAGTCTGGGAGTCCCGTGGGCCAGTGTGGCCAAGGGAGCCAGGAACTAGCCTTTCCTTGGAGGAGAAGCCCTGGAGCTGCCGCAGGGTTCACTGGGGGAGGAGCGGCTCTCTTTGCCTTCCATCCACAGCCCGCATTAAGGCAGCCACACCTCAGGGCGCAGGGCTCTGTCAGCCCCTCAGGGTAGTGATGACAGAGGCTTCACTGCAGGCTCATGGTCCTGGGCAGAGGCTGCTAGAGCCCGCCCAGCCTCAGCCAGATGAAACATCCGGGAACACACACCCGGCACAGAGTCTCCAGGGCTGTGTGGAGATGGCACTGCCTGGTGCTCCTGGAAAGCAGAAAGCCTCGGGAGCGGAGCTGGCCCTGCAGGCGGCAGGACGTAGCCTCTCCGCGGTGAGCTTTGCACCAGGAGGAATCCTGACCATGCCCCAGGCTCTGGGGCACAGCCAAGCAATAGACTGCTTGGGGGAGTCAGAAACCTCCTGGGCTTCAGCAATCAGGAAAGAACCATAGACACCAGCAGGTCTATTCCTGGGGAAACTGAGGTCTGGAGGGGAGACTGAGGCCTCTCGTGAATCTGTGGGGAGCCAGGACATGCACCTGTGTCTTCTGTCTCCTCTTCAGCCACTACGCCAGGGCCAGATGGTGGGCAGGGTCTGCTTTGGAGAGCAAAATAGAAACTCCGGCAACACTGGTCCTGAGTGACACGCTCCCACGCACCCCTACCCCACCCCTGGCCTCCTCCCTGGCTCCCAGCTTGGTGCCCATCTCGGGCCTCATCTCAGACTCAGCCTTTCCTCTCCCTGGCAGGCAGAGCTGACGGGCCCAGGGATGTGTGTGTCCTTAGTGGCCTGTGCCCCTTTCTCAGCTCTGGCGAGGACCCCCTCTCAGTCTGAACCACTCATATTAGACCCAAAGAACAAAGTCCAGGGACCCTTGGGTGCAGAAGCAGCATGGTGTGGGTGCACGGGGCTGCCCTAGGGTGAACGCTGTGGCTTCCCTCTAAGGCTGGAGGCTGGCCTTGTGGGTAAGCTGGGGGCTCTGAGTGCAGGAGCCCTTCTTGTTCCAGAGTCTGCCAGGAGGGTCTGTTGGGAAAGTTCTGCCTCTTGGCTCTGTGGCCAAGGCAGACCTGGGGGAGCTGAGGCCTCTCTGGACACAGGCCAGAGCTGGGCAGTCTCTCTTGACTTGTCTCCCGCCTCCTCCTTCATGGCTGCCTGCAGCAGAGCGGGGAACCGACGAAGTGCCTGGAAACAGAGAAGCCTGGTGGGCAGGGAGGGTCCCCAGGGTCTAGGGCCTGTCTCTGTGGCTGCTTTGGGCCTCCAGGGTCTGGAACAGTGGAAGAGTTGACTGGTGTGGGGCTAGGGACCTGCCCAGGGGAATGGTCATCCTGGTTCTCCCTGGGGGCACAGGAGGCAGCACCAAGCTCCCTCCCCCCAGAGGTGGGTGGGCTGGCCGCCCGATGGGAGCTAAGGGTGCCCTGCCACCCTCTTGGGGCTGGGCCGTACCCCGTTCTCAGCAGTCCCAGGCACTTCTGCAAGGGTCTGCATGTGCCCCTGACATCTTAGTTGGGGGAGGGGTGGCCCAGGCCCCAGTCCTCAAATGGGGAAGGGATGGCCCAGGCCCCAGTCCTCAAACGCCAGGGTGTTGGGAGTGGGGGGTGGGTTGTAGTGTCGCCGGGGCCCCTGTCTTGGCTTCTTCCAGCGCCTGGGCAAACGCCCAGCCTGGAGATGGGAAGCGCTCTCGGCCCCGCCCCCTTCCCGGTCCCGCCGGCTGGGGCCACGGGGAGCCGGAGGGAGGCGGAGGGGGAGGTGTGGGGAGCGGAAGGCCGCAGGAGCATCTTTGCGGAGAAAGTACTTTGGCTGCGGCGGGCGCAGGGCGGGCCGGCTAGCCCCGCGCCCCACCTGTTCTGTGCGTCGCGCTCGCCCGGTTGCGCCCGATCTGCCTCCAGCCCGGTGCCCGCCGCGGAGCCCGCGCCCCCGGCCCCCTCCCGGCGCGGGGCGGGCAGGGGGTGTGGTGCGGGCGGCACGAGTGACAGCGCGCTCCTCGCGCGGCGCCTCCACGGGGCGCAGTGTCACCGCGCACAGCCCGCCGCGGGCCGCCCGAGCTGGCGGGGCGATGCCGCGGGAGCCGGAGCCCCAGCCCGAGCCCGAGCCCGGCCGCTGACTGCGCCTCCCGGCCCGCAGCCCCCGCCCCCGCCGCCCTCGCTGCCCTCGCTGCAGCCGCCACGGAGACAATGGACGCGGGAGCCGCCCCGCAGAAGCACAGTAGGTGCCGCTCCTGCCGCTGCGCCGCTGCCAACCGGGATGCGCGGGTGGACGCGCGGGGGCGCCGCAGCCCTGGTGCGGGTCGGGGCTGAGCCGCCTGGGCTTCAGACTCGGGAGCGGAGGCTCGGATCGCGGTGGCACGGGCAGGGGTGCGGGCGCGGGACTGTGGGCGGGACGGGCGGAGCGGTCTTGAGCTCTCCGGATGGCCTCAGGTGCGGGGTGAGGGATCTGGGGGCCGCCCCTCGGCAAACTTTCCTTCCCCGGGCTTCTGCGGAGGTCGCACTGGGGCTGTGACCGTGCTGAGAATGACCCCTGCTGAGCCCAGGCCGGGCACCCCGATCCCTGCCGGATGGTGCCGCAGGGCACCCTGTGTGGGTCCGGGAGGTGCTGCGTGGACTTGCCGCATGGCACATCTGCCTGGGCTGCAGGTGCTCATCTGGGGGGAGCCGGCCTCTCCCCACACTAGCAGGTGGGGTGCAGCGGGCACTGCCCGGGCAGGCGGGAGCTCCGGAGGCCCTGGGGCGGCCCTGCTGGATGGTCTGTAGGACACGGGAGGGGGAAGTGTTTGAGTGTCCACTGCTGAGGGGTCTCCTGGGCTCTGGACCTGCCGGCAGAGCTACAGGGTATTCTTTAGGGAGATGGGCTCTGCTGGAGCTGGTGGAGGAAGATGCCAAGGAGATAAGAGGCTTCCCCTCCCCTCCGCTCCCCGCCTCCCACACTGTCTGGTGACACTGGAGGCAGCCAAGGTGGCCACTGATCCCCACTGTGACCACTGAGACCACTGGAACTGCCCTTCCCCCATGGCCTTCTCCCTCCAGGAGAATGGACCCGATCGGTGTCCCCTTCGTCCCCTGACACGTTGGTCTGGGGAGGCGGGGTCACGGTGCCCCAACACCCCTGACTTGGGGAGCCCATGGTGTCTGCCTGCCTGGGTGTCTGATCCTAGAGACTCCTTCAGCGAGGTGCAGCCTCAGAGGGGATTCAGGCACCATGGGAGGCCGGGGAGGGGCAAGTCAGAGGGCGGAGGCCACTGTCCTATCTCCTGCTTGGTTGGTGGGGACAGAAGCCAGCCTGTTGGTCTCCCCTAGGACCCTGGGCTGATGGGAGAAGTCGTCTCTAAATTGGCCCCCACTATGTTCCCTCTGCACTTAAGCCAGGGCCACATTCTCCGCACTGCCCTAGGGGAGGGTCTGGGGTCTGGAAAGGATGAGGGAGGCAGGTGTGCACTGGGCAAGTGGGTGCCTGTGGCTGTGCTGAGGGTCCCCACAGGCCCCTTCCCTGAGGCTGAACGCCTGATGGCCCTGCCCTCTGGGAGGTGAGAGAGCTGAGCCTGCAGCCTCGTCTGGACGAGGCAGGGAGGGAGACTGGCGCCTGCTTGGCATGTCCCCAGGGAAACCAGGGCAGTGAGAGAAGAGGCTGGAACAGGCCTGGGCAGTGGTCGGGGAACTGGTGGGAGTGTCTGCTGGACAGTGTGTAGAAGACTCGGGGCTCGGGGCTTGGTCTGGTGGCCTTGGCCTCAGATCCCTGAGCATGAGGCTGGGGTCAGGCCTGATGTCCAGCCTCTGGCAGAGCTGGCTGTGGGTGGGGAACAGCTGGGGGTACGGGGGAGGGTGGGGACAGGTTGGCAGCGGCCCCTCCTGTGGGTGACCAGGTAGGGACCCTGCCCAGAGGGGGGAGGCAGAGGAGCTGGTGGGCAGGAGAGACCCCCTACAGACCCTCCTAGGTGGTGGTGGGGGCCTGGCAGCCCGGTTCCCGAGGCCCTCACTGCTGCTGCTGGAGTTCAGGTGACATAATCTGCACGGCACACACGGATTGCCGTAAGCCGCAGCAGCCAGGTCTGACAATACGAGTTGTAATTGGATTTTAATTTTTAATGTCCACAACACATGAAGAGCTTCGGACCAATTTGTGTATCTTCTGTTACTCTGCGCCTAATAGGACCGCTTCATTAGCTGCTGTCGCACCCACAGTGCCGTCTGTCCGGGAACGGAGGGAGCCTGGCCCGAGCCCCATGCCAGAGCCCCAAGAGCTGCCTGCCACCTGCTCCAGTGATGGGCACGCCGACGGGAGGGGGGCTGAGGACCAGCCCAGAGGGTCCCTCCCGCTGCCTGGCCGGGCTTCCACCCCCGTCCTGCTTCCCTGTCCACTGCAGTCCTAGCCAGGGTGCTGCCCCTGGCTGCCAGGAAGGGGTGGCCATTGGGGGCTTGGACATCAGTGTACCCACTGAAGGCCCAGCTTCCCCGCTGCTGCCCACTCTGGGGCTGTCACAGGCCCCACTGGGACTCTTGTCTCCAATGGCCCCTGGGCACAAGTGGCCCTGGATTCTGGGGTTCCATTGCCACTCACCCCCCTATTCACTTGTGGCTCAGCCCTGCCTGCGATTTGGGGGTTGAGGCTGGAGTTAAGACCCTGTAGCCAGGTCTCCCGGGGCTGGGGGTGGGGTGGCCCTTGACAGACTGGGGCCCCAGGCAGAAGCAGGAGCTGTGTGCCTCAGGCCCCTCCCTCCCCCCAGCTGCAGGGGTCCCAGGAGGCGGGGCAGCTCCGACTCCGACCGCCCTCCGGATTATTCTTAGGTCTGTTGTGTAACAGGCGCACATTGGAGGCAGAGGGAGGAAGGGCTCCTGGAGATGTCTCCGGCGGCAGCAGCTAGCCAGCCGGGAGAACAGCTTTTGTCCTTTCCACTCGCCCAGCACAAAGGGACAAAGGAGGCTGCCTCGGCTGCCCAGCCCAGCTGAGAGCTGGCCAACCTGGGCCCATGCAGAGGGGTTGGGCTGGCAGAGGGGTTGGGGCTGGCAGAGGGGTCGGGGCCTGCAGAGGGGTCAGAGCCGGCAGGAATGTGATCATCCCTTCACTGCCTCATGCTCCCCAGGGCTGGGCTGAGTCTGGGCTGGGGCTCCTTCCTCCTCCTGCCCCTGCAGCCCCGTGTGTGTGTGCACACCTCTGTGCCCATGCACAAGCACCTTTCCGGGGCCAGCTTCAGGCAGCACGGTGGCCTGGTGGAGGTGGAGGTGGCAGAGGGTACCCACCCCAGCCTCAGAGCCGCCCTCAGGGCTCCTCTTCCTGCCTTCCTCTCCCACCCCCTCATGTGCTCCCAGCAGCCTTTGGGTGTCGATTCCGGGGTCTCCACCCCCGCAGATGGGAGCAGGCTCCTCATGCCTGCCTTCTGAGCTCCCAGTGCAGATCAGACTCTGTGCGTGAGGCTCCAGGAGGAGCCAGGCTTGATGGCAGAAACGAGCAACCTGAGGGGCTTCCAGGGCTAGGGTGGCTGCAGGGTGGGGCCCCAAGTCTGTGGGGGGAGGCCCATTTGCTCACCTCACCCGCATCCTCCAGGACCACTCTGCCTTCAGCTCCTTCTCCCGGATCGCTGGACCTGTGTTCCGCACACACCTGCACACAGCTGTACAGTCACTCCCAAGACGGCTAAGCCAGCCTTCTCAGGGCTCCCCCTCCCCTCCCCCAGGTTCTGCTGTGCTCCCAGGGTGCCCTCCCACTGGGGAGCAAGGAGGGACATGCATAGTGGGTGGAGATTCCACCAGGGGAGGCCCCGTGTTGAGGGCCTGCAGCTCCAGGGAGGGGCCGCTGACCCGGAGCTCCACTGTGACCCTTGACTGTGACTGAGCTGCTGACCCTGGAGAGACTGGAAGGCAGGAAAGGCTTGGGGGTGGGGGCAAGTTGCTGAAATGTCCCCAGCTTGATCTCTCAGGTTGGGCCCAGGGAGACGCCTGACTGGAGCTTCAGCGGTGGTAACCTGGCCTCACTCCTCCCTGATGTGGCCCGGTCTGCCCACTTCGGGGCAGCTGCTCTCTGAGTCTTTGGGGTCTTTCCCTCAGCCCACCGGGGACCAGCCGACCGGGAACCGGGGAATACAGAGGATGTATTCCCTGAGGATGCATGTGCTCTGCGGCAAGGCCTGAGGTCTTTCCGTCCCTCCCTGGCTGCGGGACTTTGGCAGGGCACTCGGCCCCTGCTTATCCCTCCCTCCCCTGCGGTACCAGGAGAGTCAGTGAGATCATTCAGACCAGGCTGTGCCGCAGTGCCTGTGGGTGGAGGGCATGGTGCCCCTGGCTGCTGTGGTCCTTTTTCCCTGGTCGTGGCCTCCAGGCAGCCAAACCCAGGCAAAGGTGACCCTTGTCAGGAACGCTTTGCTGACAGCTGGGCTGCCCTTGCCCTCCTGGAGCGCCAGGTGCCCCGGGTGTCTGGAGCACCACGACATGGAGGGGTGTGTTTCCTGCAGCTGCTGGGACCGGCTGCCGTGCACTGGCCACTAAAAACGCCGCACGCTTATTCTCTCGCAGTCCTGGAGGCTGGAAGTCTGAGGTCAGGGTGTGGGTGGGGCCGCGCTCCCTCTGCAGGCTCCCCGGGAGGAACTTCCTGGCCTCCTCCAGCTTCTGGTGGCTCTGGCGTCCCTTGGGTTGTGGCCGCCTCCTGCTTCTGCCTGTCTTCCCTCGCCCTTCTCTCCGTCTTCTCTTGCGCCTCGAGTCTCCTTTGTCCTGTAGGATCTGGGGCCTGCCTGGGTCATTCGGGACGATCTCCTCGGCGCAGGCCTTTCACTGAGCACGCCCTCAGAGACCCTTTTTCCAAATAAGGCCAAATTCACAGGCTCTGGGATGCGGATGTGTTTTCTGTCGGGGGTCGCCCTTCAGCCCCCTACTGTGGCCGTGTGCTCCACCCCAGCACCCCCGCCCGAGGCAGGCCCTGGAGCTCACGCTGCTGAGGTCCCACAGGCCCCCTGGCGCAGCCTCCTGGCTCCCCACCATCCCCCCTGGTGCAGCCTCCTGGCTCCCCACCATCCAGTCTCTCCCTGGGTGGGGTCCTGGCTCCACAGGTGACCAAGAGGGGTACTGGAGGCCTGGACGGGCCTCACTCCATTCTTAGGGAGCGGCTGCTCCTGGTTCCCAACCACAAGTCACATCACTGCTGCCCCGGAAGGCACCTGGGGCCTCCAGAATGCTCGTTTCGTCAAACTGTTGTACGTGGCTCCTTTGCTGGCGCGGGGAAAGGGCCGTGGGCTTGGGCCCTGGAACGCATCCCAGGATCAGTGGCTCTGCAGGCTCCAGGCCCCACCAGCTGCTCTGAGGAGGCTCAGATGGGTCTGGGAGTCCTGGTCGGAGCTGTAGCAGCTTCACATCCCCCTGGACGGAGGAAAATGCAGATTCAGCACCCCCACCCCCCGCCCCCCACCACCCAGAGGTTGGAGCTATTTCAGTAGAAATACATGTTTTAAACTGGGGCGTCTGGCCAGCCACGGTGGCTCATGCCTGTAATCCCAGCACTTTGGGAGGCTGAGGCGGGTGGATCACCTGAGATCAGGAGTTCGAGACCAGCCTGGGCAACATGGTGAAACCCTGTCTCTACTCAAAATACAAAAATTTATCTGTGTGTGGTGGCAAGCACCTGCAATCCCAGCTACTTGGGAGGCTGAGGCAGGAGAATCGCTTGAACCTGGGAGGTGGCAGAGGTTGCAGTGAGCTGAGATGGTGCTACTGCACTCCAGCCTGGGTGACATAGTGAGACTCTGTCTCAACAAAACCAACCAACCAACCAACCAACCAACCAACCAACCAGCAAACCAGGGTGTCAAGGCCCACACTTGAGGGAGTGGTGTCAGGTGAGGTGGGGGACCAGGTCTGCAGCAGCCTCTGCCTGGCCTGGGTGGGGCAGCTCTGCCCAGGTGGTGTCACTGGGGTGGAGGACATGGCTCTGGAGCTGGGCAGACTTGGATCCCAAATCTGCAACTGTGTGGCCTTGGGCAATGGACTCACTGCTGAGATGAGCCAGCAGTAGTATGTTATGGGCAGGGCTGTGTGGCTGCCTGTAAGCTCTGCCTAGCCACCTCTCAGGGACAGTGGCTGCCCCAGCCTCGCCCCGTCCTGCCCCTGCTCCGTGACGCTCCCTGGAACTCAGTCATTCTCTGGGGAACCAACAGCCCTCAGAACTGAGTTGCAGCTGTAGCTGCAGTTGTCTTTGATGCATAAGTGGGAGGCTGGCCTCGGACTGGGCTGCCGCCGCCAAGCTCAGCCCTGGGGAAGTGGGTGAATGAAGCTGTTTCTCTGCATACAGTGTCTCCCTGGCTCCCCTGGGGTCTCCTGAGCCACCTCAAGGAGCCCCGGCCCCTCCCAGCTGGGCCCGTCCCCTGAGGCTTGTCCAGGAACAGGCACCCTGGGCAGAGGTGGCTTCATCCGTTGCTGTCCCCTTCTTGGCTGGGCCTCGACGGGGGGGCAGATATCGGGCACCTCCTCCCAGGAGGGAGTTTGGTTTTTGTCTGCAAAATGTGATCCTTCGAGAGCTGGTTCAAACACCCAGCCATTCCCTCCCTCCCCGTGGGCCTCCAGCACAGGCGGCCGGTCCTCTGGGTGCCTCGTTAGCTCACCAGGACGTGCCCCACTTTTCAGAGCCTCTGCTCTACATGAAGTGAAGATGGGCTGGGCCGTCTGGGATGTTTCCCGCGGCATTCAGAACACAGAAAAGGAGCTCGTTACCAAGTGCCCCCAACTCGGCCTGCCTCCCTATTCAGCCTGCGCCCTATACAGCCTGCCCCCAACTCCCTGCCTGGCCCCACTCCCCGCTTGCCCCCCAATTCCCCACCTGCCCCCTAACTCCCCACCTTCCCCCTCACTCCCCACCTGCCCCCCACTCGGCCTGCCCTCCAACTCCAACTCCCCCCCTGCCCCCCGCTCCCTGTCTGCCCCCCTGCTCCCCGCCTACCCCCCTCTCCCCGCCTGCCCCCCCGCTCCCCGCCTGCCCCCCGCTCCCCGCCTACCCCCCGCTCCCCGCCTGCTGACTGTTGCATCCCAGGTTCCAGACCCTTGGACCAGGCGCGTTCAAGGCCAAGCACGTGGGACCCCAGCCTGGGCTCAAATCCCCACCTGTCCGCCCACCAGTTGCTGGACTGTGGGTTTTGGGGACATACCTGTGTCTCTGGGTCTCAGTTTCCTCATCTGTGAAAAGGGGGTGACAGTGGTTGTGAGGGTGAGCAGGTGACTTGTAGAGAAGGAGGGACAGCTCGGCAGTGGGACCCCCGCCTGTGCTAGGGATGTCGGCTCCCAGGACACAGCCCTGGCCCTGGCCCTGCCATAGGGGCTGTGGCTCGGCCACCCAGCACACGCTGTCTGGAAATAGGACTTGAGGTGCAATTTGGGGCAGGGCCTGGGGTCCAGGCCAGCAGCTGGGCCGAGTGCGCTCCAGGAGGGAGGCCTGTTGCTGGTGTCCACGTCAACAAGGTGCCGGGCGCTTCTCCACTCCCCAGGGCCCTCCCCCTCCCAGCCAAGGCAGGCGGTGGTGGGCTTGCCTCGTGTCCCGATTGTGGGGTCTGGGGCCAGAGATGTGTGTGCCTCCCCGGCCCCCGAAGATCATACGCAGTAGCGTCTCCGAGGGATGCCACTAGCAGTGACAGGCAGAGATTGTCGCGGAGAATGTGGCTGATGGAGGTGCGTTTCTGGGCTGTACAGATCAGTGCCGCCCCTCTGGACTGATCAGTGCTGCCCAGCTAACCCCTGGCAGCCCCAGTAGGGCTTCTGGAGGAAGCCCCTCTACTCCAGCCCCAGGAACTGGCTCCAAGGGCCACCGTGAGGCCAGAGAGCCGCGACCCACCAACATGTCCTATCACCGTGGAGGGCAGCCCTGTGGGAGTCTGCGCCATGGGTGGGCTGGGGGCTCTCGGGGGCTCTGACCCCTCAGAGGGTCAGCCACCGTTGGCAGCAGGGAGCCCTTCCCCCAGACCACAGCCCTGGTAATGGGGGCAGGACAGGCCAATGGGACCCCTCCCTGGGGGCTGGGCAGCGAGTTGGCCCCACCGGCCTGGGACCCTAACGTGCTCTTGGCCCCAGCCCTGCCCCCACTGCGTCTGGGCTGCCGGGGGGGCGGTGGGTGGTGGTGGGGGGACTGTGATTCAGGCTGAGCTGTCACGGATGCCTGTCATCGGCATGCTGGTGGGGAAGTGTCTGTTTGCACAGAAAACACGTTCTGAGCCCCGGGATCTTTGTCATCCTTCAGAAATGCCAACCCTGTGAAGTGAGGTCTGCTCTGCCGTGGGCCTGTCGGAGGAGGCTGAGCAGAGACTTCCGTCTGGGCCCCGAGCTTTGGCAGTGCACGGGAAGGCGCCCCCTCCCTCTGGCCCGAGGCTCCCTTGCTGGTAGGGGCAGCGGGCAGCCCCCACTGCATTGCTGAGCCTGGAACCACGGTGGCCGCCGTGTGCAGCCAGGTGTGCAGAAGGACGGTGGAGGCTGAGTGCAGCTGGGCCGCACGACCCAGGATGCTGGAGCTTCAGGGAGCAATCCGGAGGTTCTCCAGAAGCCGCTGAGGCCTGGGTCCCCCTGCCGCCCCCCATCCCCCGGCCCTGCCTGGCAGGTAGCAGCCCCGTGGAAGTATTTCATCTTGGCTGAAAGGCAGCAGCTGCCGTCCTGGAGTGAGCCCCGTGGAGGGGGGCCTATCTGGTGGGGATGGGAGCCCTTGATCCTGCCTCCTGCTCTCCCTCCTGCCCTGGCCCTCCCTGCCTGTTCCCTGCCCCAGCCCCTCTGGCCTTTGGGAGCGGCCACCGTGAGCAGCAGGAGGTGAGGGCTGGTGCTGAGGTGGGGTCCACCTCCCTCCAGCGGCGCCTTGCAGGCATTCGGGGAGCAAATGCACCGTTCACTCCACCCCAAGCTGCCCCAGAGAGCAGCAGATGGGCCCAGGGAGGGGCTTAAATAATTCACAGGCCCTGGGGACAGGGGATGCTAGCCTAGGGTTCCCCAACCAGAGGCTGGGCATGAACCTCCCTTCTGGGGCGCCTGGCCACCCAGTCAGCCTTGGTCCTGGGAGGGCCTGGAGCTTGGCCAGTCGCTGTCCTCAGCTGACCGCCGCTGGGCCTGGCCCCGGGTGCAGCAAGTACACAACAAAGGCAGTGCCTTTGTTGCCCGGAGCTCAGCAGAGCCTAGAGGAGGACAGCCTGGAGGAAGGGTGCCTGTTGGCACCTGGTCCTGGCTTCTCAGGCGGGAAGTCCCGGCTCACCCCACCCCTTCCCATGGATCCATTCCCGGTGGGGGCGCCCCTCAGTGCTCTCAGAGTCCTGGCTCACCCCGCCCTTCCCCGTGGATCCATTCCTGGTCGGGGCGCCCCCTCAGTGCTCTCAGAGCTGGGACTCCTCACCACCTCCACCCAGGCCTGGGCCGCCCATCCCCCACCGTGCTACAAGCCTCCTGCCTGTCCCCCGATCTTCCAGTGGGGCAGCCGGGACAATTTGCCAAAACGCAAGTCTGCCCCCCGACAGCGCCAGTGCCCCCACTGTGCTCGAGATGTGGTCTGTGGGCGCCGTGCTCCCTGGGGCCCTTCCCCGTGTGGTGCTGCTTGGGAGGTGAAGACCCCTGAGGCATATGTTTCCAGTCCGCCCTGTTATCGCCCATTGCAAAGATGAGGACATTGAAGCTGGGGATGGCAGGCGGTGCAGGGGAGGCCCTTGTCCTATCTGGAGGGCTCACTGGGAGCGTCTGTGCACACCGCAGGCCCTCCCCAGCCTGGAGAAGGGGGCCACTGGCCCCGGAATGCTGACAGTGATCTGGGCTGAGACACGGGGCTCACAGGACCTCCTTCACGTGTCCAGGGCCAGTGTCTTCACAGGGCCCTGTGGCCTTTGCCCTCCCCATTGCCCAGGGCCACCCCCCTCTGGCAGGGGCAGGACCCTCCACCACCCCTTCCTTCCACCCCCTGTGGAGCAGAGCCCCATCCTCCCAGCAGAGGAAAGTGCACCCCAGTGCCTGCTCTCTGCTGCCTCTTTCTGGGGTCCTTGTTCCTGTGTGCAGCCCCTGGACACCCTCTCCTGACTCCAGCAGATGCCAGCCCTGGGTCCAGCCTGGTGCCTGTCCCCGTCTCCCGGTGGGGAGGGCTGCTATGGCTTCCAGGGTCCCCAGGACTTTGGGCAACGGTGGCGGGGGCTGCTGGAGGGGCCTGGCCTGCGCCTGCCGAGTGGGGTGGGGGAAAGAGGGCAGGCCCCAGCCAGTGTGGGGGCCTCTGAGAGCCGAGTGTGTGGGGGCCTCTGAGAGCCGAGTGTGTGGGGGCCTCTGAGAGCCAAGGCTGGTAGTGGGGTTCCGGGGGTGCCGCAAGCCACCCCCACCCCGAGTCTGTCACCCACCTATGGGTGCCCACTGTGGGCATAGCCATGAGGGCCACCTGGCCTCTCCAGCAGTCCGGGCTGGGTGTTTGGCCTCCCCGGGGCATGTCCTGGCTCACCTGGCTGAGCTCCTAGGGCAGGAACTGCCTGTTCCCTTCCTGCCCTGCAGCACTGGAGGTGACCTGGGCCTGGGCCCTCCAGTTCCCCGATGGCCAGTGCCCCGCCCACCATGCCCGACTCACCCTGACACGTGGGGATCCCCAGGCAGCCCCGAGACAGGGTCTTAGGGCTGCCTCTGCAGGACCCTTGGAAGTGCAGGCCCTTGCTCAGGAAGGGGTTGATGGTGTGGTATGGCAGGAGGCGGCACCACGTGACATGCTTGATGTGACATGATGTGGTGTGGTCCCCTCCGGGAGGATGGTCTGTGGAGGCTCAAGGCCATGGACCTGCTACTCCCCAGGGGCTGAACCAGCAATGCACCGAGTGGACCGTGTCCCTTTACTTGGTAGGGGTGGCCTGATGGTGGACCCCAGGCCTTCCTGCCTGGGACCCTGCAGGGCCTCTGGAGCCCCCTCCCAGGTGAGGCCTCCGAGTGGGGAGGGGCCAGGACCTGAGCCCCAGTGGCTTCCCCAGGGGCCCCCAGGGTCTGGGATAAACCGGGAATGGTGGCTTCCCTGAGAGCAGCGCCCTGGCTCGGCCCCTCGGTGTCCTGGCCCTTGCAGGGCTGTTGGGGCAGGGCCTGTCTCCGAAGGTCTGTGCACTATGTCCTTGGCCAGGTTTGGGGCTCAGTGGCAGTGTGGGTGAGACAGAGCAGGTGGCTCGCGGCTCAGGAGCCCCTTGGAGCCCTCTCACTGTCACCAGTGGAGTGTGCGTCACCCCCAGAAACCTGTTGTCCAGGCTGGACCCTCCCTGCCTGGGGGCAGCCAGGCCTCGGCCCCCCATGTGGCCTGAGCACATGCGCCCAGCTGTGCTCTGACCCCCACCTGCTCCAGAAGGCTCTGCTCCTCCCTGAAGCCTCCATGGGCCAGACCCCCATGATGCTGAGCCCCCAGCGGAGCCGGGACCTGGCTCTCCCCTTACCCTTGAGACCATGCTCTTTTCTGAGATAGGAACTCAGCCGACCCATCTGCAGGCTTAGCCCGGGCATGGGACCCTCGGCTGTGGGAGCTAGGACGGGCGGGCACCTGGAACTGGACGTTGGCTGCGTGATGGCCAGTCTAGGCTGGGTGCTGCCCAGAGGCCCGGCAGGTCCCTGTTCCCCGGCCTGGCCTGAGCACCAAGGTGTCGGGGCAGGAGGACCCTCGGCCCTGCCAGGCCCCCTCTGCATCCCTCGGTGTGGGTCCCCAAATTTGGCGGTTCACCCACTGTTCCCAGGGCCTGTGCTAGGTTGGGAGACACCCCTCAGGGAGAGCACGTAGGGGCACAGGGTCCCCAGAGAAGGGCCTACTGGGGGCGCAGGGAGGCTGGCAGCCCGCCTTCCTGCAGGTGGAGTTAGACTCAGTGAGTGTGAAGGATGCTCTGTGGCCACCATAGCTGGAGCAGCTGCCTGTGGGGGATGCCGACGCTTGTTCCCTGGGGTCCTGGGGGTCAGGCGGGGGCAGGAGCAGTCAGAAGCTTCAGAGGAGCGGCCCCAGGGCCTTTGCTGCAGATGGAGGCGGGAGGCTCCCAGGTGGCAAAGCGCACCTGCTGCAGGTGTGAGAGGGCCCAGTTCGGGGAGTATGGCCACCGGGAGCCCCTCGGGCCCTCCACCCCCCTGCAGGGCCTCCCTCCCCGGCCGTGCCCCGGTCTTCACCCTCCATACCTGTTGAGCCGTGCCGTGGGTGGAGGTGAGCATCCCGCGGGCGGGCTGTGTGCGTGTGTGTGCCTGTGTGCTCGTGTGTTTAAGTGTATTTTTAAAGCGGCTTTGCAGCTGTGTTTGACTCACTTCCATTCTCTGGTAGGAGCTCGGCAAGTGGTGCACTGTGGGTTATTTTGGGCTTGGCAATATTGCAATTATTAGATTCCGTGTTTGTAAGGAAACAGCGTCGCCTGGGGCAGCATTGGCTGTGGGTGGCGGTGTTGATGCCGTTTGGGATGCGGAGCCCAGAGGGGAGGCCCAGCTTGTCCCTTGGGCCTGTCACAGGGCTATCAGGGTTACCAAGCCGCCAGCACCAGATCACCTGGTGGGCAGTTTCTCCCGGGCCTTTGTCGGATTTAGGCCTCCCCTGGCTTCCGAGCGCAGCCCCCCCAGTTCGTCCCCTGGGCGCTGGCTCCTACCTGACCTCATGGCCGCTGAGCCCCGCAGGGTCTTGGAGGGGCTCCAGCCCAGCTTGGGAGGCGGGGCGGCCCTGGGGGGCGGGTGGCGCTCTAGCCACGCGCTCTGGGGCTCGTCAAAAAGACTTAAATTGCCCCTTGCTCTCAGCTGTGCCTTAAAAAGCTGCAGGTGGTGACTCAGTTGTCACCGTCACTGTCACCGCTGCCGGTGCTTCTGGGGACGCGTGAGGTCACCGGGGTGGCTCGTCCTGTGCAGCCCCCGCCCCCGGCAGACCCGTCGACCCCTTGGGGTTGGGGGACATGGGGGAGCTGCTGGAGCTGGTGAGACGCGGCCTCCGTCGGCTTCCTGCCATGGCTGTAACTTGAGGGAGCCGCCCTCCTTGGGCCTCAGTTTCCCCCTCTGAAGCCAGGGAGCTGGGCCTTCCTCTGGACTTGGTTTGTCCAGGGCTCTTGGTGGGAGGTGCCCACCCTTCCTGAGAGAATGGGCCCACTTGGTAGGACCTTTTTCTGCCCCTTCTAGGGCCAGCGGAGGGGCCCGTGCTGGGTCTGCGGAGAGCAGGTCTCACAGCCACAAGGGGCTTCCAGGTGGGAAGGGACCCCAGGTTCACACCATGACTCTGGCACTGTGAGGGGCGATCCGCACCTCCTCTAGGCCTTAGGCAGGTCCTCTCTGTCCAGCCAGGGCCCCTACCTGTCATCTCCATTTTCAAAGGGGCAAGAGCCACCTACCTCCAGAACCCCCCGGGGCTCCAGTCCTCAGGCGCCTGGTGTGGCGGTGGTGGCTTTGGGTCCGGCCCTGGTGGTCTTCTCACACTGGCCAGCCCTTGTGCAGGATGGCCTGGGGCTGGGGGGTACCCAGGGCTCTCTCAGGTGGGCTGAGATGTGAACTGACCAGCTGGCAGCTCCGTCCATCAGCAAGGACAGGAATGAGGCCTGGGCCTGCCTGGCCACGCTGGGCTGGCCCGCCCTCCACTCAGTGGGGACCTCTCCTACCCTCCCTGCTGGGCTTCAGGGGCCTTTCCAGCCATGGCTGGGACCTGTGAGTGGCCAGGGGCTGGGGGGCTGCATGCTCCCAGTGGCCTCGTGGCCGTGATCACAAGGGGCTGAGTGCCCTCTGCCTCAGCTTCCTGCCACTGCAGCTTCTCGCCAGGGTTCCCCAGCCGCCTGCTCCCCAATGTCTCCTGGCCTTCCTCCCGGGACGCTCCTTGGGTTCTGAGATCTGCTGAGATGGGGCCTGTGTGTTGCGGGACGGGGCCGCACCCACCCTGGGGGAGCGGCTGAGCTGCTGGATGGCCTCCTGCCTCTCAGGGGCCCAACAGCGACCTGCAGGCAGTCAGGGAGGACTCCCTGAAGGAAGCGGTTTCCTCAGTGTCTGACCACAGGGCAGTCACAAGTTCCCCAAAGGCGAAGGTGGCTCACCCCGAGTCCTGGCTGCACCCTGGTACCCACAGCCTCGTGTGGAACATGAACCATCCCGGTCCCAGGAGGCGCGTGCTGGGAGCGGCTCCCAGCCCTTGGATGATCTTTCCTCTTGCCTAATGGGCAGGCTGCTTTCTTTTCTGTTTTAGACCTGAAAAAAAAAAAAAAAAAGCATTTGCCAGCATAGCACTGATGGCCACCCGGCCCATGCTGTCCACCGGGCGGGTGGTAGGGAGGGCAGAGAGCAACGTGCGGGCCTCAGGCACCAAGGAGGCCGCACAGGCAAGGGGCTGGTGGGCGCTGGGCTCACTGGTGCATCCCTGCAGGGCTGACTGGCCCCAGGCTGTGTGTGTGAGTGGGGGTGGGCCATGCCGTCACTGTGGGCACCCAGGCCTGTCCTCGGGAGCTCTGACAGCACAGGGAAGGTGGCCGGCTGGGTGGGGACTCAGGGCAGGACACCGGGCTGCCTGGGGCGGGGGGACTCCTATCAGTCCCCGTAAGGCCCTGCTCAGTGCCCGGCCCCTGTGAGGCTGAGGATGGGACAAGGGTGTGTCCTGCCGTCCAGACACTGGGACCTTGTGCAGGCATCCAGCTGCCTTGGAGCAGATGGCAGAGACCCTGGAGCAGGGCACTAGCAGGGGGCTGGGCACCTACAGCAGGAGCCCTCAGCCGGGACCCATGACACAGGAAGGGCTGGAGGCTGGGCTGGACAGTCCCCCTTGGGCACTGGCCTGGCCTGACCTGGACATGCCGAGTGGCCGGGGAACGGGTGCCAGGCTGGCCCGAGTGGCCTTCCTGCTTTCACAGGAACTGGCAGGCCGGGTGGACCCAGTGGGTCCAGCAAGGTTGGTGTGACCCCTGCTTCCTGGGCCTGGGGAGAAGCTGGGCTCCATCTGTGCCCCTGGAGCAGCCAGTGGCTGAGTGGCCGGAGGAGATGCCTGAGGAGGCTCTGGCTCTGCCCTCAGGGACGCTCCCGCCCAGACCGCGCCCATACAGGCAGCCTGCCCCCAGTATGGGCAGCCCCCCAAAGACCCATCTGCACAGGGATGATCTCGAGGCCACGTTTCATTCCCACTTCAGCCTCCTGTACTCCCGAGTCTCACTGGCTTCTAATCTGCACTTATGCAACCATGGTAAAAAGTGACTACATCTGGGGATGTCCCCGTGCGCTGTGATGTGTGCTTGGCCGTCTCTGCAAACGGGGGCCCGAGGGGCTGGTGCTGCTTCTCAGCAGCCTGGGCCACGCCGGTCTTGCAGCGTGGCTGCTCCTGGGCACTCTTGAGTCACTGCCTCGTAGTGACCTGGCCCCCTCATTGCAGACTCAGCCCCGAATCCTGCTCCCCGGTGGCTGGGTTGCACCCATCTGGAGGTGGGGCTCAGGAGGCGGCCTTGGTGATGCCAGGTGGTCAGTGGGTTTTTGCCATCCGCCAGGAGCTTCACTGGGCCTCCCGTTGGCCCTGCATGGGACATGGTGACAAATGCCACGCTGGTGACAAGCCCTCTCTGGCTTGTTTATTTTGTCTTGTTGGAGATGCACGTGCCCCTTGCAGCCTTGCCGGTGGTCTTCCTTGCCAGTGGTCCTCCTTCCTGGTGGTCCTCCTTCCTGGTGGTCCTCCTTCCTGGTGGTTCTCCTTCCTGGTGGTCCTCCTTGCCGGTGGTCCTCCTTCCTGGTGGTTCTCCTTCCTGGTGGTCCTCCTTGCCGGTGGTCCTCCTTGCCGGTGGTCCTCCTTCCTGGTGGTTCTCCTTCCTGGTGGTCCTCCTTCCTGGTGGTCCTCCTTCCTGGTGGTCCTCCTTCCTGGTGGTCCTCCTTCCTGGTGGTCCTCCTTCCTGGTGGTCCTCCTTGCCGGTGGTCCTCCTTGCCGGTGGTCTTCCTTTCCGGTGGTCCTCCTTGCCTGTGGTCCTCCTTGCCTGTGGTCTTCCTTTCCGGTGGTCCTCCTTGCCTGTGGTCTTCCTTTCCGGTGGTCTTCCTTTCCGGTGGTCTTCCTTTCCGGTGGTCCTCCTTGCCTGTGGTCTGTCTTCCTTGGGCTGACACTGAGCCAGCGCTTATCTGAATGCAGTGCTGGCGCGTGGGGAATACGCTCCTGAGTAATTCACACGCAGGACCGGCCGGCCGTGGACGGCGGGCAGTGTTTGGAGGCCAGTTTCTGCTCAGCGCCTCATGGTGGGGCTGTTTCCTTGGCACCGTGAGGGGCCGGTCCATGCGGCCAGTGGAAGCGTCCATCGGCCCCTCACCACTCTGTTCGCTCCCCTCTGGCCTGTTTGGCTCCAAGCGAGCACCCTGAGCTGGGACCTGGGCCAAGCGCTCTTCTGCTCCGGCAGTGACTGTGCTCCAGCTGGCGCTGTCCAGCCCTGCCCAGGCCCTTTCTGCCCTCCGGTTCCTCCCCTTGCTGCTCTAGCCTGGCCTAAGGGAGGGGCCCGTGCCCCCATGGGACTGGCCCTTCATGTCCCCAGGGGCCCTGCTGTCCAGGAAAGCAGCCCATTCTCTCCAGGGCTTTTCTAAGGCCATGCTGCCCCGGGGTCCCAGGCCGGGTTCCCCCAAGAGCTAGGACCCCTGACCACTGCTCTGTGTCTCCCAGACCAGAAGCCCTCTGGGTGCGGGGCCTACCTCTGGTTTCCTCACTTCCTCTCCAGCTCTAAGCCATGCCCACACACAGCAGGTGGTTAGTAAACCCCGGCTGATGGCTAGGGGTATGGAACAGGTGGGCTGGAGACAGGCAAGGAAGGACGCAGAGGGTGGCAGGTCTTGGCCCCGGGGCATGGGCCGTGTGGGCTCCCTCTGGCCTGAGAACCGAGTCTGAGGACTGGGATCCTGGGAGCCAAAGGCAGGGGCTTAGTGGCATAAAAGGGACACTGCTTCTTTTTCAAGGATTTTCATATTTTTAACGATGCAAGCAGCTGGGAGGCCTGGGGCGGCACCCAGGTGTAAGCTGGGCTGCTCGGGCCTGATGACCCTGGTGGAGGCTGGTGAGGCTGAAGGGGCTCCTGGTCCTGGGGGTGGGGACTGGCCTGCCTGTGGGGCCAAGGCTGTGGGGGCCTTTGACCAGCAGCCAGGGGCTGACCTGAGCTCAGGTTTCACCGTGACTGACCGTGTGGACTTAGCAGGTCTCACAGCTTCTCTGAGCCTCAGACCCCTCAGTGCAGCGGCAACACTCCCCACCTGCAGGGCAACAGCTGCGGGTTCGCCTCTTCTCTCTCTGCCCTTCCTTCAGCAGGCCCTTGAGGCTGGGTGCCAGCCTGGTGGCGTGGGGGCTCAGGAGTGTGCCCAGTGCCCCTCTCTGGGGCCGGATCTCACACCCCCACATGGGGAGGGCCTGGGTGGGGCCAGGTGGCCAGCAGCTCCTGACAGACCCTGCTGAGGGTGTGTGTCCTGGGACGTGGCTGCATTGGTGGCCATGGGGCAGTGTTCGTCCTGCAATCCTGCTCACTGGACTCCGTGCCAGGCTGGCCAAGGCTCTGCATGGCTGCTGCATGCGGGCACAGAATGTAGGTCAGGCTGTTGCAGGGGGGTAGGGCTGGGCAGCCAGGGCAGTGCCTGCTCCCTCAGCGTCCAGTGGGGCTCTGCAGCCCGGGGCTGGACACCTGACCCACCGACCTTGGCCAGGGCCCTTCTGGTGGTGCCTGAACCCCCTGGCAAGGCTGTCCTTCAGCAGGGAGGAGGGAGGCATGTGGGCACCTGCTGTGACTGTGGATGCTGCTAGCAGGGCGGGCTGAGCTCGGTCCATGTGGGACCTGGCCCCTGGGCACTGGGAGGCTAGGATGTGTGGGTCCTGCTGAGATGATTCAGGGC
Source organism: Homo sapiens (assembly GCF_000001405.40). Taxonomy (NCBI): domain Eukaryota; kingdom Metazoa; phylum Chordata; class Mammalia; order Primates; family Hominidae; genus Homo; species Homo sapiens. The sequence continues at coordinate 2,461,513 of NC_000001.11, forward strand.
AGAGCCTTCCCGAAGCTCCGGTCCCTGTGGCTGGCTCAGCTTTCGCTCCCTGCTGGGTTACCCAGCCCTGGGGCCTCGGCTCCCCTCCAGCCCGCAACAGGGAACACTGTGGGGACAGTGACGCCCACTGGACACCCCATCCCCATGCCTCCCGCCTCTGTGGGCCTCAAATCCAGCTGTTTCTTGCTCTGTCTTCTTTGTTTCTTCTGCGCCTCTGCCTTGGCATTAACAATGTTCCCTTTGAACCTGTCTGCAACTCCCCCAGGCTTGGGGGAACCAGGAGCAGGGCTGGGGCCTTTGTTTGGGGAATGGCACCATGGAAGGTGGGCAGGGCAGCTGGGGATGCCAGACTCATCCCCCCCAGGGCCTCTGCATCTGGCCTTCCCTGGCCATCCACCCGGGACCCCCTGTCCCATCAGCTTGTGTTTGCTTGAGTCCCACTTTCTTGGGGCTGCCTCCCCTGGCGCCCCCTCTCTGGAACTCTGCCTGCACTGGCTGTGCCACTCGGCAGCCCCTCTGCCTGACACCCCCTCTGCCTGACACCTCCTCCACCTGACACCACTCCGCTTGACAACCCTCCACCTGACACCCCCTCCGCCTGACACCCCTCCGCCTGATACCCCCTCCGCCTGACACCCCTACACCTGACACCCCTCTGCCTGACACCCCCTCCACCTGACACCCCCTCCACCTGATACCCCCTCCACCTGACACCCCCGCCTGACACCTCCTCTGATACCCTCTGCCTGACACCCCTCTGCCTGGTACCCCCTCCACCTGACACCCCTCTGCCTGACACCCCCTCTGCCTGACACCCCTCTGCCTGACACCCCCTCTGCCTGACAGCCCCTCTGACACCGCCTCCACCTGACACCCCCTCCGCCTGACACCCCTCTGCCTGACACCCCTCCACCTGACACCCCTCTGCCTGACACCCCTCCATCTGACACCCTTCCACCTGACACCCCCTCTGCCTGATGCGTGGTCTTGTCCCCATGGCCTGCTGTCAGGTGGTCACCCCAAGGCATCTTGGTCCATCCGGGGCAACTACGGTCAGTCTGGGTGGCCCGTGGTCAGTCTGGCCAGGTCCTCACTGGTCTGTCTTCCTCCTCAGCCAGGCGATGTGCTCCTCTGTGACCTTAGAGCCCCAGAACCGAGCTCTGGGCTCTGGGCATCGCTGGGGTGGTTTCACATGGGGCCCTGGGGGCTGAGGCAGTAGGGGATCTTTGTGCTGGGGACACAGCAGGGCCTTAGAGGGGCATCCCTTGCCTTACTCTGTGCTCCCACCCCCTAGCCACTGCCCAGGACAGGAGGTCGCTCAGCCCATCCTGGTGCCAAGATGTGTGTCGGGGTGGTGGGGGTGGATCTGGCCCTTCGAGGCCCCCACAGTGGGCTTAGTTTCCTAACCGAAGCCGTAACATCCATAGAACTCTTAAACCAGGCAAGAAAGCAACACGGAATTCGCTTTGATGTTGAATAATTAATGAAATGTCTGAGGTATGGGCTTCTGGGCTGTGTCTCTCCCAGCCGCAGAGCTGTCAGCACCGTCTCGTCATTGGAGGGGCCTGCATTTCTGTCTTTAAATGTGCGCTTGGCACCTCTGAGAGGTAATTAGGACGTTCTGTGCACGATGAGGAGGCTGGGGTGCTCACCTCCAGGGGGCTGCAGGGCCAGTGCGACTGTTGTGGACCAGCCCCGGAGGGGGAGCTGCAGGGTCAGCTGGGCTGTGAGACCCCGGGCAAGAGTCCCCTGCCTCAGTTTCCCTATCTGAAAAGTGAAGAGGTTGGATCCAGGGGCCTCTGGGGGCCCGTCGAACTCAGACATTCCAAGGTGGTGGAGGAGCAGAATCAGGGACACATGGGGGACCTCGCTGTGTCCCCAGGTCGCCCTGGTGCTGGTAGGCAGGCTGCAGAGCCCCTGCCTGCTGAAGTTTGCTGAACGGGGCTGCAGCCGAGAATCTGTTTACTGCAGCAGGTCATCGGGAAGCGTTTCCTTGGAGACATATGTAGGACAGAACTCGGAAGCTGAAACCGAGGCACCCCACGAAGGCCCCACACCGCTGGCGGGAGGCGGTTTCTCAGGGCTCTGCTCCTGGAGGCTGCTGGGAGACAGCTGCAGCCCGGAGACTGGTCAGAGCCCGCGACCCGAGAACAGGGCTCCTAGCCCCTCCTCACAGCAGTGGCCACCCAGGGGGATATCACACTTGGACCTTTGGTGCAAGAATGTCCCCCGCCAGACCGCACTGAAGGTGCCCACTGCCCTCCTCTGGGAACCCTCCTCCCCATGGCCTGAGCCAAGGCACCAGCTGGCCAGGCCCTTGGAGAACTGCTGGTCCTCCCTGGTTCAACACAGGGAAACTGAAGCCGGAGAGGCAGTGAACTCCCATGGGGCACACAGAGTCGGGCAGAGTCAGGGTGTGAACTGGGGTCTCCTGAGCTGGCCGGAGCACTGCCCTTCCCGGCTCCTGTCTACAGTGGCATTTTCTGGAACACACTCAGGGCACCCCTTGCTGGCAGCCCCAGAGGACATGGTGCTGGGCTTCTGTGCGGTGGGATCGCTCGGCAGCTGGTTGCGGGTGTGACCAGGGCACTGGCCTCCCTGGCGGCACAGGGTGCTGCCCACTGTCCAAGAGAGGGCTCTGGGGCTCAGAAGCAGCTGGGCTGTGGGAAGTCCTGGGGGTGGAGTCTCTTTCCATGGGGTTCGAGTGTTGGCAGGGGGGCTTCACGAGCTTCTCCCCTCCCCACTCTGCCCTTACTCTGGTCTTCCCGATGTGCATCTCCATCTTTCCATCCTTGGCTTTCTCTGGGGCTGTTTGTGCTCAAACACAGGGTCACCTGCGGGCTCAGAATTGGCAATCCTGACGCAGGCTGGTGCATGGAGTGCTTATCTGGCCCCTGGGCATGCACACGAGTGCACAGAGGTCCTCAGGGGTGCCTGGGAGCCTGGAGCAACCCTGGCCTATAGTGGCCCCTGTCTTTGGGCTGGCCGTGTCTTCCTGAACCTGTGCCCTGGGGCAGGGGCCACCTAAATGGTTTTCTTTGGAGATGAGACGTGAAGGAACTTTTGCTGCAGGATGGCTGAGGAGGGGGGCCACCTCCTGCTCCCCCAAGCCAATGGAGAAAGCAGGAATGGAAGGTGCACTGCAGGGAAGCCGGGGCCTGGGCTCTGTCCGGACTCAGCTGCCTCCCACCCCTACCCCTGTGAGATGCTGGGTGGTGCCCTGCCTGCTTGGGGCCTCTGTCCAGCCTGCAGGGCAAGAAAGCCCCTCCAGCTGAAAGAGATGAGATGGAGACACTGCGGACTCTGGGGTGGGCAGCATGGAGGTCAGGGCAGCACCTGGTTCAGGTGGCCTCGGGCTCACGGCCAGCTCTCAGTCAACTCACACAGACTGAAGACGGGACCCTCAGGCTCGGCTCTGCAGGAGGCGTTAGGGGCTCAGCAGGCCCTGAGGCTGGGCTTGGTGTCACTGAAGCCCAAGAGGGCAGGGGAAGTGGCTGCCTTTGTGTGCAGAGCCAGGGCCCGGGGAGCAGGTGTGCAGTGTTTCCATTGCACATCAAGGAAACTGAGGCACAGGGGAAGGGGGATCAGCTCTGCCCACCTACAGGCCTAGCTGAGAACCTAGGGCTGTGGGCCAAGGTCTAGGCTCGCCCTGTCTCAGGGTGTGGTCTCCTCCGGCCTCTGTCCTGGCAATGCCTGTGAACCCAAGGAGAGATCCAGCCAGGGCTCACAGCCAAATCCAGCCTTAGACTGTGGGGACAGGGGCAGCCTCTCAGACCCGGAAGGCAAGAACCAGTCCCAGAAAGCGGGGCTGAGGAGACACAGCTCTGGGCCTACAGGGTGGGGACCCTCTGCCCTCTGCCCTCCACCCTCCGGCCAAGGCAGAAGCTGGGTCTGGTCCTCCCAGCTGTGCCGGCCCATGGGCAGGGGCTCTGGCGGGCTCACAGCTGGCTCTGCGTCCCTGGATGTGCTTGTTCCTTCCAGTCGCCTTCTTCAAACGAGGAGAAAATTAAACTCCCTGGGGCCTGGCTCCCCTGCCACCATGGTGCCTCCTCACCTGCTGCCCGCCGCCTGCCGCCCGCCACCTGCCACCCGCCGGGCCAAATGCTCTCAAAGACAGAATTCTGCTTAAATGCCCAGAAAAGAGATTTAGGAGATCAGAATCTTAAGCAAATTAACATGTGCAGCGGGCGGCTTTTAATCACCGCCTTTAATCGCAGGCCGCGGTGACGGAAATCATCTCCTGGCTGAGTGGCGGGCGGGGCTGGCCCTGAGGATGGATTATTCCTTAGAACCTGAACCTGGGTTTCACCGGCCTCTGGAAGGGGGCTCAGGGGCCTCTGTCCACTCCAAGGAGGCGTGGCTGGGTCGGGACCTGCAGCCCGCACACCCCTCTCCCTCCTTCCCACCCTTGGGCGTGTCTGTGGCTTTCGCCTTCTGTCTCCTCTCCCCACCTCAGTTTCTCCCTTCTGAGACTTGGGGCTGCTGGCCCTTTCCTGAGTGGACTGTCCCAGGGGACATGCAGAGCCCAGGTGTGGGGGATGCTGGGACGCCTGTTGCTCCTGGGCCACTGGTTGCCTCTGGCACACGTGCACTGCAGTGTCATTGCCTGGACAGCCCCCATTGTGGCCTGGCCTCCCCTCAGCCCTGCCACTCAGCTCAGCACCGGGACCCACTGAGACCTGGGGCCCAGAGGGAGGGGGCCGCCCCTCCCTTCTCGCAGCTGTGCCCAGCCAGGCGGACACAGGCCCTGGGACCCTGGCTGTGCCGAATGGGTCGTGAGAGAGACTGTTCATTCACGAGGGCAGGTCCCAAGAGCCCAGGGCAGGGGCTGGTCCAGCCGAGGGTCCTAGGCCACCTGAGTGGTGGTAAAGGCAGGAGGCAGCTCCTTTGAGGGTGCCAGGCAGCTGCGCCCAGGGGCCTTCCTTGGCAGGACCCAGGTGGTGACTGCAGCTGCTGGTGGCTCCCCTCCCCCTCCACACCTGGGGCCCCGCATGGCAGGAGGTGGTCACACCTTGAGGTGGCAGCGGCTCAGAGAGCCCAGAGGCGGCCCCACATCCTCCTGCCCGGGCCTGCGTGCCTGCCTGCCCTGCCCACATCCGGGGCTCAGTGTCCACACAAGCCTCCCAGGCCGCACTCTGGGATGGGGGCTCAAGGCCCCTTGGGGCAGAGGTGGTACCTTTCAGAACACCCCCCATGGGTGGACGTCTCTTTTGTCTGGAAAATGTTACGTCCCTCAGATGCTGGGAGCAGCGCGTGCAGGGGGAGGCAGAATGCTGGCTCGGAGAGGGAGAGGACCCCAGCGCGGGCAGCTCAGCACTGGACAGACAGGGCAGGGAGGCGAGGGGCTGGGAGAGCACAGGAAGGGGTGTAGCAGCACGCAGGGCTGCAGCCGTCACCGTCACCATCACCAGGAGCTACTGCTGGAACTCGGCCTCCCCCAACGCTGGACGCCCCCCAGGGCAGCCAGTGAAATGTCACCTCAATGACCCTTGGCAGTGCTCAGCCCTTCCCAGAGGCCCTCCTGGGGTGAGTGGCTCTTCTTGGCTGCAGCCTGCGGGGCCTGGGGTGTAATGACCAGAGGGTCCCTGTGGTGGAGGGGCAGCCAGCCAGGGAGCATTTGGCTCTGGTCCTGGGGGTGCAGCCACCCCTCAGTAGGAGGAGCCCTGCCGGGAGGGAGGGAGGGAGGGAGGACAGGATGAACGGTGGGTGGTCGCTCAAGCTGCTATGGGAAGAGCCAGCAGCCAACCCGCCTCCCCTTCTGGCCTCTCAGCGGAGCCAGCTCAGCTCCCGCCAGAGACCCCAGCCCAGGTGTCCTCCCTTCCCACTCCAGCAGAGGCTGCTGGGCCCGGGCTGGGCAGCCAAGGGTTAAGTGGGCGGGGCTCCCACGGGAGGGGCGGTCCCAGCGGCGGCCCCGTCCCGCCTTCCCCTCGCCTTCCTCACCTTCCTCACGGGCGGGCGCGGCAGGGCAGCGTGTGGGGCTGCGATCGGCATGGGCTCTGCGCGCGGGGTGCCCCTGCTCGGGCTGGGGCTCAGGGGACGCCGGGGGCCAGCACAGGGCCCGGTGTCCCTCGGGCCGTGCCGGTAACTGGGATTGGCACCCGCCGGCCATGGAAGAGCCTGGGCCCCCAGGTGGGCTCAGCCAAGACCAAGGTAAGGGGGCAGGTGGGATCCCAGAAGGGGGTTGTGATGGTCCCCGTAGGGAGCCCAGGACCGGACCTGTTCACTGGTGACCCGCCCAGGACCGGACCTGTTCACTGGTGACCCACTGACCCCCCGTGGGCAGTGCAGAGCTCCTCCCAGCAGGGTCTCCGGGAGCACGGCCCAATGACCCCATTACCTGCACATCCCTCAGACTCGGTCCCAGAGGAGGGATGCTGCCCCCACCCCTTGGCGCCCCCACCCTGCCTCATCTGCCCCTGTGCTGACACGTGAAAGCGAGAGGGTCTGCTCCCTGCAAAGGGTCCAACACAGTCCAGGTGGGCGGTGGGGGAGGCGCCCTCAGCCATGCCAGCACGGGTCCTGACCTCCAGCTTGATCCCAGCGGATGCACACTGCTCGGGTGGGGGGCAGGTCTGGGGGTGCCAGGGGCTGGTAGGCTCTGGCTTTTGGCTCTGGGGGCTCTCCTGGCCCAACCCCACCCCAGCCCCTGATCGAGGTTGGCAAAGGTGGCCCTGAGCTGCAGTCAGCACCATGGACAGGGGCAGCTGCTGCTTTCTCTGGGGGGCCTGCAGTTGCTGTGCGTCCTCAGGGTTCCCTGGAGTTACACTCTGGTCTGGCCCATCCCGCTCCGCTCCGGGTTGGAGATTTCTTGCTGTGATCTGTCACGCTTTCCTGACCTGGGAGCCGGACATTGCCCTGCGCAGACAGAGCGGAGCAGCAGGGGTGGCGGAAGCCCCGGGGCTGTTCACAGCAGGAGCTTCCGAGGGGCATCCTGGGCAGGCCCCTTCAGCACTGGCTGGGGCAGGGTCTACAGCTCCCCAAACACAGCGCTAGCTCTGGGCCAGAGGGGCAGGGTCTCCAGCTCCCCAAACACAGCGCTAGCTCTGGGCCAGGGGCGGGGAGAGGAAAACGTGAAGGGGGACAGTGGCCACGGCTGCAGAAGAAGTGGCTCAGGCCAGACACCAGGAGGAACTCCTGGGTTTCCAGGGACAGTAGGAGCTTGCCTCCTGGTGGTTTGGAACCTGCTTGTTCTGCCCTGTGATTGGCATGGACACGTGGGGTGGGACATGGCATCGCTGCTGGGCAGACTGGGGACGGGTTGCTGGTTTTTGCCTCTGATAAACCGTGTGACCTCACACAAGGGACTGAGCCTCTCTGAGCCTCCATGGGCAAGAGGGATAGCATGGGGCGCTTTCACAGGGTGGCTGTGGGCATTCAGAGCAAGCCTGTCTGCAGTGGTCATGCCGTGCCTGGCCTGTGCAGCTGCTCCAGGGTGCCTGTCCCCTCCTCTGTCCCACCCCCAGTGGAGGTGCCCTCTCTGAATGGAGAATAGTGTGGCAGATGTAACCAGGGCTGCTGGGCAGACACTGTTTGTAGGATGGGCTGTATATTCAGGTCACTCCAGGTGCACCCACTCGCTGACCGCAGCCCCCATCCCAGGGCTCTCCTGGGCACGTTGTCCCTGGTTCCTGCCTGTCTGGCCTGCAGAGAGCTCCCTGGAGTCACTGCCCTGTGCTGGCCACTGGGCTCAGGATGCCTGCCTGCTGTGGACAGGGGCTGGCTGCTGCCGGGTGGCCCCAAAGCCCCAGGTTCCAGGAGACCCAGCACACTTGGGGTCTGCAGCTGGCCAGGGAAGGGCCTAGTCTTAGGAGGGGGCAGTGGTGGGAGTGGCTCTGAGCCCACCCTCCGTGCCTGCGTCCTCTGGGCAGAGGGAGGGGAGCCAGCAGAACAGTCCTTACAGACTCCACGTGCCGCCGAGGACGGAGCAGATGGGCCAGTGTCCTGGGTCCAGCCCTCCATCTGCACAGCTAATGAGCTGATGACGATGGCGTCCCAGTTCCTGGCACCTTCTCCTGGAGAAGCCATGGGCTGGCCCTGCCCGGGCAGTGCCCTTTGCTGGGGCAGGTGTGTGTGGGGTGCCTGGGGCCCTCTCAGGGACCCAGGCCCAGTGGCTCCACCTTCATTGAGGGTGGGCAGGGGGAGGGGTTGGGGAAGGGGATGAGTAATCCAACGTGCCTGTTTCTTCCCGGGATTTTGCTCCCAGCACTGCATACGTGGGCTCCCACCGGCTGGACGGACTTCCTGTGTGGGAAAGGCGAGTGGGCGCGGGCCTCCCGTGTGGGGGCAGGGTGGAGTTGGTGGACACCATCCCCAGGACAGGACGTTTCCTCTGGCTCCTGAGAAGTCACTCACCGTGGTGGCCGCAGGCATGGCTCCATGCTAGCTGGGTGAAGACCCCGAGAGGGGGCCTTGTGGCTGACGGTCACTGGAGACAACAGTGAGCCACTCTGGTGGGACTGTGGAACCCCCTCCAGCTCTGCCCCAGAGAGCAGCACCTGGGTGAGGGCTACAGGAGGCTCTTTCAGCAGGCAGGTCCCAGGCACCATGATGCAGCCCTGACTTGGGGACGGTGGCCACACTGTCCTGGGAGTAGGTCCCTTCCACCGCTCAGACCTGGCGACCCAGGAACACACCTCTGAGGGACTTGAGTGGTCTTGATTTCACATTGATCAGGCCCCTGGCTGCTCCGACTTTCAGGTCCCTGTTGTGGAGGTTTCGGGCGGCCCAGTTCTCAGGGGCAGCCCTGTGCCCTTCCTGGGTCAGCTGGTGTGTGGGTGGGGGCCGACCCAGGGAGCACCTCACTGGCTCCCAAAAGGCAGGAGTGGGAGACAGGGCAGCCAGCCCAGCCCCAGGGCCAGCTTGAGCAGGGAGGTCCAGACAGGGACGGAACGACTATACAAGATCCCAGAAACTTCAGGCAGGGAAGCTCAGAGGGCCAGCTCCATCTCCAGGACACCCTCTCTGTCTGAGACTCTCTGGCAGAGCATTCGTGGGGCTGCTCCCCGGCCTGGCAGTGGCCCGGGGTGCTCTGGCCGGGAAGAGCAGCCCCGTGCCGGGACGGATGTGGCGGGCTCAGCCTCCTGTTTCCTCGCCTCCTCCGTGGCTCCATGCCTGCTCTGCCTGGCAGCGGCCCAGCTGCCACCCTCCCTCCCGCGCCTGGCTATGGGCTGGGGGCAGGGCTGGCTCTGACCACTTGGCCCGAGGACCCTCCCCTTGGAGCTGCAGCCCCCTCCCCTCACTCGGCAGGAGCTCCCTCTCTCCCAGCTGGCAGGCCAGGCTCCATCTGGTGACTTTTCAGGAAAGGCTCCCCCACCGTGGCTGCCACGAGCCTGGCTCCCTCTGCAGCTCCTCTGGGGTGTCCTGGACGGTGGCTGGGGGCAAGGCCGTGCACCTGCCTTCAGAGAGCCCCAGGCCAGGTGGGTGCGATGCCCCTGCTGGCCATGCCCTGCTCAGTGAGGGCAGAGAGGCAGCCAGGGCCTCAGAGAAACCAGTGACTTGTGGCAGGGACAGGAGCCTCCAGGGACACACAATGGGGGGGGCACTCGCGGTGGGGGGAGGAAGCTGTGAAATGGGCTATTAATAGGGTCCCCTTCCTGATGGGGCTGTCAAGTGCGATTAATACCGCTGCTGTGAGCTGGGCTGCCACCAGCTGGGGATGGCTGGGGACGGCGAGGGGGCAGGAAGGGGAGCCCACTCTGGGAGGGACCCTTACTGAGATGGGGACCTGGCCCTGGCTGTCCCGAAGAGGCCAGAGAAAGGCCAGATGTTGGGGCCCCCTTGGCCATAGCGGGCCAGCTGGAGAGTGTGGAGGCCTGGGCTGGGCAGGCGCCCACCTGCACAAGAAGGGCTGCACTGGGGGAAGGTACGGGTCACCTGGCCTCAGAGGCCATCCTGTCCACTTGCCACTGCCGGCTGCTTGGAGGGTCCAGTGGCCTCAAGTTCCTGCACCTTTCTGTGCAACTGGGACTGCTTTGGACACCTGTGACCATCACAAGTCCTCCTGTCCATCCCTCCACACCGGGTGGCCGGATGACAGAAGAAAGGTGTCTGCTGGCCCTCCCTCTGGGCCCTGTGGGAGCTGGATCCTTCTAGCAGCAGCTGGGCCACCAGGGGAGCATGAGCCTGGCTGCTGTCCTCCCCCTGCTCTGGGGCCGGTGGAAGGTGGAGGGCAGGTCAGGTGGCGCGGCCGATGGAGTATGGCTGGCCATCGAGAACCTGTCCCCACGCTCTAGGACACTGGCCGTTCCAGCTCCCCCAGGGCTCTGTGCACACGGACCAGGAGCCACCCAAGGGGGCAGAACAAAGTCAGGCCCCAGGGCCCCCTCCGGCCTGCTCCCCTGCCGAGCTGGGTACTGCCATGGGGTCAGGCCCTTCCCTCCACAACGCCCCCACCTCCTGCTGAGAGCTGGAGTGGCTGCCACACGGAGGGCGCTGCCAGAGGAGAGGGCAGAGCGTCTGTCCCTGCGGTGCCCTCCAGGTGTGCCTAGGGTGGCCCCAGCCCCACAGGCCCCGGGCACTTGCCCTTGGTTCCCCTGCCCTTGCTGGGACCCCTCAGGCCCAGCCTGACTCTGGGATCCCTGGGCTCCTAGCACGACCACTCTGGGGTCCTGCCTGTGGGGAGGGCTCGAGGCACCGACTCACACTCCTGATAAAATAAAAATAGTTGGGGAGGAGGCTCCCAGACGTGCGGGGGGACAAGTGGCTTCTCTCAGACGTTTAAATAATCTCCGCCATATGTGTGTGGGCCCGGCCCTCCCTCCCGTGCGGCGCCAGTCCAGGGGCCCGGCTGATCTCCAGTGAGCACTGTGGCTGGGGCAAGGTGGCCACTTCCTCCTCCCTCCCGTCCACCCAAGCACAGCCTCAGCCCCTCCTGCATGCTGGGCCGGCCCTTGGGGGCAGCACGGGAGGGGGATGCTGGGGCTGCGAGGGGCAGGGGGGCGCGGAAGAGCCAGGGCCAGGAAGGGCTGCAGGAGCATCTGGCCCTCATGCCTCACTGCTGCTGAGGTCCTTTGCTCTCCTAGCCCTGGGATGCGGCTGCCTCAGGGACTCTTGGTGGCCCTGGAGGGTGGGTAGGCTGGCCTGGGGGCCATTGGGACAGCAGGTGACGGTCAGGCCAATGCCAGCCGGGCCCAGGCACAGCCCTGTGGGGGCTTCAGAGGGAGACACGGGTGGGCCCAGGGAGGTCCTTTGAAATGTCCTGCTGAAAGGCAGCAAGCGTCGGGAGAGGAGGGGGCTTAGAGGCAGCCAGGGCCACCTCTGGACAGGCCTGGAAGAGGTGGGGCCCCTGCCCGTCCCGTACACGCTCGTGAAGGGAAGAGGTTGGTGGAGGGGCATGTGCAGTCCCCATGCCCCTGTCGTGGGAGGGGCTGCGGTACCCAAAGCTGCCCCGGGTGTGTGTGTACATGCCGGGAGGCCTGTGGGTGTGATTTGTGGGTTTTGTTGGAAGATTCATTATTTTCCAGCCTTCCCCAGGGGAGAGGCGGAGATGCTGAGCCACCGCTGGCCCCTTGTTGATGACAGCCGCGAGGCCCATGCTGCCTGCTGTGTTAGGACAAGATCGATCTCCGCCATAAAAACAAAATTAAGCCAACACCGCCCTGGCTTCTGACAGCGCGCGCTCTTCCTCTAATCAGCTGCCACCCGCCCGGTTCCAGCCTTGGGAAGAAAGGAAGGGGCTGCAGGAGCAAACCTCTCACAGTGGGGAAACTGAGGCACTGAGACAGGGAGGACAACCCAAGGTCGGGGGGCAGGCCCAGGACCCCTGCTTCCCAGCAGCCACCAGGGCCAGGCAGTCAGGGTGGGCCGGTGCAGCCCAGGTGCGGGGGCTGAGCCCAGGGGATCACGGGCGCATTCCTCTGCGTGTCACCGTGGGGCCCGCAGAGCCCTCCCATGCACTCTCCCCAACTGGGGTGCAGCCCCGTCTGCCCGTCTGTCCACCCATCCGCCCATCTGGGTGCATCTGTGTGGGAGGCTTCTCCAGGCCCAGGGCTGAAGCCGGCCAGACCCTTGAGAGCTGGACCCTGGACACCAGTGTGGACACTGGCTCCCGTCACCTCCTCAGAGCAGGCCTGGTGGCCTTAGCTGCCTCTGTCCTGCCCGTCCCTCCCTGTCCACCTGTGTCCAGCCAGCGCCTGCTACGTGTTGGATCATGGCCTCACAGGGACAGAGCAGGGAGGAGGACTTCGAGGTCCCTGCCCCAGGGATGTCCCGGGGTCAGGCAGTGCTCTGAGGACTGGGGAGCCCCACTGTGCTGTGCAGGGACCTGGGGGAGCAGCAGGTGAGCCAGGGCCCTCCTCTCCCCGACGGAGCCTATATCTGCCCGACCAGGACTGCCGGCCCTTCCCAGTCTGGCCTCTGGTGTGGGCCCACAGCCAGGTGCATTGCTACAATCCCACCTGAGCTCCCACATCAGGTGTCCTGGCTCAGGCTCACGGGAGGGGCCGAGGCGGCCTGGGGGTGGGTGTGGACCATGGCTGAGGGCTGGGCCCCTGTGTGGAACCACAGAGCAGAGCGTGGCTTCTTCGGCCTCCCTGTGGGCTTTCAGGATGGCCGGGCCCTGGCTCAGGGCAGGCAGGGTGAGCATGAGGGCCCGTCAGTGCAGGCTGTGGGGCTGGGCTCGCCTGCCGGCATGGGGGTGGGGCAGCCCCCTCCGTGACCTTGTGTGGGGGCTGGGCTGGGCCCTGGGCCGGCTCACAGGCAGCACGTGGGGAGGGGTTCTTAAGTCTCTGGGCCTGGGCCCCTGCCACGTCTCTTGGCCCGGGGCACCCCCGGCTTCACGCTGCAGCTGCGGTTCTGTGTCTGCCTGAGTTTTGGAGGGGAGTGGGCGGTCCCTTTGGACCTCAGGGCAGGCAGGGCAGCCCCCGGCAGAGGCCTGTGTCAGGAAGGGATTAGCCAGGCCTCCACCCGCCTGGACAGTTGAGGATTCCAGCTCTGCTGCTGAGGAGGTCAGGGGGCCTGGGGTGCAGGAGCCTGGGACCCACGTTGTGGGGCTGGGGCCAGGCACTCTATGTGTGGCTCCTCTCAGAACCCCTGCCCAGGCAGATGGCGGCCTCCAAGCCCTAACCCCAGCTGATGGGGGATCAGCTAGTGGCTGAGAGCTCAAGGGAGGGAGGGAGGGAGCAGAGGCCCAGCCTTGGGGAGCTTCAAGGAGGGATGGGTGAGAGACGGGAGCACCCCCAGCTGGGGCCAGGCCCAGGGTGAGGGAACAGCAGGTGTGTCCCAGGCCAGGAGGCCTCTGAGGTGCAGGAAGGAGAACTGGACCCCCTGGGTCAGAGTGGAAGCCCGCAGCAGCCCAGTATGAGGTGGGCAGGGGCCCTGGGCCAGGGCTATGGCCGTCTGGTCTGTCTCCAGGCCCTCAGGCCACCTCCTGGCCCCTGCGCTGCCCCTTACACGGTGGCCTTCCCCGAGGCCCTGTCTTCCTGAGGACGCCCGGGACTCCAGCCCCTCTCCTCTCCCTGCAGCTCATGGCTCCCTAATCTAATTCCACGGCAGAGCCCAGAAACGCCTGCTGACCTGCTTCCGCCGAGAGCAGCAGAGCCTGTGACGGGGCCCCTGGTGGGGGCCTGGGTTGGCTCTGTGCTGACTGCATCTGATCTGGCTGGGTGTGGCCCTGGTTGTCAGTGGTCAGCTGGAGACGCATGGCCATCTCCTCAGGGACTGCCACCTCCCACGCCTGACCTTGGCCCCGGGGCTCTGCCAGGATGCCCAGCCCTGGCACCTCCCTGTCCTGGGCTCTGCAGGCCAAACTCCTCCCCTGGTATGGGGGGAGGCGAGCAGCTGCCCGGAACCTTCCAGTCCTTGTTGCTGGAGCCAGTAGAGCCTGGGCAGTGGGTGGGAAGAAGGGCGGGGTTCTCCCCAGTGTGGTCACGAAGCATGGGCATGGCCAGGACACAGGTGGCTGGTGTTCAGCCGGGGTCTGCCCACCTCCCATTCCCACAGCTGCCCCTGGTGTCCCGGCCTGGACTTGGGGATGGGAGAGCCTGTGCTGTCCTGTAGTGCGGGGCCAGTACACAGGGTGGGCTGTGTGGTCCTGGTGGCAGTGGGACCTGGAGTCCTTTCCTCAGTGGGAGCTGAGACGGTGGGGTGGGTCCTCCTTGGGCGAGGCCCCTGTCCAGGTCAGATGGCTGTCATCCCTGCAGGGCAGAATGTGGGGACAAACGTGCCCTGGGCATGGGGCCACCTCCTCCGCCACAGCTCGGTGACCGTGGAGAAAGGTCAGGCTGGGGCTGCAGCTGCATGAGGGAGACATGGAGAGCCCAACCCAGGCTCAGGGACCCACATCCTGGGCCTGGGCTGGGAGTTGTCGCTGTAAGGGATCCGGCTCGGCTCCCCTCTCCAGCCACAGGGGCTGGGCGCTGCGGGGATGAGGTGAGCTTCTGCCCCTGCTCTGGGCCACCTGCCTCTGGACTTTGGGGATCCACTCAGAGGTCCTCATAAGTAGGGATGCGGGGTGAGGGCAGGGACCACTCCAGGCCCAGCCTCGGCATCTGTGGTGGGCGCACAGCGGGGAGGCCCACCCCACACAGGGTCCTCGGAGGACAGTACCCTGCAGGCCTTCCGGTTGCGTTCTCTGGGTCCCAGGAGGGCCCTCCCGTTGGTCCTGCTCTTGTCCCGCAGCCCTGACCTGGGTCTGGTGGCCTGGGGCCTTGGGAAACTCTGTTGCCTCCCCAGTGCCCTCCCATCCCCAGCTGGGAGTTCCCTCGGCCTAAATCCTCCACCAGCTGGGCTGGAGCTGGGATTAGCACAGGGATTGGGCCTGGGGCTGGGCGGGGCTGAGGTCCTTTGCTCCCCCAGCCTTGGGAGGCGGCTGCGTCAGGGATTCCTTGGTGGCCCTGGAGGGTGGATAGGCTGGCCTGGGGGCCATCAGGACAGCAGGTGACGGTCAGGCCAATGCCAGCCGGGCCTGGGCACAGCCCTGTGGGGGCTTCGGAGGGCCCTGAGGAGGAGGAGGAAGAGGCAGAGGAGAGAAGGCCCCACGGAGGTCCTGTCGCCAGCGCTGCCACTGCCTGACCTCCGCTGCCCGAAGGCCGGTGGGCCTCTGTGGCCTCCGTGAAGCAGGCCCGGCTGTCGTCAGGCCATGTCTGGTCCATGGCCCTCCCCCGACAGCCGGACCAAGGGAACGGTGGCCTGGCTGGCGGAGGTACTCCTCTGGGTTGGAGGGAGTGTGGTGCTGTCTTCAGAGTGGCAGCTCGGCCCCCTGGGTAAGAAGGGGCAGGCGAGTGGCCTGGGCTGAGTGCTGGCCCTGGCCAGGTGACTGGTGGGTGGGGGCTGTTCCTGGAGGTGGGGGAAGCCTGGGCCTCCATCCCATCCTGCACTCGCCTCCCCTGTCCCCCGGGTGCTCTAGGGATCATGTGGGTCCAGCAGCGTCGGCTGGCCCTGCCCCTCAGCCGCTCAGAGGCGTGCTCAGCACACCTCGGTCTCCCAGGCACCTGCAGGGCCTGGGGGCTGAACCCAAGGGGGCGAGGGGGGATCTCAGGTGGCTCCAATGCTCTCATTGAAGGGGTGCCTTGTGCTCTGGGGGTCAGTGGTGCTTGCAGCCCAGGCGGCTGGGCTGGCATCCTGGTGCCGGACATGAGGGCCTTTGCCGTTAGGAGACTCTGCAGAGGAGACTGGCTGGGTATGGCTGGGAGGGTGGAGTGTGTGTCTTGTGGTGGCCTGTGGAGGGCCCCGGTCCGGGCTGGCCTGCCAGCTCTCTGTTCCAGCGGCAGACAGGGTCCTGTCCAGGCTGCCCTGTTGCAGGCCTCTGCCCGCCCCCTGCCCCTGTGTCCTGCCTCACCCCTCTCCTAAATCCCTGCAGCCATACCTGCGTCTTCACCTCCCATGTGCCCCGGAGAGCCCAGCCCCCCATGCCATGGCTTCCATCCCTTCAATTCCCCTCTGCTCGTGATCACGTAGTAGCTTCCCCAAGAAGGCCCGGCCAGTACTGCCCTTGGTCCTCTACAACGCCCCCGCCAGGGTCCCTCAGCGTGCAGACCTGGGGTGGGGATTAACGTCTCTGTGCTTTAGCAGATGGTACCTCTGGGACCCGGGCTTTCTGTGAGCAGGTGTGCAGGAACCGAGGGGGTGAGACCAGTCTGTTCCTGGGCTGGGACAGCTGACTCTGGCCTGGACTCCCTGGACCCTGCAGCCCCCTCTCCTGGGACAAGCTACAGCAGGAGGCTGAATGGAGAGAGGAGGGGAGAGAAGGAGCGAGGCAGGCAGCCTGGGGGAGGGGAGGGGAGGGGTTGTGAAGCTCGGATCCGGCACCACAGCCTCCCAAGTCCATACTGCAGTGCAGGGCGTGCGACGCAGACATTCATGGCACCATTCGTGGCGCTTGTTGCACATGAGGGGTGGGGGCTTTCCTGGAGATGCCCCAGGCAGGGGCACAGGCACTCAGGAATTCGACCGCTCCCAGGAGCCACCTGTGGCCAGGGGCGGGGGCAGGGGCATGGGGTTGCTGCCTGCTAGGCCCACCCCGCCCCTGACAAGGGGCCTCCACTGCACTATGGCCCCAGACAGCCAGCCCAGCCACCTCATCTGTCTTGCCTCGTGCCCGGCCTTCCCATTGTTGAGTTCTGTGCTGGCTCCGTCTGAGTGGTAGCTCTCGGGGCCCCAGGCCCAGCGCCGGTTACCAGGGCTGCTAGGACTGGTCCAGGAGGTGGTGGGAGTGGCAGGTGGCCGAGCAGGGTGGGGAGCAGGGCCCTCAGTTCCCAGGACCATCTGGGGAGGAGTGGCAGGGCCCAGCTGAGCTGTGTGACCCAGGCAAGCCGGCACCTGGGGTGGAGGTGGCCCTGGGCTCTGGCCTTTGCCCTGTCACTGGCAGGGCGGTGTGGGCGGGGCCGGGCGAGGTGAGGAGTGGCCGTGCCTCCGCTGACGGCCGTGTTTCTCCCGTGAGGAGTGGCCGTGCCTCCGCTGACGGCCGTGTCTCTCCTGCGAGGAGTGGCTGTGCCTCCGCTGACAGCCGTGTCTCTCCCGTGTCCAGTGGAGCGGTGCATGGGTGCCATGCAAGAGGGGATGCAGATGGTGAAGCTGCGTGGCGGCTCCAAGGGCCTGGTCCGCTTCTACTACCTGGACGAGCACCGCTCCTGCATCCGCTGGAGGCCCTCACGCAAGAACGAGAAGGCCAAGAGTGAGTGGGAGCCCTGGGGTGGGGACAAATCAGAGTCCCTGGGGGGACACGACGGTAGGGACCCTCCCAGGGCAGCCACTGATGGCTGAGGAGCAGCGAGACCCTAGGCCTGGACACCTCTGGGCTCAGTGGCCTTGGGGATCTGCAGTGACCTCGGGCTGTGGGGTAGGAGGGATCCAGGCCCCCTGCCCGCCTGGCAGAGCTCCCTGGGACTCAGTGAGGACCGAGTAGCACTGTGCCCAGCCCTGTGCTGAGTGCTGGGCTGGAAGGAGGGGCACAGCATAGTCCATCTAGCTGGGGAGGTCACAGCTCCCCATAAACAGAAACGACCCCCACAGAGGTATGCTGATGGATGGGTATGGGTGCAAACAGTGGCTCAGGCAGCCACTGGGCATGGCTGCTGGAGGGAGCAGGGGCCACCCGAGATGGAGGCTCTGTGCAGGGGGTGGGTGGGGAGAGTTGAGGCACACAGGGAACGGGTAGGGTCCCACGGTTTGGGGAGAGACATGGCAGTCCTCAAGGGCTGGGATCAGGGCGCAGCCAGGGTTTCTGATGGCTTTGCTGATGGTCAGGACCCAGGCATGCCAGGCAAGGCCTCAGCCCAGCAGTTGCCAAGCGTGTAGCCACTTTGGGCCCGTGGAGAGAGTCGCGCTGCGGAGCCCCCAGGGGGACCTGAGGTCACAAGAGCCTCGATGCACCTGAGCGCGGAGCTGGGGGTCCCTGGAGCCGCTGTCCCCACCTGCGGCGCTGGAGCCCTGGAGGTGTCCAGGGGCTTCCTTGGAACGTGGAGACGTGCTGGTTAAACGTGGAGCCCCGGGCCAGCCGGGCACTGGGGGCTGCAGGTGGAGGGAGGTGGATGCTCTCCCTCGTGGGGGCGTGTCTTTTCCACAGGAAAGGGAAAGGGGGAGGGACACGGGTCAGCAGTGGGGGGCTGTGCAGTCTCGCAGATCTTCACCCTTGGTTCTTGAACTCTGGACCCTGAGCCCTGCCGAGGGTCCCGCAAAGGTGGGCAAGGAGCTCCCGGCTGCTTGGTCTCCGCAGTGTTGGGGCTGCCAGCAGGGGGACGCTGGGCCCCCGGGGACCTGACCCGTGCTCCCTCCCCACCCCGCAGTCTCCATCGACTCCATCCAGGAGGTGAGTGAGGGGCGGCAGTCGGAGGTCTTCCAGCGCTACCCTGACGGCAGCTTCGACCCCAACTGCTGCTTCAGCATCTACCACGGCAGCCACCGCGAGTCGCTGGACCTGGTCTCCACCAGCAGCGAGGTGGCGCGCACCTGGGTCACTGGCCTGCGCTACCTCATGGCCGGCATCAGCGACGAGGACAGCCTGGCTCGCCGCCAGCGCACCAGGGACCAATATCCTTGGGCACCTATCGGGCAATGCAGACCCAGGGACCGGCCCCTTGGCTGCTCACCCTGGGGGGGCCTGTCCTTTGCCGGGTCACACACTGGGGAAGTGGCCGGTAGGCTGGGGTCCCCTATTCCTTCCTCCCTAGGCCAGAGGGTGGAGGTGTCAGGGCTGGGCCCATGGATCGCTGTTGGCCCCTAACTCGGCACCAAAGTGGCTGAAGCAGACGTTTGACGAGGCCGACAAGAACGGGGATGGCAGCCTGAGCATTGGCGAGGTCCTGCAGCTGCTGCACAAGCTCAACGTGAACCTGCCCCGGCAGAGGGTGAAGCAGATGTTCAGGGTGAGCTGGGGGGAGCCCTACCTGGGCTCCAGAGCCAGGGCTGCACGGGGGCTGTGCTTGTGTGGCTGGGAGCCTGCCAGCCCTGACTGAGCTGGAGGGGACCCTGGCAGTGCCCTCAAGCTGCACAGAGTAGCTGGCTGCTGAGGATGGGGCTGTCTGACCAGCCACCCCACAGCCTATGGCAGGCAGGCAGGTGGGTGCCCAGGTGCTGCCTCTTTGCAGCTGGGCCGGGGGCTGCTCTGCCAGCTCTGGGGAAAGTGGTCGGGGCACCTGGCACAGGCCCTGCCAGGTGAGTGGACTGGGCATTCAGGGCAGGTGCCCAAATGAAGCTGCACCCCCTTCCCAGGCCCCAGCCCCGCAGCCTCGAGGGGGGTACACCAGCCCTGGCAGGGCCCAGTCTGATGCGCAGCAGCTCGTTACTTTCCCCATGCCGCCCTCGCCCAACCACCCTGATGTTAGGAGTTATGAAAATGCAGCCTTCAGCTGAGCTGCGGCCTTTATTGTCTGTAATTGGTTTCTGTTTCCGGAAAGCCTGCTGGGCCGGGGGAGAGAAACTCTGCCCGTCAGCAGGTCCTGGTTCCGGGTGGTGCTGGCTGAGCCAGCAAACCAGGCCCTGGGGCCTTGCTGCTTTGCTGCAGCTTGGAAAGCGGGTTCTGTGGGTGCAAGTGCCAGGCCCTGGGGTCTCTGACACGCACATACACGCACACACACGCACACGCATGCACGTGCATAAATACACGCACACACGTGCACATACACATATGCACACAGGCACACACATGCACACACACACGCATACACATGCTCACAGCCTGACAGCTCCGCCGTGTCCAGCCCCTGCCAGCTCCTGCCAGCTCCTGCCAGCTGCTGCCTGTTCTCACTGTAGGTGGCTGGTCATGCCTGGCTGGAGCAAGGGAAGCTGGCCTGCTCACAGGACAGGGTGTGTGCGTGAGTTAGGGGCTGGGTGCTTGCAGACACTCTGGGGACTGCCCGGGGCTTGTGAAGGCCCCAGTGGGGACACAGTCTGCCTGGGCTGTGGGGGCTGGCAGGTGGCTGAGTCTGCATGTCTGCGCCCCTTCTCCCTGCCTGCCTGGGGCCATCCCCAGCCACATTTTGGGCTCAGGGGCAGCTCTGGGGCCAGCAGGTCCCTCCACAGAGTTGAGGCTGTGCCAGGGCCCGGGCAGCAGGGTGGCTTAGGGTGCAGGCTCCAGAGTGGCCTCTGAGTGGGAGGAGACAGATGCCCCTCACTGAATCCAGCACGAGTGTGCGTGGTTTCTGGGGCCTGAAGGTCCAACCAGACCTCCCTAAGGGAACCCCAGGCAGGCGGAAGCAGGGACAGTCTGCAGGGCTGGCTCTGGAGAGGAATGGCGAGGTAGCTGTTGCTGTCAGGTTACCGGCCTGGCACTCCAGCCCTATGTAGTGGAGGCCCAGTGGCCCTGGTCTTTGGTGGTCAAGACAGCTGGAGACGGCCCCAGTTTCAGAGCGCTGGGCCTCCCCGCCCATCTGTACTGCATCCTCTCTGGGCCCTGCAGAGCCGAGAGAAGGAGCCTGCAGCCAGGCTGGAGGGGCTCTGAGAAGTGGCATCAGCTTCGCTGTAGAGAAATCTGGAGATGGCTCCCATTGCCTGGCACGGCCTAATCAGAGAGAACTGCATGGTGGATAAACACTTGGCTTGAGGCTAATTTCATCAAACCTAAGATAAGGCTGGAAGTGGGCTGGACCCAGTGGGGCCTAATTGCCAGAGTGCGCTGGGCGGGCACCGAGGCAGGCTCAGCCAAAGTGCACGTTCAACAGCAGTGGCTTCCCTTTGTGGAAAGAAAAGATGCCACGTGACTGTGTCAGGGGTGTTCTAGGGTGGGGCTCAGGCCCCGAGGGCCTCACTGTCCGAGCATTTTTGTTCCTGCTCAGTGGTGAGTGGCTCACCCTGGCACATAGCCACTCTGTGGAGGGGGCCGCATCTCTGCCCAGCTCAGCCACAGGCCCTGGGAGGGCCTCTGGCCTGGGCTTTGTCCCATGGCCCCTGGGAGGGCCATCAGCCCAGGCTCTGTCCCATGGGGGCCCTTTGAGCTGCAGTGTGTCCCCTCATGGCTGTCCTGGGTGCAGTGAGTGGGCACCCCCAGACTTGGGGCTACCCTCACACCTCGCACCAGGCACCCCAGGGCTTCATCTGGTGTGTGCTGGGCCCAGTGCATGTGGCTTTAGCTGGGCCCTTCATGCCACGCTGGCCTCATCCCAGCCTTGGTGTGGGCACACAGCCTGTCCCTGGGGTCCTGACCCACCTTCATGCCAAGCCGTGGGTGTAGGGCGTGTGGCAGCCAGGGCTCTGCCCTGGGGACAGGGACAAAGGGGCTGATGGGGCCACCTGACTGGTGACTCCCCTGGCTCAGAGGGGATCCCAGGGGAGCTGGCACCACCACCCCTGGCCACCCCAGATCGTGGCCACGGGAGGAGGCAAGGCTGGTCCCCAGTGGCAGGCTGGTGGCTGCTGCTGTCCATGGTGCCGAGCCGGCCCTGGTTCCTGCTCAGCTGAGGCACATCTGCAGGCCGAGGCGGGGCCCTGGGTACTCTCCTGTGGACCAGGACATTAAGCTGTCCTGAGAGGCATGGCCAGCGTGCAGGTGGCCCTTTGTAGCCTGCTTCCTCGACCCCACTCTGGGCTCCTCGCAGGCCCCCTTGGAGCCCCTGGGTGGGCTGCTGAGAGCACGCCGTCCTCAGCCTGTGTGGGCTCTGGGAAGAGGACCCAGCGGGGCTTGTCTGGAAGCCCAAATCACGAAGCCTCTAGACTACTGCTGTGGTGGATGCAGCACCTCCTCGACTTTTGGAGGTATTTCCTGCTTCTCAGGGCACCCAGTCTGGGGCTTCCGTGGAGGCCTGAGGACTCAGCCAGTGTAGGCGGACACCTGCTGGCTGGGTGTCGGTGTGGCCAGGCCTGGGGTGAGCAGGCGCAGGGCGGAACCCTGCCTTCAAGGCATATCTGATCAGCCCGTCCCATCTCTGGCCACATCCTCAGTGGGGGGCCAGGGCCGAAGTGACAGCAGGCGGCTCACTGGGAGCGTAGGACCCCTCAAGATGCTGAGCAGCTGGGCAGGTGTGAAACGAGCTGTCAGGGCTGCCCCTGCCTGAAATGTTGAACTCTGGAACTCTTTGAAGAGCAGGGCTAGGCACTGCGTCCCTTTGGGCCTGGTGTTCCTCGTGAGTAGGGGCTGAGCTGGGGTGTCACACTGGGGCCATGTCACCTCCAAGCAGGTCATGCTCTCACCCTGCCCTGCCCAGCCCTGGGCTCCCATACCCTTGTGAGGCAAAGTCCTCAATCCTTAGGGCTCAAGGATTTCAAGCATCCCCTTCCATGGGGACTTTATTGCTGCCATGGGATTCCCATGGCCCCTGTAGCACCTTGGGTTTCTGCTGGGATGCCCAGCCTCCAGCCCAGAGTGTGTTGTTGACCCCCGTTTGGGGGGGCGCTGACCCCCGTTTGGGGGGGCGCTGACCCCCGTGTGGGGGTGGCGCTGACCCCCGTGTGGGGGTGGCGCTGACCCCCGTGTGGGGTGGCGCTGACCCCCGTGTGGGTGGCGCTGACTCCCGTGTGGGGGGGCGCTGACTCCCGTGTGGGGGGGCGCTGACTCCCGTGTGGGTGGCGCTGACTCCCGTGTGGGGGGGCGCTGACTCCCGTGTGGGGGGGCGCTGACTCCCGTGTGGGGGGGCGCTGACTCCCGTGTGGGTGGCGCTGACTCCCGTGTGGGTGGCGTTGGCTCCCGTGTGGGGGGTGTTGACTGCTGTGTGGGGGAGGTGTTGACTCCTGCGTGGGTGTTGTTGACTCCCGTATGGGTGATGTTGGCTTCCGTGTGGGTAGTGTTAACTGCTGTGTGGGGTGAGTATATGGAGGTGGCTGTGGGTTGAAGGTGAAAAGCATATGGCTTCAGGCAGGTGCGTCAGTTCTGCATTTTCATGGGGCTGTCCTCCTGGTGGGTGGGCCCGTGCCCTGGGGAGTGATTGGAGGCCGTGACAAGGGCAGTGGAGTAGAGGAGGGTGGGCTTGCATGTTGGTCTTGACTGGGGAGTGGGGTGGTCCTGAAGGACCCCTGTGCATGCAGGCCCTGGTCGAGGTGCCAATGGGGACCCAAGGCCTTGCATTGCAGGAAGCGGACACGGATGACCACCAAGGGACGCTGGGTTTTGAAGAGTTCTGTGCCTTCTACAAGATGATGTCCACCCGCCGGGACCTCTACCTGCTCATGCTGACCTACAGCAACCACAAGGACCACCTGGATGCCGCCAGCCTGCAGCGCTTCCTGCAGGTGGAGCAGAAGGTGTGCTGCCCGGGGCAGGTGTTGGGGGGCCAGCCATCAGGCCTCGCCTTCTGTTCTGAGCTTTGAGCTTCAGTCAGGGGACAGTGGTGATGGGGGAGCTGTCTGAAGCTATCCCAGGCCAGGGATGGGCTACCTGGGCTCATGCCCCTGCTCTGAGATGGAGAGATTAGGGTGGGGCAGGTCACAGCCTGGCATTTGAGAGCCCCCCAAGTTGGCTTTAGTTTTGATATTACAGGGTGCGCTCTATGGGGCAGCCAAGCAGGTAGGGAAAGTTTGTGGTTTCTCCTCCAGGGGCCCCTGAATGGCTTGGTCCTGACTGTGAACACCCTGCGCCTCCCACAGCTTGACCATGCCTCCTGCCTTGGTGTTGAGCATCTTGTGGACTAGGGTTCTGTGGCCCAGCCTTTGAGACCTGCCCCTGTGTTCCAGCCACATGGGTCTGGCTGACTCGCTCCCCTAGGGTGCCAGGCCCGCCACAATATCCACTCACCTGTTTGTCCAGCAGACACTCAGATGCCTCCTGGAATCCAGAGGGGCATGCTCAGCCCTTTATCTAGACCCCAAGAAATCCTGGCCATCCTTAGAGACCAATGCCAAGGCCAAGTGCTGCCCCACTGACCAAGGACCTCATTTCCAGAGGTTCAGGGCTCTGGCCATCTTGTATCAGGCCTGGGCAGGGACTGGGTACCGCATGCCCTGGTGGCAGGAGTTGCAGGTCCAGCCAGGCAGCGGAGGGGAAGGCCGGAGCCCCAGTGGGGACAGGGATCCATGGGAGGGGCTCAGACTGTGTGTGGCCACCCTCCAGCCTCGTAGGAGTGCAGGTGAGGACCCTGGACCCTCCTCAGGGAGGAGAGCAGGGACAGGGCAAGCCTTAGGGGACCAAGATGCCTCGGCCTGGGGGTGCTGCTTAGGGACCTCCACTCTACTTGCCTCAGCCTGGGGGTGCTGCTTAGGGACCTCCACTCTACTGGCCTCAGCCTGGGGGTGCTGCTTAGGGACCTCCACTCTACTGGCCTCAGCCTGGGGGTGCTGCTTAGGGACCTCCACTCTACTGGCCTCGGCCTGGGGGTGCTGCTTAGGGACCTCCACTCTACTGGCCACCTGCGCTGCGTCAGCCTCTCGGTGATGGTCTGAGGGCGAGGATGGGAGTGGCAGGAGGAGCCTTGGGAATCCCAGGTAGGGTCTGGGTGGGTTTTACCCAGGATCTCCCAGCAGTACCCCACCCCCAAGCTTACCACAAACCCAGAGCTGGCCTTTGGGGCTGTCCCTGGGCCTGAGCTCCCGGGATGCCCCCACCTGGCCGGGGCAGCTTGCCAGGCTCCATCCCGTGGCAGCCGCTTCTCCAGTCCTGCAGGCATGACACCCGGGACGCATGGCCCAGGCAGGGGAAGCTAGCACCAGTTGGCTAGACCCCACTGTCTCGGATGCCCTGTGCCCTGGCCACCAGGGGCGGCACCAGCATGTGTCTGTGGGTGACCTGGCTGCAGATAGTAGGTCCTCTGTCCCAGTAAAGGCAGAGGTGGGAATGGGGCCTGGATAGGGGATTGGCAGGCAGAAGTGACCCTTCCCTCCCTGACCTTTGCCCCAAGCCTTGTGGAACCCTCTGTGCACTCAGGAGCCAGAGTCCTCCAGCCGGCAACTGGTGCCCTTTGCCTGGCCTCCTGGTTGCTGGGCCTCCCCAGGGGCCCACAACTGGCTCTGGGCTCCCCCACCTGTTACCTCACCATGTTCCCAGGGACCTCCAAGAAGCCGTGTCAGTGGGCTGGGCAGCTCCTGGCCCAGCTGCACCATAGCGCCCTGGAGGTCCCTTGGCCTGTGATGCCTGGGGTGGCCTGGGCTGGGCCGGACTGTGGTGCTCAGATCTCTTGGGAGGGTTAGTGTGTGACGGCTTGGGCAGACAGTGGGAGGGGCTGGATGAGGGGGCTGCCTGTGCCTGCCTGGCTCTGCCAAGGGGGCATGAAGATTCTTGCTCTCCTGTACCCACCCACACATGGCCTCTGCTCCGTGCCAGGCCCACTCTGGGCCACAGGTCTCGCACTGGTGTGGGGTGGTCCAGCTGATGAGGTCAGAGGCCCCTCCCGTGCCGTCAGAGTTCATAGTCAGAGCAAGCCATCCAAAAGCCACGTGATCCACGGTAGTCCCAAGTCATGTGACACTGGAGCTGGCTGGCCATGGTCATCCCTGGTGTAATCAGAGACAGGCAGGGGACAGTGGTGATGGGGGAGCTGCCTGAGGCTATCCCAGGCCAGGGATGGGCTGCCTGGACTCATGCCCCTGCTCTGGCCTAGATGGCGGGTGTGACCCTCGAGAGCTGCCAGGACATCATCGAGCAGTTTGAGCCATGCCCAGAAAACAAGAGTAAGGGGCTGCTGGGCATTGATGGTGAGTGGGGCGCTGCCCTCAGCCCAGCTGTCCTGGGATGCTGGAGGGGCAACGAGGGCCCAACCTGTGGGCCGGGACAGGTGTTCTGTGTTCTGTGTGGCATGGGGGCAGGTGGTCATGAGACGAGGCTGGTGGTGGGCTGACATGGCCCCTATGCCACGCCGTCCTGCAGGCTTCACCAACTACACCAGGAGCCCTGCTGGTGACATCTTCAACCCTGAGCACCACCATGTGCACCAGGACATGACGCAGCCGCTGAGCCACTACTTCATCACCTCGTCCCACAACACCTACCTCGTGGGTGACCAGCTCATGTCCCAGTCACGGGTGGACATGTATGCTTGGGTCCTGCAGGCTGGCTGCCGCTGCGTGGAGGGTAAGCCCTGGACCTTGGGTGACGGCCGTGGGCTGGCATCTGCTGTGGGAGATGGGCTGCACCTGAGGAGCCCCCGGGGGGATCTCTGGGCAGGGGCTGGGAAGGCCTCTTCTGTGTCCCTCACTGAGCAATGGGACAGGCCCTCTTTTGGTCGAAGCTCAGCCTGCCTGGGCTCACTGTGGCTAGGCCCCTGGGGCTGACCAAGGCCTGCCCGCCTGCAGTGGACTGCTGGGATGGGCCCGACGGGGAGCCCATTGTGCACCATGGCTACACTCTGACTTCCAAGATCCTCTTCAAAGACGTCATTGAAACCATCAACAAATATGCCTTCATCAAGAATGAGTGAGTGGCTGGGCCTAGCGGGGCTGGCCCCAGAGGTGGGCAGGGTAGGGTCTCCAGGCTCTAGCTCTTCCTGCCACACCCACATGTCCTTTCTTTGGGAGCAGTGACTGTGGTGACCAGGGGGCTGGTTTCATTCTGGCATCTCTGGTTGAGGAGAGAGGGGCAGGGAGAGAGTATGGCCGCAGGTCTAGGCAGGGGCTTCACAGGAGCAGCTCGTCCACACGCCTGGTGGCACCTCCCGGTGTCAGTGCCCACAGCAGCTGTGGCTCCCACACTCATCACCCCTGAGAAGCCACTCTGTGTCCAGACTCAATTGGCTGTCACTCAGCTGTGGCTGTAGACACTATTGAAGAAAATACAGAAATTAGTTTCTGGAATTAGAAGACCGCCTCCCCGTGTGGTTTGAATTACCTTCAAGTCTTGGCTACATGAGGCTCGCAGGTGGGCAAGGAGCTAATTGCATGAAGGAAGAGAGAAGAAGCAAGATTGATTTAGGAAACAGAAGTAGATGGGCCTCTCCTGGAAGAGCTGGTCCTTGCTGTCACAGTCTCGAGCTGGCCCCATCCCTGGGACTGTAGGTGGGAAGGGCATTGCAAGGCACAGGGGCGGGGATGGGGGGAGGAGAGATGAGCTGGGAGGAGCCAGGGGCCTGCTGGGATCTCAGGACAGAGTTGCACCTATGACCAGTGTAATCTGTGCAGGCACAATGTTCTCCTGCAGGCCCTGGGCTTCAGGCCTCAGTTTCTTGCCTGAGAAGTGGGGGAATGAGCCCCTGCGCCCTGCCTGCCCACTCCACATCACAGGACTTGCTCATCTCTTGCCCTGGTTCATGCCCTCTTGCTCTGGGTCACTTACATTTTCTGAAAGAATCATGGCTGCCTTTTGGTAAAAATCCAAGTAAAACATACACATGGTTAAAAATGAAGCTGAAAAGCTTATAATTAAAAGTCCCTGCTATACTCCCCATTCTGCACTGTGCAGGTAATAACCATGTTCCACCAGATGGTGTGTGCCAGGCTTATGTCTCCTTCTTTATGGGACCAATGTCAGGACCCCAGGGCCATTCAGAGGACAGGGTCCCCAGTATCTAGGTCAAAAGGATTCTATTTCCCAGCCTATCTATAGCTCCACACTGTACCTTGGTTTTGTCCACATCATTTTAAAACCATGACTTTTTCAAACGTTCCTTTTGTTTTCCTGGAGTTTCTCATTGCCTTTGTTTTTTTTCTTATTGGGGAAAGCAGCTCATGCTCTCTTTACCAGTCCCTAAGATTCTCCCAGCTCCTTTCCCATCCACTCTGTTGCTTTTCAAAGCCATTGACGGGTGGGCCACCTCCCAGAGCTGCTGGTAATCCCAGCTATCCTGGGTTCCTGGTGAAGACCCCTCCTCATTCAATGGTTTAGATGACCTGGGATCTTGCAGAGGTGGGGCTTACCCATCCTCTGAGGCCCTGGCCTCATCCTGCTCTTTCTGCCTTGGGGCCACAGGTACCCAGTGATCCTGTCCATCGAAAACCACTGCAGTGTCATCCAGCAGAAGAAAATGGCCCAGTATCTGACTGACATCCTTGGGGACAAGCTGGACCTGTCATCAGTGAGCAGTGAAGATGCCACCACACTCCCCTCTCCACAGATGCTCAAGGGCAAGATCCTCGTGAAGGTGAGTGAGCCCCTGCCCTCCTGGGACCAGCTCACACAGAGTCTCGGGCCTGCAGCAGTGCCCTGCTCCAGACAGGCAGGGGCATCATGCCATCCATGGGCATATCTAGGGGGCTGAGGGCTGGCCACGCTCCTGACCTGGCCTCCATCTCCCCATGGTGGTCACTCTGGCTCAGGCCCCTCATGCACATCCAGGCCTTTCCCTTCACGCTGCTGCAGCCACAGGGAGCTGGCCAGTCTGGCCCCTGCCCCATGGCTGAGATGCCAAAACTGAGCTTGAGAAAAGGCCCCTCTCCTTGGCCGGCGGCTCTTTGTGGGTGCCAGGTACTGGCTTCCCAGCATTTTCTCCAGGGCCCCTCCCATCATGCACCTCCTCCCCCAGGGGAAGAAGCTCCCAGCCAACATCAGCGAGGATGCGGAGGAAGGCGAGGTGTCTGATGAGGACAGTGCTGATGAGATTGACGATGACTGCAAGCTCCTCAATGGGGATGTGAGTCGGGCTGGAGGTGGAGGGGGGCGCGTGGAGCCTGCAGTTCCCAAGAACAGCTGTCCGTCCTTGCTGTTGGGGCGAGTTAGAAAGGGAGGCATCCGGGAGAGAGGGACATTGGGGCAGATTCGCACAGCGGCCTGGGGCCTGGGGGGTCCTCCCTGCCCACCCACCCCTCTGCATGAGAGCTGCAGGCCTGCCTCTTCCCAGTTTCAGCTCCCACATTTGAGCTGACTCTTGGGGTACCATCCACTCCCCCTGCCCTGTCCTCTTGGCCCCTCAGTAAGTGGGGGCAGCACTGGGGGCTGGGTCCCACGCCAGACTCCACCCCATTCCCACCAGCACCTGGCCCACCCAGGCCCTGGCACAGGATTTCCCAGCTTCCCGCCCTTTTCCTCACCAAGTCTGGCTGGACGCTGGGTGGCTGGTAGTACTGCCCAGCCACCCCCGTGGCCAGTGCTGGCCTCATCTCCAAGCAGTGCCATCTCTAAGGTCAACTCTGATATGGGGGTCCCACCAGCAGTCACCTCCACAGAGCGCTGTCACTGTGTCCCCGCCAGGGCCAGGGTGGGGGGCTGCAGAGATGGGAGGGTCCTGTGAGGTGTTGGGCTCGGGGGCGCCGATCTCCTCTCCTCTGGACACTGCTCTGGGGCCGCTGCTGTGAGGCAGGGAAGGCCGTTGCTTCCAGAGGGGCCATGCATGGGGAGATAATTGTGCAGCGTGCTCCTGGCCACGCGGCCAACCATTTTAGAAACTCCTGAGGCAGCAGCACTCTTCCTGCCTGGGATGTGCGGCACACGCCTCTGTGTGGCCCACGTGATGGCAAAGGCAGCTCCACGGTGCTCCTGGCTTTGTGCCCACTCCAACCTGGCACCAGGGGCGTCTGACACCCAAGTCCCAGACCCTGTCCTCAAGGATTCCAAGTTCATCAGGGGCACCCGGGGGGCTGCACTGGCAGGGAAGGGCGTCCAACCCAGCTCAGAGGCTGCCCTGAAGTCTGCCCCTGGCCCTGCCATCTCCTGAGGCACATGGTGGCCAGTGGTGGGACTCCAGACCCTGTGCCGCCTGCTGGCGCACTGACCTCCCAGGCCACAGGGCCAGAAGCCGCACAGGCTCTGCTGGGGGCCGCTGGGCAGACTCGTGCTGCTGGAGGAGTCGGGTGGGCCTGGGTTCCCGTCCTGCCTGTGGCTGCCTGCAGGCCCTGAGGTGAATCACACGCCTTCCCTGAGCCTGGGGTGGGCAGAGTGCTGTGACCCTGGGGGTTGTCATTGCCACTACTCGCAGGGCTCGGGACAGATGCCAACAGGCCGGCCTCTGGCTCCTGCAGGCATCCACCAATCGAAAGCGTGTAGAAAACACTGCTAAGAGGAAACTGGATTCCCTCATCAAAGAGTCGAAGATTCGGGACTGTGAGGACCCCAACAACTTCTCCGTCTCCACACTGTCCCCATCTGGAAAGCTCGGACGCAAGGTAGAGGCCAAAAAGGTGACACCCCTGATGCCGACAGGCCCCCCCGACAGCCAGCCTGTGGGCCAGCCAGGGCCCCCGAACGTATGCTCTGTGCGCACTCACACCTGTGCACACACAAATCTGCACACAAGCATACCTCTGTACACACCTCCGCACACACCTGCATGATCCATACCCACCTACCAGCGGGGTCTCAAAGCCCAGCCAGTCGTTGAGAGCTGCCCAGCTGGGGGGACATGATTGCCTTCCCTGCCCAGCGCCCCTGCCTAGAGCTGCCTGTGGCCACGTGGGGAAGTTTCCACATGGAGCGAATGGCCCTCAGGGGCTGTCATGGCAGACACAATGGAGTGTGTGTGGGGTGAGAGGTGACAGGCAGGGTGGGCCGGGTCCTGCGGTCACAGAGCCTCCTTGTAGACCTTGAAGGAACCAGGAGCTGTGGCCGGTGGATCCCGCAGTCCTGCTGTGGGTGGGACAGAGTGGGGAGCGTGGGTGGGCCCTACAGACCCTCCACAGGGTGACAGTGCTGGTGGGCGCCTGTGCTGGGGACACGGTCTCCTGGTGCACAGAGCCTCCTTGCAGACCTCGAAGGAGCCAGGAGCTGTGGCCGGCAGATCCCGCAGTCCTGCTGCGGGTGGGGCAGAGTGGGGAGCGTGGGTGGGCCCTACAGACCCTCCACAGGGTGACAGTGCTGGTGGGCGCCCATGCTGGGGACACGGTCTCCTGGTGCCTGGAGAGCCCTACCGTGCCCTGTGGCACCGGCTCGTTCTGCCTGTCCCTGCAGGGACCTTGCTCTTTTCCTAACCCTTGGGGAGGGTGGGAAGGTGACTTCTCCCTGGCCAAGTGAGGGTGCTGTGTCCCCTTCCAGGACCAGTATTTTTAGACTCAGGTGTTTGCGTTTCCGCCCACGGGCCTCGGAGCACTCGGCACAGCTGACACCGCAGGAGAGCTCGAGGAACATGCCCTGTGCAGGTGGCTCTTGCAGGGCCCGAGCTGAGAGGCGTTCCTTTATTTTTATCCCAAGGTGTCTAGGTGGGGGAGAGTGGCCATCTGTGGCTCTGCTGGGCAGCCAGCTGGGCCTGTGCAAAACCTGGAGATGCATCTGCGGGTCCAGGAGAGTGGTCCCCTGCAGACCTCAGGTCTGAGCGGCTGCTGGGGGTTCTGTGCTCAGGGAAGGCTTCCTGCAGGAGGAGGAGGGGCTCAGGCACAGCCACGAAGGTTGGGGGAGGAGCGGGAATCCCCCCTGATGAGATGCACTCCTTGCCTGGTGTGGACACACACCCCAGAAGGGTCTCAGAGTCTTTGGTACAGGCGAGGGGCGGAGCTGATCCCAAGGCCAGGCCGGGACGCGTTCAGCCCTGGAGCTCACGGAGGGCGTGGCCCAGGTAAAGGGGGTGTCTGTGCACTGGGGGTCGTGGGGATGGCAAATCCCACTGAGGGACACTTGTGCCTCTCTGTCCCCCTGGGGTAGCCGGTGTCCCCTCTGCCCATGAACCTTGAGGACGTGAGACCTCTACTCACGAGTCCCTGAGGCCCGGGGGCAGCAGGAATGGGTATCTTGGGGAGAGAAGCCGGTGGGTAAGGAGGGGCCCCACCCCCAGAAAGCTGAGCACAACCCGGTGAGTGCTTGTGCAGCCAACAGCCTTGCCCCGTGAGGACCCTTCCCTGAGCACCCCCTCGGGGCCCAGAACCCAGCCTCCCTGACAGAGGCAGGGCTGGGGGGCCTGCTGCTGGCTGAGACCCTCCACCACCATCCAGGCCCCCTCACCTGGGCCTTCTGCTGCCTGCAGCCCCTTGGAGCATAGTTGGGTCTTGCTGTCTCCTCTGTTTGGGAGTCCCAGGGGTGACAACGGGTCTGGCCGTGCAGTACGGGCTGTGTCTGGCCGTCCGTCTCCTGGGTCAGCGCGTGCCTCTCCTCGGTCATGCCTGGATTTACAGTCGCTCGTGGCTCTGGGTCACTGCAGCATTTTGGGGATGTTTAAGGAGCTGTGAAGTGTGGTGGCCCCGACCGGCTCCAGGCGCACTGTCAGTCTGGCTCCTAGCGCCTCTCCCGGCAGCCGTGGCACCAATAAATTCAGAGGAAACCGGGGCTGGCTTTTCTGGAGGTGGAGAGAGACGAGCATGTCTGAGAGCCATGTGGACCTGGACAACCTGGGAGCCTCCTGCTGCAGTGCACGTGGGGCCTCGGGCTCCAGCCAGTGCAGCCTGGTGACGGGAAGGCCCCTTGGCCACTCTGGGCCGTGGGGAGGGCCGTCCAATCCCATCCTGGCTCCCTATGAGGGTGAAGGAGGGGCAGGGCACACCTCTGGGCCGTGGTACCCAGAGCACAGGGAGGCTGGCGGGAGCTCCCCGGCCGCATCAACAGGACTGAGAGGCCCGTCTGGCATGGGGCCTGCGGACGCGACGTGCCCTGATTTCCAACGCGTCCAGCGAGGCAGTGTCCAGGCAGGCCCAGGTCCAGGCTGGGGAGAGCGGGCAGCAGTCGGAGCTGTTTGCTGTGGCGTGGCTGAGCGCCGAGTGTCTGTGGTCATGAGAGCTACAGTGGCCTCTTTGCAGCAGTGTGGGAGCATCCAGGGGTGTGGGAGGGTGTGTGTGCAGGGGCGTGCTGTGGGTGTTGCAGGGGTGTGTGCAGAGGGGTGGGCGTGTACAGGGGCATGGCCACGGGTGGGTGATGTGTCCGCTTCTGGCGGAAGCCCCCTCCTAACAGGGACCGCTGCT
Source organism: Homo sapiens (assembly GCF_000001405.40). Taxonomy (NCBI): domain Eukaryota; kingdom Metazoa; phylum Chordata; class Mammalia; order Primates; family Hominidae; genus Homo; species Homo sapiens. Next base: position 2,494,051 of record NC_000001.11, read on the forward strand.
GCAGGCCCACGGCTTTGCTGTGTTTCAAAGAAAGTAGCCCCCACCCTTGGTGGGGGACAGGATGTGGTATGGGAGCCCCTCCTGAGCACAGCTGGGCCATGTTTTGGAGGTGTCTGTGGGAGGGGCTGCAGGGGTCAGGTGGTGGCACAGGCTCTGCTGGTTCCATTGGGAATGAGCTTTGGGGTGAATGAGCAGCTCGTGAGGCAGCCCTGGGTTCGGCGGGGGGCAGGCAGGGTAGCCCTGGATGTGTCTGCTACTTATACAGCGGTAGGAAGGCTCACAGTGGTTTCCTGGGGTTCCCCAGCTCAGAACCCGCCTCAGGGAGTGCCCACCTGGAGCCGTGTGTCTGATTAGGGATACCCGCGCACTGCGGGAACAGGTCAGGGCCGTGGAATGCTCGTAAAAGGGTTGCGCAAGCAGGCCTGGCCGAGCAGTATTCCAGGCACACAAACGCAGTTATTACGTAGTCACCACTGGTGGGAAAAAAGGATTCAGAACTTAACGAGTTTAAAACAACACATGAGAGACGCTGAGGCAGGTGTGAGCGAATGTTTCCACCGGGGCCTGACTTTCAGGCCGCTTCTCCTCGGCAGCTGCCTCTGCCCCAGGGTGGACTGGGAACGGCTGCCACGGGGGCTCCCCAACCTGTCCCCGCCCTGCCCTCCCCTCCCGTCTGCCTTACTCCAGACCTGGCTCAAGCCCACCTCTTCCAGGAAGGCCTTCTGGGACCACCAGGGGCTGTCCCGGCCTCCCTGCCTGGTTCAAGGCTAGACTCACCTTGTCCCTGTCTCTCCCCTGGACTCAGAGCAAGGCTGAAGAGGACGTGGAGTCTGGGGAGGATGCCGGGGCCAGCAGACGCAATGGCCGCCTCGTCGTGGGAAGCTTCTCCAGGCGCAAGGTCCGGCGCAGCTCCCAGGCCAGGGTCCCGGTCTGGGCCCAGTGTCCTCCCTGCTCCCAGTGCCCCGTGTCCTCCCTGCTCCCAGTGCCCCGTGTCCTCCCTGCTCCCAGTGCCCCAGTGGGCCCTGCCCCAGCCAGAGCAGATGGGGGTCTCCTCCAGTCCCCAGGGTTCCCAGCCTGGCTCACAGGATCCCCTCTGAGTCAGGCCGAGCTATCGGTTGCAGGTGCCAGGGACTGGGCCAGAAGCCTGGGCTCGGAGCTGGTGGGAACAGGTGCCTGGCTGGCTCACATCCCTTCTCTGGCCCACGCTGGCCCTCGCCCCAAGCTCAGGTGCCTTGTGGCTGCCCTGAGAGTCTGCCAGAGCCCAGATCGAGAGGGCACCGAGGAGGCTTTGGCAGGCCCAGCCAGGCGGGATGGACATGGGAGGCTGCGTGGGCCGCTGGGGACCCCGGAGGATAGGCCCTCCCCAACCCCCCAGCCTTCGCCAAGGCCTGGCCTGGGCCAGAGGCCCTACAGCTCACACCTCTGCCCCCCGCACAGAAGAAGGGCAGCAAGCTGAAGAAGGCGGCCAGCGTGGAGGAGGGAGATGAGGGTCAGGACTCCCCGGGAGGCCAGAGCCGAGGGTAGGTGCCCTGCCCCACGGGGAGGCCCCGCACACTCCTGGGAGCCTGGCCCAACCGGGCCCTTCTCTGCGGTGACCCCACCAGGACCATCCCTGAGCAGGGCAGGACCTACCCCCTTCTTGGCCCCTGGAAGCAGTGAAGTGGTAGGGAGTGTGGTGTGCAGGGCAGGCTGGTGGCTGTGGGCAGTGGGGGCAGGGGCGGCTGAGCAGGTGGCTGGAGGGCCCAGGTCCCCACAGCCCTGGATGCTGCCGGGCTGTCGGCTCTCGGTCCTCACCGCCTCCTCTTATGAGGCCCCCAGCCTCATGCCCTCCCCAGGGGGCAACAAATGCCTGCCATGAAGTGGCTCCCCCTCTTCCCGTCCAGTCAGGCTGAATTCAAGGCCCAGGCCCCCGTGTCGGAGGCCTTCCTCAGCACTGTCTGGGGTCTCTTTGAGGTCTCAAACCTACAGGCCCAGAAGGAACTCCCACCCCTCCCGGACCCTGGGCTCCCCCCGTGCCGCCCACTCCCTCCTATTGCCGTCTCCCCTCACTTCCATCCCCCAATGGTTCCTCCGTGCCCCTCGCCTGGGCACAGCCCCCTCCTGTCTCATCCCGTCCCACGTGCCAGCCGGGCTCTGCCCTTAGCACACATCTGATCCACGTGTGCCGCTGCCACCCGGCCGACACGGAGGCCCCCTTGGACCCTGGCCTCCTCTCCACATAGCGATTCTAGGCCAGACCCAGGCCCCGAGCCCAGCTCTCCCCTGCTCAGAACCTTCCAGAAGCCCCCACACCTGCCACGCTTGGCAGGCCACGTCATCCTCCACTGCACACAGTGCCTAGGGACTTTGCACCTGCTGGTAGCTCCCAGCCAGCCCACATCCTGCCCAGCACTCAGGTTTCCGCAGCCCGCGGCCCAGTCTGGCGTCCGTCTCTGATGGTTCGGGGCCTGCTGCGTGAATTAATGAGGCTGCCCGAGCCCTGGAGCCCGTCTCACGGAGCTGGGTGCCAGGCTGGCCCTGGACGGGAGGGGTTCTGACCCCCTGCACCTGCCACAGGGCGACCCGGCAGAAGAAGACCATGAAGCTGTCCCGGGCCCTCTCTGACCTGGTGAAGTACACCAAGTCCGTGGCCACCCACGACATAGAGATGGAGGGTGAGTGGCTCGGGGACCTGGGGCCACGGGCGGAGGCCTCCCTGTCCCCCATCCCTGCTATGCTGCTGGGCGCCGGGCGAGGTCGAGGACTGGCAGTCTGATGCCCGGTCACCGGCGCCACAGCGGCGTCCAGCTGGCAGGTGTCGTCCTTCAGCGAGACCAAGGCCCACCAGATTCTGCAGCAGAAGCCGGCGCAGTACCTACGCTTCAACCAGCAGCAGCTCTCCCGCATCTACCCCTCCTCCTACCGTGTGGACTCCAGCAACTACAACCCGCAGCCCTTCTGGAACGCCGGCTGCCAAATGGGTGGGTGCGGGCATGGTGCGCTGGGTGTGGTGGGGAGGGCTCGGCTCAGACGGTCCCTGAAGCCCAAGGGGCGAGCAGGGGACCCGCTGGGGCCTCGGTTCTGTCCTGGGCTCTATTGCCCTTGGAGCCTCCACACCTCTGTGGCATGCTGCCGACACCAGGCTGCCACTGACACCAGGCTAGCACTGGGGCAGGGTCCTTCAGGCCTTGTGGGGGATGTGGGAGCGATGGTGCAGGCCTGTCCACCTACTCCCAGGGATACCTGCCTGCGAGGCTGGCTGCGCCAGCTCCGGGGATGTCCCTCCAGGATGTGCTGGCCTCAGTCCTGCACAGGTGTGAACCTTGGAGTCCCATTCACATTGGGTGAACGAGGGGCAGACGGCAGATACGCGGCAGCTGTGCAGGGGAGGCTAGCGTGTGGTGGTGGGTGGGCGGGGCACACACCTGGAAGGTCAGGTGCTGACCAGGGCAGCCTTGTGTCACCCTCGCAGTTGCCCTGAACTACCAGTCAGAGGGGCGGATGCTGCAGCTGAACCGAGCCAAGTTCAGCGCCAACGGTGGCTGCGGCTACGTACTCAAGCCTGGGTGCATGTGCCAGGGTGAGGCACTCGGACACTCAGGGCTCGGACGCTCAGGGCTCGGATGGGCCTCCTGGGTGTCCCCAGAACAGAGATCGGAGCCCCACAGGCTAGCAAGGGGGTGGGGGCGGCTTTGGCAGAGTCCCCTGGAGGGTCAGGTTGGGACGAAGCTCCCAGGATGCTGGGGAGGTGGGTGGGGGAACCCTCCTTGCTAGCGTTGCAAAGAAGGGCCCAGCTCCGTCAGGAATCCAGGGATGGAGAACTGGGGAGCCTGGGCCCCACATGAGATTCATGGCAGGACTTGTCTGAGGGGCCCCAGTGCCAGCGACCCAGCCCCCTGTGCCTGGCCCCTCTGTGGGTCTCAGGACCTGGGTCTGGGCTGGGTGTTTGGAGGAACCTCCTCCCGGCTCTCAGACACCTCTGTTTTGTCTGCTGTGGATGACTTCCAGCTTGGTCCCCCTGTGGCCCTGGCAGGAGTATCACCATGGGAGAGGGCAGGACAGGGGCTGGGCGAGCAGGCCTCCCACTAGACCAGGCTACTCCTGCTGTGGACCAGCTACTTCCACCTCTGCCCTTGGCTTGCCCTCCTCAGAGTTCTCAGCCTGAGTGGGCCCTGGGGACACTGTCACCAGAGACCCCACCCCTCATACCCCCAGGGACCCAGACCCACCCCCAGAAGCCATGTGACCTCCTCGGCTCAGCTGTGGGAGGCATGGGCTCTGTCCCACATGCTGCGGTAGCCACAAAGGTGATCCATACTGGGCCAGGTGCACCCCGAGGTGCCCCCCTGGACCACTGCCTCCCTCCCTCCCCCTGGCACCGGCTCCAGTCTCCTATGTGGGGGCTGGGGAGGGGGCTGTTGGCAGCCATGCCCCAGCAAGCAGGGGGCTTGCTGAGGGCTGGGCCACTGACCACCTCCCCGGCATCCCCTCAGGCGTGTTCAACCCCAACTCGGAGGACCCCCTGCCCGGGCAGCTCAAGAAGCAGCTGGTGCTCCGGATCATCAGTGGCCAGCAGCTTCCCAAGCCGCGCGACTCCATGCTGGGGGACCGTGGGGAGGTGGGGGCCAGCCCCACACAGGCGGGAGGGGTGGGAGTTGGGGGCGGGCCGGGCATCGCGATGGGCCCTGATGCCACCCCCACTCCTGTGTCCCAGATCATCGACCCCTTTGTGGAGGTGGAGATCATTGGGCTCCCTGTGGACTGCAGCAGGGAGCAGACCCGCGTGGTGGACGACAACGGTGAGGCTGGGCCGTGGCTCCGTCACACCTGTGATGGAAGTCTGAGGGGGGAGGGTTGGGGCTACCTGGTGTGCCCGGGTGCCCTGCCCAGGCCTCCCTCAGTGACAGTCCTGGGCGCCCTCCCCTCTAGGTGGGCAGTCCCGGAAGCAGCACCGGGAGTGGCACTGGGAGTGGTGTGGGCCGGGGGCTCCAGGCTGGAGCGGTGCTGGGCCGGGCCCTCCCCATGGGACACTCCTCCTGGCGCTGCTTCCCCAGGGTTCAACCCCACCTGGGAGGAGACCCTGGTTTTCATGGTGCACATGCCGGAGATCGCGCTGGTCCGCTTCCTCGTCTGGGACCACGATCCCATCGGGCGTGACTTCATTGGCCAGAGGACGCTGGCCTTCAGCAGCATGATGCCAGGTGGGCAGGAGTGGACACGGTGCCCCCCACACTGGCCGAGGGCCCCAGGGCAGGGCAGGTACTCTTTCCCCTGTGAGTCAGTGCCTGTGTAGGTGGGCCTGCACCTGGCACCAAAGAGACAGGAGCTGAGGACGGGAGGAGAGCCAGCCTGGGGATCTGCGGGTCAGGCAGGGGCATGGCCTGTGGGGGAGGGGCCACCCCCAGGAAGAGGTCCCTGCAGGCTGGTGCAATGCCAATGGGCTTCCTGGAGGAGGTGGGGTAGTGCTGGGCCCACAGGAGGCAGAGGCCCCAGGCCTGGGCTTGTTGGGTGTATCTGGGGTCTTGGGACCTTTAAGTAGAATGGGGGGCAGAGCAGGTGGGGGCCCTGGGAGGCTGTGACCTCATGACCCTGCTGACCCACACTGCTCCAGGCTACAGACACGTGTACCTAGAAGGGATGGAAGAGGCCTCCATCTTCGTGCATGTGGCTGTCAGTGACATCAGCGGTAAGGTGAGTGTCACCCCCTGCCACCAGCCATCATGGGGAGGGGCCACACCAGCCCCTTGTCCCATGCCCCCCCATGTGTCCCCAGTGCTGGGTCCTGAACTCAGGCAGTGAGGCCTAGGGTCCCCTCCCCGGGCCTCTGCTCCTCTATCTCAAGAGGGGCTGCTGTGGGGGCCTGGCTCCTGAGCCACCAGTGCCCACCTCTGATCTCAGGGCTGGCTTTGGGCATCTCGGGCAGGACAGGTCCTGAGTGCTCCGGGCCTTGCCCCGCCCTGTGTCACCCATGCCTGTCTCAGACTCTTGGGGGCCTTGCAGCCTCCACCCCTACAGTGCTGCCATCTGGCTTCTCAGCAGGGACCGAGTGATGCCCCTCTCCCCTCTACTACCCCCCACCCCTCTACTTCCTGGTGTCACGTGGAAGGCAGCTGCCCGGGTTTGCCTGTGACTCCACACCCAGCATGTCTGTCCCCTGCCCCAGGTCAGGGTGGGGCCTCGGCTTCCGCAGGAAGTGGTCTTGGTGCCAGCCCTGCTGCCCTGGCTTTGAGCTGGGGCCCAGTGCCCTCTGGGTCCTGCTGGCTGCAGCTGGCCCTCGGGGAACCCGCACACACAGCAGGAGGGGCCTGCCCAGGCCCAGTGCTGACTCTCTCCTGCCATGCTCTCGGGCCCAGAGGTGCCATCCAGCCCCTGCCGTCTATCCACCCATCTGTTCCTCGTCCCCCAGGCTGCAGGGCTCCCCACGCCACTGCTGTGGCCGCCTCACCTGCTCCCCCTGTCTCTTTGGTCTTGCAGTCGGCTTCTCTATGGCCACAGCCTACTTTTAGAAGTGCAGCTCTGTTAGGAGCCTTGAAGGTACCCGGTGCGCGGGACAGTGCGGCCCGCCGCCCCTGCATGCCCAGGCCGCACCCCATTAGCATCCATGATTCCTGGTAGCATTTGGAGACTGTCGCTCATGTGACGTGGATCATGACATGGCTCCGGGGGCCCTGGCCATCCCCAGCCATAGTGGCATTTACGAGGCAGATCCAGGGTTCAGCTGGGTGGCCGCCTTCTCACTGGCCTCTCCTCCCCTCCCCTCCCTCAGTCCTCCCTCCCCTCCCTCAGTCCTCCCTCCCCTCCCTCAGTCCTCCCTCCCCTCCCTCAGTCCTCCCTCCCCTCCCTCAGCCCCTTCCCTGGCGGGCAGCCCGCTGGAGCCCCCACTGTGCCCCTCCTATCCCCCTCCTTCTCTCTCCTGCCCCCATCTCGGACCCTCAGGCTGTTGGTTCTGAGTTCGCCTCCCACTCCCTCCCTGTCCTTGCCAACCATGCCAGTGCATGGGATGAGGGCACCCCTGAGGCCGGCGCTCCGAGCCAGAATCCCGGATCTGCTTCTAAATGGCTTCCCAGCCACTGTGACCAAATGCGTAGATTTGGGATCTTGAATCAGGAAGCTGATTCAAGTGCTGGCCATCTGAACGCATCTGCCCAGAGGCGCCCCTGCAGGGGGGTGACCCACCTGCCGGGCCTGGGCCGCTCTGTGCACGAGCACGGCTCGTCATGGGGGCGCGGTGGGTGCTGTCTCGGGGGCATCTGGCATGTGAGGGCCCCTCTGGCCTCTGCGCCCTGGAGATGCGGCTGCCTCCCTCTCAGCAGCTGTTCTGCCCAGGCAGGGACCTCCTGGGCCCAGCTGTCCAGGAAGATTGGCTGTGGCCAGGTGCTGGTGGGCTGGGAGTCTGAGCCCATCTTGGCAGGGCTCAGGGGGCAGCAAGCCAGCTGCGGGCCTTGGGGGCTCACATGAGTGGAGGGCAGGGCAAGACCAGAAAAGGCTGCCTGGGGGAATTCAGGAAGGCTTCCTGGAAGAGGTGGTACTTCCTAGGGCACGAGTATCACCATGGGAGTGGGCAGGACACGGGCCGGGCAAGTGGGCCTCCCGCTGCACCTGGCTACTCCTGCTGTGGACCAGCTACTCCTGCCTGAGGGTGGGGCACACACAACCAGGGAGTGCCACGCCAGTGTCCCCTGCTAGCGCCGGGGGCTGCGGGCCTCTGAGCAGGTGCAGGCTGTGGTGGGCCAGGCTGGGGCTCGAGGTCTCTCCTCCGGAGGGAAAGACCTTCTCTCCATGCCCCTCAAGGGCCCCACATGCCCTGGACAGGTCAGGCGAGGGCAGTTTCTGCCGGAAGGGTGGGGTGGGCCATGTGTACTTAGATCTGTAGCAGCTACTGTCCCAGGCAGAGCTGCCCTAGGGACCCTGCTCCTGAAGGCCCTGGTGTGTCCACACACCCCCAGCCTGAGGTGGCCCAGCCCCTCGGACCGAGACACGCATGGCACGTCTGTGGCACGGTCTGGAGAGCTGGCCCTGGGGGAGCAGCTGCAGCTGGGCTGGGACCCCTGGCAACAGCTACATGGGCTCCTTCTCTTGCAGGTCAAGCAGGCTCTGGGCCTAAAAGGCCTCTTCCTCCGAGGCCCAAAGCCCGGCTCGCTGGACAGTCATGCTGCTGGGCGGCCCCCGGCCCGGCCCTCCGTTAGCCAGCGGATCCTGCGGCGCACGGCCAGCGCCCCGACCAAGAGCCAGAAGCCGGGCCGCAGGGGCTTCCCGGAGCTGGTCCTGGGTACACGGGACACAGGCTCCAAGGGGGTGGCAGACGATGTGGTGCCCCCCGGGCCCGGACCTGCTCCGGAAGCCCCAGCCCAGGAGGGGCCCGGCAGCGGCAGCCCCCGAGGTAAGGCGCCAGCTGCGGTGGCAGAGAAGAGCCCTGTGCGAGTGCGGCCCCCGCGTGTCCTGGACGGCCCCGGGCCTGCTGGGATGGCCGCCACATGCATGAAGTGTGTGGTGGGATCCTGCGCCGGCGTGAACACCGGGGGCCTGCAGAGGGAGCGGCCACCCAGCCCGGGGCCTGCAAGCAGGCAGGCAGCCATTCGCCAGCAGCCCCGGGCCCGGGCTGACTCACTGGGGGCCCCCTGCTGTGGCCTGGACCCTCACGCTATCCCGGGGAGAAGCAGAGAGGCCCCCAAGGGTCCTGGGGCCTGGAGGCAGGGTCCAGGCGGTAGCGGCTCCATGTCCTCGGACTCCAGCAGCCCAGACAGCCCGGGCATCCCCGAAAGGTCCCCCCGCTGGCCTGAGGGTGCCTGCAGGCAACCGGGGGCCCTGCAGGGAGAGATGAGTGCCTTGTTTGCTCAAAAGCTGGAGGAGATCAGGAGTAAATCCCCCATGTTCTCCGCCGGTAAGCCCCTCTTGCCCTGCGTGGTCCTCCCGCACGCCCCTGGCATGGCTGGGCCTGGGTCACCTGCTGCTGCTTCTGCGTGGACGGTGTCGCCTCGTGTGCTCGTGCTCGTGGCTCTGTATCCGTGGCACTGTCTCCGTGGCACTCTGCTCCCTTGGCTTGCCTGTGGCCCATAGCCCCAGCCCTCCTGTCTGAGCTTGAGGCCCTGGGACTTGGGTGGAGCTGGTTTGAGGCCCGACAGGCTGGGAAGAACCAGCTGCTCTTGCTGAGGGTCTGGGGCCGGGACTGTGGCCTGACATGCTGGGCCCCTCCGGCTGGGCGCTTCCCCAAACTCACCTCCTGGGCGGCTGGCGACCTGCATGGCCCCTGATGCCTTTCCTGGGACTGGGGGCCACGTACCATCCCATTCCCACCTCCCTCTAGGGCAGGCTCCAGGGGTCCCTACTGGGAAGTCTGATGTGGGCAGGTAGTGCAGCTGCTGGGCGTCTCCTGCGCCCCTGGGACGCCTGGAGCCTGCTGAGTGCTGCGTGGAGTAGATTCCCTGGGCCCCAGGGCTTCGCTGCTTTGGGCTGAAGCACCCCACTAGAAGGGTGTCTCCTTAGCCTGGAGGGAGGGACATACACGGAGCCCGCCCCACACCACCCTGCCCCTCCAGACCCCCCTGACCAAGCTTTCCTTTCTGCCCCCACCCACGCTGCCTCCGTAGTTAGGAACTGAGAGCGGCGAGTGACAGGTAACGGGGCCCAGCCCCGGTGTCCCGTGCTGTCCCAGCCCAAGGAGGGCCCCGTGTGCGGCACAGGGCGTGGACTGGGCCCCAGCAGCAGCAGGGTGGGGACACCGAGTGTGCCGCGCCCGGGGGATGCCTCGGGGTGGGAGCTGGGCCTGGCGACCCTCGGCACAGGGCACCGGGGACACCACCCTGATCCGACTCCTCTCCGCCTCTCTCCCTGCCTCCCTCTCTCTCTTCTGCTTCTCCCTCTGGCTCTCTCTCACTCCCCCACCTCCCCACAGACACCCGCCCCCTCTCCACGCAGCGGCCACTCCCCCCACTGTGCAGCCTGGAAACCATCGCTGAGGAGCCCGCCCCAGGCCCTGGTCCCCCGCCACCAGCGGCTGTCCCCACCAGCTCTTCTCAGGGACGGCCCCCATACCCCACAGGACCCGGAGCCAATGTGGCAAGCCCCCTAGAGGACACTGAGGAGCCCCGAGACAGCAGGCCTCGGCCGTGCAACGGCGAGGGCGCCGGCGGGGCATACGAGAGGGCCCCCGGCAGCCAGACGGACGGCAGGAGCCAGCCCCGGACCCTGGGCCACCTGCCCGTGATTAGAAGGGTGAAGAGTGAGGGGCAGGTGCCCACGGAGCCCCTGGGAGGGTGGCGGCCCCTGGCCGCTCCCTTTCCAGCTCCTGCCGTGTACTCCGATGCCACGGGCAGTGACCCGCTGTGGCAGCGGCTGGAGCCATGTGGCCACCGAGACAGCGTTTCCTCCTCCTCCAGCATGTCATCCAGCGACACTGTCATTGACCTCTCCCTGCCCAGCCTGGGCCTGGGCCGCAGCCGTGAGAACCTCGCTGGAGCCCACATGGGACGCCTGCCCCCCAGGCCCCACTCGGCTTCGGCTGCCCGCCCAGACCTGCCACCTGTGACCAAGAGCAAATCCAACCCCAACCTTCGGGCTACAGGCCAGCGGCCTCCCATACCTGACGAACTGCAGCCCAGGTCCCTGGCCCCAAGGATGGCTGGCCTCCCCTTCCGGCCTCCCTGGGGCTGCCTTTCCCTGGTGGGCGTGCAGGACTGCCCCGTGGCTGCCAAGTCCAAGAGCCTGGGCGACCTCACTGCTGATGACTTTGCCCCTAGCTTTGAGGGCGGCTCCCGCAGACTGAGCCACAGCCTGGGCCTCCCGGGAGGGACACGGCGGGTGTCGGGGCCAGGGGTGAGACGGGACACCCTGACAGAGCAGCTGCGCTGGCTCACTGTCTTCCAGCAGGCAGGAGACATCACGTCACCCACCAGCCTGGGCCCGGCTGGGGAGGGGGTGGCAGGGGGCCCTGGTTTTGTGCGGCGCTCCTCCTCCCGCAGCCACAGCCGCGTGCGTGCCATTGCCAGCCGGGCCCGCCAGGCCCAGGAGCGGCAGCAGAGACTGCAGGGCCTGGGCCGGCAGGGACCCCCAGAAGAGGAGCGGGGCACCCCCGAGGGCGCCTGCTCCGTGGGCCACGAGGGCAGTGTGGATGCACCAGCACCCTCCAAGGGAGCCCTCGGGCCAGCATCCGCGGCTGCTGAAAACCTGGTCCTGCTCCGCCTCTGACCGTCAGTGGTGGGAACCTGGGCGGCTCTGGAGGCCCAGGGCAGGGGTGGGCGTGTTGTTTGCTCAGGAAACAGGGCAGCCAGGCCCCCAAAACTGTGTCCCCCTGGCTGCCCTGTGTCCCCTCCACCCCTGCCTCCCTCCTGCCCCTGCTCCCGGGGAGGAAAGGCTAAAGCTGCTGGCCCGGGGCCCACAGGAGGGGCTTCGAGGCTGGCCCTGCCAGGCAGTTTTCCCGGCGTTTTAGGATCTGTACATAGAGAAATATTTAAATTTTTAGAAGCAAAACTTATACAACATTAAAATGATACCAAGTCCCTTTCCATTTTTACCTGGTTTTTCACCCCAGGTGTGTGTGGTGTGCATCTGTGCGCACCTGTCCTGAGCCTGCCCCGGGAGGCGCGGCTGACCTGGCCACGGCACAGGCGGGGGTGCTTGTGAGGCACCAGGGCTGCTCAGGACGGCCGTCTGGGCCTTGCCCTGAAGCCTGTATCTGCCTTGCACCGACCACGCCACCCTCTGCACCATGCCTAAGCCTCTGTCAACTCCCAAACGTGGTTCTGATAAACGTGCTCACCAGCACGCATGGGCTTCCCGTTCGCTCAGCCTCCTGTGCCACTTACTTACCAGGTGCCCGTCGGAGCCTGCGCCAGGCCCAGAAGACACCCCAAGAAAAGACCTGGCCTGTCCTCAGAGGGCTGAGCTGGACAGGCTCCCAGGGTAGGCTGCAAAGCCTGCTCCTCAGGACGCAGGCCCTAACCCCGGGCCACAGGCCCCCCAACCCGGGGGACTGCTCTGCCTGCAGAGCATGGTGGTTCCAGAAAGGCCCCTACCCTAGAGAAGCTGGGGTGCTGGTCGGGCCTCTGGAAGCCTGTGCTGCAGCCCGTCCTCTGCTGCCCCAACAGTGGGAGTGGGTGTGGCCCACCCTGTGGCCAGGGGAGTCAGGGGATGTCCTGCCCCATGAGGCTCTGTCACCTGCGGCTGCCCAAGGGGCCTGCCCGGCGCACCACCCGGATGAGCACTGCTCTGTCGGGGTATCCCGTCTCACCCCTGGCTGCGTTGTGCCCAGGCAGGGCCCTTGGGAAGGCGGGCCTGAGGCCCGGAGGCCGGGATCCTGGGGTGCTGGGGGAGCTCTAAGGGGGCTGTTCTGCCCTCACCATGTTCCTGCACTGACAGGGATTGTGGGCGGCCACAGGAATCGCTGTCACCACTTCCCCAGCTCAGCCAGGCAGAGGGGCCACTGGTGCCGCCCTTCCCCCAGCCCCACCACGCCCCTCAGAGAGAGCCTGGCAGGACTTCGTCATCCTCGAGCCCCAGAACACTTGCGTGTGGGCAGCTGCAGCCCCACCGAGAGCAGGGGTGTGGTGAGCTGGTTGCCTGGGGCCCGGGGCGGCACCTGAACCTGAGGAGTCTCAGCTCTGGGACAGGGGACTCACAGAGCCCCCGGCAGTGACACTGACAGCAGCCTGGTGACCGAGGCCTCCTGGCGAGCCCCCAAGTGGTGCCGTGGGCAGGGCAGAGGTTGGGGAGCCAGCTGGGGGTCTGCGGGAGTCAAGGAGGGGCTGAGGGCCTGGGGCCAGCTCGTGTTTTGAGGAAAGCGCCGTTGAAATGGCCACATCAAGGGAACAAGGCAGAGGCCAGAGCCCTCCTGCTCCAGCTCCGGCTTCGGCGGGAAAGGGCTGGGGAAGGGCTGGGAAAGGGCTGGGGAAGGGCTGGGGTCACAGAGGCTGGGGTTGCCCGGAGGCACAGGGGTGCCTGGCTCATAGGCTGGGTGGCCCCTTGTGCAAGAGGGGAGCTGAGGCCGTGGCCACCGGCAGGCCCTGCATGGGGGTGTGCAGGGGCTGAGCCTGGGCTAGGCCCTGGTGTCTTTGTCCTGGCTCTGTCCTTCCAGGCCTCTGTGCATCCCCCACCTCCTCCTCGGCATCCTGTCTGGGCCAGGCTCAGGCCAAACCTCTGTAGTGGGTGCGTCCCCAGCACAGATGGACTCTCCAACCCCGGGGTCAAGCCCTGTGGGTGTCAGGCCAGGCAGTCACACATCCGGGTGCCCAGAGCGGCCAGGCCACTGCTGCCACCCACCACCAGTGAGGGTGGGGCCAGGATGGGAGCAAGAGCTGGAGGGGCCGAGTGGGGTCAGGGAAGGCTACAGAGATGCAGGCTGGGAGGGCTTCCCCATCAGAGAGCCGGGCCTGAGGAGAGGGCCGGAAAGTGGTGAGGGCCCATGGGGTTCCGGGGGCTGGGCCTCTGCCCTGGGGACCCACAGGAGGGAGAAGCTGGAGCCAGGGGGACAGTCCACCTCAGGATAGCCCAGCTGCCCCCGGGCTCCTCTGCCAGGACACGAGACCCTTTGGTGGCCGCTGCACGAGGGCTGGGACTCAGGTTCCACGCAGACTCCAAGGGCAGGTCACGAAGAGACACCACAGTGGGGGCCAGAAATGGCCACTGGGCACCTCTGGGCAGGCCAGGTCTCCATGAGGGAGGGGTCTTAGCCTCTGCAGGTTCCAGACCACCAAGCAAAGCTGTCTGGAAGGTGATCCATGCCACCCCACCTCCTTGGCCTAGGACAGCCTGTGCTTGGGGGTCTCAGTGAAGCCTCTGGATGTGGGGGACCCCAGCGGGGGTGGGGGTGGTGGGGCAAGGTAGCAGCTCAGCCTCCTCAGGGCCTGCCCAGCAGCTCAGCACCAGGAACAGCTCCCACCACATGAAGTCAAAGCTGGGGGCCTGCAGCCAGCCCACCCCAGCAGGGCCTCCGCAAGCCCTGTGCCCTCCTGCCCTCTCTACGATGCTATGTGTGGTCTCAATCCCACACCTGGGCTGAGGGGGAGGACCCCCAGGCGCCTCAGAGCTCCCAGGGGCCAGGCCCAGCGGGCCTCCCTGCTGCCAGCTCCCCCCAGCCATGCCCACCCTAGCCACAGAACACGGCCCCAGGGAGCCTGGTCCCAAGGCCATAGCAACCAAACCCACGCGGTCCACACAGTTCCTAGCAGGGTCCACGTCGGCCCCTGGCTGCCTGAGAGCCCTTGAGGGTGATCGATGTCGAGGGCTCCTTTCCCAGGCTCTCGAGTCAGGAATTGCTGCTCAGCACCCACACATCCCGCAGGTGCAGGGGGAGGGCGCTGGAGGGACGAGGGTGGCTGAGTTGGTTCTTCTGGCCCGGAGGGAGCGGTGAGAGACGCAGGGGCCCGGGGCCATGGGGTCTGCGGGGCGGCTGGCACTCGTTGCCTACAAGGTCTAGAAGCAGCGCAGGGAAGGGCTCCCGCTCTGGGCTCCCCCCATGGGAGGAGTCGGGAGGGGCCCCTGCTCCGAAATAAAACATCGCAGATGGCTCCGGCCTCTTTTAAAAACTCTATTTGGTGCGTGCCCACGGTGCTGCGTCCCGTCAGACATACCTGTATAGATCTCTCTATTTATATATATATATATATAAAAGGTTCTTTAGCAGTTAAATAGATTCCAATATGAACGTCTCCCAGGACAAAGCTGCGTCTCGCCTCTGGGTCACACGCATCTGTGCGGCTGGGGTGTATGTGCCGCGTCACAGCAGTACCATATAAATACGTTGATTTGAACGCAGTTTCCCTGTGGTGGTAAAAACACATTCCTGACAAGTGACAAGCAGAAGAGTCCGGCAGCTGCAGCGCCTCACTCGGCTGGGACCTCGTACTTGAAGATGACGCTGAAGAGCCGGCCGCCCAGCCGCTCGGCCAGCCACGCGTTCTTGATGACGGCCAGCTTGAGGCTCTCGCAGCGCAGGGCTGCGTGGTAGTTTGTGTGGACAGCACGGCCCATGCCCTCGATGACCACCAGATCCGCGCCACGCTCCCGCACCAGTGCGGCCAGCCCCTTATCCAGGCGGCTTTGGGGAGGAAGAGGACGGTGAGACTGGGCAAGCAGACCCCAGACCCCACTTCCCATACAGTGCGGCGACCAACGTGAAGGCTGAAACCCCTACCGCTCAATTCCCTGATGTGGAGGCCTCCAAACCCAGCCTCCGCCTGGTAGCTGCCTCAGCCTGGGGCTTCCTCAGAGCAGCAGCTCACACAGGGCCAGAGCAGCTGCAGCTTGGAAACTCTGCCCTAGATCTCCTGTGAACTCTAGGGATGGATTCCTTGTCATTTTCACGCCCTCCTTGTTGGTGAGAGTGGGGCTGGGGCACAGATGAAGCCAGCACTGGAGAATCCCACCAGGCAGAGCAGACCAGCGGCCCCAGCACTCAGAACCCGCTCATTTAAGGGGTTCCTTCCTCCTCTGCAATCAGGAGGACAGACAGCACCACATACAATTGACTAATGACCTCCAGAACCACAGAAGCAGAGCCTGGCATCTATGTGGGACACGGAGGTGACAGACACCGGGCAGCTGCCCAGGTCGCCCTCGGTCTCAGCTGAGTGGCCACAGGGACATTGGCCCCTCTTGCCCCAAGTCCCCAAACCCAGCCCATGTGTAACCACCTCAGACCCTGAATCCATTCACCCTCCCCAGGCCACCTTCGGGGATGGCATATCTGTCCCCTCCTGAGATCAATCCGGGCCTGGGGTCAGGAGAGGCCGCAGGGGCAGTCCTGAGGTCGGTGTCCCGCATGCACCTGGGTGCAGGTGCACGGCACAGAGGGCACAGAGCCCAGGAGGGAGAGAACAGGTGCAGGGTGCGGGGTTACCTGAGGTCGAGGCACGGGGAGCTGGAGCCCGTCTGCACCAGCAGCAGCCTCTCTTCCTGGAGCGCAGAGCTGCCAGATACAAGGTGGTCAGTGCCCCCAGGAGCTCCCAGTTCAGTGACAATCCCCATGGCCCACTCTGCCCAGCTGGTGCCCCTCCCCATCAAGGCCCCCCCAGCACTGCCCGCCAACACTCACTGCACGA
The DNA here is from genome assembly GCF_000001405.40 of Homo sapiens. Classification (NCBI taxonomy): domain Eukaryota; kingdom Metazoa; phylum Chordata; class Mammalia; order Primates; family Hominidae; genus Homo; species Homo sapiens. Next base: position 2,510,064 of record NC_000001.11, read on the forward strand.
CAGGGTCCATGCCCGCAATACGCTCTGCCACGATGAGGGACTCGCTGTGGGTCACGTCGTTCAGGGCGGGGCCTGAGTTGCACGCCAGGATGACCTGCAGGAGGAGGGCCCAGGCTCTTTAGGAACCTGTGCTGGCCCAGCATGGAGCCTGCGTGCACCCCGGCCTTCGAGTGGCTGGGCTGGGTGAGGGTGCTGTGCCCAGCGGGCCTGGCCAGCCACCTGCTGCTGAGGAGCAGGGACCTCGCCTGACCTTGCCACTCTGTGGCCCCTGGGAGGGAGCTGAGCCGAGGGGCAGAGCTGAGTTTAGAGCCTGCCCCTGGGACCTGCCTGTCTGTGAAGTCACAGCCCCAAAGCCTCCTTGCTGTGAGCACCCTTCCAGGAGCCTGGCGTCAACCCTGGGCTTCAGCACATGGACCCTCAGCCTGAGCCCAGGGGGCTCGGAGCCTCCACCCCAGCAGATGACGGCTCTGGGCCGCCTCCCCCGTGCTGCTGCCTGCACCTACCTGCTGCGTCCGGAGGAGCCCCGACCACCGCCAGAGGCCCACAGCGGCGCCAACCCCACCGAGAGCAGAGAAGCCCAGGGGAAGGGCCCCACCCACCACCTCAACACTCACCTCTGTCCCTCTAAGGAGTAGCTCCCTGACAAAGGGGAAGACTCCCAAAATGATGTCTATTCCACTGTTATCTGCGAAAATTAAGGCACATTTATGAGGGGGCCCCTGTAAGACAAAACCAGGACGTTCAGTTGGGAACAGGCGCATCCAAGCGAGTCAGTCCGCACCCCTGCTGCCCGTCACGCTGCCCTGCAGGGGCCGAGACTGGGGGCTTCAGGGCCCCAGAGATGCCAGGGATGGGCTGTCCTGCAGGGGCCGAGACCAGGGGCTTCAGGGCCCCAGAGGTGCCGGGACTGGGCTGGGCTGCAGGGGCTGAGACCGGGACTTCAGGACCCCAGAGGCACCGGGACGGGCCAGCCTGCAGGGGCTGAGACTGGGGCTTCAGGACCCCAGAGGCGCCAGGGACGGATTGGCCTGCAGGGGCCAGTGCCTGTCTCTTCTGGCAAGGCTTTGTGCCTAGAGCAGGTGACCTAAGAAGCAGTCACGACAGGAGGGCAAGTGTGGGGCAGGGGATGCTGAGACCCTTGGCTCGCAGGATGGTGAGACTCTAACAGGAGGGGAGGGCCACCCGAGGCAGCCCATGCCCACCTCCCTCCAGTGACCACCCCCCCGGGCCCCGCTGTGTCCCCAGCAGCAGAGGTGGGAGGCCCCTCCACATACCTTTAATCTCTGAAGCCACTCGCTGTAGGAATCCACGAGCCAGGGTCTTTCTGAGACAGAGAGAGGGACACATGATTAGCCCGGTGCTCCAGGTCAGGGGTCAGGGAGACGCGTCTTCAGGTGTTCGTCTCTCCAGGAAGCAAGTTCTCCCCGCCCCCGAAGCCCAGCTGACAGAGCCTTGAGCAGGGGAGGTGCCTGGACCCCGACCGCAACTGCATTCGCTGTTGCAGAGAACGTCCAGGCATGGCCCCAGCACAAGGCAAGGCCCCAAGTTACTTGGCCATCCGTACCTTGTAACTTCCTCTTTGCTTCTTCAAACCCAAAGTAGGGGTCGGATTCAAGGACACTGCATGGAGGAGGAGAAAAGAAAATTAAGACAACAGAACAAAAACCTTCAGCCACAGTGCTCAATGTGAAGACCCCAAATCCCTCCCAGGCGGGACAGAGGCAGCTGCTCAATGTAAAGATCCCAAATCCCTCCCAGGTGGGACAGGGGCAGCTGCTCAACGTGAAGACCCCAAATCACTCCCAGGCAGGACAGAGGCAGCTGCTAAGACCCCAAATCCCTCCCAGGTGGGACAGAGGCAGCTGCTCAACGTGAAGACCCCAAATCACTCCCAGGCAGAACAGATACAGCGTTCTTAACATGCTGCGATCCGCAGAAGGCTCAGGGGGCCACCAAGCAAAGGTCTGAGAGAGCACAGGCTGTTTCTCAAGGTGGACTCGGAGCCACGGGGCCAGGGAAGCCTCTCGGTGACTGGCAGCCGCAGTATGGTCCCTGTGCTTGGCACCCATGCAGGCGGTGTGGGGAGCCCCCAGCCACAAGGCCAATCCCATGGGTCAGGACCCTCCTCCAATGCTCCTGACAGGCTGCGGGAGGGGCCTGTGTCCCAGAGGGGCAGCCATGGTTGGAGGCGGCGTTCTCATCTATGTCTCGAGACACGAGTGGGACCCAGGGAGGGCTGAGAACCCAGGCATTTCCCTCCAGCCCCACATGAAAAAAAGCAGGGACCACGAGAGGTGGTGCGGCCGCCTGGGGAGGCCCAGAGACTGGAAGCAGCTTCTTTGGGAGTGAAGGTAAATGATGGTGGGGGGGTTCATTTTCAAGATTCAGAGCCCCAGGAGACGGCGCCAGGTGCTAGACACCTGCGTGTCCTACAGGCCAGTCTAGGGGACTGCTTTGCAAAGCACCCTTTGATCATCACATCAGAAATGTTTAATTCCTACCACACATAGGAAACATGAATTTGGATTCTGACAATAGAAAATGCCAGCCCCGATTTTCAAATCCACACCCTTAGGCCTCTGCGGCACCCATGCTTAAGGAAGGGGCCTCCTCAGAACCTGAGGGGACAGACAAGGGCGCTGCGCCCTGCCCAGCCCCTGGCGCTGCTGCCATGTGCACTCCCTGGGCCCCAAAGCCCTGAGCCACCAAGCCACCAAGCGCCACGTGACCCCCAAGGGACCCGCTCCACCTCCTTGCCCGCAAGCCTGGGGCAGGACAGGCACCCACAGGCTGCAGAGCCTGCTCCGAGCCCGCAGACACCTACGCAGACACGGCTTTGGCCCCCCAGTCGAAGACATTCCCCGCCAGGAGGCCTTTCACCAGCGCCAGCTGCCGTTCCTCCCAGCCCAGCGCGTCCAGGGAGCGCACGACCCCGGGGAAGCACCTCAGCGCCACGCCATTCTCCCGCTGCTTCACCTGTGGAGAGTGCCAGATGCCAGGCCTGAGTGAAGACGTGGCCTCAGCCCACCCTGGACACCTGCCAGGCGCAGCCTGTTCCATACCACGCCCCTCAGGATCGAAGACTCAGGCCCAACTGGGACCCCACCAGGCACAAGCCTATCGGTCCGGGACAGTGGCCAGCGCACAGCTGCACGGGGCTCTGAGGACGAGGCCCAGGACAACTTCAGCCCCCATGTGACTGAGCAGTGGGTGAAGGGCAGGACAAGAGTGGAGGACACGGCCCCCACAGGTACCCACAGCCCTGGCCTCAAAACCCTCGACACCCAGACTTCCGCTGTCACAAGGCTCGGCGTGTGAGGGGAGGGAGGCATGGCGCTGGCCCTTCCCAGAAGAGGTGGGAGGAGTCCATGCCTCCGCTGCTGCCCGCTGCCTCCTGGCAGAAAGGGCCAAGGAGGGCTCTGGCCGCCAGACTTGGGGAAGCAAAACGGACGCCCGGAAAGGCCCACCTTGCACGGCCCTGCACGTTGCCGGGATAGGAGGCCTCTGGTCACTGTCCAGCCTCCTAGGAGGGAGCCAGGGTGGTCCAGGGTTCCAGCCCCTCCCCATGAGGGGAAAGCAGTCCCCAACCACAATCGCCCACCCTCACAGAAGCTGGGAGGCCCTTGGCTCCTGCAGGCAGGCAGCCTGTGTCTGTCAGGAACACATCCAAACTGGGGTTCACACCCTTCTTCTCTAGTCACAGCAGTCCCCACCCCTAAGTGGCCCCAGCATCTGTGGGGGTAACACAGCTCCTCAGCAGATGCTGCCAACAGAGGCCCTGGCTATTGTGGTGCCAGGGCTGGAGTTGGGGCCGCTACCAAACCTGCATGGCCTCAGACAGGACAGGATGCCCCGAGCCAGCGGGACAGAGACAGGACACGCGGTGCCAGCGGGACGGGGACAAGAGCGAGCGGAAGGCCAGGGCACACTGCACTTACTTTGGAGTAGGGATCCGGGAAGTTGAACTCGTTCAGACAGTGCTCCCTGGTGTCCAGCAGGCTGCGCACGGTCAGGGTCCCATAGGCGCTGGGGACAGACACGGCAGAGGGCGCTGAGCAGGGCAGGCCGAACACCCGCCCGTCTGCCATCCTCGGCTGTGCCACGGACGTCCTCAGGAGCCCGGCAGTGCAAACGCTGCTTGAGGCGGGGTCCAAGGGGGCTGTGCCGCCAGGGCCCACACCCACCCCCAGCGAGCTGGGGTCCGAATGCCAACATCACGGCACTTTCTCAGAGGTGCAGGGGCCCTCTGGATGGAAGAGGTGGCCACACACCGGGGTGCTGGGCACTTACAAGGGCTGCTGCCTCAGGGTCTGAAGCTTGTTCCAGTACTTCTGCCGGAACTTCTCCGCCCTCTCGGCTGCATCCACAGAGTCTGGCTGGCTCGCCACTGCGCGCTTCACTACCTGCCAGCGACAGAAGGAGGGGGTTAGTCAAGCGCTGGCCCTGCTGCTTGCGAATCCCCACGTGACAGCAGGGGGCTCGGGGAAGGGTGGGGGTCGGCCGTGGGGGACTGTCTGGGGCAGGGTGGGGGCGGCTGTAGGAGGCCTGGTGCAGGGTGGGAGCCGGCTGTCGGGGGCTGTTTGGGGCAGGGTGGGGGCTAGCTATGGGGGGCTTCCCGGGGCAGGGTCAGGGCCTGCTGTGGGGGACTCGGGCAGGGTGGGGGCTGCCTGGGCTGTGGTCAGGGCAGTTTCTACTGGAACAGGAAAGGCTGACGGTGACAGTTCACGGTCACCCGAGGCTTCCCTTTGCCATTCGCCCCTCCCAGTTGCCCTGGGAGGCAGGAGCAGGAGTGACCTTGGTCCCTCACCCCCCAGGAAACCCGAGGCCAAGACCCACGTCCTCAGACTCGAGCCCCCATCCTGTGCCGGGGACGAGGGGCTCTGGGCACTCAGAGCTCACTCCGGGTCCTGGGCAGGGCTGGGACTCCTCCCTCAGGACAAACCCTGGCACGACCCGGCCTCTCCGAGGGCTTCGTGAAGAGTGCGTGTTGCTACCGGGGCTCCCTGGCCCCGAGCTGAGCTCCTGAGGGGCAGCGTGGCCCAGGGCCTGGCATTTGCTCCACGGGACCAGCCCAGCCTTGGAGAAGGTGGGACGCAGGAGTCCCAAGGTGGCCTCGCCGGGAGCTTGCTGGGGCTGAGTCTCACCCCACCCCCAGAGTCAGGGTCCCACAATGCCTCCCGCACCTCAGTCACACCTCAAAAGAGCAGAGACGTCTCCTAAATTGCTTTTTGAAGGAATGTGCTAGCTAGCAGAACTATCAGCTGCCCTTAGAAGCAACGTGCCTCGCAGACGCCACGTCCTCACTGACCCACCAGGTGGCCAGGAGCGGTATTTTTGCCTGAGAAACCAAAATCGCCCCCTCACTCAGACGCAGATCAAGGGGTTTCTGGACAACACTGGCCTGTCCCCCTTCGCCACCTTGGCTTTGCCCCCGGAGCCTTGGAAGGTTAACCCGGCTGCGGCCTTGGAATCGTCTAGACGGCACCCGGAGCCCTCACCCCGTCCAGGGCCTCCTCAAAGCAGGTGAGCCAGTATTTTCGGGCCAGAGCGTCATCGGTGAGGTCCACCGTGTCGGGCACGTAGGAGGGCGGGTCCAGGAGGAGCGGCAGGTCAACCAGTGGCCTCTCCAGCCGGTCCATTTCCAGCAAGTCAAACTGGAAGACAGGCAGTGGCAGGGTGGAAACGTCACCATGGTTCAGAACGACCCAAGCCACACTCAGAAGCTTCCACTCTCTCTCTAAGAAGGGAGATGTACTGCCTTCTTCCGCCACGTCTCTGGGCCACAGACGAGACCCCCACTGGGCCCCCTCAGCTGCCCGGCGGCCTGAGCCGGATACCTTGACTTACCCCCTGGTTTGACACTGGGGTTGCGTCTGCTCCCACCACACGCCTCCTGCCCCCAGCACCTCCCCGCTGCAGCCACACCTCCCCAATCACCGCTGCAGTCACCCTCCCATCACCCCTCCTCCACCATCCCTATAGTAACTCCCTCCCCCATCACCACCTCCCTGCAGTCACCCCTCCCTGTCACCCCTACAGTTTCACCTCCTCCCGTGACCCCTGCAGTCACACTGTTCCCACCTCTGGTCCTCCAGGTGGCCGTGTCTGCACACAGAGGTTTGGGGTTCTGTCCTCACTAAGCACCAGGCAGTGTTCCACTCCGTGCCGGGCAGGGAGTCCCCACGCCCCACATGCACCCTTCTTCCTCCATGGCTGCCGGGCCTCCCAGCACGTTCTGTCCATGAAGGACTATGGCAGGGCCAGGCCATTATGCACCCAGGGCACCCCGGGGCCACCTGCACCCAGCACAGGCGCGCTCACGGGCCCTGCTGGCTTTTTCTACCTTATGCCGGGAGGAAGTGAACTGAACTGAGCCGACGCACACATCAGTACTCGGCTCTCTGCACGCTCACCGCAGCAGCCGCTGCTCTGGGACCAGAGGGGCTATGAGGGGAACTGTGTAGCTGACCGCCTCTTCCCACCCTCCGGTGGCTACCCCACAGGTCACATGCTGGCCCTCTGCCCTTCTCCACTGGGGCACCCCTGCTGGCAACCCCTGGGGCTGGAGAAGCAGCCTCTGGGTGGGCAGGGACCTCCAGAGCAAAGGGGACGCCTTCCAGGTGGGAAGCCCATGCCGGGCAGAAGCTCCACGTGGAAAAAGCCAGTGACTTCCCAAAGCCAGTGCAGAAGGCGGCAGGAGCCCCACCTTAACTACCACGGACCACAGCCGGGATCGCCTGGTGCTGCCTTGCCAGGTCGCAGGCTCCTTCTATCCTGACAAATGGGTTCAAATCTTCGCTTTGACTTTTTTGGACAATATAAACTGAAATAAATGACTCCATCTCTCTGCATGTCAGTTTGATCCTCAGTAAGGTGGGGGCCCCTCCTGCCTGGCAGGGCTGTGCCACTGGTGGGGTACCAAATAGGTAACAAGCGCCTCCTGAACGGGGCCCCCGAAGCACTGTGGCCGTCCACGCAGTCACTCCAGGTTACAGTCCAGGACATTTGGCAAATTATGCACACTTGGCAAATCAGAAACTGAGGCTGGAAGACACCAAGCCCCTCTGCCCAACAGCAGGGCAAAAGCTGAGAGCCTGGGGCTCTGCCAGGCCCCCAGAGCCTCGCCCCCACTCCCCTGCCTAGTGCTGGCGGTGGGAAAGGCAGACCAGGGCTGCGGCCAGTGTGGTGCGTCTGTGCGAGGCCGTGGCCTGGTGTGAACTGCAGGACCCACACAAAAGGGAGGCGCCCTCCTGAGAAGCCAAAACTCAACAAGTCGCGGTCTTGAAAATACTGACACTGAACCCCATGTCTACAAATGACAAGCAACTTCCTGCCAACAATGCCAGCGGCCTGTCCTGAGGGGTCCGACTAGCTTTGTGCGTGACCTCAGGTTAACTGCTCACAGCTACAGAAGGAATGAGCCCCGCGGGGGGGCACGGTCGAGGACCCTGACAGCCTGTGACACGGGGCGGTTCCTGCCATGTGGGGCTGTGCTGGGGGCATCCCGTGGCTGACGCAGGTCCTGGCGGGGGACCCTTCCGGAGCAGCTCCAACTCGGCAGACATGGGGTGCGTCTCCTAGCCCGCCAGTGCCACCCAGCTCAGGCCAGGGCAAACCCACTGGGGATCCAAGGAATGAGCCGGGACACCCCGAGGAGAGCAGACTGTAACCGACAGACCATCAGCCACAGTGCGCGGCAGTGTGCGGCAGAGCGCGCAGTCCTAGGCAGGGCCCTGGGTGGCTCCTGCGGTTTCGGGTTTCAACTCCAAAGTGGACGGGCCTTCTGGCGTGGGGAGAGGTCCCCGTCACCCCTGAACTTTAGCAATCTCTCTGCAAACAAGAAGGCCGGATCACACAGACTCCGTAATTCCTGCTGAATGTTTCCAAAATACGAAAGCACCCAATGAGGGAGATGGGAAAGCAAGCCACAGTGTCCTTCTCTTGCCCCTAGTTATACCCCAGGTCCATGGGAGGATTCGCCATGGGCAGAGGCGCCTTTCAGCCGGGACAGCCACAAGAGGCTTCGCTCAGGGACAGGCGAGGTGAGTGCGGCATAGGCTGCTCCCCTGGGGCCCGGGGCGGCCAGAGCCCACTACTCACAGTGCCACTCCGCGCCCGCTGCGCCGGGCCGAGCTCGGGTGATGCACTCATCAGCCCGGAGCTGCCTGCATAGTTCTCTCCCCAGCTGTACTGGTTAGGATCTGGAAAGCAAGAAGCCAGGTCACTTGTGTTAACCTTGCCCTTGATTCAAAAGCAGGAGAGTGGAGGAGGAAAGGGTATAAAATCGCTTATTAACTAAATTGTTAAAATGTTAGACATGCCTGCTGCTGTCACTTTCTGAGGACTCACGCTCCCCACCCCACCTCCACCCTGGGCCGCCCTGGCCTGGAGCACAGGCCCAGGCCACAGCTGAGGCCCCACGCTGCTCAGGGGCGCCAGCACCGCGACTCACTGTCCTGCTCAGCTCCTTTCAGGAACGCTCCGATGGCTCCCAGGTAGCCTTCGTGCCTCAGAAACAGCGCCTGCACTTCCCCCTGCCGTGGCCAAAGCACACGTGCTGCTGTTGGCCCCACACAACACCCGGTGCCTCCGCAAACCAGCTCAACGTGCGCGGGCCTCGCACCGCGCGGCCCAAACCCTCGAAGAGGCGCCATGGCACCCACGGCATACTTGCCAGTGGAATCGCGCCTGGCACCAGAGGGCGGGCTGCTGTTTGAAGAAAGCTAAGGGTGAGATAGCTTCTCCCATGCAGCGAGTCCCTGGCCCACAAGTCTCTGCGTCAGGCATGTGGGTGGGCGTGCCTCTGCGGGGGCAGGGGCACCCTGACCCCAGCGCAGATCAGCAGGCCTGCCTGGAGCTCTCTAGAATGCTCATCACTGGTGATGTACTCAAACTCAGGTGGCCACGGTGCCACAAAATGTAGGCTGCCCAGAATCAGTCAGAAGGGAGGGGTGCTGGGCTTCTTGGCCCCCACCCTCCAGGCCTCCCTGGGGGTGCTGCGGTGTCTAACCAGCATGACTGATTGGGAAGATCCTGGGGGGTCTGCGTTAGAGGCTGGGGAGGGCGGCGCATCCGTTACCTTGGAGAAGAAGTTGATGCTATAGGTGATGGTGCGCATGGTCACGGGGTGGCCCCGGATAAAGAAGCCTCCAAAGTACACGCGGTCCAGGCTGTGCAGCCGTGCGTGGAGGCAGGCCAGCTGCCCAATGTCGTTGCTGATCATGTGCAGCAGGCTCTTCGCCATGTCTTCTTTGGAGAACTCTGAGGAAGGGAAGGAAAAGGCACTCATCTCCAAGTACAGCAAGTGCACGACATGAGAGCGAGCAGGAGGGGAGGGGGAGAGAGAGCTGAGTGGGAGGGGAGGGGGAGAGAGAGCTGAGTGGGAGGGGAGGGGGAGAGAGAGCTGAGTGGGGGAACTGGAGCCCAAGTGCGGGAGGCTGCGTGTGATGTGTGAATCATTCCTGGACGGATTAAGCTTTGTTTTGAAGGAGGAAAAAACCCAATCAGGAAACTATTTTTTCTTCCAAAACCAAGACCGTGGCGTTTATCTGCCGACGTTCTGAGCAGTGGGCCTGAGCTGCAGCGACTCGGCAGGAAGAGGTTACAGGGCTGACACCCAAGACCCCGACTCTCCAGGGAGCAGTTGTGGGAAAGCAATGGTGGGGGAAGCTCCTGTCCGTGAGACCCCAAGTGTCCCCACCATCCTGCTCTCTGGCGGCAGAGGCCGGGGTGAGCACCTTGGTCGGCGGTGGCCGACTTCCCGAAGCTGCTGGCGATGAGGTTCCCGCTCAGCCCGAGAGTCTGGTGGGCGCCGCCGTAGACGTCCCGCACCAGCATGTCCACATTGCTGTGCTGGCCCCTCGAGGCCAGGTGCAGGAGCTCGTCAAACTTCTGCAGGACACGGCGAGGGGGCGGGTGAGGCGCCAGGAGCTGCTGGAATCCCCACGACCCCAGAAACCAAGCCCATGGCAGGAGGCACGCGCGGGCAGGGGGTAAATGGGCCCTCATCGCGTGGGACCAAAGGCAGGAGGCGGCAAGCGGGACCCTCGGGCCACCCAGCCAGGATAGAAGCTCTGGGTTGCTGGGACACCCAACCCTCAGGGCGCAAAGAGTGAAGCCGCAGAGGCCAGAGACCCACTGACGCGAGTCAGGAGGGAGGCCCGGAAGCAGCTTTTGCACCGCCCAGCTGCAGGCCTTCGGGGGAAGGAAGCAGACATCTCCGCAGACCCCTGGAAGGTCTCTGGCAGCTGCCGCATACCTTCGTTTTGGTGAGCAGAGCGCCAAGCCCCCAGAAGGTGCCGCCTCCAATGGAGCTGCCGCCGACCCACTCGAACCTGTCCTCCGTCTCCACCTGCAACAGAGCCAGGGCAGGTGTGCCCTCAGTGGGCCCTCAGCCACACAGGCTCCCCCGCCCCCCGCCCCATGTGCTGCGCTGGGGTGAACCCCGCCCCCACCCCAACCGCCAGTGGGAGGACTCTCATGGCCAAGCCTGGGGGCGCTGATGCCCCTCCCACAGAGGCTCTGAGCTCACAGCCTCGCCACCCCCCTCCCGCCCACTGGGCCCCATCCATGTGCCCAGCCCTGGCTCCTGCACACAGCGAGGGCTTAACAAACTATGGCTAAACCATCCACTCATTCATTCATGAAGCCGGGTCTTACCTTCACGATGGAGACTCCAGAGCCGATATTGACAAGAAGATAGGGGAAAATGTGGGGGTGGTTGGTCTGGAACCGGAACTCAGGGTCGGAATCCTTCTGGTACACGAAGGCCTCATGGGGGATGTTCTTGAGCACGAAGTTGCACCCCTTAATCAGGCACGTCATCACGTCCTCCTTGTCGACTCTGAAAAGGAAGCGCCAACCCCTTAAAGAGTCTGGGCCACAGACAGGTGCAACCATGCAAGCCTGCCTGGTCCGAAGGGGCAGCCATGCCCCATGCGCAATCTGACACACGAGCGCCAGGGACGCGGCTCTGGGACACCCAGGGACTCGGGGGCAGACACATGTTCCTTTCTCGCCCTTGAGATCCCCACTCACTTCAGCCGCAGCTTCTCTTCGATGAGGTCTTTGAACTTGTAGGCCCCGCCCCCGGTCGCCTGGATGACCTTGGTCTCTGTGTTGACGAGATGGTCTTTGATGAAGTCCAGGCAGGCTTCGATGTAGGTATTCTCAAACTTAATGAAGTGCAGTCGAGCAGTGATCTCTTCTTGAACTGAAATCTCATAGGGCGGCTCATGTTCACGTTCTGTGTCCTGGAAAACAGAGTAGGGGAGGCCGCATGTGTGTGGGACACCGCGCCGGGCTGGGCTGTGCGCACCCTGCCCTAGTGGAGCTGGCTGTTCGCGCCAGCCTTCAACCAGGCGGCGCTCTGAGGCAGAATCCTGGGCAAGAGGGAGGAGCCTAGGACCGTGGCGACCTCAGGGCCACCCAGCAGGAGCGGAAGCCTCTCCCGGGGGAGCACAGGCGGGCGCAGGTTCCTACAAAGGGTCTTGAAGGGACACGGCGGAAGGCAGGGGAGGCTGTCCCTGCTAGAAACTCCCAGGACACTAAAGTCGAGGTCTGCAGCAGCAGAGGGATGACTGCGAGACAAGTGCCAGGTCCAAGACGACAGAGAAGCGGCTGCCCTGCCCCGGGTGGCCACAGTGCAGGCTCACCTTTCCGGAGTGGTCGAAAGACCGCACCTTGGCGACTTTGTGCTGTACCGTTGAATAGTAGGCCAGCTTGGTTAACGACCCGCCTGCAGGGGAGACACAAACCGGGCAGGATTCAGGACCAGGACACAGCGGGGCCTGGGGGTCCATGCCCCACACTCTCTGGGTGTCCTGGAGACTAAAGTCTCTGTAGATGAGGGGTTTGGGGCTACTGGAACTTAAAAACCCTGTGGGCACAAAAGAGAGGACAGGAAAACGAACAATCAAATCTACACTTTTCTTTCTCAAATTCTGCTCCTCCTCAGCTCCCTGGCCAAACTGAGCTCAAGAGGTCCCGCTTCCCCTTGGCACCAAGTCCTGCAGAGGAAAGGGAGAGCTGTCTTGCTTTGGGTAACCTTGGTTATCCTCACTGCTTTAAGAAAATTCAGTTTCAAGTGATCTTGCTAATGACCCAAAGCGATAAGCTGACAAATCCAGGCTGTTTTCGTTTTAAGAAGTACACCCTCGACCGTCCCTGCTTACAAAGGAGGCTCTCCTCACAGCCCAGGGCGGTAACGGGGCCTGAGCAGCTCCCCTACCCTGGAGAGGCAAACGGTGCCGCTGGCTACTCTTGAGAGGCTCCAGGCAGAAAATGCAGCCCCAGCCCCAAAAGTAGCCAGAAGTCAGAGGCCACCAAAGTCCGTTTCCCCACAGGCCAAAGTCTCTCTGATGCTCTCGAGAAGCCCTGTGGCTTCCAGGATGCCGCCTGTGATCAAAGGTTGAATAAATATCAGGAAATGGAAGGGGCTCTATGTACCTGAACCAGATTTCAGGGAAAAGTGAAAAGATTCTTGAAGAAGGCCTTTTCAAGGACAAATTCTTCTAAGTTAAAAAAAAAAACAGACATTGTTGAGGCTAGAGTTGTATTCATAGATTTGAAACAACATGAATGACAAATAGAAAAAGAAACAAAATGTGACTTTGAGTGCATTGCGCGGTGCTACAGTGACTTAACAGAGGGCACTGTGTGTGTTATAGTGACTTAACGGAGGGCACCGTGTGTGTTATAGTAACTTAACGGAGGGGACCGTATGGTGCTATAGTGACTTAACGGAGGGCACTGGATGGTGCTATAGTGACTTAACGGAGGGGACCGTGTGGTGCTATAGTGACTTAACGGAGAGCACTGTGTGTGCTATAGTGACTTAACAGAGGGCACCGTATGGTGCTATAGTGACTTAACAGAGGGGACCGTGTGGTGTTATAGTGACTTAACGGAGGGCACTGGATGGTGCTATAGTGACTTAACACAGTGCATTTCTTACAGGGCCTGACAAAAAGAGGCAAAAATCCCACATCATGAGAGTAATGAGGCTAAAGTTATTTTCAAATTATTGTTTTTTGACAAAATACTATAAGGATGTCTGAGAACAAGCACTCAGGTCAGTAAAAAGATTTGGAAACACCAAGCAAACAGCCAATGCTGTTCATGTAGCAAAACCCACCGTGTCCAGGCCCCACAACAGCCATCCCAGGGCACCTCCTGCCTGGTGGTGAGGGCAGGCTCCCCGACGGCTGGCGTACAGTCTGGTGGACGCGTCACAGGCTCAATCTGATCCCCTAGCCTGTGGCTTTAAGCCTCCTTATCCCCTCCCCTGCCCCCAGTGCTGGCCGGGCCCGGAGAGTCTCACTAACATGCACCATGCCGCCGACTCACCTCAGTAAATAAATCGTTTTCTAAAACGACAGATGATGCAAGAGGATGAAGATCTATTTTAAGAGACTCATCAAAAGTCAGTATAAACAAACTCTCAGGTCACAGAAATCCAGTTTCAGGCCCTGGGTTCTTTGTGTTAAATACATGCCCAAACAGGATGTACTGGGGTTGGGACAGAGGTGGGGGTGGGTTGGTTTCTGCAAGATACGCATCCTCCCTCCCTGAGACCCCTGCACGGAGAGGCCCAGCAAGGCCAGTGTTCCGTCTGCCTACTCCCCACACCCGGGGGGACAAAACGGGACCTGAGGCGCGAGGGGCACGCACAGCAGGGAGATCTGTTAGAGCAGAGGGAACCGCCTGCGGGCGGGGACCCTTCCGGGCTGAGCTCAGGGACCCCTCGGAATCACAGCAAACCGCGCCTGGCAAGGCAGTGACAGGAGTGCCTCCTGGCGGCTCTCCGGGCTGCCCGCGCTCGGCCCTGAGGCCAACAGCTGGTGGGGGAAGGGGGCTTCCCAGAGGTTTGGTCACCTGTGCTCTTCACATCTGAGCCATGGCCTTCTAGTTCTCCCTGTCCCACAGGCCCCATCCCCTCTGCCATTCTCTCTGGTCCTGTGTTTCCTCTTTGGGCACCAATGGAGGGCAGGACAGCCAAGCAGACACCACCGCCCCGTGGCCCCTTCCTGTCTCACCTGCCTCTGAGGAACCCTCCCCACAGCCCGCAGAAACCTAAAATCAGATCGAAGCTGCAGTATGTTTTGAGAAATACAACGTCCCTGCTGCTTTCAAAGAGGTGAATCTGCTCAGCAGACATCAGCGTCCCATCGAGAGGAAAACAGCTTGCCAGAACACAGGGCAGGTGAGCTTTCCTAGATCCAGACACAGGCAAGGGAAGAGGAAATGGGAGAAGCCTGCTTTTAAACAACACTGTTGACAAGCACTTTGGCTTTGAGGGTTCCTGGGTTGAAGACACCCCACCCTGAGCGTGGCCTCCCAGCAGCTCGGTCAGGAGTAACAAACAAAAGGTCTCTCAGTATCAGTCAACAGGTCCTCTTAAGAACCAGAGACACAGGACCCAGACGCAGGGAGAAACTTTGAAGAGGGGAAATAAATACCAGCACTAAACAGACCTCTTAGAGTATCCTTCTACCAAGAAACCCCCTGGGCTCAGCCTGGAGAACAGGCTGGTACTCCAGGGCCCTCTAGGGCTGCGACAGCCCTTCCTGGACAGCCCCAGCTCTGCGGCTTCACTGGCCTCTCGGGGCCACACAGAACATCCACGGTGAGCCCTGTTCTCCTGGCCATTCCCCAAGTGACTTATGCAGGTCAACTGCAATTGCATTTCAGAAACATTTAATCCCGACTTGCTTCCAGTAACAGAATCCCCCAGTGTAAGGGCAGCAGAACCTTGCAGAGCACACGCTCTACCGGGCCTCAAGGTCTCAGAAGGCTGGGAAGCATGGCTGGGGAGCCTCTGGTGAGGCCTGCGGTAGACAATCCCCTAGGCTAGGGCTGCAAGCTCAGCACCTGCAGCCCAATAACCAGTCAGTCCCAAGTCCTATCAGCGGTCCCTAAAGATGCTACTCACACGTTCTCATACCTGGCACCAGGCCACACCCCCTAAGAAGCATTGCCTCCCATAAGCTCACTGAAAGGTGGGAGCCAGGACCTATAGCTACTTCCATTCTCATCGCCCCCCACTTCCCTAGAGGACACCCTTCCCTGGCTGGACATCTCAGAGAGATGATGACACCAACAACCCCGAGGACACCACAGCAGCAAACATGTCAGATGCACCAGGAGCACACAGCTCAGAGGGAATGGCCTGGGTCTCTCTGAGTCCCAGCTTTTCCAGGGAGGTGGGAAGCAGTCAGCGGCAGGCCCATTCATCCCAGTATTTACTGGGCGGCAAAGACAGGTTGGGCATCCTTTTCGGGGGCTGGGGCTACAAGACACACCGCTGCTCTTGTGGGATTCACACACAAGCAGACTCAGCCTACGACCGAGATGAGTGCTAAGAGGGAGAGGTATGTGAAGCCGCAGCGGCTATTCAAGGGGGGTTTCTCCAGGTGAAGCTGCCCCCAGGAAGCCCTCATGCCTGAAACATGGGCAGAGTAGGAGAGCAGGGAGTGGCTGGTTCAAATCCTGGTTCTGCCACTTTCTAGCCCGATGACCCTGGGCAAATTAGTTCACCTTTCTGGGGCTTGGTATCCTCATCTGCGAAAAGGGAGTAATTCGCGTTCCTCCCCTAGAGGTGGCTGGGAGGTGTCCGGGAGTCAGGAGCGTGGGAAAAAGGTCTAGAACAGAGCCTGGCCCGCCGTCATTACTGAGAGCACAGCCATCAGGCAGGAGGGTCTGCAGCGGACCCTGGAGAGGCCAGGGCAGAAGTGCAGGCCGCCTTAAAGGCCACGGAAGGCACGGGTGGCTTTTAAACCAGAGGCACGAGTTCCCAGGTCCCACGTCCACGGCCGCCTGAACTCACGCCCGGCGTCCACTCTCCAGAGAGCGGGGCCTGTGCACGGACTGTCCGGCCCGCGGGCCACAGCTGGCCACGCCGCGGGAACGCGCGGCCTT
The DNA here is from genome assembly GCF_000001405.40 of Homo sapiens. Lineage (NCBI taxonomy): Eukaryota > Metazoa > Chordata > Mammalia > Primates > Hominidae > Homo > Homo sapiens. Next base: position 2,525,982 of record NC_000001.11, read on the forward strand.
TTCGGGGCCACTCTGCCAAGGGCTTCCCGCCGAGCTCGTCCTCGTCTCGACCAGAACTAAGGACCCCAAATCTCAGGCCAGCCACCAGCCAAGCGGCGGAGCCGGGGCGCCCAGATGCCGATGTGGCCGAAGACATAAAATTCCGCCGACCCTCCCACCTCGCGGCGGGTAACGCTGGACCCCGGCCCCCAGCCACCCAGGACGGCCGCGCGAACTACCAGGCCCGGCAGGCCCCGCTCTGGTCCCTGCGGCGCCTGCCGGTAGCTGTAGTCCGGCCGTCGCCCCGAGCCCGCGCATCAGCGACCCTGCGGACTACAAGGCCCGTGAGGCTGTGCGCGGGCCCGCGGACTACAAGGCCCGTGAGGCTGTGCGCGAGGCCCGCGCCCCCGCCCTTCGTCCTTCCCGCCGCCCCCGCTCGCCGGCCCACCGCCGGCGCCCCGCCCGCCCCCGCAGCCCGCGCCCGGCGCCCGGCCTGCGGCTACCTATGTCGATGGCGAAGCGCTTGGCGTTCTCCAGGTTGCGGAAGATCTCGTCGGGGGGCAGCGTGATGCTCTTGTCCAGACTGTCCCCGCTGCTCCCGCTGCCGCTCGCTCCACACTCCGCCATTTTGAAAGTGCCCGGCCAGCTCATCAGCCATGGAGATATATGCGCATATATTTGACTGCCAAACGCCCCCTCGCATAGATTATGTTAATGAGGCGCCGGCCCCGCCCCTTCCCTCCCCCACCCCCGGCCTCTGAGGTCTCGGCCGCTACAGGGCGAGCTAGGGCCAGTGCTGGGCAGGGGTCCGAGAGGCCCGGGGCTGCGGGCGGGCGGGCGGTTATCCTCCAGAGATCGCGCATCAGCACAGAACATCTGGACTGATGTTCTTTTACCGCGCTGTCCACAGGCTTAACTCAAGTGCTCTGAGCCCTGCTGAGGGAGGCCGCAGAGGCCGCCCACCTGCTTCTAAGGGGGCACGTGGGTCTGCAGACTGTCAGAGAGCCCTGCCCTTCAGCGAGTGCCTGCTGTAAGCTTGGCCCTGCACGCCAGGGCGAATGTGATGCGCTCTTTGCTAGGGTGACTCAATCCTGGCTTCCCAGGGGCGTGGGACTTTCAATGTTAAAAGTCCCATGCAAACCAGAGGAGTGGGGAACCCTGCCCCACCTGGGAGGAGCCCCAGCCTGGCATGCACCTGCGGGTAGGGAAGATGTGTGCTGTAATGGCGATCCGTGGAAAGTGCTGTGGTCGGGGGAAGCCAGGCAGGCTGCCTGTGGGCAAGACAGGTGCCTGGGAGGCTGCAGGAACAAGCCTTGGAAGCAGCTGGAGCCAGGACAGGGGTATAGGTGGGGCAGGCCAGGGTTCCAGGGTGAGTGGCTGGGAAGCCCTGCTGGCATGAAGAGATGCGTCTTCTCCAGAGGCTCTGGGCGCCTTGGGAAAAAGCCCAGTGTTGGAAGCAGACAGATCAGCCCCTCCCGGGTAACCCGGGGTCATTACTGCATGTCTCTGGCCCTCAGCCTCTGTCTGCACGTGGAGAATGCCACCAGCTGCCTGGCAGGGCTCCTGGGAGCACAGGCCTGTGGGGCGGCACAAACTCCAGGGATAATGCATCTGTGTGCGCAGGGCAAGCCTTCAGGGAGGAGGCATCCTTGCCTGTGTCTTCCAAGGGGGTGGGTGTGTGGCTCTGGAGGGGGAGCCTGCCCCAGGGAGGCCTGGGTGGAAGAGTGGAGCACACCCCAGGCGGCTTAGACCTCTGGCAGCTCAGACCCCTGGCAGCATGGTGTGCCATGGGCCAGGCTGGCAGGAGGTGCCCTCCATGAGGGGCGCCCACCTGTGTGCCCACTGAACATGCGGGAAACATGCAGGTGAATGGGGGCCTTCCCTGTCCTCTGCCCACCATACCCCGGGGCTCGGTAGGGACCACTGGCAGGCACTGGGTTGGTCTGGTGGGGGGACCCTGTCTAGACTGCCTGTGGAGTAGCCAGAAAGGGGCTGAAGGCTGAGCGGAGCGAGAGGGGCTGAGCAGGAAGGAGCAGGCAGGGCAGGCCCACACACGGGGCTACCATTCAGCGGGGGTGGGAATGCGGCCCACTCCGGCCCAATCCTTGCTGGATGGATTTTGCCCCTTGGGAGCTGGTCCCTGGGAGCCACAGGCCTCAGTTCTTGCAGACTCAGCCAACACCCTGTGGCCTGCCTAAAAATACATGCCCTTTCTGAGGCAAGGGATGGCCCCGTGCAGGCTCCTGCCAGGACTGCCAGATCCTGCCTTGGCACGGTGGCCAGCGGGCAGGTGTCCCCGGAGCCCATGCCAGGACTGGCGCTGCAGGCCGTGGGAGTGTGCAGCAGCAACTCGGGGCAAATGTTTTCTCCTGTTTGGCCCAGGGCCAAGCCCCTTTGGCTGTAGCAACAGATCTACTGCGGGCTGTGGCCCTGGGTCGCCTCTCAGTGGACACAGCCTAAGGTCCTGCGCTGTCACCTTGCCCCACCCCTACCTTCCGGAAGCTAGTGAAAGGCCTGGGCGGGGGGAGACCCAGGGCTCCGACCATGTCCACCCCTCCAGCCCACCTCCCCCTGCCCCTGCCCCTCACCTGCTTTCCCTCCATCCCTCCCTCCCCCTGTTCTTCCGGAGCAAGGACCCCACCCTTCTTCCGGGGTCCAGGGGGCCACTGGCAGGGGTCCCTCCCTGCTTAACTGCTACCATGGCCCTGCCCATTCCCCTTCACCCCTGCAGACCCGCTCCATGGCTGCCAAGGACAGGCGTGAGGCACAGCAGACGACACTGTGTTGGGGGCTGAACAATCAGATTTTATTATGGCGGCTTCGGAGCAGTCCCGTGGCTTCCACGTGACTGAGAGTTCAATTTCTGAGTACAAAGTCGTGCCCACACGCATCCACCCACACAGAGGAATCCTTTAAGGATCATAGTGGAGGCACCCACCCTCCCCAGACAGCCCACCGTGAGCCCCAGCCAGACCACCAGGCACACTCAGGAGCCTTTTGGCCATGGCCCTCAGGGTCCTGGACGCCCGTCCGGGGTGATCACTGTTTCCTATGAGGATACAGCTCGAGTTCGGCCTTCACAAAAGGCAAATGTGCCCGCGGCACAGCCCGCCTGCCAGGGGTACGCCCAGCAGCTACGGGCCCTGAAGAAAGTCCTCTACAGGCTGGGGGCAGCAGTGTGCGAGCCCCGGCACTACAAATATCATAGAACCCCGGGCGGCCGGGGACTTCCCAGAAGTCACTTGCTTAAATGCAAACACAGAACAACCCCATGGGGTCAGACACTTGGCAGAAGATGGGCCCTGATTGTCCTAAAACGGCAGGGACTCTGCACACACATTCTCTGAGAATGGGGCTCCTGCGGGCCGGCCAGCTTGGGGCCAGAGCCTTCCGGAGAAGGGCGCGTCCAAGCCCGGGGCGGACGACGGCGGGAAGGCGCTTCCCTACAGGCGAGAGGAGCAGGCTCGCCCTCTGGTCGTCGGGCCGCGCGCCCGCAGGTCCCGCCGGGTCACCAGGGCCGCCAGAGGCCGCAGGCGGGCTGGTGCGCGGCGGCGGCGGCGGCGGTGGCCTTGGCGGAGAGCGCGGGCGGGGGCGCGGCGCCCGGCGCCTTGGGCTCCTTGGCGGGCGCGGCGGGCGCGGCCGGGGGCCGCTGGAAGTGGTACAGCAGCTTCATCTGCGTGTCGCTGGCGGCGTGGAGCGTCAGGAACTGCACGGCCTCCTGCAGGCACCACGAGTAGCCTTCGCTGTAGTCCTGGTGCAGGCTCTTGGGGCCGGCGGCGGCGACGAAGGCTGCGGGGAGACGCGGCGGCGGTGAGCGGGCGGCGGGGCGCGGGGGAGCCGGGGCGCGGTGGGAACTCGGGGCGCGGGGGGCCCGGGCGCGCTCACCTTTGCTGTGCTTCAGGTAGCTGACAGCCATCTCCAGGATGTCGGCCTTCTCCAGCTTGGAGTTGGGCTGGTGCCGCGCGAACTCCTGCTCCAGCAGCAGCTTCAGCTGCTCGATGCTGCTGTTGATGCGGTCGCGGCGCATCTTCTCCACCACCGGCTTCCGCAGCTGCGGGAGGAGGGGGTGTCAGGCTGGCCCGGCACGGCGCAGGGACCCCCGAGGACCGGAGGCCGCGGGGACAGCGCGCCGGGCGAGTCTGGTACTTACTCGGTTTTTCTCTTTGGGGCTGAGCAGCTCCACGGCCACAGTGCTGGGGGCCATGCCTGGCGCGGAACAGGCGACGAGGCGACGCGGGGAGGCCGGGCGAGACGAGGCGAGCGGGCGCGGGCAAGGCCAAGCGCGTCCCGGGCTGGCGCGGACACCGGCCCCGCGCGCCGACGCCCTATATAGGCGCGGGCGGCGGCCTGGCGCCTGGAGTCCGGGCGCCGCGGCCGTTCCCACACTCCGCGGCCAATGGCCGGGCGGGCCGCACAAAGGCGCCGGCCCATTAGCGCACGCTAAATTGCCTGTGAATTGGCGCGGGCACAATGGGCGCTCCCCAAGGAGCAGGTGGGCCGCGCGGCACAATGTCCGGGCTGTGGGAACGCGCTCGCCCTCATTAGCATCCCGGGGCCTGATGCCGGGAGCCCCGCGCCTCAATATGCTGCCTTTTCCCAGGCCGCCAAACGGGAGGGGGGCAGGAAGGAGGGCCCCCTCCCCCGCCCTCCCCTCCGCTCCCCTCCCCTGCCTCTCCCCAGCGGCTTCCCACTGCTGGCTGGCAGAGGCCGTAGGAGCAGATAAGGGAAAAACTGTAGAATGAACAAGTGCCACGGCTTCCTGGGGGATGGGCACCTTCCCTGACTGGGACCTGCTGCCCCTCCAGGGGAGGGGGACAGAGGGGGCGACGCTCTTAGGATCAGTCCTACGTGCCTATATTACAAGCCCCCTGACTGTCACCTGGGACTCCTGACTTCTCCAGACCTAGAAAATGGGCCTTGTGCCTTCCTGGCTGGGCTCCGGGCAGCTCCAGGAAGCTGGGGCCCGTGCTCCACGTGGAGCCCGGCACCCGGCAGCTCTCCCCGCGGAGCCGGGCACCCGGCAGCTCTCCCCGCTTCCTGCACCCTGTCCTCCCAGGAGCACTGTAACCCACAGCAGCACTGGGGCTGCTCCACGAGCTGGCAGGTGTCCCTCAGGGGCCTCTCCCCACCCCTATCTGGCCAGGGATCTGACTACAGTGTCCACGCAGCTCGGGAGGCCTCGGCTCTTGGCATGCTTGCTGTGGCCACTGTTTATGCATGCCACAGCTCCACCTAGTCTCTCTGGCAGCCAGGGCACTTGTAGGGCTTGCTTTCCTCTGGCATTTTGCCAGTGGGTAGGGAGTGGGTGCCAGGTGGCAGACTTGAGGATCAGAGGCCATGCCAGCCCTAGCCCCCCGCCCCCAACCACCGGTCCATGGGATGAGCTAATAACCCCGGTACCTGGCCAACTGAGCTGAGTGCCCGCAGCCACTTTGAGGCAATGAATCCCACCCTGGGTCCTTAGGGGAGGGTCCCTTGGGAGACCCCCACCCCCTAGCCTGCGGTCACAGTTCCTCAAATGCTCTGCAGCAGAGACTAGGAGAGGATTCGGGGCCTGGGCTGGCTCCTAGAGACAGGTTGGGACCCTGCCGGGTCCTAGCGGAAGGGCCTTAGCCCCCAGAGCTGGGGCTGGCATCAGGGCTGGTTAGGCAGAGTTTGAATCCAGGAGTGGGGTTCCCTGGCCAGCTGGCAGGGTCCAATGAGGAGCCTTCCCCGGAGGCTCTCGGCAGTGACCCCCGGCTCTGAGTGACTCGCTTGGTGGGCCTAGCTCCAGGAGGTCCTCAGCACAAGGATGGACGGTCCAGGGGGCAGCCAGGACAGTGCTGGGACAGCAGGGGAAGACAGGACTTCAAGCCAATGCAGGGTGGCTCTCCCACAGGCCAGCCGGACACCATTGTGAAGGGTTAGGCTGGGAGGCTCCCAGGCAGAAACATCAGGTGACTTTGGAGGTGGCAGGAAGGGAGCCCCTATTCACCCTCGTACCCCCGCTGTACTCCCACAACACCTCCCTTGAAGGGGACTCATGCTCCAGGCTGTCAGAGGGAGGCAGTGACACTGGGGGCTGGGACTGCTGGGGGCTCATCTCTGAGCAGGTGGGGTCCCACCACAACACTCTGGCCCTTGATGGATGCAGGAGGGCAACCCGTGTGGGGGTGTCCAGGCCACGCGCTCACGCCATGGCTCCCACAGCTCTGGGCATTGATGGCGGCTGGCACTGGCTAGGGGCTCTGGACTCCCGGCTACACAGGGGATCTGGTTGTGTTCAGTGGAGCTATTTCGCAGCTGAAGTGGGGTTCATGCTGGCGGCAGTCACATTGTGGCATGTCCCTTGCCTGACTATGGGCTCCCTGGGGTTGGACTGGGGGTGGGGAGGGCAGGACGAGGTAGTCACCCGTGTGCCCATGACCTATACGCTGCTGGTCCAGCGGCCACATCAAGGAGGTGCTTAGCCAGGGGCTAGGGGTGCGGGAGCACGGGCAGGTGGCCCCAGCCCAGGCAGGCCCTGGCCAGCACCTCCGCCAGCAGGAAACGGAACCTGAGCCACGTGTGCCCTGACCACCCAGCTGCTGGCAGCGGGGACAGGGCCTGTGCCCAGATATGGGGGTGGCACTGAGGCCAGGCCCTGCTCCCGCAGGCTTTGGAGCGGCAGGTGGCTGGGGCTTGTGTCCTGTCCTGGTCCCTTCCCCTGAGCCAGCTCCTCAGCCCACAGGAGACACGTGCCGCCGGGAGATGTGGTCCAACCTCCCCACCCCCACGGCCCGCCCACCCGCAGTGGGCCAGGATGGCGGCCTGCCGGAGGTGAGGGTGGTGGGTGGGCTGTGTGGGGGCTGCTGCCTCCCGCCTCTTCCTCCCTCCCCCTGGACTGGAGCAGCTTTGATCCAATTTTCAGTTGTGGGAAATATGAAATGAATGGTGTTGAATCCTGGCCGGATGAAAGGCTGGTTCCCTCCCTGAGTTCGGGCCAGATGGCAGCTCTGGCGGCCTCCGAGGCACACGCCTGGCCTTTGTGGGCCGTTTAACACTGTGAATGGGGCCAAAGTGTGGGAAACTCACTAGGCTCCCGGCTCACACCATCCACGGTGGGCTGCGGAGGGGGCTGGAGGAGGGAGGGCTGGAGGCTGCTCCAGGCTGGCAGGCTCTGCTCCACAGAAGCACTGTGAAGTGTTGGGGGGCTGGGATCCTCCACCTTGGCTGCCCCCAGCAGCTCAGCGTGGGATGGGGGTGTTCTTGCCCCAGCCGGGCTTTGAGGAGGGAGGGAGTTTGTCCTGCCTGCACCTCCCTGAGCCCCCAACCCTGGAGGGCTCAGTAAGTCTAAGGGGCTTGATAGTTGGGGTGGGGTTGGCACATCTAGAGTTGGTAATAGTCCTCCTGCCTCCACATACACAGACATTGAGGCAGGGCACTTTGCTGTCTCAATTCACGATGCTGTGCCACCATCACCACTGTCCATCTCCAGAAAATGTCCTTCTCTCCAAGCTGAACCTCTGTCCCCATGAAACATGGACTCTCTATTCTCCTCCACAGCTCAGCAACTGTTGAGGCAGGGGGCCTTCAGGCAAAACCTACAAGTTGGGCATGATTAAGCTGGAATGCACGCGTCTAGAACCATGACCCATTTCTAAATAATCCACACGCCCAGCACCACTCCCTCCAGGGCTGACAGCAAAGCGAAGAGCTCCTCGGAGGGGAGGGGCCCGTGGGGGTGGGGGGCGATGGGAAGCTCCAGGGGCATTTGCTCCCAGCTCCAAAGCAGGACGTGGTGCTGGGAAGGTCAAACGGCGCAGACACTAGAAAACAGCTTGGCAGTTCCCCCAAAAATGAAGCACAGAGCAACCATAGGACCCAGCAGCTCCACTTCTAGGTCCATGCACAAGAGAATGGAAAGCAGGACCTGGGGGAGTTATTTGGGCCCTGTCTTCAGAGCAGTGCGGTTCCCAAACCCAAGAGGCGGCCGCCGCCCCATTGTCTGTGAACAAACAAATGTGGTCCTTCCACATAGTGGACCGTTCTTCAGCCTCAGAAGAGAAGGAGGTTGTGACGCAGGTCACAGCAGGCCTGCACCTTGAGGACACTGTGCTCAGTGACATAAAGCAGTCACAAAAGGGCCCATCCCAGGTGGTGCCATTGTAGGAGGCCCCTAGAGTCGTCAGATTCACAGACAGAAAGTGGAATGGTGGGTGCCAGGGGCTGGGAGGGACTGGGCAGTAAGCGTTCCTGGGGACAGAGGTTCGGCTTGGGAGATGGACATTTTCTGGAGGTGGACAGTGGTGATGGTGGCACATCACGAATGCTTTTCATGGCATGGAACTCTGTGCTGAGAAATGGCTAAGATGGTTGTTTTATGTTATATATATTTTGCCACAACTGGAGAAAACAAAAAGGAGGAGCTTTTCTGGAGAAGAACCACGAACTCCCTCCTGCTGCCCCCTCCCCGCCCAGGCAGTGGCAGCCCCCACAATCCTTCCCAGGCCCTGCCTCCAGCTGAGGAAGTAGGTGTGGTGCCGGGCACCCCCGACCTGGTGTTCCTGTCCCCAAGGGTTTCCAGCTTGGAGTGTGGGGAACAGGCAGGCTGGCGGGGGCCAGGAGCCAGGCTGACCTGGGGAAGGAGGGTCAGGGGTAACCATAGCTCCCAGCTTCTTCCTCTTCCAGCCCCTGAAGCCCTTGCTTGGGGGCCTCTGGGTGGAAACTCTACTCGAAGTCTGCAAAACGCCCTGCTGCCTGGGAAGTCAGTTCAGGGAGATGGCCCCGTTCCAGATTTCAGAGACAGCGGCCTCCCCCACATCCAGGACCCCTGCCTGAACAGTGGCCAGCACTGCCTGCCATTGCCCTGGGCCCATCCATGCATAGGGCTCTGCCCTGGAGCCAGGCCACCCCCCGCATCAGCAGCCAGCCCACCTGCTGCAAGGAGCCACCCAGCTTGTCTCCCCAGCTGTGAACAGATGCAGCCGGACCAGGTGTGGCTCCGAGTCTCCACCCTCGGCCAGGGAGGGCACCTGTTCATGGGAGGTGGAGTGGCTGGGAGAGGTTTGAGATCTCTCCTTGGGGCTCCAGGCGGGAGCTGCAGTGGGGGAGGGAGGAAGAGTCCTCAGGCGCTGAGCATCTGTGAATCACCAGGCAGGTATGGAACATGGAAATCCGACTTCCTACAACAGCCCTCCCTGCAAAGTGCGTGGGCCTGTGCTCACTCTCCAGCTGGGGGGCTGGGGGCAAGAGGGTCACAGAGGTTAAGTGACATGCCCAAGGTCACATGTACTCTGGGTCAGCTAACAGGAGGAGTCAACACTCGAGTATTTATTATGCACTTCATGTGTACTTGCCAGTTTAGACTTGACTACGAAGCCAGGAGGTAGGCACTGTTTATTTTCTGTTTACACTGAGTCTGCAGCGCAGAGAGGTGCTCACACCACACAGCTGGTGAGGGTCTGACGTGAGACGGGGACGTGTGGTGGTGCGCCCCGTCTTCTTCCTGAGGAGCTGAGGGAGGTGGGGTGGTGGGAAGGGAGGGGTGTGCGGAGCTGGGGGAGGGAGCCTGGGGCGCTCACGTGCGGGGAGCCCTCTGGCGGGGAGGGGGCATTGGTGAGGGACGGTGTGGCCTCCCCCCGCTCCCTGCAGCCCTCCACCCTCTGGCGAGGGCAGAGCAGCGCATCGATCCGATCAGTGCTGGGAGCTGGAGCTCCAGATGGTGGGTGGCCTGCACGGACGTGTGGACAAAGGGAGGCTGTAGCATGAAGGCGGCCAGCGAGGCACGCGCGATGCCCTTTGTCACCAGGGAAGGCCGCCAGGAGCGCGGAGTGTGGGAACCGCCGGCTCTCGTCTTTAGGGGTGCTCTGTGGGGGTGGCGCACCACCATGAGGCCAAGAGGAAATCCTCGGCCCTTTCCACGCCCTGGCCCCTCTGCTAGGCCGGTGGTGGCCTCCCTGTGGCCTCAGTTCCTTGCACCCCTCCCCTCCTAAATGAAGAACTGGACCAAAGACCTGGGTCCAGAAATGGGGCTGGTTCCAGCTCCTCCCCACAGCCAGCCCCCCTCAGTGGGCAGCTTCTCTTTCGTTGGTCAGCAGATGCTTGAGCACACATGCTGAGCTGGGACTGAGGCTCCTGCACTGGGGGTAGGGGACACTCTTACCTGTGGGAGATGCCTTGAGGGTGTAGACTGGGCCCGGCATGGACCTGCGGTGAAGCCAGGTGCAACAGCTGAGCTGGAGCCTGTCTGACACCGGTGGCAGAGTCGGGCAGCCGCACGCCCCCCAGCAGAGCCAACACAGTTTTGGGGACATAGATTTGGTTAATTTTTCATGTCTGTGTTTTCTTGAATGAGCATTTATTACTTGTGCAGTTTTTGAAAGGGCTTCCCCACACACAGACACACGCACACACACAGACAACACACACATGCTCACATACATACATACGTGCATCCACATGCATAGGTTCCTATGGGAGGAAGTCATTGCATCTTCAGAAGGGCGAGAAAGAATCCCTGAGGTGGGGACAAAGGGGAAGGTGGGTGACCAAGAGGGGCTTCCAGAGGGAACGGTGACTAAGGAGGGTGTTGGCGAGTTCTGCTTGAGGAGTTCTGGGAAGCACCTTCCAGGCAGAGGGCACTACAGGGACACCAGCTTGGGGCAAGAGAGACCAGGTGAGCAGGACTGACATCTCCAAGTCTGGAAGGATGCTCCTGTGGTTTTTTTTGTTTGTTTGTTTTTGAGACGGAGTCTCGCTCTTGTTGCCCAGGCTGGCGTGCAAAGGCATGATATGGGCTCACTGCAAGCTCCGCCTCTTGGGTTCAAGCAATTCTCCTGCCTCAGCCTCCTGAGTAGCTGGGATTACAGGCACACGCCACCATGCCTGGCTAATTTTTGTACTTTTAGTAGAGACAGGGTTTCATCGTGTTGGCCAGGCTGGTCTTGAACTCCTGACCTCAGGTGATCCACCCGCCTCAGCCTCCCAAAGTGCTGGGATTACAGGCGTGAGCCACCGTGCCCAGCCCAGGAGGCTCCTGTGTATACACCTGTGTGAGTGCACCTGTGCGTGTGTGTGTGTGTGCCTGTATGCATGTACTTATGTGTGTGCACTTGAGTACGTGTGTGTGCCTGTGTCTGTACGAGTGTGTGTGTGTGCCTGTGTCCCAGTGTGTGTGTGCGCTCATGTGTCTGTGTACCAGTGTGTGCGCTTGTGTACGTGTGTGCCCATGTGTCTGTGTGTACCAGTGTGTGTGTGTGTGCATGTGTGCCCATGTGTGTCTATGCATGCATCTGCGTGCATGTGCCCAGGAATGCTCACGCCTGCTCAGATGTCCTCAGCTGGGCCACCCGTCCCCACCCTGCCCCGCTGCCCTAACTCCCAGAGTACCCGCATTGGCCGAGCACTGCTCTGTGCCACGTGAGCCCTGGGCCCTGGGGTGACTGTGGGGAAAAACCCTGACAGGAGTGCCTCTGCCCTGCCCTGCCCAGTAGGAACGGTGCTCAACCAGGCCCCTGGCGGCCCTCCGAGGCAGGTAAGTGCGTCCCTATCTGCAGGTGAGGGACAGAGGTGCTGAGGGGCAAAATAACTTGCCAAGGTCTCACGGTCATGCCCCCCACCACCATGCCTGGGGGCAGGCCTTGGCAAGGGGCATGCTGCCAGTCAGTTGGCAGCAGAGCCAAGAAGGGACAGAGCTCAGGGTGTGGCCCTCAGTGCTTAGGACCAGCTGCTCCTCCCCTTGACGCTGGCTTCCCACAGGAGGTGCCGCTGTGTGCTGCTCACACCCAGAAGAGGGGGTCAGGGCATGCAGAGTCCAGTCGGGAAGCCGAGGCCCGAGGAAAGGTGGGCAGGGGCCAGAGCCTTCTCCTGGGGTGGAGGTCAGGCTGCAGACACTGCTAGCCCTGTCCCACCACAGCCCGGCTTCTCAGTTGGGTCTCCACCGGCTGTGACACTCCCACGTGATGCCAACAGGTGTTATGAGGCAGACTCTGTAACCCGCTTGGGATGCTCAAGCCCCAGGGTAGAATTCAGGCCCAAGGGGTGATTGGGGAAGGGGGGTCTGACGTCCTTGGGAGCTGCTGGGCCTGTCTCTGCACGCCTGACGTGGAGTGACCTCGGTCAGAGGGTGGGCTGAGAACTCTCTCATCGTCCAGGGTGGAGGCTGGATAGGCCTCCCTGTTCACACTGTGCTAAAGTAAATAGCAGTTCCTGAGCCCTCCTGTGTGCAGAGTCCCCTCTGTGTGCAGAGCCCCTCCTGTGTGCAGAGTCCCCTCTGTGTGCAGAGTCCCTCCTGTGTGCAGAGTCCCTCCTGTGTACAGAGTCCCTCCTGTGTGCAGAGTCCCCTCAGTGTGCAGAGTCCCCTCTGTGTGCAGAGCCCCTCCTGTGTGCAGAGTCCCTAGAGCCCCTCCTGTGTGCAGAGTCCCCTCAGTGTGCAGAGTCCCTCCTGTGTGCAGAGCCCCTCCTGTGTGCAGAGTCCCTAGAGCCCCTCCTGTGTGCAGAGTCCCTAGAGTCCCTCCTGTGTGCAGAGTCCCCTCTGTGTGCAGAGCCCCTCCTGTGTGCAGAGCTGCTCCTGTGTGCAGAGTCCCCTCCGTGTGCAGAGCCCCTCCTGTGTGCAGAGCCCCTCCTGTGTGCAGTCCCCTTTGTGTGCAGAACCCCTCCTGTGTGCAGAGCCGCTCCTGTGTGCAGAGCCCCTCCTGTGTGCAGAGCCCCCACTGTGTAGAGAGCATGCCTGTGTGTGGATACCTCTTACGTGCAGAGCCCTTCCTGTGTGCAGATCATCCTCTGTGTGCTGAGCCCCCCAGTATGTGGAGCCTCCCCTGGGCTTGAAGTACTCCGATTTGCTGAGGTCAGGACATCAGACCCCCCTCCCCAATCACCCCTTGGGCCTGAATTCTACCTGGGGGCCTGAGCATCCCAAGTGGGTTAGAGAGTCTGCCTTGAGTAACACCTTTTGGCAGCACCCAGGGGTGTCACAGCCAGTGAGATACCCAGCTGAGAAGCCGGGCTGCAGTGGGACAGGGCTCGCAGCCTCTACAGCCTGACCTCCAAATGAGCATCCCCTGTGTGCACAGCCCAGAAGGGCTTCGCATCTGCACGGCAACTCTGTGATTTTGGATTATGATGATCAAGTCCATTGTACAGATGAGGAAACTGAGGCTTCACAAGGTGAGGGGACTGGCCTGCCCAGGTGTGCTTCTGGGGCCCTCACGGGGGTCAGCCTCTCAGCTCCTACTCTGCAGCAACTCCCCAGGCTGGGAACACAGACACCTGCTCTTCCCGTGACTGTGGAGACAGAAGGCCCATCTCCTGCGGCATTTCAGTGTTGCGCTGAGGTGCAGAGCTGGGGTGCAGAGTCCATCCGGTGGAGGGATGGAGCCTTACCTTAGTCAGATGAGAAATGGTACCTCCACCGCCCAGCTCAGCCCACCTATAGTGCTCTCACGCAAGGCCTTAGGCCTGCCTTCCCTGTTCAGACCCCACGGGTCCCCGTGTGGCCAGGTTGGTTGCGATCGGGAGATGGGTAGAGGGCCCTGCCCCCTGACTTGGTGCCCCTGGCCAGGTGCAGTGTGCAGTGCAGGCTTGAACCTGCAGGGGTCCCCCAGGAGCGTGTTTCCTTCCCAGAGGCCCCGGGGCAGGCACTGAGTGGCTTGGTGAAAGCAGAAGGTCCAGGCCAAGGCTGGGCTCTGCCCTTGTCTTTTTCACTTAGAGACTGTTGGACACACCCCACTCCTCTCTGAGCCTCAGCTTACGGGTCTGTAAAATGGGCTTTCCCTGCCAAGCTCATCTTGGTCTTGGGAGGCCTGGCTCCAGGTGGCTGGAAGTGAGACAAACCCTGAGGATGGCGGGGAAAGAGCTGGGGCACTGCAGAGTAGCGCCCACCCCCTCCATACCCAGTTAGCCCCAGCCCAGGAGACTCTGTGCTGGGGCTGGCCACCTGCTGTCTGATCCTCACCTGGAATACGGCTTGTGGGCCCAAACAGGTGTCCCAGTCCCTGCACTGCACACTGCACCTGGCCAGGGGCACCAAGTCAGGGGGCAGGGCCCTCTACCCATCTCCCGATCGCAACCAACCTGGCCACACGGGGACCCGTAGGGTCTGAACAGGGAAGGCAGGCCTAAGGCCTTGCGTGAGAGCACTATAGGTGGGCTGAGCTGGGCGGTGGAAGTACCATTTCTCATCTGACTAAGGTAAGGCTCCATCCCTCCACCAGGACCTGTGGCTGGGCTCCCCGCCGCAGCCCTGACCCAAGAACCTCAGGGGGAAGGGCCCTTGCTGGAGAATTGGGGGTGCACCAGGCCCACCGAGCTGATGCCCTTTGGTGCCCTGGCTTGGGCCTGGGTTCTCCAGGGCTGCTGGGGTGAGGCTGGCACCCGAGAGGCCACTGGGGCCCCTGCTGAGACAGTAGCCCACACCCCTGCGCAGGGCACGCCAGCTGCTCCTAGGGCACCTGGGCATCTGTGGAGATGGGGTGGGGGTTCCTGAAGCCGAGGGGGCTCCTGTAGCCCTGAGGGCACCCCCCACAGACTGCAGCCTTCCCAAGTCCCAGGCCAGGCTTGAGGCCCCAGCTTTGTGCACCATTCCAGGCCCCACCTTCACCAAGGGACTGGAGTCCACACCCCAGAGGGCATGGGCGCAACCTCAGGCTCCCCCTGCCCAGCTTTCCGGGCCTCAGTTTCCCTAGTGTAAAACCAGGCTGCTATGGGGACCATGGGGACACCTGTGGGGTTGGTTCCCCCGGTGCGCAGGGGTGGGTGGTGGGAAAGCCCGCGGCCCGCAGTCTCACGGGCGCGGGGATTAGGGGCCGTCCGGGCCCACGTGGCCGCACGCCCCGCCCCGCCGGTGTCCCCCCACCCCCCGTGCGCCCCGGGGCAGGGCCGGGTCGCCGTCCCAAGCTGGTTAAAAACCCCGCGGTGTCAGAGAGCAGCTCGTTCCCAACCTCTGAAAGGCAGACAAGCCCTTTATTGCTCTATTATAACGCGGAGCCAGATGGTCTTTTGGGAGTTGCCCCCCCGCGCCCCCCGCCGCCGCCCTCATTCATTCAGACTCAGACCCCGGCACTAATGCCGCGGGGGGGCCCAGGCACGCTTCCCTCGCCGCCCGCCCGCGCAGTGTGGGAACCGCCGGCGAGCGCGAACCCACAGCCGGGCGGAGGGAGGGGCTTGGAAACCCGCGCATCGGAGAGCTGGGGAGGGGTGGGGAGGGCTGCGTCCCAGCTCGCCTGGGCCGGGAGGGCTCTCAAGTTAGGGGCTAAGGGAATGCTCAGGAGGCTCGTCCCCAGCCCCACAATCCCTGGTTCTTAGAGGCTGGGGAGGCGGGAGCAGGGAGGAATCCCAGGGTCCCCAGCTGTGGGACCTCGGGCAGGGCACTTAACCCTACCCGTGCCTCAGTTTCCTCATCTGTTAAATGGGGACAGTGATAGGGCCCCCTCACTAGGTTTCGGGAGGATCAGAAGCGTTAATATTTGTAAAACTTTTAGAAAAGGGGTGAGCGTCTGGGCCTCTCACTGATTTTGTACCACTCCCCACCCCCACCCAAGAGTGTTTTTTACTTTTTTTTTTTTTTTTTTTTTGAGACAGGGTCTCTCTGTGTTGCCCAGGCTGGTCTTGAACTCCAGGGCTCAAGCGATCCTCCTGCCTTGGCCTCCTGAGTAGCTGGGATTACAGGTCGGCCGGTCTCAGCACCAGCTGAAACAAATAAATAGAGAAGAAAGATGTTTCACTACTTGTGAAAAAGATGAAATTCAAGTTTCAGCGTCCATAAATAACATTGTACGGAGACACAGCAGGGCGCCACACCCGATGCTATCCAGGAAGGCCACCTCCTGGCGTGACGCCAGTGGCGTGGTAGGACAGAAGCCTGGCCACGTGGCCTGCAGTGGTTACTGCTGGGCCCTCTTCATAAGCACTGGTCCCACCCGCAGTGAAGGACTACCTGCCCCAGGCAGAGCCTCCCACGATCGATCGCTGTCCTCACCGCCCCCGGGGGGTGCCCCATTCCTCTCACTTCTGGGGCTGATGTGGGAGCCTCAGGAGGGGACTGAGTGAGTGTGCACTTGAGTGTGGCCACACCGTCCTGAGGCTTCGTCATCGTGCCCATTGGACAGGGTGGCAAACTGAGGCCCATGGAAACCCAGGGCCCAGCTGCCAGGTGGAGGCCGAGGCCAGAGAGAACCCTGGGCTAGGGCAGGTGGGCAGCCTCACCCACCCGGGTCAGGCTCCTGCTTTGCTCATGTAACCCTCACGCTGGCCACAGGCACTTCCTCAGGTCCCTGCCGCAGAGCACGCGCACGGGTCTGCTCTTCCACCGCTGGGAAAGACCTACTTTGCACTGAAAAGCGTCCCAGCTTCCCTCCCGGCTAGACTGGCAGCTCCACATGA
The DNA here is from genome assembly GCF_000001405.40 of Homo sapiens. NCBI lineage: Eukaryota > Metazoa > Chordata > Mammalia > Primates > Hominidae > Homo > Homo sapiens. Next base: position 2,542,299 of record NC_000001.11, read on the forward strand.
CTCGCTGGGGTCCTGGGCTGACTTTTGGCCTTTTTCCCCAACTGATTATTGAGGGGGTGGCCTAGCTGATCTTTGGGGCTCCACAAACAGACACAGGGTGGGGTCAACGTGTCTTCCACAGGGGGCAGAGTCCAGGGGGAGCAGCAGCCTGGAGCAGTGCTGAGGGCTTTGCGGGATGGCAGCTCGCTTGCTCCTGAAGCAGATTAGGCCCTGTGAGGGGCTGGGGTCTGGGCCATACTGCTGGGAGGCGGGGGGGTGCTGCTTGTTGTCAGTTACCTGGGAAGCCCTGGGTGGGGTCCGGCAGCTCTGGGACTCTGGGTCTGGAAGTCCATTCTCTTGTCCCACTGGCCTGCAGGTGTTTGGCCCTTCCTGTGGCCCTGGCCTTGTTGCACTGGCCCTGTGCCAGCACCCCCCATCTGGTGCCCTAGCTCTGCGAGCACTATCTGGCCAGGGTGTGGGGGACCCTCTGTCTATGAGCCTCTGTCATCCACGTGTAGGGGGACCAGGGAGATCACAGATGTGGGGCTCAAGCCCCAGGCCCCAGTGATCACTTCTCTCTGAGCCTTGGATCCCAGCCCTTCCCTTGATGTGCCGCCCCAACTCTTACAGGGGATGCTGGCCTTTATCAGCACTCTATTTGGGGTGTGGTACCGAGTGGGGCTCCCATCCCCACCACCACCCCCATTACGATGGGCCAGCTGTCTCAGGTAGGGGCTTCCAGCCCAGCGTGGGGACCCTCGGCAGTGACCAGCAGGGAGGACCCATGCCTGGGGCACCCCCACAGCCATGGATGGGGGTCTCCGGGGACCTGCTGCAGCACAGTGGATATGGCACCCCTGTCACAGATGGAGGGAAGGGAGGAAGAGGCCTGGCGAGCTTAGGCAGAGGAGAGGTCAGGCTGCCAGCCCAGCCGGGCAGGAACCACCCTTTTTCATTAAGTGAGCCCCCGGGCCGAGAGTTCTGCTGGTCCCGTGGTGAGGGAGGAGGAACGGGAGGGGGCTCTGGGAGTCTGCGCTTCCTCCTCTAGTTGCCCCCTAGGTCTGGCAGAGACCTTCAGCCTCTTGTCCCCACCCCCAGGACTGAGATGCATCCTGGCTTCAACCAGGGGAGACTCTGGCTTCTGGAGGGCAGCCACCCTCTGGACTTGAAGGTGCCCAGGGCAGGTTCCAGAAGGTCCTGCTTCCCCCCAGTACCCCGGCCCAGCCCCTGGAGCCCCTGGGAATGTGTTCAGCCTCCTGCTCAGTAGCCCTCAGCCCACTGGGCTCCAGCCCCATCAGGCAGCTCCCCCGCCCTGGAGCCACCCTCAGCAGAGTGGCAGCCACCCTCAGCCCTCCCTCGCCTGTGGCTCCTGCGTGAGGTGGGGGAGGGGGAGCCCGGCACTGCTTGCCTGTGTCAGGGCTCGGGGCTGGCACCGAGGCTGTGTGCTGCCCCAGGCACCCGCCTACCTCCCCTGCCTGGAGGGGCATTTGGGCTGGAGCCCGCTCCGGGTGGGTTCCCACATCCACCCCCCTCTGCGGACATTCATCCTGCACAAAAGGCGCGTGCGCGGCAACAAACTCATTCGCCACGGGCTGCCTGGGCTTTGTGTGCTGAGCTCCGGCCTCAGAGGCCATCTGGGGAGCAGTCGTCCCAGCGGGCGGCAGGGCCCCCTCCAGGCTGCCTTTGAGGCCTGGGAAGCAGCCGAGGCTCCCTGAGCAACCGCGCTGGAAACCGCACACATCTGGCCTGTCCAGTGCCTTCCAGTTCCCGCAGCCTCCTGGCTGTCCCCTGCACGCTCTGGCCCTGGCATGGCACTAGGTGCCAGGAGGGGACCAAGGCAGGCGCCTGCCTCCCTGCCCTACCCCTGATGCAGGCTGTGTGCACACGGCCCAGTGGGGAGGGCTGTGGGCACGGGGTTCAAATCTGGGGAGTACCCCTCAGTAGGTGGGCCCTCTGGGGCTCAGCTTCCTCATCTGTGCAATGCAGCTGATAACGCTCCCACCCAAGGCCTGTGCTGAGGACGGAGAGTGGATGAGCGCCAGGCATGTGCAGTGGCCTCGGCACGCAGACCCCTGCCCCAGGCACTGCCCGGCTCTGCTTCTTCTCGCCTTCATTCGGTTTCCTGGGTGGGCGACCCCTGCCCGTGTTCCAGGCTTCCTGGAAACTGGCTGGGGGTCAGGGAAAGGCCAGCTGGCCGCAGGCAGCTCTGCTTAGAGCTGGGCCCACCCCTGCTCGGTGTGGGTGCGGCAGCTGTGGTCCTGCCCCACTCTCAGGACTCTGAGCAGCTTCTGCCTGGCCTGTATGCAGTAGGTGCTGAGTAAGTGAGCACTTGCCTCGAGGCCCTCAGCCCTGAGCACCTCCAAGTGTGATCTCAGCCCTGGATCTGGCTTGGGTCTGCCCAGCTGTGGGCGCAGCCACGTGGCCTGGGGTCGAGGGGGGGTTACTAGCAACCCCCAGCAAGCTCCTCTGCTGAGCACGCCCTTCCCCAGAGGGCTAGAGGCCAGGACAACAGTGAGCCGGGGCTCCAGGACAGCCTGCCTGGCGTGGCGGGCATTTCTGAGTCTGGGCGGTTGGATGCGGTAGGGGGCATGGAGTGGGGTGTCCGAGGGGTCTTTCCACTCAGGAGACCCTTCCTGGCCAAGCGACTTCTGGGGCCACAGCTCAGCAGACAGGGCCTCTGCAGAGGCGTCCCTGCCCCCAAGCATGCTGGGGGCGTCCTTGAGAGGGTGTCCTGCAGACCCAGAGATAATCCGGGCTTTGAGAGGCTGTGAGAGGCTGGCCCGAGGACTTTCCCACAGCCCCACAGAAAGGGCCGGCAGCCAGCTGCTCACCCACAAAAGGCTCCCGGCCATTCATGGCCTCAGGCAGGCGGGGCTGTCGGAGCGGCAGCCACAGCCTACCTGGCCACCCCCAGCAGGACTTTCGTGACAGGGAGGCACCTCCCTTCTGGCCATGGGGGCAGGAGGTCTCCAGGGCATAGGGGTAGTCTTGTGCAGCCACCCAGGCCAGCTGCTACCCCCTCTCTTTTGGCCCGAGACTGGCACCCTTCCTGGGCCTGTCATTTATCATGGGTGCCTGGGTAAAGGATGGCTCAGGAGGACCCTGCAGGCACCCACTACCATGCCTGGCGCCGTGCCTCCACCGTCACACTACCCATTGCTCGCCCCCACACGCTGGCCATGAGTCCCCAGGGCTGGCACCTTCCTTGCTTCCAAGTCTGGCCTGCACGGCTCTCACACCCTTTGCAACCATCTTCTTGCCCACCCAGCAGCCCACCCTGTCAGTGTAGGGGGCAGGAGAGGGACCTGGTGGGGCAGTGAGCTGGGTAAGGCCTCCTCCCTGGACCTCAGTCTCCTTGTCTGAGGTGTGGGACAGCACTGCTGCCTCCCAAGGCTGATGGAAGGACCCCCAAGGGCGGCTGGTTAACAAATACCAGGTTTGGAGAAGCTGGGGTGTGGGGCTGCTGCCTGGAATTAACTGCCCAGAGCACCTCCAAGGATGACCTTTTAATATGAGAGCCAGCCCAGGGGAGGGAAGGGTCGGGGGCTTCCTGGGGGAGGTGGCCGCTGGCCTGGATTATCAGGAAGTGCAGGAGGAGGGTGGGGGCTTCCTGGAGCAGTGGCCCTGGCCCCCCTGTGCAGTAGCTGCGGCTCAGCCCCTTCCCTGGCCTGTCTCCCTGTTGCTTCCACAGCTGGAGCTGCCTCTGCGGCCCCTGTCCTCACCCCTGAGGAGGCCAGGCCCGGGCAGGTGCCTGGGCTGGGGCTGCTCCTGGCCAGGCTGGAAGACTGTCAGATGGAGGACAGGTCAGGTGGTCGGAAAGCTGGGGACAGGGAGGGAGCAGGTTTGACGGAGGGACGTATGGGCAGGCTCCTCCTCCCGGTCAGGTCCCACGTGACCCCCCAGCCACGCCTACCCACATCGCCCTGCTGGAGGCCGGGGGCGGGGGGAGCGGGGAGTGGGGGGTGTGGGGGGTGAGGGGGGTGGGGGTGGGGGTGGCCCGGCCCGGAGCTAGGGGGCGGGGCCGTGCTTCTTCTGGCCCTGGCCTCCAATTGGCTGCCGGGCGTGGGAAAGCGTGCACCACTGCCTGGCGCCCATAAAGACGCCTCCACCACCTGCGCCGCCGCCGCCTCCCGGCCGCCCTCCGCCCCGCGCGCTCGTTGAGGCCGGTGCTCCAGAGTGAAGAGCGTGGCGGTGCGGCGGTAGCGCAGGGCCCTCCTGCGGGGCCAGGCAGGGGCGGGTGGGCGCTCCTTGCCACCTTTCTGCTCTCCCTGCTGTCCGAGAAGTTCGTGCGGTGCCAGCCCAGCTCCCAGCTGGGGACAGAACAGGAAACGTCCCCGGCGAGCCTGGCGGGGGTGGCGGCAGGGGTGTCTGTCGCCTGCGCTGGGCAGGACGCGCGTCCTACCGGCCTCCCACTCCGCGGGCCTCACCAGCCACCTCATTCCCGGAGCCCGGGCCGCCGAGAGCGCCGCGGATGGACCTCAGGGAAGGCCTGGCGCGCCGCCTCCGGGAAGCCTTCCGGCCTTCTCCCTCCACCGAGTACTGGGGAGTCTCAGGCCACGGTGAATGAAGAGCAACGGGCCGGAGAGACCTCGGCCTCTGCCCAGGAGCAGCGCCCAGCAACCCCGCCCACAGGGGACCCGGTGGACGCCCTGGTGGCCACTTTGCCAGGCTCCCCATCTCCCAGCGAACCAGAGAGGATTTCCGTTCCCCTCCTGCTTGGTGCCTAGCGCCAGGGCGGGGCGTGGGCTGAGCAGCCCCTCCCATGGAGGGAGCGGCCAGTCTACATATTGGAGGTGGGGCTCTGGGGAAAGGGTGTTGTTAGGAAGGCGGTTTGAGGCAGCGGGAGGTGGGGATGCGCCCGGCGGGGAGGGGCAGGTGTGTGGGGAGGGCCTGGGGAGCGCCTCCCCAGCCGGGCAGCGCTTCCCCAGCCAGGCCCCGCAGCTGGACCCCGGCTCCGTCCAGCCTGGGAAAGGACTCCACGGTTTATGCTGAAGTGGTGGTGGGGTGGGTGAACGCTGCGCAATGGAAGGGCATGGCCCTGTGCTAATTGCCCCGGGGTGTGGGGCTGTGGAGGCACTGCGGGGGGGATGTGCTGTGTCAGTTGGGCAATGGCGGCCAACTGTGGCGTGCAGGCCTTGGAGCTGCCCCTCCATGGAGCTTTAATAAAGGCACTAGCCCTGCAATTTCTGCCTGAGTTTCTGGCCCACAGCTTGGCCGACTGCAGCCCCTGAGATTGGAGGCTTCTGCTCAAGACGTGGGCAGGGAGCTCGGGGCTCCCTGGGCTGGGGCCCTGCCCCGCTGGCCTCTACCCTGGCCCCTGCTGGAAAGCCCGTCAGGGCTGCTCTGAGCTGGGGACAGCTCCTCCCTGCCCACAGCAATCTGGGGGAGCCCCGGTTTGTCCAGTGCCCCTGTGAGCCCTGCTGTGTACCAGCCACCTGTGGGAGTGTCCGCCAGTCACCTCCCAATAGCTCGGGAGGCAGAGCGACATGACTCCATTTTAGAGATGAGCAAACGGGGCTCCTGCACTCTGGGACCATGACAGAGACACAGGAAGTGAGAGTGGGCTGAGGCCCTGCAGCAGTGGGGGCCGGCCTTGGACCGTGATCCAACCCGACCATGGCTGCCCAACCCCCACGGGCTCACCTGGCCCCTCATCGAACCATGTATTACCCGAATAATTTATTCTAGTGTCTGGGCCCAGCCCCGTGTCCCTCACTGACAACCAGACCATGGAGGGCAGCCCTTGTGTTTTCCCAGGGGGAGGGGAGGGAGGAGGGGGTGGATTCTTAAAGGGCTGCAGTGAGTGTGGCCCCAAATGCACACCCAGGGTTAGGCACGCAGGTGATGGCACAGGGAGCCCAGGTTCTAGGAAGTGGCACCTGCGGCCGGGGAGGCAGGGCCTGGATTTTGCTGCCCCCTGGTGGCTAGCGGCCTGTCCAGGCAAAAGGCTTGGACCTGCAGCCCCTGTGGCTCAGAGGAAGAGACAGAGGAAGAGACAGACAGAGGTCTGAGGTCTCCCATCAGAAGTCTCAGCTCCCAAGGCAAATTCAGAGGTGGAGGGTCCCTTGGCCCTGTCCCAGCTCTGGCAGGGCGGCCCCCCACGTCCTGGCCTGCTGCCAGGGGTCGCGCCCACAGCCCTGCACCGAGCAGGGAAGGCCCAGGCCTGGGTGGGTCTTTCCGCAGGATCCTGGGATGTTGCTTAGGGGAAGCCGAGACCAGACGGGCAGTCACCTGTCTGGGAAAGCACCAGGCCCTGGCCGGGTGCGATGGATCACGCCTGTCATCCCAGCAGTGTGGGAGGCCGAGGCGGGAAGATCACGAGGTCAGGAGATCGAGACCATCCTGGCTAACACGGTGAAACCCCATCTCTACTAAAAATACAAAAAATCAGCCTTGCATGGCGACGGGCGCCTGTAGTCCCAGCTACTCCGGAGGCTGAGGCAGGAGAATGGCGTGAACCCAGGAGGCGGAGCTTGCAGTGAGCCAAGATCGCGCTGTTGCACTCCGGCCTGGGTGACAGAGCCAGACTCAAAAAAAAAAAAACAAAACACAAAAAACAAAAAGGAAAGCACTAGGCCCTGCGGAAGTCCCCATGGTGACATTCACGTCCTGGCCACGTGGGCGGGTGTAGGGGAGGGACCGCAGGGAGGCGGAAGTCCTTGTTTTTTCCTGCAGTCGGCCCAGGCAGGACCTGAGCAGCCTGAAGCCATGAGTCGCTGCCACTGCTCTTTCTGTGCCTGGTGCAGCCCCAGCTCATGGGGTCTGGGCCGCCTCTGATCCCATGCCCCCCACTTCACACTTGGGGTTCTGGCTTCCCCGCTGTGAGCCTGTCTCTCCTCCGTGGGACAGGCCAGCCTGGGCAGCCATCCCTGTACCCACTGCCCAGCATATAGTGGGTGCCTCATAAATGTGGGCTGAACAGAGCCTGCCCCTGGGGCCCCACCCTCACTGCCAGGCATACAGCAGGTGCCTCATAAATGTGGGCTGAACAGATCCTGCCCATGGGCCCCCCGACTTCCAGACATAAAGTAGGTGCTACATAAATGCAGGCCAAACAGAATCTACCCTGGGGGCCTCCACTTCCCTTTGATGGGGGCAGAGACCCTCTGCCGGGCAGCGGCCACCCAGTGCCTGGGACAGGTGCCCCCTTCTCCCACCCTGGCCTATCTTGGGGCATCTGAGGGAGGACAGGGCTGTGCCCCCCACTTCATCCTCGAGGGTCTGGCTTCCCCACCTGTGAGCTTGTCTCTCCTCCGTGGGAGGAGCAGCACCGTCGTTTTCACTTTCCGTGATGACCACTGAGTGAGAGAAGATGACGGCAGCTCCTGCGTTTAAAAAGGAACCATCCGCGTAACTGCCGCAGGCAGGGCCCGTGCTCGGGCAGTGAGGCCTCGGCCCTGAGAAGGCCCGGACCCCACAGGCCTGGCCCTGGCTGAGAGGGAGTTGGAGTCCCCCGCCTGGGGCAGCCCCTCTGCACCTGGGGTGGTGGAGCAGGAGCTTGGCTGCAGGCGGGGCTTTCCTCCCAGCTCTGGGAGCCGCTTCGCTGCAAACGCTGTGACTGCAACCTCCGCCACCCAGGTTCAAGCGATTCTCCCGCCTCAGCCTCCCGAGTAGCTGGGATTACAAGGCACCTGACACCATGCCCAGTTAATTTTTGTATTCTTCCTAGAGACGGGGTTTCACCATGTTACTCAGGATGGTCTCAAACTCCTGATCTCAGATGATCCGCACGCCTCCACCTCCCAAAGTGCTGGGATTACAGGCGTGAGCCACCATGCTCGGCCTAGGTGACTTTTCATGGGGAGATAACACACAGGCATGGTGAGCAGCGTGGCAGAGGACCTGTGTGCAGGGCCCTGTCTCCCGCCGGGGAATCCTTCATCTGGGAAATCTCCGCTGCGGGACAGGGATGCTGTGTCGTCAGGACGCAGCGTCTCTCCAGGGCACCCGGGCCTCCTCTGAGCCTCTTTGCGCTCTTTGGCTGCGTGCTTTCTTTCCTGTGGCAAAAGGTACATGACGTTTTATTGACCATTTCAGCCATTGGCAAGTGTGCAAATCAGTGGCTTTAGTCCATTCGCAATGCAGCTGGACCCCACCCTTTCCTGATTCCCGCAGGCCAGGGCTGAGGGCGGGGAGGGGCCTGTGCAGCAGCCTGAGACCGGCTGTCCAATGGCAGAGCTTCCTTCTGGGAAAGCCATGGGTCCCCTGGGGCCCCATGCTGGAACCCCAGCAATGGTGGTTCACGTGTCTCTCCATCTCACTTCCCGTGCAAAAGCGACACAGGCGGGTACAAACCCAAACAGTGCAGACATGGAGGAGACAGAAGGTGAAAATGGTTTCTGAGCCCCTCCAGCCGCCCTCTGGGGACACCAGCCTGGCGTTCTTCAGACACAAGCACTCCCTGCAGCCAGGAAGAGGAGGAGGCAGCCGGGTCTTGGGCGCAGAGGGACCACCCTGTGAGGACATAGGGAGCAGGTACCATCTGCAGGCCCAGGAGGGAACCAACCCCACCTGCCCCTGCATCTTGGACTTCCAGCCCCCAGAACCATGACACCATTGTGTTTCCATTTCTTGAGCCCCCAAGTCTGTGGCCCTTTGCTTTGTTTTGACACCCCAGCAACATGAGCCCCTTCCCAACCCCTCCCCAGCCCTGGCCCCATCATCCTTGACCTCTCTCTCCCTGCAGGTTAGATCTGCCTGTCCCAGAATTTCACCTGAATCACAAAGCGTGGCGCCTCGGGGCCTGGCTCCCTTCACGTGGCCTGATGTCTGCATATTCATCCGCCGTGCAGTGTGTGTCCACGGTTCATTTTGTGTTGCCACGGAGCATCTCATTGTGTGGCCCTAGCCCAGTGTGTTAATCCGTTCACCTGCTGGTGGGTGTTGCAGTGGTTTCCAGCTCTTGGTTATCACCGAGAAAGTGACTGTGAACTTCCGCACACACGTTTTGCTGAGGACAACTCCTTCCATTTCACTTGGTTATTAGGAGTGGAGTTGCTGGGTCCTAGGGAAGGTGTGTGTTTCTCTCTAAAAGAATTTGCCAAACCGATGTCCAAAGCTGTACCATTTCAGGCTCCTGCCTGAAATCATGCTGTGATTGTCATTTCAGGGTCCACGTCTGACAAGTCCACCGTGGCTGCCCTTCTGGGCCTGTTGCTGCTGACTCACGTTCCCACGGCCACCTTTCCCTGCGTCTGGACGTAGTAGCAATTTCTCGTTGGATGTGGACATTGTGCTGTGACCGCTTTGATCACCTGGCATTTTTGTTGGGTTGTTTTTGGCCTTCCTTTAAAGGACGCTGCGCTGTGTTCTGCGTGGAGTTCAGCTCCTTGCTCTTCACTTTGGTCTTCGTGTGGCTGGTTCTGAAGCCTCTCAGAGCAGGTCCAGCCCAGCCTTTCCTGCAGGAAGAGTCCAGCCCCACTCCCAGGACGGGCCCTGCTGGGTGGCTGCCAACAGCCCAGGATCCTCCAGGACTCTCCCCCTGGCGGTTGGAACTCCTGTCTCCCACCTGTGAGTCCCAGGGGCCGGGGGTCCACAGCCCCCTAGGGTCCCATCCATGCTGAAGAGTCCACCTTCCACATCCATGGCGCCTGACTCCGGAGGCCTCAGAGGCCCTCAGGCAGCCTTCTGGAGCTTTCTGTCTGTGCAGTTCCCTCCCTTCTGGAGCTCTGCCTGCCAGGTCCCTCTGCGGATGTCTCCCTGAGCACTGACCTCCTTCTCCTCAGCCCGCCAGGACTGCTGGACCTGCCTGGATGCCCGCCCCTGCTCGGCCATCCTCAATGGGCCTCCACCCCAGGGCTGGGGTGACCCGGGCTGAAAACAGTTCATCCTGAGTTTCAGTCTCGAGCTTTCGTGGCAGGAGGGAAACTGCTGGCTGTGTTACTCCACGGCGGCTGGAACGGACGGGACCAGCTCCCTTCAGAGGGGCACTTCGGTTGGTTCTAGAATTCTCCTTTGCTATGAAGGCTGCCGGGCACATTCCACACCAGCCACCCTCCACCTCGCATGTGCGTTTATCGATGAAACGCCACAGTGGGACCTCCTGGATCAAATAGTGCAATGATGTAAACGCTTAGTATTGTCCTGGAACCTGCCTCCGAAAAGGCCGTGCGCTCCCGCCTGGGATCCTGCTGCTCCTCCGCCGGCCGCCCCGCACACGCTCCGCTGCCTCTCTGGGCTGGCTCAGCCGTTGCATGTTCCTGCGTGTGCACTGAGACGTCCACCCTGGCACGCTTCTTCCCCTCGGCACGTGGTCCCCACGCTGTGCCTGCCCAGCTCGGAGCCCAGAGGCCCCCGCAGCTCCCCACAACTTCATGGTGCAGTGACCTGAGGCCTCCCCTGGCTCAGTCCCTTTCCCAGGGTCAGGGGTCCATGTATTGAACCAGGACGGGAGGTGCCTTCCCCCTGAGCTCTGTCCCTGCTGAACCTGGAAGGCAGCGCCCGGTGGCGGCTCAGACCCCCAGAGCCTCTTCTGAGGTCCGACACTCCTCTGCTCCCCCCAGGGAGACCCCCTGGCCTGGCCCCCAGCTCTCGGTGCCTCGGTTTCCTCACCTGGAAGGTGGGGATGTTGAAGGTGCCTGGCCTGTGGCTGTGCACTAAGCTAGGGTGACTGTGAGCTTCCAGAGCTCGAATGTCTGGAAGGAAGGGCGCGAGCTGGGTGCGTGTGAGTGTCCTGATCATGGACACAGAGCGTGGGGCCCCTTGGAGGGCTGGAACCCAGGTGGGGGATGCCTGGGTGGTGGGACAGAGTGGGGCTGGAGGAGAGGGTCTGAGGAATGTTCCGGCCACAGACACCCCAAGCCCACGGGAGGTCAGGAGTTGGTCACAAGGAAGGTGAGGTGGGGAACAGAGCTGGGGCCCAGGGTCCTGATTTGGGGTGAGAGGTGACGCCATCCCCGAGTCAGAAAGACGGCCAGGGGAGGGGAGGAGGTGGGGAAAGCAGACAGACGGGGAGGCGGGGGGAGCCCAGGGCCAGGAGTGTCAGGGGCAGGCACTTGAGACAGAGGCACCCTGAGGTTTCCCAGCAGGCAATTGATACCCTGGCCTGCAGCGTGGAGGAACCGGGGCTGGGCTGGAGGCCTGGGGACGCCTGGGGCTGCCCCAATTCCCAGCAGACACCTCACCCTCTGGGAAGCCCCAGCTGCCCCAGATCCCTCCCACAATGCTCTGACCACCCCCAACCCCCAAGTCCTCTCCCTTCTGTCCCCAAGCCCGAGGCCTTGGAGCTGCCCCCGCCCTGGGCCATGAGAGCTGGACACAGAGCCCTCCAAGTTCCACGGGCCTCCTGCACCGCCGCCTGCTCCGCCCTCCTGCCCTCCCCCTCGGCCTCCCCTGTGAGGGCTGCCCACCTAGGTGACCCCGGAGCCGCCTCCTCACGCCTCCATCTGCTCTGCACACCGTCCACTAGCCTGACAGCTGCCCAAAGCCTCCAGAGCACAGAACGGGCCTGGTGTCTGCGCCTCCGTCTCGGGGTGGGCCACGGCCGGTTCTGTGTCCCGTCCCCTCCCCGCTCACCAGCGGTGGACCCCAGCTTCCCTCTGCAGCAGCACTCAACTCACACACTTTCTCAGAGACGCGCAGCCCACCTCGCCCCCGCAGTTTCCTCTTCATCCCTCAGAGCCCCCCATGGCCTGGGCAGTCCATCCTGAGTGTCCGCACCACACGACTGTAGACGTTTGGCTTCTGGACTCAAATCCTTCACCAGATCGTGACCAGGATGGCAATGACCAGGCCTCGGCCTCAGCCCCCTGCCTGGCCTGCACTGGCACAGCATTGGGTCTGGGGAGTCCCCGCGACAGGAGGCGTGGGGCTCGGGGTGCTCACCTGCCTCCCTCTCCCTGCTGGTAATGGTGGGCCCCGGGATGGGGGCAGTGATATCCTGCGGGCAGCCGTGTCAATGCAGATGGCTGGGTGCTGGGTAGGGCCCCGTCTCCCGCCTCCTTGGGCTGCCTCATTTCCTTCCTGATGACCCTGGGGTCCTGCACAGGGCCTGGCGGTGCTGGTGCCGGGAGAGCCCACGCTGAATGGATGAAGGAGTGAGTGCTGTACTTAGCGGGGGGCGCTGAGCGCTGGGTGGGGAGCCCAGGACATTTCCTCCTGCTGCCCGGGAGGTAACACCCTGGACCCCTGGAGTCTGCATTCTGTGAGAGCGGGCAGGCCACAGAGAAGGGAGAAAAGGGACGGAGGGCCGAGGCGGGCGGATACGGGGAGCAGGGAGCGGGGACAGGGCTTACTCAGCAATCAGAGAAGGCCTCAAGGAAGAGGTGACATTTCAGCAAAGACCTGGCACTGTCTGTGCCCTCGGTGGGGCAGATGGGCTCCCTTCAGCCCCCTTGAGGCCTGGCACCTGGGGCCCTATGTCAGGCTTGGGGCCTTGGTGTGGGAGCTGAAGTCGGGGTAGGAGGGGCATGGAGGAAGGGGCAGGAGGGGCTGAGTCTCACTGATGCCTGTGTTAGTCTTGTCTCTTGCCATGCCTCAGTTTCCCTCCTCCCCAGGGTGGGGTGGATGAGACGACTCTGGAGGACGTATCTGAGAGAGTGGGGTTGGAGCCCCGTACCGGCAGGTGTAGGCGCTGTGTCTGCTCTTGGAGGTTGGGCGTTCTTGGGGAGTTGGTGAGGGAACGTGCTGTCCCTGCACCCTGGAGCCCCCATGCCCTCCTGGGGCCCCCGGGAGTGGAGGATGCAAGGGGCCCCCTTCTTCTTCCTTGCAAGACCCACATGGCTCTGCATGTGGGGGACATTCCTGGCAGGGGGCGCTGAGGGCCAGGATGTGAGTGCACCAGGGAAACAGCAGATGGGGCTCCTCTCCCAGGCTCCAGCTGTGGGGTGGGAGTCCATGCTCCTGCGTGTCTCTTGGGGGCTTTTCCTCCACTGGGTGCCACCTGGTCCCCCACCCTGCCTCAGAGTATTGGGGTCTGGGCTCGTCCACCCTGGATGCTGGCCAGGAGTGCACCTGCCTCTGGAGCTCGGGACGCTTGGCCCCACAGGACGGTGTCGCACACCACAGCCGGCCTAACTTCACCCCTGCCTGCTCCCTCTCCAGGGCCGGCCTGCAGGGCTGCACACTTTCTAGTTGGGGTGCAGGTCCCCGGGCTCCTGCCACAGATTCCTGTGGCTGGCCACCCTGCCAACTCTCCTGCAGGTGAGGGTGGGCGCAATCCCCAAGGTCCTTTCCACCAGATGCCACTGAGTCCCCCAGGGGCCAGGGCTGGACCCTGGAGGGGGTCACCTGGCTGAAGTCAGGACCAGGAGGGGCAGGGGGCAGTCGAGGGGCAGGGGGCGGTCCTGGGCCAGGCGTCTGGCAGATGGGCTTGCTGGAGGTGGGGGTTCCTGGTGTGCAGCAGGCGGTGCCAGAGGGGGTGACTGGGACCTGCTCTGGGCAAGCACAGGCGGTGCGTGACAGACCTGGGCTTCCATTGACTGCATCACGTCCAGCAGCAGGAAGGGGCCACGGGGGCACTGGCGTCGTCACGTGGGTCACGAGGTTCCATGTGATGCAGGGAGCGAGGCCGTCACGAGGGACTCACTGGTGCCTGCCTTGGGGCTCCGGGACTGTGGGCTGTCTCCATCCGGAGGTCTCCCTACCACCAGGCTCTGTGGGGCAGGGAAGCCCAGTGGGGTGCAGGGAGCCAGGAAGCTGGGGTGGGGTCAGGGCAGGGTCCACAGGGAGACCGGGCGAGGCTGGCAGCCTTCCCAGTCCGCGCAGCGTCTCTGCAGGGGGAGCAAGAGCTGCCCTTCCACCCCTCCCAGGGGACGGGTAGGGGCACTCTGGGCTTTTCCCACCCCCTCACGCAGGGACACAGGCCTGGTGGGTCTATGACTGAAATTGGCCAGACCGCATTCTGGTGGTTTTATTCGGAAGGGAAGTTTACCCTGTTCAGCAGAAGCTGAGATGGGAACAGGAAACCCACAGGGCCCCTTTATTCGGCAAAAATGTCAGTCAGCGCCCCGGGGAGCAGCCGAGGGTCCCTGAGTGTGTGAGTGAGGTGGGGAAACACAGATGGACTTTGGGGGGCTCCCCCTTCTACAGGAAACCCGGAGTGGACTGGAATGGTGCAGGGGGAGAACTCGCCCCTCCCATCGGGCGCCTCCTTCATACCGGCCCTTCCCCTCGGCTTTGCCTGGACAGCTCCTGCCTCCCGCAGGGCCCACCTGTGTCCCCCAGCGCCGCTCCACCCAGCAGGCCTGAGCCCCTCTCTGCTGCCAGACACCCCCTGCTGCCCACTCTCCTGCTGCTCGGGTTCTGAGGCACAGCTTGTCACACCGAGGCGGATTCTCTTTCTCTTTCTCTTTCTCTTCTGGCCCACAGCCGCAGCAATGGCGCTGAGTTCCTCTGCTGGAGTTCATCCTGCTAGCTGGGTTCCCGAGCTGCCGGTCTGAGCCTGAGGCATGGAGCCTCCTGGAGACTGGGGGCCTCCTCCCTGGAGATCCACCCCCAAAACCGACGTCTTGAGGCTGGTGAGCCCCCGAGCCTCCTCTCCGTCTGCTCGCAGATCCCAGTTCTGACCCCAGGGCCTCCCACAGATCTCTTCCCCATGCCCCTGTCCTGGCCGTTGCTGGCTCCGGCGTCCAGCCCGTCCCCTGCTGCCTGGGGCTCTCGGGTCAACCCAGACCCCCAGCACTGGGCTCACCACAGTGGGGTGAGCAGCAGAGCCACAGCCCTACCCAGCAGACCTCCTCCTGCGTGTGTCCCCCACTCACCACTCCGTCCACGGGCAGCTGGTGAGCCCCCATTTGGCCGGATGTGGGCACTTCTGGGGGCTGGGTGTCTCTGGGCGTCTCTGGGCGGGGCCCTCGAGCAGGTGACCCAACTCCCCGGCAGCCCTGACCTTGGTGACAGGTGATAAGATCAGTGTGCAGCAGGGGGCTGGACCCAGGTGGGTGGGGTGGGGATACTCTCCATGCTCATGTGGCACTCCTGCCTGTCCAGCCACTATCCCCATCAGGGGCCCCCGACTGCCCATCAGCCAGCCCAGGAACGAGGCCACGGCAGAGCCACCCTCCCCGATGTGGCCCTGATCAGCCTGTCACCCACTGTCTGGCTTGTGAGCCTCTGGGGCCCATCCCTGGCTGCCCCTGCTGGCTCTTCAGGGGTCAGCAGGTCCAACCTAGGCCAGCAGGGGGGCCGGCAGGTTGTCTGCCCAGTGGGCTCAATGCTCCCAGGTGTGGGGTGTGGGGTCCCTGGCGAGGGCAGAGTTCCAGTTCCCAGGGCTCCGCGCTGCCAGGCAGCGTCATCAGGGCTGGAGGAGGGGCGGTCCCCACCCTATCCCGGGCTCCAGCGGTCGGCAAGGTTGTTCCATGAGCCTGGCCTGGGGCCCGCTTCTGTCCTCTCTACCAGGCACTGCCGCTCCTCCCCATTGCACAGAGGGAGATTCAGGCTGTGGGGCCAAGCCTGGCAGAGCCCACAGGGCAGCCAGGGCATCTCCCAATGCCTGTCCTGACCCCCTTAGGTGCTGTATCTCACCTTCCTGGGAGCCCCCTGCTACGCCCCAGCTCTGCCGTCCTGCAAGGAGGACGAGTACCCAGTGGGCTCCGAGTGCTGCCCCAAGTGCAGTCCAGGTAGGTGCAGCCCTTTGGCGGGCCAGCTCTGTGGGCCGAGGGCAGACACTCTTGCCCCCTTCTGCCCCAGACACCCCTGTGTTCTCTGCCCCCACAGCCATGGGTGTGATGAAGCCCTGGGGCTAGGTGTGCAGACAGTGAGGGCAGAACCCCCAGGCCAGCAGCTTGGACTCTTCACCCTGGGGGACCCTCACAGTCACACTGCACAGGGGGTGGGTCTGAGAGACGTGGCTGGCCCACCGTGGCCAGAGACATGGGCTCGGGGGCACATACCAGAGCCGGGCCAGGTGTCCCAGGAGGCCCCATGTGCTTCCAGAACTTTCCGATTTTCCCCAGAGCAGCTCTGCTCATGGCTGATGGGGCTGCTGTGTCCCGTGGGGCTCATGGGCCATTTGAGTCCCCTTAGCTGGTGTCTCCCTGCTTGGGCTCTGGGCGCGGGTGGAGTGATGGGTGGGCTCCCGAAGGGGCCTCCCGCAGACTTGCGAAGTTCCCACTCTCTGGGCGGCAGGTTATCGTGTGAAGGAGGCCTGCGGGGAGCTGACGGGCACAGTGTGTGAACCCTGCCCTCCAGGCACCTACATTGCCCACCTCAATGGCCTAAGCAAGTGTCTGCAGTGCCAAATGTGTGACCCAGGTAAGAGGCCAGCACAGCCGGCCCAGCCTCCGCTTGGGCAGCCTGGATGCCCCCGCACCCTGCACCCTCTCTCCATGGCCACAGTGCCCCAGGAAGGCCCCGGCTGCCCCAGGCCAGGTCCCAACCCCATCTCCATGGATGCACCCTGCAGGGGACGCCTTGAGGTCAGCCTCCGGCCCCCGTCCACCTCTGTCTCACCTCTCACTTTGTCACCGCCAGGTGGGCCATCCTGAGCTTGGCGACTGACCCTTATCCCTCGTCCTTGGCTCCTCTGGTGCCCGGGGTGGGTGCCCAGACCTCTCCTGTGCCCACGTCCCTAGCTGCAAAGTGGAATGGGATGGTGCTGGGACTCTCCGGCCGGCACTCGGGCCTGCTGCTTCCCCACAGGGCTTCTTGTCCCTTTCTCCTCCAGATATTGGTTCCCCCTGTGACCTCAGGGGAAGAGGTCACCTGGAGGCTGGTGCCCACCTGAGTCCAGGCAGACAGAAAGGGGAACCAGACCCAGAGGTGGCCTTTGAGTCACTGAGCGCAGAGCCTGTCCATGCGGCCAACGGCTCTGTCCCCTTGGAGCCTCATGCCAGGCTCAGCATGGCCAGTGCTCCCTGCGGCCAGGCAGGACTGCACCTGCGGGACAGGGCTGACGGCACACCTGGGGGCAGGGCCTGAGCCTACAGGGAGGCACAGGGCAGGTGGGCTAGCCATGAACAGAAGAGGAAGCTGGAGTGCTTTGGGGGTTCATGCATGTAGGCTGGGATTTGGGGCTCACACCTCAACCTGCATGCCCAGTTCCATGCCCCTCCCCTCTTGTGAAAGCACCTGTCTACTTGGGCTGAGGATGTGGGGGCACAGGTGGCAGGTGAGGCTGCCCTCAGGAGGGGCCCAGGCCCAGCTTGTACCCCACCTCCACCAGTACCTGAAGAAGTGGGGCTCTCACCCTACCTGCCTCTGCCATTGGAATGG
This sequence comes from Homo sapiens, assembly GCF_000001405.40. NCBI lineage: Eukaryota > Metazoa > Chordata > Mammalia > Primates > Hominidae > Homo > Homo sapiens. The sequence goes on from NC_000001.11 coordinate 2,559,429, forward strand.
CCTGGTTTGCACAGATGGGAAACCCGTTTGCGGGGTGGGTGTCTGGGTGGGCACGTGGGGCGAGGACCTGCCTGCGGGACCCTGCCCTGGAACTGACAGTGCAAGCTCGGCGTCCTGCCCATCTGGGCAGAAGGCTGGTTTCTCCCATCAACGAAGCCCTCCCAGGACCTTCCTGCAAGCCCTCGTCCCACACGCAGCTCTGCCGTCCCTTGGTGTCCCTCCCGGCCTCAGGTCCTCCATGCTGGGTACCTCTGGGCACCTCGTTTGGCTGAGCCAGGGGTTCAGCCTGGCAGGGCGCCCTGGCAGCAGTCCTTGGCCTGTGGATGCTGTCCTGGCCCGTGGATGGTGTCCCGGCCTCCACGTACCCCTCTCAGCCCCTCCTCTTGGACTCCAGCCATGGGCCTGCGCGCGAGCCGGAACTGCTCCAGGACAGAGAACGCCGTGTGTGGCTGCAGCCCAGGCCACTTCTGCATCGTCCAGGACGGGGACCACTGCGCCGCGTGCCGCGCTTACGCCACCTCCAGCCCGGGCCAGAGGGTGCAGAAGGGAGGTAAGCGGTGGGTGGCGGACACCCCTCCCATTTCCACCCTGGTCCCCAGTGCCCCGCTGTCTGGAGCCCCAGGTTTCCTCGACGGCATGGCCTGCCCAGGGGCCCTGGTGAGACAGAACCTTGGCCAGCCCCAGGCCCACCCACTTCAGCCCTGTCCTGGAAGCAGCCCAGTGGGGAACAGGTGATGGAGGCAGGGGAAGGGGCAAGGAAGGGCCACCCCAGGTTGCTCCACCTCGGGGTTCTGGGACTTCCCAGTCCCCAGGCCTCGCTCTCGGGCCCCTGGTCTGGAGCCTGGGTTTATGGGAGTGACCATGGTTAATGCCACTGTTCAAGCTAAGTCTAGGAGGAGTAAGTGTCCAGCCCTGGCCTGCATCTGGCCGGGCAGCCCCCGCAGCACTGCAGGATGTGGACACAGAGGGACTCCCGGACTCATGAGATCCCAGCTACTCAAGGCCGGGACAGCCAGAGCCACCACCCCAGGCCCCACCTCCAAGACTCTGGACAGGGAGCCTGCCCCTCCCCGCTGGTCCTCCCATCACCCGTAGAGCACCCAGGTCTAGAAGCTCACAGACAAGCAGTCCCTAGCCGCCAGCCCCCTCCTGGCCTGGTGCCCTCAGCCCCCTCTGTCCGTCCCTCTCTTCTCAGGCACCGAGAGTCAGGACACCCTGTGTCAGAACTGCCCCCCGGGGACCTTCTCTCCCAATGGGACCCTGGAGGAATGTCAGCACCAGACCAAGTAAGTGAACCCGGGGGAGGCCCAGCTCTGTGCCCTGGGGAGGGGGCTCCACGTTGCTTCCCTGGGAGATGACCGTCTTCTCCAGCAGAAAGGCTTGAAGGTCCCACCCTGAGCGGCACCCTGGTCACATGCCTGCGTCCAGGAGAGCTGCAGGGCTGAAGCCTGTGTGCCCCAGATAACCCCTTCCATGGGCCCAGACAAAGCCTCATCAGATCTGAGCTTCCTGGAGGCTCAGGATGGGCCTTCCCAGAAGCAGGCCCAGAGGGAGGCTGCCTCCAGATCCCCTGTCCCCTGGGGCTGTGGGTGTCCCTGAATGTCAGGGCCATGGGAGGGCCCCTGGGCTTCAGGGGTTGGGGAAAGTGAACACTCTGCTCTTTGTCCACCTTCGGGAGGACACCTTCAAATGCTGACCCTGGGCCCCTAACTGACCTGAGACTTCAGAGCTTCTTGGGAGGAGCTGGGGTCCCCCAGCGGAGCCTGGGATGGAGCAGGGATGGCTGCCCCAGGGAGGGGGCGGTGGGGCCTTCCATCCTGCTCTGCCCTCCTCGTCCTCTGGCCCCAGCTCAGTCCTGTCCATCTCCAGCTCTAACCATTTTTGTCCCGACACTGGCTCTCCCTCTACCTTCTGTCCTTGTCTGCCACTGGTCTCCCGTGCTCTGGGGTCTCTGCACTGCTGGCTGCCTCCCGCTTCTCTCCCCTCTCCCTCTGCCGTCCTGTCTCCTTTGCCCAGTCTCTCCTTGTTTCTCTTCTCCTCCTTCCTTCTCTCCACCTCCCCATAGCCGAGCTTGGAAAAGTCAGACAGACCTCTGAGGTCTCATCCTGGAGCTGCCACCAGCCCAGCCTCCCTGGGACCTGTCTTCACTGCCTGGGGCCCTGGGAGCCAGGGAGGCTCCCTGAGGCTGAGTGAACACTGGGCGCTGCACCTGCCTCTCCCACGTCCTCGGCCCCACTCCCGCAGGTGCAGCTGGCTGGTGACGAAGGCCGGAGCTGGGACCAGCAGCTCCCACTGGGTATGGTGGTTTCTCTCAGGGAGCCTCGTCATCGTCATTGTTTGCTCCACAGTTGGCCTAATCATATGTGTGAAAAGAAGAAAGCCAAGGGGTGAGCACACGGCGGCCCCATCAGGGCTCATGTCCCCAGCCGTCACCTCTTGGAGCTCTGTCACCCCAAGCCTGGGAGGTGGCCCCAGAGCTTTTCCAGGATCCGCGGCTCCTCCCAGGGCAGCCACTGCAGGCTGGGGCAGGTGGGCTTTCTGCTGTGGCCAGAGCCCAGGTGTCAGCTGGCCTCCCTGGGGGAAGGGAAGGTGGGACCCCTGACCGTGGAGCCCTCAGCCACCCCTGCCCACGCACTCTATGACCCTGTGCTCCTGCCTGCCCCCTGTGGGATGTGGGGAGCAGGACAGGCCCTGCTCAGCTGGGAGAAGCTCTGGGCTGAGGGTCAACAGCCGCCCTGCTGGGGACAAGGCTTTGTCCTCATTGAGGAGAGTAAGGCCATTCATTCATTCATTCATTCATCCACCTATCCGCCCTGGTCTGGGCACCTGTGCTGTGCCTGGCCTCCTGTGCCTGGCCTCCTGGGCACTGACCCCGCTGTGTGGACCCGGCTGTGGCCCTGGGAGCCCTGTGCACAGCCCCCGGGGACGCAGCTTCTAAGCATTGAGGTCTGAAGGGAAAGTCAGCCCCATCCTCCAGCCAGGCGGCAGCAAAGCCACCTGATCCTCACCCGGGGCCTCCAATGCGGGGAGGTCTCGGGGCCTCAGGCTCTAGGGTAGGCCGGGCAGCAGCTTAGTCTCACCCAACTGGGCACCTGCTGGTATGGTGGGCAGGGCCTCTCCACTGTGAAGCGCTTGTTCCCCTCCCATAGATGACGGTTGAATTAGGGTTAGTTATGCACTTGGGGGCCTCAGCTGGGGAGGTGGGCCGGGCGCCCCCAGTCCTATCACCCATGCTGGGCCTCCTGGGGACAGGCTGGGCTAGCAGTCCCAACACAGTTGGCCTCCTCTGCTCTCAGAGAGGGTCAGTCCCTTGGGGACGGTCTCCCAGGGAGAAGCAGGAGTTGTGCCTCCGCCACCGCTGTGAGACCATTGCCATGAGCCTGTGTCCCCTGATCAGACACTGCCCCTCCCTGACCTGTGTGTCTGTGTATTGCAGGTGATGTAGTCAAGGTGATCGTCTCCGTCCAGGTATTGATCCTCCTCCCCCTCTCCCTCCCCCCTCCACCTTCCCACCTCCCCTCTCCCCGCTGGGGCTGGTGTTTCTGGTGTACATGGTGGGGGCTCCCAGTTCTCTGAGGGTCCTGAGTCTTTCAAGTACAGCCACGGTAGCTCAGGAAAGAACCCACCCCCTCAAACTGAAAGCAGTAAAATGAACCCGAGAACCTGGAGTCCCAGGGGGGCCTGAGCAGGCAGGGTCTCCACGATTCGTGTGCTCACAGCGGAAAAGACAGGAGGCAGAAGGTGAGGCCACAGTCATTGAGGCCCTGCAGGCCCCTCCGGACGTCACCACGGTGGCCGTGGAGGAGACAATACCCTCATTCACGGGGAGGAGCCCAAACCACTGACCCACAGACTCTGCACCCCGACGCCAGAGATACCTGGAGCGACGGCTGCTGAAAGAGGCTGTCCACCTGGCGGAACCACCGGAGCCCGGAGGCTTGGGGGCTCCGCCCTGGGCTGGCTTCCGTCTCCTCCAGTGGAGGGAGAGGTGGGGCCCCTGCTGGGGTAGAGCTGGGGACGCCACGTGCCATTCCCATGGGCCAGTGAGGGCCTGGGGCCTCTGTTCTGCTGTGGCCTGAGCTCCCCAGAGTCCTGAGGAGGAGCGCCAGTTGCCCCTCGCTCACAGACCACACACCCAGCCCTCCTGGGCCAGCCCAGAGGGCCCTTCAGACCCCAGCTGTCTGCGCGTCTGACTCTTGTGGCCTCAGCAGGACAGGCCCCGGGCACTGCCTCACAGCCAAGGCTGGACTGGGTTGGCTGCAGTGTGGTGTTTAGTGGATACCACATCGGAAGTGATTTTCTAAATTGGATTTGAATTCGGCTCCTGTTTTCTATTTGTCATGAAACAGTGTATTTGGGGAGATGCTGTGGGAGGATGTAAATATCTTGTTTCTCCTCAAACTGTCACCTCCCGGTGTTTCTTGCTGAACAAGGAGTTCCAGGATGGCTGCTGGGCTGTTCGGGGGACCCCTGCCCTCCTCCCGTCATGCCTGGGGGTTCACTCCACCCAGAGAGGAGCCCTGGCCGCCCCTTCATATCCCAACAGCTGAGCTCTCAGTGGGCTCTTCTGACCTCTGTGGCTCCGTCCGAGGCTATTGCTGTGGATTCTGATGCTCAAATGGTGTCAGATTTGCCCAGTAAAAACCCCAGATCTACATCTGACCTACACTTCCCAGCTGTGTCCACCGAGAAACCCCAGTATCAGTGACGCCTGCTGTGCCCAGCCCTCTCCACCTGCTCCGGGAACCCGCCAGGCCCAGGTCCCGCTGGCAGGGGCTTCACCAGGCCTCTGAGCCACACATTCATTTAATGGTCGGGATGAGGCCCCTTTCCCCACATCTGAAGTTAGAAGCGGTGAGGGGAATGACCCTGCAGCCATGCCATGAGGATGGAGGCCACATAGCCCCTCCGAGCATGCCCGCTCCACCCCGCCCTACCCCCTCTCCTTTCCTTGTCACCTGCCTCCAGCAGAGCCCCCAGGCTGAGCCACCCACCCCAACTCCTCTCCTGCCACCCCTTGTCCTGTGGAAGCTTTGGCTTAGCGTCCTGGGGTGTGGAGAGGCCCATGCAGGCCAGGTGGAGCCCTGGGCCCCTAGAAAGCAGCACTTCTGGCTGCCCCACCCCGTGTCACCCTCTCCCCAACTGGAGGCGTGGTCTCCAGGGACCACGGGCCTCCCTGTGCATGGACCGGCTCCTGACCACCGTCCAGGGTCATTGCCAGGGTACCTTTTCAGAGGCTGACCCCATAGACCTGGCTGCCCCCCAGTGCTAGATGGGAGCCAAGCACAGCCTGCCCTTCTGCCCACAGTCCCGGGGGCAGGTGGGAGCATGGGGCCATGGAGTGAGCGGGCAGGGGTGGCAGAGGGCTCCCTGGTCAGGGGCCCCAACTTCCCTTCCCCCAGGGAGGCCACCTGACATCTGGGCTCCAGGCACAGCAGGAAGCCCACCTGCCCCAACCTGTAGCTCCTCCTCCTGGGAGGAGCCATGGATCCTGGAAAAGCTCTGGGGCCACCTCCCAGGTTTGGGGGGACAGAGCTCCAAGAGACGACGGCTGGGGACACGAGCCCTCATGGGGCCGCTGTGTGCTCACCCCTTGATTTTCTTCTTTTCATGCATGAGATTAGGCCAAGTGTGGAGAAATCAATGATGTTGACGATGAGGCTCCCTGAGAGAAATCACACCCAGCGGGAGCTGCTGCTCCCAGGTCTGGCCTCGGTCACCAGCCACCTGCTGCATCCGCGGGAGTGGGGCCGAGGACATGGGAGTGGCAGGTGCAGCCCCCGGTACTCACTCAGCCCCAGGGAGTGTCCCTGGCTCCCAGGGCTCTGGGAGGTGAGGGCAGGTCCCGGGGGAGGCTGGGTTAGTGGCAGCTCCGGGATGAGACCTCAGAGGTCTGTCTGACTTGTCCAAGCCCGGCTATGGGGAGGTGGGGGGAAGGAAGGAAGAGGAGAGAAATAAGGAGAGGCTGGGCAAAGAAGACAGGACGGCAGAGGGAGAGGGGAGAGAAGTGGGAGGCAGCCAGCAGCGCAGGGCCCTGAGAGTATTTCAGCGGCACCGCTGTCCTGGGCCGCCCGGTGCCACATCTTTGAAAACAGTTGTTTAATTTAAGCTTGTCCACTCAGTAGCTGTTGAATGTGGGAGGTTATCTTGTTCTATTCAAGTTGCTATAAAAATAAAAACTACCATAGACTGGGTGGCTTAACAAGAACAGAAATTCGGCAGGGCGAGGTGGCTCACGCCTGTAATCCCCACACTTTGGGAGGCCGAAGCGGGCAGATCATTTGAAGTCAGAAGTTTGAGACCAGCCTGGCCAACAGGGTGAAAACCGGCCTCTACTAAAAATACAAAAACTAGGTGGGCATGGTGGCGGGTGCCTGTAATCCCAGCTACTCGGGAGGCTGAGGCAGGAGAATCGCTAGAACCCAGGAGGCAGAGGTTGCAGTGAGCTGAGATCCCACCACTGCATTCCAGCCTGGGCAAGTGAGCGAGACTCCATCTCAAAAAATAAAAGAACAGGAATTTATTTCTCACATTTCTGGAGGCTGGAGGTCCAAGATCAAGGTGCCGGTAGATTCGGGGTCTGGTGAGGGTCTCTTCCTGGTTCCTAGATGGCTCCTCATTGTGTCTTGACACAGTGGTCGGGGTGAGGGAGCCTTCTAGGTCTCTTTTTTAAGGGCACTAACCCATTCCTGGGGCTTCCGCCTTCACCAACCACCTAAACACCTCACCTCCTCCGTGAGGTCTTCTCTGATTGCTGAGTAAGCCCTGTCCCCGCTCCCTGTTCCCTGTGTCCGCCCGCCTTGACCCTCCACCCCTTTTCTCCCTTTTCTGTGGTCTGCCCGCTCTCCTGGAATGCAGACTCCAGCAGTCCAGGGTGTTACCTCCCAGGCAGCAGGAGGAAATGTCCCAGGCTCCCGACGCAGCGCCTAGCGCCCCCGGCTAAGTACAGCACTCACTCCTTCATCCATTCAATCCATTCAGTGTGGGCTGTCCCAGCACCAGCACCGCCAGGCCTTGTGCAGCAAACCAGGGTCATCAGGGAGGGAATGAGGCAGCCCAAGGAGGCGGGAGACGGGGCCCTCTCCAGCCCCCAGCGGTCCCCACCGACCCGGTTGCCCACAGGATATCACCGCCCCCATCCCAGGGCCCACCAGAACCAACAGGGAGAGAGAGGCAGGTGAGCACCCCCCAGCCCCGCGCCTCCTGTCAAGGGGACTCCCCAGACACAATGGTCCCTGGTGGCCCACGGCCTCTCCTCCCTACACCCCCATGACCTGGGCCCAGGGACACAGGGCCCCTCCCCACTCCTGTCACAGCCAGGGCCTGAGCCCAGAGACCCCAGGATCCCACTGGGCGATGCCCTCCCCACGAACTCAGGGCCAGGGGCCAGGCCGCGGATTTATTTATTTATTTATTTATTTATTTATTTATTTATTTATTTTGAGACGGAGTCTCGCTCTGTCACCCAGACTAGAGTGCAGTGGCACCATCTCGGCTCACTGCAACCTCCGCCTCCCGGGTTCAAGCGATTCTCCTGCCTCAGCTGCCTGAGTAGCTGGGATTACAGGCGCCTATAACTGCGCCTGGCTAATTTTTGTATTTTTAGTATAGACGGGGTTTCACCATCTTGGCCAGGCTGGGTTAGAACTCCTGATCTCGTGATCCACCCACCTCAGCCTCCCAAGGTGCTGGGATTACAGGCGTGAGCCACCACACCCGGCTTCAGGCAGGGGATTTAGAGGGCATTCTGGGCACACCTCCCCCCGGGGCAGATGGGGAAACTGAGGCTGAGACTGGTCAGTGTCACGGGCACAAAACACAGACCCTCACCCCCAGGCTGGGCCTCCCCCCATCACTCTGCAACAGCTGAGGAGCCCCAGGCCCCCAAGAGTCCAGCACCGCATCACCCCACTGCCCTCCGTGAGGCCCTCCACACAGCCCCGACCTGGGTCTCCATGGATCCCCACAGGGTCAGCCCCACACCCCAACCTCCCGGCAGGGCCGTCTCCAGGGGACTGTCCAGAAACCCCCAAAGATGCTTCCCTTTTCTGTTGATGGGAGCCCCTGGGCACAGAGGATGGGACAGCGGCTGTGGGTACCCGAGGGCTGGAGCCACACCCTAAGGGATGGAGGGCAGGGTCCGGGGCCCAGTTAAGGGCTCCCCCTCCACTCCTGCGCCTTCAAGGTCGGCCTGCACCTCCCCTGCTCTGTGCCAGTGCAGGCCAGGCAGGGGGCTGAGGCCGAGGCCTGGCCATTGCCCTCCTGGTCACGATCTGGTGAAGGATTTGAGTCCAGAAGCCAAACGTCTACAGTCGTGTGGTGCGGACACTCAGGATGGACTGCCCAGGCCATGGGGGGCTCTGAATGAAGAGGAACCTGCGGGGGCGAGGTGGGCTGCGCGTCTGCAAGAAAGTGCATGAGTTGAGTGCTGCTGCAGAGGGAAGCTGGGGTCCACCGCTGGTGAGCGGGGAGGGGACGGGACACAGAACCGGCCGTGGCCCACCCCGAGACGGAGGCGCAGACACCAGGCCCGTTCTGTGCTCTGGAGGCTTTGGGCAGCTGTCAGGCTAGTGGACGGTGTGCAGAGCAGATGGAGGCGTGAGGAGGCGGCTCCGGGGTCACCTAGGTGGGCAGCCCTCACAGGGGAGGCCGAGGGGGAGGGCAGGAGGGCGGAGCAGGCGGCGGTGCAGGAGGCCCGTGGAACTTGGAGGGCTCTGTGTCCAGCTCTCATGGCCCAGGGCGGGGGCAGCTCCAAGGCCTCGGGCTTGGGGACAGAAGGGAGAGGACTTGGGGGTTGGGGGTGGTCAGAGCATTGTGGGAGGGATCTGGGGCAGCTGGGGCTTCCCAGAGGGTGAGGTGTCTGCTGGGAATTGGGGCAGCCCCAGGCGTCCCCAGGCCTCCAGCCCAGCCCCGGTTCCTCCCCGCTGCAGGCCAGGGTATCAATTGCCTGCTGGGAAACCTCAGGGTGCCTCTGTCTCAAGTGCCTGCCCCTGACACTCCTGGCCCTGGGCTCCCCCCGCCTCCCCGTCCGTCTGCTTTCCCCACCTCCTCCCCTCCCCTGGCCGTCTTTCTGCCTCGGGGATGGCGTCACCTCTCACCCCAAATCAGGACCCTGGGCCCCAGCTCTGTTCCCCACCTCACCTTCCTTGTGACCAACTCCTGACCTCCCATGGGCTTGGGGTGTCTGTGGCCGGAACATTCCTCAGACCCTCTCCTCCAGCCCCACTCTGTCCCACCACCCGGGCATCCCCCACCTGGGTTCCAGCCCTCCAAGGGGCCCCACGCTCTGTGTCCATGATCAGGACACTCACACGCACCCAGCTCGCGCCCTTCCTTCCAGACATTCGAGCTCTGGAAGCTCACAGTCACCCTAGCTTAGTGCACAGCCACAGGCCAGGCACCTTCAACATCCCCACCTTCCAGGTGAGGAAACCGAGGCACCGAGAGCTGGGGGCCAGGCCAGGGGGTCTCCCTGGGGGGAGCAGAGGAGTGTCGGACCTCAGAAGAGGCTCTGGGGGTCTGAGCCGCCACTGGGCGCTGCCTTCCAGGTTCAGCAGGGACAGAGCTCAGGGGGAAGGCACCTCCCGTCTTGGTTCAATACATGGACCCCTGACCCTGGGAAAGGGACTGAGCCAGGGGAGGCCTCAGGTCACTGCACCATGAAGTTGTGGGGAGCTGCGGGGGCCTCTGGGCTCCGAGCTGGGCAGGCACAGCGTGGGGACCACGTGCTGAGGGGAAGAAGCGTGCCAGGGTGGATGTCTCAGTGCACACACAGGAACGTGAAATGGCTGAGCCGGCCCAGAGAGGCAGCGGAGCGTGTGCGGGGTGGCCGGCGGAGAAGCAGCAGGATCCCAGGCGGGAGGGCACGGCCTTCTGAGAGGCAGGTTGCAGGACAATACTCAGTGTTTTGATCCAGGAGGTCCTATTAGGGCGTTTCATTGATAAACGCACATTTGAGGTGGAGGGTGGCCAGTGTAGAATGTGCCTGGCAGCTTTCACAGCAAAGGAGAATTCTAGAACCAACCGAAGTGCCCCTCTGAAGGGAGCTGGTCCCGTCCGTTCCAGCCGCCGTGGAGTAACACAGCCAGCAGTTTCCCTCCTGCCACGAAAGCTCGAGACTGAAACTCAGGATGAACTGTTTTCAGCCCGGGTCACCCCAGCCCTGGGGTGGAGGCCCATTGAGGATGGCCGAGCAGGGGCGGGCATCCAGGCAGGTCCAGCAGTCCTGGCGGGCTGAGGAGAAGGAGGTCAGGGCTCAGGGAGGCATCCGCAGAGGGACCTGGCAGGCAGAGCTCCGGAAAGGAGGGAACTGCACAGACAGAAAGCTCCAGAAGGCTGCCTGAGGGTCTCTGAGGCCTCCGGAGTCGGGCGCCATGCATGTGGAAGGTGGACTTTCAGCATGGGTGGGACCCTAGGGGGCTGTGGACCCCCGGCCCCTGGGACTCACAGGTGGGAGACAGGAGTTCCGACCGCCAGGGGGAGAGTCCTGGAGGATCCTGGGCTGTCGGCAGCCACCCAGCAGGGCCCGTCCTGGGAGTGGGGCTGGACTCTTCCTGCAGGAAAGGCTGGGCTGGACCTGCTCTAAGAGGCTTCAGAACCAGCCACACGAAGACCAAAGTGAAGAGCAAGGAGCTGAACTCCACGCAGAACACAGCGCAGCGTCCTTTAAAGGAAGGCCCAAAACAACCCAACAAAAATGCCAGGTGATCAAAGCCGTCACAGCACAATGTCCACATCCAATGAGAAATTGCTGCTACGTCCAGATGCAGGGAAGAGTAACCATGGGAATGTGGGTCAGTAGCAACAGGCCCAGAAGGGCAGCCACAGTGGAATTGTCAGGCGTGGACCCTGAAATGACAATCACAACGTCCTCTAAAGGAAAATGTAAGCCTGGTGTGAGAAACGGAGGACAAAACAAAGAGCCAGGTCTGAAATGAATAACGTCCTTGTAGGCACACCAGTCCCCCTGGGCGGCTGTCACAGGACGCCGCGGTCTAGCTGGCTTCCCCGACGGAAATGCTGTCTCAGGCCTGGAGGCTGGAAGCTGGCGTGAGGGTGGCAGCAGGTTTCGCTCCCTGGGAGCTCGGCTGTGGTCTGCAGATGGCATCTTTCCGTGTGTCCTCACGCAGTCGCTTCTCTGTGTGTGCACTTCCCTGACGTGTCTCTGTCCAAACTTCCTCGTCTGAGGAGGACTCCAGTCATTCTGGATCAGGGCCCACCCATATGGCCTCATTCAGCCAGTCACCTCTTTACAGTCCAATCTCTTCATCCCATCCCATTCTTAGCGTGAATTCTGGAGGGATCCTGTTCAGCCAATAACAGTAGGATTAGGCCAGGTGTGGTGGCTCACACCTGTAATCCCAGCACTTTGGGAGACTGAGGCAAGAGGATCTGCCCAGGAGTTCCAGACCAGCCTGTGCACAGGCAAAACCTCATCTCTCCAAAAAAGACAAAAATTAGCCAGGCCTGGTGGCGCACACCTGGAGTCCCACTTACTTGGGAGGCTGAGGAGGGAGGATCAGTTGAGCCCGTGAGCCCCGGAGGTCACGGCTGCAGAGAGCCATGATCACACCACTGCACTCCAGCCTGGCCGACAGAGGAGGCCCTGCCTCAAAACAAAAACAAAAACAGGAGGATTAACAACAGATTAGACAGCTCAAAAGGAAACACCAGTGAACTTGAAGATATACTATCAGAATCTACCCCAAATGAAAAACACACAGAAAATGAATAAATGAACGTATTCTCAAAGATCTCCTGGAAAATATCGAGCTGCCTAACAGAAGTGCAGTTAGAGTCTCAGAGAAACAGAAAGAGGCAGGAACAGAAAATCATTTGAAGAAAAAGCAGTGAAAGTTTTCTAAACTACAAGAAAACTGTGATCCCACAAATGCAGAAAGCTCAACAGACCCCAAGAGGGGTAAATAGAGAGGCATGCACTGCACAGCAAATCCTAATCAATGCCCAGGAACCAGGGACACAGAGGGGACCTGGACACCGGGGTCAGGTGAGGCCACCTTTGGGTACAAAGACGCAAAGATAAGGGCCGTGCGGACTTGTCCCCAGGAACAGTTCAGGTCAGAAGGTGAGCAAAACATTTTTACAATGCTGAAAGAACATTTCACCTTTGAACTCCAAACCCAGTGAATCTGTCTGTCAAAAATAGACCACGCTCGGTGGCCTCCGCCTGTGGACCCAGCAACTCGGAGGCCGAGGCAGGAGGATCACTTGAGCCCCAGGATTCAAGGCCAGCTCTGGCAACAGAGCAAGACCTTGTCTATTAAGCTACAAAAATAAATGAACTGGAGGCTGGGCCCAGTCTAGGGGACTGAGGCGGGCGGATAACTTGAAGTCAGGAGTTTGAGATCAGCCTGGCCAACATGGTGAAATCCCATCTCAGCTAAAAATACAAAAATTATCCAGGCATGGTGGCACATGCCTATAGTCCCAGCTACTCTGGAGGCTGAGGCATGAGAATCGCTTGAACCTGGGATGCAGGGGTTGCAGTGAGCCAAGCTCCCACCACTGCACTCCAGCCTGGGTGACAGAGTGAGACCCTATCTCAAATATATATATGAAAGCAAATCAAAGACTGAGGACATACTGACAGCTGAGAGAATTTCTCAGCAGCAGACAGATTTGCATGACAAGAAACATCCAAGGACTTTCTTCAAGCACAAGGAAGTTTTTTCATAGGGAAATTGTTTCTTTTTTTTTTTTTGAGATGGAGTCTCACTCTTTCTCCAAGCTGGAGTGCAGTGGTGCCATCTTGGCTCACTGCAACGTCTGCCTCCTGGGTTCAAGGGATTCTCCTCCGTCAGCCTCCCATGTAGCTGTGATTACAGGTGTGCACCACCATGCCTGGCTAATTTTTGTATTTTTAGTAGAGATGGGGTTTCACCATGTTGGCCAGGCTGGTCTCGAATTCCTGACCTCAGGTGATCCGCCCACCTTGGCCTTCCAGAGTGCTGGGATTACAGGCGTGAGCCACCTTGCCTGGCCTCATGTGGAAATTGAAATCTGCTCAAAGGAATTATGGATGAAAGAAATGGCAAATGTGGGAGGAAATTTTTTTCTCATTTTTAAATATCTTCAAAAATAATAAAATGCTTAACGCAAATATGTTAGTGATGCATTGTGACATTTAAAGCATATACAATTAAAACCTATGACAGTAGTATAAGTTATGAAAGGGAAAGGCAAGTGTGTGCTGGTGAGATTCTTCTGCATTTCCCGCTGCGTGGGAAGGTGCAGGCATGTTTAGTGGTCACACAACCTGAATATAGGCTGTGATAAGTGCAGATGGATGTCACAAACCCTTCAATAACCACTAAATAAGGAAAACAAAGATGTATCACTAAGAAGGCAACCATGGGGATGAAATGAAATACTACAGAAATAATCAAACAGAAGGTAGGACAACGGGAAATCAGAAATATGAAACAGCAAATAATAGAAAGATGGTGTGCCCACATCCAGCTGTATAGGTAATGACTTTGAATATAAATGGCCTAAATAGTCCAATTAAATACAGAAATGGCCATATCAGATACAAAACCAACAGCCAACTAAAGGCTGACTACAAGAAACCCACTTTACATTTTAAGAAATGGGCTGGTTAAGCCAGGTGCGGTGGCTCATGCCTGTAATCCCAGCACTTAGGGAGGCAGAGGTGGGAGGACAGCTTGAGCCCAGGAGTTCAAGACCTGCCTGGGCAATATAGAGAGACCCTCTTCTGCAGAAAAAGGGGAAAAAAAGACACACACACACAAAAGAGAAATGGGCTGGGTAAAAGCAAAAGGATTGCAGCTGGAAATTACAAGACAGAGCTGCAGAGACCAGGGAGTGGTGCAGAAGCTGAGCCCAGGAGATGGCATGCAGAGTCGCCCCATGCCTCAAGTCTGCAGGTGAGACAGGATGTGTCTTTCTAAAGGTCAGGAGCCAGGCAAGGACTCCCATCCTACCACCTGCACTCAACATGGTACTGGAGGTCCTAGCCAGTGCAATAAGACAAGAAAAAGAAATGGAAGGCATAGAGATTGGACACAAAGGGGGAAAAAGACATTGCCTCTTTGCAGAGAATGTGCTCATGTGTATAAAAGTCCTAAGAAATCGACAAAATGCCTGTGAGAACTAGTCACTTTATTATCAAGGTCACAAGATGCAAGGCCAATATTTTAAAAACTAAACATTGGAATTTGAAGTATAAGGGAAACAAGAACATATTTGCATCAAAAAACAGGAAATGCTTAGGGGAAATTTAACAAAATACCCGCAAGGCCAGTGAAAACGTTGTCGAGAGAAGTGAAAGAAGTTCTAATAACTGGAAAGGCATGGCATGTGGATACATCAGAAGACCAAGTATGAGGAAAATACCCATTGTCCCCCAAATGGACCAATGCAATCCCAGTCAACATTCCAGCAGGCTTGGTCGTCGAAATCGAGAAACTGATTCTAAACATGTATATGAAAACAGACAGGACATTTACCAGCCGAAATAATAGTGAAAAGGAAGAGCGAAGTTGGAGTATTTTCATTTCCTGACTTAAAGACTTACTGTAGAGCTTCAGCCATTGAGAGAGAGTGGGGCGGGCATGAGGCGTGCCAATAGGTCAATGAAACAGGAGCGGCCAGAGAGAGACCCATTCACAGATGATGCAAGCATTTCTGACAGAGGTGTCAAGGTAATGCAATGTGAAGAAGGTAGTCTTTTTGGCAAACAATTTCTGGAATACTGGATAAATGACAGGGGACAATGGCCTTAATCTTTACCTACACGACACAAAAAATTAGCTTGAAACGAACGATAGGCTTGAATGTAAAGCTCAAACTATAAGACTTCCTGCGAAAAACATTGGAGAAAATATCTGTGACCTGGACGTGGGCAAAGATTTCTTAGACAGGACGCAGAACACAAGAGCTACGAGAGAAAATGTTTGAAATTGGGACTTATTGACATTAGCAACTCCTGCTCTTGGAAGTATGCTTTCCAGGAAATGAAAAGGCAAACCACGCATTGGGTGACAATTCCAACACTCTGAGAAAATTCTTACAAGTCAATACGAGGACAAACAGCACTATTGTTTTTTAATGGGCAAGATTTGAACTTCACCAAAGCCATGAAAGGGTGGTCAGCATGCACAGTCATTCGGGAAATGACGTTAAACCACTGTGAGATTCCACTCCACACCCGTCACGGTGATGGAGAGGAAAAGTTCTGACCATACCAAGTGTGGGAAGGACATGGGGTAATTAGAGCTCCCACGTGCTGCTGGCAGGAGCCTGAAATGGTACAGCTTTGGACATCGGTTTGGCAAATTCTTTTAGAGAGAAACACACACCTTCCCTAGGACCCAGCAACTCCACTCCTAGTAACCAAGTGAAATGGAAGGAGTTGTCCTCAGCAAAACGTGTGTGCGAAAGTTCACAGTCACTTTCTCGGTGATAACCAAGAGCTGGAAACCACTGCAACACCCACCAGCAGGTGAACGGATTAACACACTGGGCTAGGGCCACACAATGAGATGCTACGTGGCAACACAAAATGAACCGTGGACACACACTGCACGGCGGATGAATATGCAGACATCAGGCCACGTGAAGGGAGCCAGGCCCCGAGGCGCCACGCTTTGTGATTCAGGTGAAATTCTGGGACAGGCAGATCTAACCTGCTGGGAGAGAGAGGTC
Source organism: Homo sapiens (assembly GCF_000001405.40). NCBI lineage: Eukaryota > Metazoa > Chordata > Mammalia > Primates > Hominidae > Homo > Homo sapiens. Next base: position 2,575,116 of record NC_000001.11, read on the forward strand.
AAGGATGATGTGGCCAGGGCTGGGGAGGGGTTGGGAAGGGGCTCATGTTGCTGGGGTGTCAAAACAAAGCAAAGGGCCACAGACTTGGGGGCTCAAGAAATGGAAACGCAATGTTGTCATGGTTCTGGGGGCTGGAAGTCCAAGATGCAGGGGCAGGTGGGGTTGGTTCCCTCCTGGGCCTGCAGATGGTACCTGCTCCCTATGTCCTCACAGGGTGGTCCCTCTGCCCCCAGGACACTGGCGCCTCTTCTTCCTATAAGGACACCATTCCTCCTGTGTAGTGCTGGCCATCATTACGTCTCTTCACCTTAATCAGTTCTTTGAGGGCCCCATTTCCAAACATAGTCACACTGGGGTGTAGGGCTTAGACCTGTGAATTGGGGGAAACGTCATTCAGTCCATAGAAGCTCAACAAGGGAACTTTCTTGGAAATGTCTTCATCACAAAAGTGATGGTGGTTATGTGAGGGCAGGCACTTGCCAGACTCAAGGCTCACAGGCTCACAGCGGGTGTACTTTATTGGACGTCATACGGACCCTGAAGCAGGTGATGTTTCCAAGTGGGAATTGGTACCAGGCTGTCCTATGTCTGTCCATCCCTTGGGTCCGTCTGCACGGAACAGACCCGTGGCCCACAACCCCAGTGTGGCTGCAGCCTGATGAATCCAGGAGTCTTGGCCCAGCCCCGAAGCCCCTGGGAGGTCCGGCCCCACCCTGGGAAAAGTCCAGGCTGTGCCCAACTCTCAGAAGATGTTGACACCCATAGGGGCCCTGCCCCTGGCAGACTGCTCGGGCCTCCTTGGGCCGCTCCTTCCCTGATAGTCACAGGCTCTGAGGAGGTCGCATTCCACCTGCTCCACCGCGGGCTCCGGCAAACCCAGGTCTCCCCACCCCAGCCACTCCCGGCCCAGCCCTGCCCTGGGTTCACTTCCTCAAGGTCTGGTGTCCCCTCCCCCGAGCACTGTTTGCTTCTCTGTGTATGTATGTTTGCCCACATGTGTACACTTTTTTAGGCTGTGTTAATCTGTTCAACTGGTCAGGACAAAGTCCCACAGACTGAGTGGCTGAAGCCATGGGCAGCATTTTCCCACAGTCCTGGTGGCGAGAGGTCCCGGAGCCAGCGCAGGCAGGGTTGGTTCCAGGCAGCGTCTCTTCCTGGCTTGCAGAAGGGACCTTCTCATTATGTCCTCACCCGGCCTTCCCCTTGGCCAGGGCAGAGAGAGGGCGCTTGGTGTCTCTCCCTCCCTACAAGTCCACCTCCAAATGCAGCATCACTGGGGCTTAAGTCTCCACACAGAAAATCAGGGGAGACACAATTGGGTCCAGAACTGTCTCGGCTGGAATTCGGGTTCCCGGCGTGGCTCCACCAGGGCAGCAGCCCCAGAGGCAAAGAGGTCTCCTTCTCCGGCTGAGCTCATCCCTGGGGCTGAACTTTGCTGAGAGGATCAGCTCCCAGGCCTGGCCAGCCCTCCAGTGAGCACCAACTACGCTGGCTGCAGGGAGTGCTTGTGTCTGAAGAACTCCAGGCTGGTGTGCCCAGAGGGCGGCTGGAGGGGCTCAGAAACCATTTTCACTTTTCTGTCTCCTCCATGTCTGCACTGTTTGGGTTTGTACCCGCCTGTGTCGCTTTTGCACGGGAAGTGAGATGGAGAGACACGTGAACCACCATTGCTGGGGTTCCAGCATGGGGCCCCAGGGGACCCATGGTTTCCCAGAAGGAAGCTCTGCCATTGGACAGCCGGTCTCAGGCTGCTGCACAGGCCCCTCCCCGCCCTCAGCCCTGGCCTGCGGGAATCAGGAAAGGGTGGGGTCCAGCTGCATTGCGAATGGACTAAAGCCACTGATTTGCACACTTGCCAATGGCTGAAATGGTCAATAAAACGTCATGTACCTTTTGCCACAGGGAAGAAAGCACGCAGCCAAAGAGCGCAAAGAGGCTCAGAGGAGGCCCGGGTGCCCTGGAGAGACGCTGCGTCCTGACGACACAGCATCCCTGTCCCGCAGCGGAGATTTCCCAGATGAAGGATTCCCCGGCGGGAGACAGGGCCCTGCACACAGGTCCTCTGCCATGCTGCTCACCATGCCTGTGTGTTATCTCACCATGAAAAGTCACCTAGGCCAGGCATGGTGGCTCACGCCTGTAATCCCAGCACTTTGGGAGGTGGAGGCGTGCGGATCATCTGAGATCAGGAGTTTGAGACCATCCTGAGTAACATGGTGAAACCCCATCTCTACGAAAAATACAAAAATTAACTGGGCGTGGTGTTGGGCACCTGTAATCCCAGCTACTTGGGAGACTGAGGCAGGAGAATCACTTGAACCTGGGAGGCAGAGGTTGCAGTGAGCTGAGACCGCGCCATTGCACTCCAGACTGGGCGATGAGCAAAACTCCATCTAAAAAAAAAAAAAGTCACCTAAAGGATTAACAGTGTCAAACAGAGACGGAGGCTCTCGGAAGTCACAGCGTTTGCAGCAAGGTGGCTCCCAGAGCTGGGAGGAAAGCCCCGCCTGCAGCCAAGCTCCTGCTCCACCACCCCAGGTGCAGAGGGGCTGCCCCAGGCGGGGGACTCCAACTCCCTCTCAGCCAGGGCCAGGCCTGTGGGGTCCGGGCCTTCTCAGGGCCGAGGCCTCACTGCCCGAGCACGGGCCCTGCCTGCGGCAGTTACGCGGATGGTTCCTTTTTAAACGCAGGAGCTGCCGTCATCTTCTCTCACTCAACGGTCATCATGGAAAGTGAAAACGACGGTGCGGCTCCTCCCACGGAGGAGAGACAAGCTCACAGGTGGGGAAGCCAGACCCTCGAGGGTGAAGTGGGGGGCACAGCCCCGTCCTCCCTCAGATGCCCCGAGATAGGCCAGGGTGGGAGAAAGGGGCACCTGTCCCAGGCACTGGGTGGCCGCTGCCCGGCAGAGGGTCTCTGCCCCCATCAAAGGGAAGTGGAGGCCCCCAGGGTAGGTTCTGTTTGGCCTGCATTTATGAAGCACCTACTTTATGTCTGGAAGTCAGGGGGCCCGGGGCAGGCTCTGTTCAGCCCACATTTATGAGGCACCCACTATATGCTGGGCAGTGAGCACTGGGATGGCTGCCCAGGCTGGCCTGTCCCACGGAGGAGAGACAGGCTCACAGCAGGGAAGCCAGAACCCCGAGTGTGAAGTGGGGGGCATGGGATCAGAGGTGGCCCAGACCCCATGAGCTGGGGCTGCACCAGGCACAGAAAGAGCAGTGACAGCGACTCATGGCTTCGGGCTGCTCAGCTCCTGCCCGTGCCCACTGCAGGAAAAAACAAGGACTTCCGCCTCCCTGCGGTCCCTCCCCCACACCCGCCCACATGGCCAGGACGTGACTGTCACCATGGGGACTTCCGCAGGGCCTGGTGCTTTCCCAGACAGGTGACTGCCAGTCTGGTCTCAGCCTCCCCTAAGCAACATTCCAGGATCCTGCGGAAAGACCCACCCAGGCCTGGGCCTTCCCTAGTCTGTGCACCACTGCGTTTGAGACGCTGGGCTGTGACCCCTGGCGGCAGCTCCACTCTGCTGGAGCTGGGGCTTGTTTTAAATTATGACCTAAAACTCTAAAACCCTCGCCTGTAATCCCAGCACTTTGGGAGGCCGAGGCGGGTGGATCACGAGGTCAGGAGATAGAGACCATCCTGGCTAACACTGCACTCCAGCCTGGGCGACAGAGCCAGACTCCGTCTCAAAACAAACAAACAAACAAACAAAACACTCTAAAACCCTCAAAGGAAAACACAAGCCTCTTGATGTTAGACTTGGTAGTGATTTCTTGATTTCTTGGGTATGACAGGAAAAGGACAGGCAGAAACGTGTAAAATAGATACATGGGGCTTTACAAACAAGAATGAATAGAATGAAAGGCAACACATGGACTGGGAGGAAATGTATCAGATAAGGCATTCCGTCTAGAATTTGTAAAGAACCCTCACACCCCAACAACATCAAAAACAAACCACTGGGTGAAAAAATGGAAAAGGACTAGAATAGAGAAGACACACAAATGGCCACCATGCCCCTGAAACAAGGCTCGGTGCCACCAAGCATTTGGGAAATGGGAAACGCAAATCAGAACAACGGGGAGACCACCTCAGGCCCAGCGGGATGGACGGCTTCTTTTAAAGCCCCCAATACAGAGAATAAGATTTTTTTTTTTTTTTTTTTTTTTTGAGACAGAGTCCTGCTCTGTCGCCCAGGCTGGAGTGCAGTGGCGAGATCTTGGCTCATTGCAACCTCTGCCTCCCGGGTTCAAGGCATTCTCTTGCCTCAGCCTCCCGAGTAGCTGGGACTACAGGCACCTGCCACCATGCCCCGCTAATTTTGTATTTTTAGTAGAGACGGGGTTTCACCATGTTGGCCAGGCTGGTCTTGAACTCCTGACCTCAGGTGATCCACGCACTTTGGCCTCCCAAAGTGCTGAGATTACAGGCATGAGCCACCGTGCCCGGCCTGGAGAGGAATAATTGTTGCTGAGGAAGGGGAGAAATTAGAATTCCCGTGCACTGCTGGCGGGAATGGGACATGGTGCAGATGTTGTGGAAACCATTAGGGCAGTTCCTCTAACAATTAAAACTACAATGACCATGTGATCCAGCCACTCCGCTTCTGGGTATAGATCCCAAAGGACTGAAAACAGGGACTTGAGCACATATTTGCACACCCAGGTTCACAGCCGCAGTGTCCACAAGAGCTCGAATGTAGACGCCACGCAAAAGCCCATCAACAGGTACAAGAATAAGGAAAATGTGGCCGAGAGGTCCAGTGGAAGGTGCTCAGCCTTGGAAAGGAGATCGAACACAGGCTGTGCTATGGATGGATGTTGAGGAATTTATGCCACGTGCCATAAGCCATTTATAGAAGACAAAGGCCATTATGATGCCACTTCTATGAGGAGCCTACAATTGTCAAATTTATAGAGAGGAAGTAGAGCAGTGGGTGCCAGGGGCTGGGGGAGGCAGTTAGTGTTTCATAGGTGAGGGTTCCAGTTTAGGATTGTCAACAAATTCTGGAGATGGATGGTGGTGATGGCTGCAACAATGTGGATGTACCTAATGCCACTGAACTGATCTTAAAATGCTCCGCGTGGTGAATTTTATGTCATGTATATCTTATCACAATTACAAAATAGTTTTGAGGCTGGGCACGGTGGCTCAGCTTGTAATCCCAGCACTTTGGGAGGTCGAGGCAGGTGGATTGCTTGAAGTCAGGACTTCAAGACCAGCTTGGCCAACATGATGAAACCTCATCTCTACTAAAAATACAAAAATTAGCCAGGCGGAACCTGTAGTCCCAGCTACTTGGGAGGCTGAGGTGAGAGGATCACTTGAGCCTCGGTGGCAGAGGTTGCAGTTAGCTGAGATTGCACCACTGCTCTTCAGCCCGGGTGACAGAGCCAGATCCTGCCTCAAAAATAATAATAATAATAATAATAAAAGAAAGAAAGTTGATCAAATCCCATCTTTGGTGTATATAGGGTGGGACTTGGGGAAACACAGCTGCTCTTTCCCAGGGGTCCTCTGCAGCCTGCCCACCTGGTTGAGTCTGTGAGGCTTCTCATAGGGACATCCTGGGCTTTGCTGGAGGGGGATGGGCAGGATGGCAGGGGCCAGGGGCCATTTGGGATGGAGCTGGAGCGCTCCAGCATCCTCTCAGCCACAGTGGGGCTGCGATTCCTGCTGCTCAGAAGCAAGGCGAGCCGGCCAGAGTGGCTGATAACTGAGCGTGCGGTTGGCAAAGGTGGTTACCAGGGTTTGTTTTACAGATGAAGAAACTGAGGCTTAGACAAGGTGGTGACTTACCCACAGTGACCCAGCTGGGCGGTGCCAGAGCCAGCATCTGAATAAGCCCTGGTCTGATGCAGGTCCTGCGATCTCCCCACGCCCTGACAGTGACCTATCTTTGTGCACACACGTGTGTTTGTGTACTGGGCACACCTCCCCTAAGGTTTGCAGGGCCCAGGGCTAGAACAGAGATGTAAACACGAGAAGAGGCAGGAAGGTGTGTGCCATTATCAAAAGAAAAGAGAGGCTGGCCAGGTGTGGTGGCTCATGCCTATAATCCCAGCACTTTAGGAGGCCGTGGTGGGTGGATCACCTGAGGTCAGGAGTTCAACACCAGCCTGGCCAACATGGTGAAACCCCGTCTCTACTAAAAATACAAAAATTAGCCAGGTGTGGTGGTGCGCGCTTGTAGTCCTACTTGGGAGGCTGAGGCAGGAGAATCGCTTGAACCCGGGAGGTGGAGGTTGCAGTGAGCTGATACTGTGCCACTGCACTCCAGCCTAGGCGACAGAGCAAGAATCCGTCTCAAAAAAAAAAAAAAAAAAAAAAAGAAAGAAAAGAAAAGAAAACAGAGGCAACAGAAGCAGAACCTCAGATGTGAGTGTCAGTAGACAGGTATTTTAAAATAACTCATTCATGTGTTACTAAAAACAGGAAATGCCGTCTAACGGGATCTCTGGATGGAGAATTCCACAGCTGATTGGAACCTAAACGAGAGAACCAAATGGACATCCCAGGGCTGCAGGTCAGTGTCATGAGACGGGTGATGGCAGACTGGACCCCGTGGCAGGTGGACCATGGAGGGGAGACAGAGACAGGGCAACAGAAACGGTGCAAACAGCCACTGAAATACCCGTGGGAAAGAAAAGCACAACAGAGAACAGGAGACTTATGTGACTCCGACTCAACAAGACGCATTAGTTAAAAGATCTAATATATGCGTATGGGGCTTCCCAGAATAAGAGGAAGGAAGGAAGGAAAGAATGAGACATCATAAGATAGTGTTAAAAAAAAAAGAATTCCCAGCCGGGCACGCTGGCTCACGCCTGTAATCTCAGCACTTTGGAAGGCCATGGCGGGTGGATCACCTGAAGTCAGGAGTTCAAGACCAGCCTGACCAACATGGTGAAACCTTGTCTCTACTAAAATACAAAAGTTAGCTGGGCATGGGTGGTGGGCACCCGTAATCTCAGCTACTCCAGAGGCTGAGGCAGGAGAATCGCTTGAACCCAAGAGGCAGAGGTTGCAGCGAGCTGAGATCGAGCCGTTGCACTCCAGCCTGGGCAACAAGAGCAAAACTGCATCTCAAAACAAACAAACAAACAAATAAAATAAAAGAATTCCCAAACTGATTAAAGATACCAACCCACAGACTCAAGAAGCCTAGTAGGACTTCTGCTGCTGGCCACGATGCTGCAACTTGTCAATGTAAAATAAACAACAGAGAGACTGGCTCTCCCAAATAAAGTTTACTGGGGGATGGCAGGGGATTGCAATCTGGGATATGCATGCTGAGGGGGACCGTAGGTGTATCTTTCTTTTAGGGGTGGGAAGAGGAAGTCTACACAGATTGTTTTGGAATAAACCTCCCTGGGTACAGGAGCTTATTGCAGGGTTGGTGATTACTCATGGGTAACATGATTGTTGCGGGGGAGATGTCTTCATAGGAGCAGCTGATCTGGAATGTTGTGTGCTGTCGGAGTCCCTGTAACAGTTCTCATCATAGGCACCCGAGCATGAGGGACCTTCCGTTGAGGCCTCCCAGCTCCGTTTTGCTTGGGTCCTGACATAAGTGACTCTGCCTTAGTATTGACAATTTTCACACAGTGGAGCCAGTTTCCCCCATTTGTGCCCCCTCCCCCAGTTCATATGCTGAAACCGAATCCCTAATGTGATGACATTATGAGGTGGGGCTTCGGCATGTGCTTAGGTGGGTAGTGAGGGTGGAGCCCTCGGGAATGGGTTAGTGCTTTTATTTATGTATTTTATTTTATTTTGAGACGAAGTCTCACTCTGTCGCCTAGGCTGGGAGGCAGTGGCATGATCTTGGCTCATTGCAACCTCTGCCTCCCAAGTTCAAGTGATTCTCCTGCCTCAGCCTCCCGGGTAGCTGGGATTACAGGCATGCTCCACCACGTCCAGCTAATTTTTGTATCTTTAGTAGAGATAAGGTTTCACCATGTTAGCCAGGCTGGTCTCGAACTCCTGACTACAGGTGATCCGCCCACCTCGGCCTCCCAAAGTGCTGGGATTACAGACGTGAGCCAAAACACCCGGCCAAAGTTAGTGCCTTTAAAAAGGAGGCCCCCCAGAGCCCCCTCATGCCTTCCACCCTGTGAGGACACAGCATGAAGAAGTGATCTAGGAACCAGGAAGGGGTCCTCGCCAGACCTTGAATATGCCGGCGCTTTGATCTTGGACCTCCAGCCTCCAGAAATGTGAGAAATCAATTTCTGTTCTTTAGAAGCCACCCCATCTATGACTAAGACACCCTCCCACCTTCATGCTACTGAGTGGACAAGCTTACATGAAATGACTGTTTTCACATATGTGGCACCAGGCAGCCCAGGGATGCCGGTGAAATCTCTGGGTAAGTCTCTTTGGCCTCTGGTACTGGCAGCTTCTCCTGTTAAGAGGGCAGTCCTCCACGAGTGTCTCGTGCCCCCCACCTCTCACAGGGTGTGCCAGGAATGCAGGCCCTGAGTACCCTCCCCCATTTCTCAGGGTGGTTTGCCCTGAGAGTCCTCTAGGGACAAAGAGCAGCTTGCTCACTGCTTGCTGCAGAAACAGCTGACTCCCCCAGTGCAGGGCTCCTCAGTGGCCACGCAAACCTACTGACTGTGCAGTGCCCACCCAGGCCTACCCACATGGCACCCGTGGAATTTGGGGGCAAGGGGATAAGACCAAACACACAGGTGAGCACCTGCCTGCCACGCCATGAATGAAAAAGTCCTTTGTCTCTGACCCCGGAGTTTCACGTCTTCTGTCAGCATCCCTGCTGCGGTAACGGGCCAGCTCTTCCTTTGTAAGGAAAGCTAAAACCCAGTCCCAGAGCTGGCACCACCTGGAGGAGGAAGTGCTCTTCCCTGCCCCTCCTTGGCCATGTGACTTGCTCTGGCCAGTGACATGGGAGTGCAAGCGACACATCCCAGCTGTGCATGGCCGCTGGGAGAGTGTGGCATGGTTTCTCCATCTCTCCTCCATGTCCTCCCTTGTCAGGAGAACGGCATGTTCCAGAGAGCCACAGCTTGCTCAGCCTGGACCCCAGAACGAAGGAGGCATCAGAAGCTGAGCCACCCGTGGCCGACAAGAAACCTGAGTGGGAGGGGAAACTTGGTTGCTGTGATCGACCCAGGCTTGCGAGTTGTTTTGGCAACACAGCCTAGCAAGAGCCGACCAATATGTCATTGATGAAAGAAAGTCAACAGGCGTGTAGAAGGAGCTGTCTACTGAGCATGTCTGCACTTTTCTGAATTATGTTGCACTTGAGTAAAAAGTAAGCAAGCCTGTCTATTTACTTTAAATGATGTGTGCCAGATATGTACAGTATGCAGAGTTAAGAAGGTGCCACCCCAAAATAGGCTGCTCTGGCATAGTCACTATTAGGAATTAAAGGCAGTTAAAACAATAACAGGTGCAAAAAGATCATTCTGATCTCTCTTGTGTTTCTTAAAAGCAGAAGATGAAATTCCCAGGTGAAAGATGCTCTCCCTACACTAGAAAGCTCTGATCCTCAAGGATGAGAAGCTGAGACCCAGCAAATGCTGTACAGTCCCTGATAAAATGCCTCTCACCTTTTCAGCCCCCCACATCATCTAGCTGCTTCCTCAAACCTCACTGTTCTCTGTCCAACTCAGCACACGACTGAGTCTGCTTCACTGGGTCTTCACTTCCTTAGGAGGGCTCCTGAGCCACATCCAACTTTAATCAAATACACTGGCATGATGATCTGTCTTATCTTGATTTAACTCTTGGGCCCAGCCAGGACCTCAAAAGGATGGAGGTGGAGTTTTTCAGCCCCTACATATGCAAACACACACATAGCATGTATCTGAGCGGCCACATGGGCTGGCCCTGCTATTTTCTTATGGCTTCTCAGCCTCCCAGCCACCTTCTGCTCTGCATCACTGGAGCTGGGAGGCTGCAAGCTCCTTTCCCACTCTCCTCTGCCCGTTGGCTTCCAGTGAGGCTCCTGCAGCGATGGCGTTGGTGGGAGATGCCAGGCGAGGAATTGATCTCGCATTCTCGTTTCTGGGAACGTCTCTGAAAATGGCTGAATCCCGTCTGGGATCCCAGCTCCCAAGGAGGCGGCAGCTTGCTCACTGCTTGCACAGCCCCAGACGGCAGAGGGGCCCTCTCCTGCACAGCCTGAGACAGTGGAGGGGCCCCCTCCTGCACAGCCCCAGAAGATAGAGGGGCCCCCTCCTGCACAGCCCGAGACAGTAGAGGGGCCCCCTCCTGCACAGCCTGAGACGGTGGGGGGGGGCCCTTCCTGCCCAGCCCCAGATGGTAGAGGGGCCCCCTCCTGCACAACTCCAGAGGGTAGAGGGCCCCTCCTGCACAGCCCGAGACGGTAGAGGGGTAGCCCTGGTCTCTGGGGGCTGCACTCCTGGGCTCTGGAGCTGCCACAGCTCCTCCCTCCTAGTGCTTCCCCTTCCTTGTTTTGCTTTTTGCCCTTTCTGACATAGTGACGACTTCCGTTTCGCAGTCTGGACCTTCACCACCCCAGGGCGAGGGCACAGGCGAAGCAGCAGCACCCCCCCGGGGCCTCTCTTTATTTGGAATACAGTGTGGGGGCTCCCCCTTCCTTCTCCAGCCCGCCCAGGCCCCTGGAGCTGTCCTGGGGCCTGGGGAGTGAGGACCCGTGCCAGCAGCACAGACTCTGCCAGGCCGGGCCCGCTCAGGTGGGAGCCCAGGCCGGGTGAAGCTGTGACCCGGCCCTCACCCCAACTCGGTGACAAAAGCTATCACAGGGCTGCAGTGGGGGAGGAACAGGACGCATCTGCCAGGCACCTGACCCGCAGTGCACTTCTGGGAGCTGTGCTTATCTCCCCGGGGTCTATTTCGCCCCAAGGTTTGGCGGGTTAAAAGCTGATATGCAACCGGCACGACATGAACAGTATTTCATGATTAAAGACATCGCGTCCATGTATAATTGAGATGCTGCCGCATTTGCGGGGATTTTCAAGCGAAAACCAGGCCACGTGGAAAGGCTAAGCCCTCGCACCCCCCCGCCCCCCACTGCTGGGACCCCCGCCCCGCGGGAGACCCCGGCCCGCGGTCCCCTATGCCCGCGACCCCTGCGCTCACCCTCTCCCCTCAACCCTGAGTCCAGCCCAGTCTCGCGCGAGGCCGCAGGGAGACCCCCGCCGCTCCCTGGACCACCCCTGGGCCCACCGTACCCAGCCGCTCCCCGGCGCCCCCCGGGACGACCCCGAGCCGGCTGCCCGCCTCCCGCCGCATTCCGCACAGGCGCACCGCGCACCGAGGGCCGCACCGCCCAGCTCCGCCTGCTGCGCCAATGGCCGACGGGGTCCAAGTCGGCGGCCCAACGGAGAGGCGGGGCTAGGGGCGGGACCAGGACGCGGGACAGCAACTGTCCCGCAAGGCCCGGATTGAGGAGGCGGGAGGGACCGAAGCAGGCGGACCCAGGATTTGGCGCCGCGATCTCGAGGCTTGGCCTGGAGTAGGAGGGGAAACAAGGCGGGACTAGGGGCGAATCCGAGGGGGCGGAGCAGGGCTCGGGGTGCGGTCGGGGGCGTGGCCGGGGCGCGCTGCGGCCATCTTGGGGGCGGGCCCGGGGCGGAGACGAGCCCGAAGGGGCGGGGCCTCGGCGGCAGCAAGAAAGGCGGGACCGGGGCATCTCGGGGCGGGGCTTGGGGCTGGATCTATGAGCCGGGAGCGGGGATCCAGGAGCGAGGAGCCGGGAGCGGGGAACAGGGAGTCGGGGAGCCGGGAACCAGGGCTGGCAGCGGCCGCCATGAGCACGGTGGACCTTGCTCGCGTGGGCGCGTGCATCCTGAAGCATGCGGTGACCGGGGAGGTGAGGCCGGGTGGACGCAGGGCGGTGGGCGCGTCCCTGGCTCCTTGCCCGGGCGTCCTGGCAGCGATGGGGTGGTGGGGGCCGCGGGGCCTGGGCGGGGCTGGGGGCAACGGGGCGCGCCCATGACCCAGCCGCCCGGCAGGCCGTGGAGCTGCGGAGCCTGTGGCGGGAGCACGCGTGCGTGGTGGCCGGGCTGCGGCGCTTCGGGTGCGTGGTGTGCCGCTGGATCGCCCAGGACCTCAGCAGCCTTGCTGGGCTCCTGGACCAACACGGCGTGCGCCTGGTGGGCGTAGGGCCCGAGGCCCTGGGTCTGCAGGAGTTCCTGGACGGCGACTACTTCGCGGGAGGTGCGTCCTGTTCCCCGCCGCGGCGGCGCACATACCCTTCCCTAAGCTCAGGGCGTTCGGGGCCCTTTCCTGCCCAACCCCGGCCCTTCTGTCTGCTGGAGCGGCCTTGATATGCCCACGGGTCAGCGTCCCTCATCTCTCCCTGCCTCCCCGCCCCGCAGCTGGTGGCTGGGTGGTGCCCTGCACAGACCTGGGCCCAGCAGCAGAGTCTGGACGAGCTCTGCCCCGCCGGCTCCACCTGTTGCCTCTGGGACTCAGCCCCTCTTCTGAGGGGAGGGGGGACACTCAGCCCCGTTTTACCCCTCCCTGCCCTGCGGGGGTGGGCTGAGCACGGAGGGTGGGCAGAGGAACAGAGGGTCGGAAGGAGGAGGGCGATTCTTTGTGGTGAGTGGGTTGGGGGCTGGTTCTGCGCCTGGGGCACACACATGTGGCTTCCGCTTTCCAGAGCTCTACCTGGATGAGAGCAAGCAGCTTTACAAGGAGCTAGGCTTCAAGCGGTGAGTGGGGGCGGGAACCCTTGGGTAGCGTGGGGTGGGGGGCCCAGGGGTTCCCACCGCTCCCTGCCACCTCCTCTCCCTGCTGCCCTCTGTGGTGCTGTCCACTCGGGCCTTCCTGGGCAAGGCGGCTCTGGTGGCACTGTTGACCAGCCCTTCTGCCAGGCCTTCTCTTGGGTGCTGGGTGACTGTAATGAGCCACCTCGTCCGGGGCTTACTCTCGGTGTCCAGACCACCTCGTGGGGTGGAGCCTCGTGGCCCATCAGGGGCCATCCTAGCTTTCTGGTGTCTGTGCCACAGGCTGCTTCCTTTGCTTGGCAGTTGCCAGCTGAGCCAGATCCCTGGGCACACCCAGCCTGGGGCCCCATCCATGCTCCCTGCACCCTCTGTGGACCCTCGGCTAGCAGCCACTGGGCTCGGTGTCCAACCTGCCGGTGGGCTGGGCTGGCTACTGATCTGGTCGCCTGTGCCATCTCTGAGCCCTGGTGAGGCGGGTGGGTGGGGTGGGGCCTGACCTAGGAACTGGTCTCATGGACACTGGAGCAGGCTCTGGACCCAGGCTTCTCCGGAGTTTGGCCAAGCGACCTGGTGTCTTCGCAGGTACAACAGCCTGAGCATCCTCCCAGCAGCTCTGGGGAAGCCCGTGCGTGATGTGGCTGCCAAGGTGTGTGCGGGTCAAGGGTGTACAGGCCGGGGGGTGGTGGGAGCTCCCAGGAGCCTTTCTTCTAGGATTGACTCAGGCTGTACCCACTCCTGACAGGCCAAGGCTGTTGGCATCCAGGGGAACTTGTCTGGGGACCTGCTGCAGAGCGGAGGGCTGCTGGTGGTCAGCAAAGGTGGGTCGAGGGAGGGGCCTCGGCCACTGCCTCAAGGAGGGCCTTGCTGAACTTGGTGGCCCAGCCCAGGCCCTCTCTCTGGCTTGTCAGTCTCATCACAGCCCCTCCGCCGCAATGTGGCCTGGTTCTGCGTGTCTGCTGGGCTGAGTGGGGCTGTGGCAGAACAGCTCACTCATCTGGGTAGCCGGGTGGGGGATATGGCTGGCCAGGGCTGCCCTACCCTCCCTCCTCCTGGTATGTGGCTGTGAGGTGCAGGCGGCCTCCGGGGTGCCGTGACTGCCTGCCCGCTGCTACAGGTGGTGATAAAGTGCTCCTGCATTTCGTCCAGAAGTCCCCAGGCGACTACGTCCCCAAGGAGCACATCCTGCAGGTCCTGGGCATCTCTGCGGAGGTCTGTGCCAGCGACCCGCCTCAGGTGAGCTGGGCCTTGGGGGCGCTGCCTGCCAGCCCACGCCCTGCCCCTAGGTCCCCTGGGAGGAGCACTCGGCTTGGCTGGGAGCTGAGCCACAGCGCTGTGGGCATCATGCCAATTGTGCCCTGGGATATGGATGCCACTGTGACCCCACTTGCAGAGTGGGGCAGGCTGAGAGGGGCCGAAGGGCAGCATGGCTGGATGGACAGGCACCTTGGGACTGTCCTCAGAGGTGGGGGCGACACATGGGGTGGCGGGCAGAGAGGCGTGTCCTCTCAGCCTTGGGAGGGCTGGGGATTGTCCAAGGGGGCCCTCCAGGCATTTGTCTGATCCAGTGTCCAGCGGCCCCATGGGACCCTGCTGTCCCCACAGTGTGACAGAGAGGTGTGAGGGAGGCGAAGGCCCTGGCCTCCGAGGATCTGGGTGGCGTCTGCTGCCCTAGGTGTGCTGGAAGTCCACTTGGAAGAACTGTTCCGGAGGCGCTGGGTCGGGATGCCGAACCTCTCCTGATCCGCCGGCAGCAACGAGCCATTAAAACTGCAGTTCCTGACCACGCACTGCTTCGCAGGCTCCGAGCCCTGCATCCTCCACAGCCCCCGCCTTGCTCACTGTTGGGCCCTCAGGGCGGGCAGGGTGGCTGTGAGTCCCAGGTGTCATCTTCCTGCTCTGCGACTTTCTCTGGAGACCTTGGGCCTTTGGCCTGTGGGGCACTGGGGATGGTAACCTCACTGCCCCGTCACTCCCTTCAAAGGCGACAGACCCAAGCCCACGTCAGGAGAGGAGCGTGGGGTCAGCTCCAGCAGGGTCGGGGTCAGTGCCTGTGTCTGGTGGGGGCCACTCAGGAGAGTTGGGTTTTCAGGGCAGAGATGGGCTTGATTCCACCTGGTGGGGTGGGTGGACCCTGGAGACTCTCAGGTGATGGGCCAGCCTGCCCCAAGGCTCTTTACTGATGTCAGAATCATTGTTTGCACCTGCTGGGTATGGCCTTTGGGGCGGCCGGCCCGGGAGGGTCTTAGTCTAATTAGGTGTGTCCAGCTTCTTGGCCACCTTTCCCTGGGGACCCTAACAGGCCCAGAGCAGAGCCCCTTACCTCCCAGGTCAGACTACCTGCTCAGGCCCTCCCCTCCCATGCAGGCCGATGACAACTGCAGCCCTCTCTGCACTCCCTAGTCCAGACCTGGGGACCACTGTGGGTTCCTGTGGGTCTCCCGGCTCCCTTCCTGCCCCCAATGCCACCCTTGCAGTGGCCATTTAAAAATGCATAGCAGGTGACCCACTGCGTCCCTTTGCGTTCAGCCCCTCCTCTGGCTTTCAGTTACACCAAGCTAAAATTTCAGGTTCCCAGCTGCAGCTCTCTGGGTCCCCCGGTGCCCCAGTGGGGCTCCCCGCATCTGAATGTGTGGTCCCTGGGGGTGGGCACTTGGGGGCATCCTGGTCACTGCTGGCCCTAGCATTGGACCCTAGGAGACCTGACTGGAACTGGCTCCCTCCCCATCAGCTCCCAGCTGTCACTCTCTCCCACCCCCGGGCAGCTGTTTTGCCCAAGACCACTGCTACCTGTTTACCCACCCTGGTCCCTCCCAGACAAGCAAGGCCTCTGATTTCTTTGAAGCATTTACTTAGCTCAAGTCTGAAGCTGTAGATACTGGAAGACAATGCACCTTGGAGGGTGGGCAGGACACAGTTGATTGTCTCTACAGAGCTGTGACGGGGGCACTGAGCCCCGCGGGTGTCTGTGGAGGGGGCTCCGGTCCAGGTACTGCACTGGACACTGCTCATCCCTGGGTGTCAGGCAGGTGGCTGCACCCTAGGCCAGGCGCAGAGGCCTGGCAGGCAGGCTTGGCATGGTTGGCCGGGGCGGGACGTACACTGGGTCGCCGCTAGCTGCACCTTCGCACAGATGCCTCCGAGCAGCGGGTGGGCGTGGGCCGCACAGCGCGGCAGGGCCTTGGCTACCACACGCGGCATCGCTCCTTGGGGTGCATGGGGGTGCCCCGGGCACAGTGGAACGTGTCTGCGAAGGCGGCCAGGTTCTGCAGCGACCCCAGTACCCTGTGGGTGGGTGGGTGTGACAGCAGGAGCATTGCCATCTTGGACAAACATGGCCATTTTAAGTTCTCCGTGATTAAAAACCAGCCCAAAACATCAGCCTAATGGCTCATGTCAGTATGAGCAGAAACATTTCAACCATGAGATAAACCCCCATCTGACCAGAAACATGCCAATCCTGAGAATAACCTCCCCTCCAGCCAGAGATATTCCAACTCTGCAATAAAACTCTCCTTCACACAGAAACATTCGCAGCCTGCGGTAGGCTCCCCCTTCCTAAACCCTTAAATGCCCTTAGTCTGTAAGAGAATGTCCCTGACCGAAATCGGCCAGAAGCCCCTCTCAGGTTTATTCCCAAAATAAACCTGTCTCTGTTGAGCCACTTTTTGTGCTTTCTTCTTTTACAGGCCACTGGGGTGGGGGTGAGGGGGTTGTGGGTGGCAAGGGGGTTGTGAGCATGGGAGACTTGCCTGTACTTCAGGGGACTGTGGACGTCTGTCTTGATGGATTGGATGGCGAACTCGGGCCGGTAGGACCCGCACCACACCTGTGGGCATGTTGGGGGCGTGGCTACAGGTGGCGTGGTGGGGTGGCCAGGAGGGGTGGGGGAGGGTCTCCACTATCCCCAGGCTGCCCCTTCTAGGGTGGGGTGAGGGGAGTCAGCAGGTGCTCCCCTCCTCCCATCAGCATTGAAATCCTGTCCAGCTCCCGCCCCCTGCCCCTCATGCTTTTCCCCCAAGGGGCCTTCCATGCTGGGCTCTGGTCCCTGGAGGTGCCCCAGAGTGGGCCCTCCAGAGATGAGTGGGGAAGCATGGGGATGGTGGGACCAGGACTGCGGCTGCCACCTGGGCATAGTTGATGAAGAAGAGCTGCTCATGGGTGAGATCCAGGCCGGGCAGCTGCTGGTCCTTGCCACCCTCTGCCATCCACTTGAGGTAGGCCTGCAGGCACCAGACAGGAGCTGAGCTCAGGCCTGCCAGCCTGGACTCCAGAACCCTCAGATCTCAGGGCAGAGCAGAGGTCTGGCTCCAGGACCTACCCCTGTGGGGGTCCTGCTGCTGCAAGGGCCCTTCACACACCCCACGGATGAGCGCTCACCACCTCAGTCACTCAGGGACCCCTGAGCTGGGCCCTCGGGGGGGGATCCCTGGCCAGACAGCCCACTGCACACCACCTGTCCCGAATGAGCCCCTGACGCCCCCTCCCCTGAGGCACTGGTGCCCCCCTCCCCTGCAGCGCTGATGCCCCCCCTCCCCTGCCATGCTGACGCCCCCTCCCCTGCTGTGCTGGCACCCCCTCCCCTGCCGCGCTGATGCCCCCTCCCCTGATGCACTGGCGCCCCCTCCCCTGCCATGCTGACGCCCCCTCCCCTGCCGTGCTGGCGCCCCCTCCCCTGCCGCGCTGACGCCCCCTCCCCTGCCGCGCTGACGCCCCCTCCCCTGCCGCGCTGATGCCCCCTCCCCTGCCGTGCTGGCGCCCCCTCCCCTGATGCACTGGCACCCCCTCCCCTGCCGCGCTGACGCCCCCTCCCCTGCCGCGCTGACGCCCCCTCCCCTGCCAGGCCCCACCTTATAGGCTTGCCGCACCCCTCCGTTGTCAGCAATGTTTTCCCCAAGGGTGTTGAATCCGTTCACCTGCGCACAGGAGACAGGATTGGGGCAGCCCCGGCCCTGACTTCCCTCTCCCTCAGGGCCAGGGCTGGGGCTCCGGTACCCCCGCAGCCTGGGTGCTGGTGGCAGCGCTCACGTTCTGTTCGTCTGCCAGGTCCCAGGAGTAGTTGCCGTACTGGTAGATCATGCACTCTGACTGCTCCCGGAAGTGCTGGGTGGAGAAGTTACTCCACCAATCCATCATGTTGCCATTCTTGTCGAAGTTCCGGCCTGGGCAGGGGCAGAGGAGGGCTGCCCACATGCCCCTGGCTGCACTGTGCCTGGCCCCACGGCAGCCACTGTGCCTGGCCGCTCCTGCCCCTCCTGCAGCCAGCCCCAGTACGGAGAGCCCACAGTCTGAGTAGGCTGAGCCTGGAAGAGCATCGCGGGCTCCAAGGGGCAGCAGCTGTCTGGGGCTACACAGCCCCCAGAGAAGGAGGGCTTCAGTGGTCTCCCATGCCACCCCCTGAGGCTAGGGCCTAGCACCTGGGTCCTGTGGTCTTGGAGGCATCATGGTTTAAGGGCTCCTCCTGGGATGCCCAAACTCTAAGTTCCAGGCGAGAGGAGTACGTGGTCCCTGGGGACAAGGACTGCCCACGGAAGGTCCGGATGGCCGAGCCACAGGGGAAAACCAGCTGGGGCCCCTGTCCCAGGCAGGGCAGTCCCCACCGAGGGGCGGAGGTCAGCATGGCCATGGCGGGGGTAGCACACCCCCCGGTGGAGGATGCTGGCCGTCTGGAGAGTCTCCCAGGCTGGGATCTGGGCTTCGCTGCTGTATTGGGCAGTGTTGTCGTCCCCATGTCACAGGCCGTGGGAGGGAAGTGCCCAGTGCCAGGTGGAGTCAGGGTCATGGGCTGGAGTCCCTGGGTCCCCTCCTCCATGCTGGGAGTCAGTGCCCCCAGACAGGGCCCCAGCCTGGCATTCAAAGCCTGCTCTGCCCCCACAGCTCCCTGAGGACCTGGCCTCGGTGTCCCCACTGAAACCGTGAAGGGGTTGAATGGAGCGCCCCCAGGCCCCTTCCTGGCTGCTTCTCCGCGGAGAGGGGAGGGCGTGTGTGATTGGAGGGGCGGCCGCTCACCATTGTCGTCAAAGCCGTGCGTGATCTCGTGCCCGATCACCATCCCAATGCCTCCAAAGTTCAAGGCCTGTGGCTGCTCCTTGCTGAAGAAGGGGGGCTGGAGGATCCCGGCAGGGAATACTGTCCCCAAGGGCGGGACAAAGAATAAGCTGTGAGTGGACACATCTCCTGTGTGCCAGGCTCAGGGATGGCGCTGCCAGGGGTTCTGACACTTGATCCCACAGACCGGGAGGCAGAGGTCAGGATTCCCTCAATTTACAGATGAAGACACGGAGGTTCAGAGGCTGGGCGGGCTCGTGCCTGGCAGACCCAGGACCTCAGTCCGGCCTCCTCCCACCATCCTGTTCTGCCTGCAGGAAAGGCTCTGGGCCGCCTGCCAAGTCCCTCCCGAAGCCGCTCATGGGCACGGGAGTGAGTGTTCCCCACGGGGGCAGCAAGGGGTGACATAGGAGAATGTTCCAAGAACAGGCTGGGGTGCCCCCAGGAGGAAGGGATGGGCAGGGGGCTGCAAGCCACCCCTTCAACTCTGGCACCAAAGGGCCTGGGCAGGCAGGGAGGGGGAGGAACTTACCAATCTGGTTTCGGTTTGGGGAGTAGAACGCATTGACCACCGCCGCCCCGATGATCCAGCTGTGATAGACAAGCCGGTCTCTGGGAGCCGCCTCTCCGGGGACCCTCCCTCTGGGCTCTCTCTGCCTTGATGGACCAGGGCCTACCCTGGCCACACCAGAGCAAGGGCCCAGGCCTATCCCAAGATCTGGTTCCTTCCTGGGGTCCCTGAGGAGGAGGCGACTTGGGCCCCAGAAAGCAGAGGGTGATGGGGGACTCTGTCCAAGATAGGCCCAGTGACTGCACCCCTCAGCTGGCACTGGACCCCAGCCACGCATCCAGTCCCCCGCCTGGCAGGCAGCCCTGCACGCCTTACTGGCCACTCCCTGGCCCCCCCCGCCCATGCCGCACCAGCGATGCCACTCACAGATTTGGGTCCACCTTTTCCCGAAGCTTCCTGAGGCTCCGCTGGGCGCCCACCTTGAGGTTCTGCAGACTGTTCTCAAAGTACAGGTCCTCTGAGAAGTTCAGCTACGGGAGAGGGGCAGTCACTGCCAGATGCTGGGGCCGGGCCCTCAGAGGAGCAAGGGGAGAGGTCCTGGGTGGTTGGGGAAGGACCTCAAGCCTTGCCAGGCGTCCGCACGTGGACAGTCGGCTGTGGGTGCAGGTGAACGGGGCAGCCCTGGCTGTGGGCATTTACATGACTCTGAGCAAGTCCCTCGTCCCTCCAGGCCTCAGTTTCCCCATCTGTACACTGAGGGTAGTGCTGGAGCCACCACCCTAGGGCACGGTGAGGACAGCTGTGTTAGCGCCTGGGAGGAGGGCACAGAGCTTGGCACAGAGGAGCCCCCAGGCAATCAGGGCCCATGTCCACGGTGTGGGGGGCAGTTTAGGGCTGGGGTTGGGGGCGCACATTGGAGTACTCCTCGTCCAGGCGCCTGTTCATCTCCTCCAGGATGTAGTCAGGGTGCCCGATCTGCTCCCGGATGCTCATGGCCTGAGTGGGGAGGAGGGACTGGTCAGTGGGTGCCCCACTGCGGATGGAGTCAGCCCGGGGGCCGGTCAGTGAGTGCCACACTGTGGGAGGGGTCAGCCCGGGGCATCCTGGCTGTGCTCTCCCTGTCCTGTGGTGAGGGGCTGGGGGGCTCCGGGATCTGGCCCCCACCTTGCAGGCTCTGGGGAGGTTTAATGGGGACAGAATATGGAAGGCTCCGCCCACCTGACCTAGAGCCCAACAGCCCGCCAGGGGTCCGGGTGGGGGCAGGGGCCCTGGAGGGGTCACTCGGCTGCCGTCTGTCACTTGGGTCCAGAGGAGCTTCTGGTGGGTCTGACCCTTGCTCCCGAGGCCACCGCTACCCCCGCTGGCTCATGGGGGGTGCTGGGGATGTCCCAGGCCTGGTTCCTGCCCCTGCCTGCTTTTCCTCAGCTCCACAGTGGGCGAGTGGTCCTGTCTGCGCCTCCCGGGGCTGCCTTCTCCCCGTGGGGTCCTGTCTGCGCCTCCCGGGGCTGCCTTCTCCCCGTGGGGTCCTGTCTGCGCCTCCCGGGGCTGCCTTCTCCCCGTGGGGACCGTCAGGAGGCTTTGTCGGGGCGGTGCTGCCCGTGCCCAGATCCAGTCGGGGCTGCCCTGACCTCTGCGAGCCACATACCTTCTCCTGCGCCTTCTTCTTGGACTCCTCGTCCATCCAGCCCAGCTCGTCCAGCGTCTCCACAAACACTGTCCGCACCTTGTCAATGAGTTCTCTGACCTGGGAATCGGGCATGGCCCTCGTGTCCCAGACTCATCTGGAGGGCGAATGACCAGCCTCAAGGGCTTTGGGGAGGTCTGGTCTGAGCCCCGCCGGGGCAAGGCCCAGGGCTGCCCAGCTGTGGGCCTCTCAGGTGAGGTGTGGGGCCGGTGGGGGGATGAGATGACAACCCAACTTCAGGGTCCTCCCTGCTGGGCTGTGGGTCCTCGTGGGCCAGGGGCAACTTGTACCACCTGTGCCTTTCCCAGCTGGACCTGCAGGGCTCAGGCTGGGGCCCAGTGGCCGGCTGGGGTCAGGGGCATGGGGTGGGCACGGCTTCCCTTAGCCTCCCTCTGTCTGGTGAGCTGGGGCAGGTGCCCCTGAGCCTGGGCGGGGTGGGAGTCTCAGGGCAGGGAGGCTCGGTGTCCCTGTGGAAGGCTGGCCCCGCGTGGGCCATGGATGAGGGGCGCCCACCATGCTCTTGCTGTCTCCAGGGAACGCCTCCCTGACGTAGAGGGAGCCCACGGCGTTCTCCATGTTGCTGTTGACGTAGCCCACACATTCACGCCAGCGCACCTCCTCCACCATTGTGCCAAACAGCGCCTGGTGGGGCCACCCGATCATCCCACGGGCCCCCACGTCAGCCTTCCCAGGCCTGGCGTGGGGCCCTGGGCTTACGGGGTGAGCAGACCCACCTATCCTCAGCCTCAGGGTGCCCCGGGGCTAGCGGGGGCACGGGATGATCTCAGCCTCACCTCTGGGTGCTGCTGCGGCGGGGGGAAGGATGGGCATGGTATTGTGATTGGGGAACTTCCGCAGACTGAGAGCTGGGCCTTTACCCTGAGGAGTTGGGGGGGTTCCTCCCCGGCCCCTGTCCTGGTTGTCTGGCTGGACTCTGCTCTCCAGGACTCCAGCCCCAGTCTCAAGGCACAGGGCTGGCGCTGACCCCAGAGCAAGGCCTGGGACCACGTCCCTCTCAGCCACCAGCTCCCAGGGCCCTGGTCTCTCCATTGTTGAAGCAGCTGTGAGAACACCTGCTCATCTGTCCCCAGGGACACAGGAGCACGAGACTCTGGGCCCCAGACTCAGGCAAAGCCCAGGGAGCACTCTGCCCAGCGTCCTGCCACACCTTCTGGGCTGCAGGACTTCCTGCCCTTTAGGAAAGGGAGGCAGCCCTTTCTTCCTCCCCAAAGCTCCTAGACTCAGTGCCCCCCTGACGCTTGACTCACAGATGTCTCTGACCTACCCCCCCATGGCAACAGGAGGCTTGACTTGCCCCCAGCTTGCCTCTGCCTCAGTCTCCCCATTGCAGTGGGGACCTCTGTCCCTCCCATTACTCTAACAAAGGTCTTGAGAGTCCCGACTCCCCTCTGCCCTTAGCCCCTATACCCAATCCCTCAGCTGCTGCGGTCAACACCTCCCCTGCGTCTGTGTGTCTGCCAGCACCATGGCCAAGCCTGTCACCTCACCTGGGTGACCACATCGGCCTCCATGCTGACCCCGCCCCCTACTCAACTCACTCTCCCCAGAACAGCCAGAATCCCCCTAGGGCCTCCCTGCGGTTCCTTGTCTCCACCCTCACCCCAGCCCTGGAGCAGCCACAGTGACTACAGGAGCAGCATATCTGACCGCGTCTCTGCTCTTAGCACCCCTGCGGCTTTCAGACAGGGAGTACAATCCAAACCGGCTGCTGTGGCCCGTGGTCACCTCGCCTCCCTCCCTGCCATCTTCTCCTTCCTGTCCGCTGCTGACCACGGGTCCGGCCCCTGCCTGCTCCTGCCTCTGGCCTCTGCACTGGCACT
Organism: Homo sapiens; assembly: GCF_000001405.40. Lineage (NCBI taxonomy): Eukaryota > Metazoa > Chordata > Mammalia > Primates > Hominidae > Homo > Homo sapiens. The sequence goes on from NC_000001.11 coordinate 2,597,889, forward strand.
GGCTGTTTCTGCTCCCGGGAAATCACCCCGCCGCCTCTTCAGGCCTTTAAGGTCTCAAATGTCGCCTCCCCGGAGCAGTGCTCCCTGTCCTCGTCCCTCCCTGCCTCCCCGCCACATCATACTCTGCGGTTTTGGCAGAGCTACGTTCTGCCTTGTTGACTGTCATGGTCCACTCCCCACTGGGGTGGGCGCCTCGCCCTGCCTCGTCCATGGCTGTGACCCTGGTGTGGACCTCGGTGTTTGCCTACAGCTTATGCTCAGCATCGTGGCCTGAATGAATGAGTGCCCGGCCAGGCTCTGGGCAGGGAAGGGGCTCACCTTGCGGTAGTTCACTCGTGTGTCCTTGAATCTCTGGCTTAGGCTACCAATGCGGTCCAGCACCAGGCGCCAGACCAGGTAGTTCTGTATGGTCCTGGGGGCAGAAGGTAGAGGGTGAGGGGAGAACAGGTGAGAGGTCTTTGCAAGGGAGGAGATATGGCTTAGGGCCCTTGGCCAGCACGTTCCACCCCAGAGAGTTATGGGTGCTGGAGAAAACCTCCAGGACAACCACCTCCAAGATCCAGCCCATCTGCCCCGGGTGCTTGGGATGTGACACATTTTTAATGTAAGACTCCACTGGCCACTAAAGCTTAACCCCTCATGTCCCACACCCCTCAGGGCAGATGCTTCATAGGGTCCCCTCCTGGGAGCAGAAGCTGTGTTGGGGAGGATGGGAGAGCAGGGGCAAAGATGCTGAGGCCTTTGGAGACCCTCCCTGGGCCTCACCTGGCTGAGTAGGTGTCGATGATGTTTTCAAGGTTCTGCAGGTAGGGGATGCCATAGACCACCACTTCCTCATCTGGCAGCAGCTTGATTTTGACAGAGGATAGCACAGTTTGTATGAACAGAGTCCAGTTAAATCCCTGCAGATAGAGGAAGTGGGGAGAAAGAGGGAGAGAGAGAGAGGGAGAAACAGTTCCTGGGAATCTAAGAAACCCAGCCCCTGTTGAAGAATGTTCAAGGAATAAGAGAGAAGTGCAGGTAATCAGAATCAGGAAAGGGTGGGTGACATTATTACAGAGCCTACAGCTGTAAAAACCCAAGCGATCATGCAGATATATGCGAAAGCCTAAGTATAACAGGCAAGTTCCTAGAAAAACACAACTTAGCAAAAATGACAAAAAAAGAAATAGAAAATATGAATAGTCTTCTAGGTTAAATAAATGGAATATTTAATTTGAAACTTTCCAATAAAGAAATTTCCAGACCCATTTGGCTTCACCAGTGGATTCTATCTGACATTTAAGGAAAACTGCCAATCTTATTAAAACTTTCCAGAGATGAGAAAATGCTTTTCAACTTGATTTATGAGGCCAAGAATAACCTTGATACCAAAATAAGGATATTATAAGCAGAGTAAATAATAAGCCAGTCTCGTTTATGTCATAGATACAAAAGTTCTAAGCAAAATATTAGCAAATAGAACCTAGCCATACTTGTATAAAATGCTAATATATCACAGCTGAATTAGATTTATTCAAGGAATACAAGTTTGGTGTAACATTTGAAAATAAAATAATTTTAATTCACTACAATAACTGAATAAAGGAGGAAAGTCACATGATTATTTCAACAGATGCAGAAAAAGCATTTGATAAAATCTGCCATCTATTCATAATAAAAACTCTTGGCAAATAAAAATAGAAGGGGTCAGCCACAGTGGCTCACGCCTGTAATCCCAACACTTTGGGAGGTCGAGGCGGGCAGATCACCTGAGGCCAGGAGTTCAAGGCCATGCTGGCCAACATGGTGAAACCCTGTGTCTACTAAAAATGCAAAAATTAGCTGGGTGTGGTGGCGCATGCTGTAGTCCCAGCTACTTGGGAGGCTGAGGCATGAGAATCGCTTGAACCTGGGAGGCAGAGGTTATGGTGAGCTGAGATCACTCCACTGCGCTCCAGCCTGGGCAACAGAGCAAGACTTTGTCTCAAAAAAAAAAAAAAGATAAAAAGAAAAATAGAAGGAAAATTCTATAACCTGATAAAGGAAATGTATGAAGCAGCAGAAGCAACAAAAACAACTCCATAGCAAACATAACTTTTTTTTAAATTTATTTTTGAGACAGAGTCTCGCTTTGTTGCCCAGGTTCAAGTGCAGCAGTGCAATCTTGGGTCACTGCAACCTCTGACCCCTGGGTTCAAGCAATTCTGCTGCCTCAGCCTCCCTAGTAGCTGAGATTACAGGCATGTGCTAACACACCTAGCTAGTTTTTGTATTTTTAGTAGAGACAGGGTTTCACCATGTTGGCCAGGCTGGTCTCAAGCTCCTGACCTCAGGTGATCCACCTGCCTCGGCCTCCCAAAGTGCTGGGATTACAGGCATGAGCCACCATGCCTGGCCAAACATAAAATTTAGTGGTAAGAATATACGTGCTTTTCTTTTAATGTCTACTATTATGACATCAGCATTATGCTCAAAATCCTGTCCAGTTCAGTAAAAGCAAACATGAAATAAAGCCAGTAAGAACTGAAAGAGAATAAATAAAACTGGACCAGGTGCGGTGGCTCATGCCTGTAATCCCAGCACTTTGGGAGGCCAGGGCGGGAGGACTGCTTGAGCACAGGAGTTCAAGACCAGCCTGGCCAACATAGAGAAACCCTGTTTCTGGGAAAAAAAAAAAAATCAGGCAAGGCTTGGTCATGGTGTATTCCTGTGGTCGCAGCTACTCAGGAGGCTTGAGCCCAAGAGGTCAAGGCTGCAGTGAGCCATGACTGTGCCACTCCACTCCAGTCTGCATGACAGAGTGAGACCCTGTCTCAAACAAACAAACAAACAAACAAAACCCAACCCCCCTGTTTTTTTACAAATGATATGATTTTGTTTATTCTACAAATAAATAACCAGAACTAATAAGTGCATTGAGTAAGACTGCATATTTACAAAGTCAGTATTTCCATATATCAGCAACAAATAAGATAATTTCAAAATGATTCTATTTATAGTAGAAAACCAAACACCTGTAATTTATCTAATAAAATATGTATAAGAACTTGACACTGAAAGCTTTAAAAGTTATTAAGAAAAATTGAAGCATAAATGGAAGCATATATCATGTTCATGGATTGGAAGACTCAGCATTGCAAAGTCTCCCCAAATTGATAGAGAGATTCAAAGTGATCCCTATCAAATTTCTAGCAGAGTTTTCTTTTTGTGTGTGTGCGTGTATGCAAATGGAAGGCAGATTTTAAGTTTTATGTGAAAATGCAAAGGACTGAGAATTATCAAGACACTCTTGAAGAACAAAGTTGAAATATATACTCTATTGACTATCAAGACATTATAAAGCTGAAGGAGTGATGGTGGTAGGGGTTATCACTTGGATAGATAAAGAGACCAGTGGGGCAAAAGAGAGTCCAGAAATATACATATGGGCCCACGCATAGACACACAGGAACACCTGATTTATAACACAGAAGGCACCAAGACCAGGGGCTCACAGGGGGCTCTTTTTAATAAATGGTGCTGAATGACTGGAAATCCATAAGAAAGAAACAATTCCTACATCTCACTGTCCATTAAAAAAATCAACTCACAGTAGATTGTAGACCTAAGCAAACCTGAGGGTAGGCAAAGAGTTCTTTAGCAGAACACAAAGAATACTAACCACGAAGAAGAGATCTGCACACATTTGCTAAGCCAATAAATTGGACCATTTAATAGCCTCCATTGAAACAAAGAAACCCTTATGAGAGTAAAAAAGCAAGCTGCCCAGTGGGGAGAACATTTGTACACATAAGCTGACCAAGGAGTCACATCTAAAATAGGTAACTCCAAGAATCAATCAGAGAAAGATCGCCCGATAGAACAAATGGGCAAGACTCAAACAGACGTTCCACAAAAGGGAATGGCATTGGCCAATTGACAGGAGATGGCGTTTAACCTCCTCCGCCCTTGGGGAAAGTCACATTGAACCCAGATGAAACCCCACTACACAGGTGCAGAAACGGCTGAGAACGGACACCACCCAGCACGGGCGAGGGTGTGGCACCAGCCGCTGTTGGGGAGCGCACATCCCTGGATAATTCTGGGGAAAGACAGTGCCTGTTACTGTTGAACAGATGCGTGTGCTTCCACCCAGCAATTCCACTCCTACCCACTTGCCTGCCACAGGCACACACAGGCATGGGCATGACAACATCACTCAGAAAAGGCCCAGAGACAGCACAGTGGGACCCGAGTTGTCGCATGTTCTTAGAGTCAGAGGCCACTCAGCAATCTAGAGGCCACGTCAGGGACCGGCCTCCCTCCAGGGAGAAGTCAGGGTCTCTTCTCCAGGGAAGGAGGCAGGCACAGGGGCTAGGCAGGGGCATGTGGGGGCTTCTGGGATGTCGGTGGTCACGTAAGTCTTGATCTGAGGGGTGATTGTGTGGATGTGTTCACTCTGGGGCGATTCTGAACATCATAAATGCATTGTAAACCAAATGTCCCCAAACCCTGGGCTCCTGGACGCTCCCCTGAACCTGCCGCTGTGATGTCTCCACGGCAACCTCAGGCCATCTGAGCTCTCTCACTTCCATATTTAGTCCTTTTGCAAACCCTGTTGGCTCCACTTCCAAAATCAACCCCAAAGCCACCTCCACCACGGGCACCCCCCTTGGCAGAGCTGCCATCTCTTGCCCGGGCTACGTGGCAGCCTCTGATTGGCTTCTCTGCCACCTGCCCCGTCCCCTTCACTCACTCTTACTTGTGAACCAGGTCACGTCCTGTCATACCCCCACTCCTCTCGGGCAGAGTCTGAGACTTTCAAGTGGCCCCCGAGGTCGGACACGGCATCCCCCGCTTTACTTCCTACTCCATCTCTCTCTAGCCCCGGTGCTCATTAGCTGGGAGTCCCTGCCCCAGACTCTTGGGGAACTGCTGTGTGAGCCACACTGGCCCCAGATGGCCATGGCCCTTGGTTCTCTGCAAGGCTTTACCTCCTGTCTGCTGTCCTGGCTGAGCTCATCCTGCCCCCTTTCTGGCTTTCTGACACGTTTTAGAGGTCACTCCGCTTTTCTGTCCCTCTCCCGCACCGGAACCTCGATCGAGATAGGCCTTTGTTTGGGAAGGGGATAAAGCCCAGTGCCAGAGCAGAGCCTGGCCCCACTGCGTGTGTTCTGGGCAGCGGGGTGTTGGGGAAGGTGTGTCCCCGCAGGCCAGCCCTGGGGACCAGAACCGATCTAGGGACCACCAGCCTTCCAAGGCACTAGGTGCCCTGGGGCGAGGCTCTCCCCAGAGTCTCTCTGTCTTGCCCTTGGCAAGAGCTGTGGCTCCAGACACTCAGGGACATACTCTGGTTGAGGGGGCAGGGGCTTTGGACCCCCTTCTGCCCTTGCCCTCCCCCCACTGACTTGGGCACCCTTTGCCGAAGCTGCACGCCTGCGCCTCCTGGGGGAGGAGGCCCTCGAGAAGGCCAGCTGCTCCAGCAGGGTGAGAGTCGGCTGAGGGAGTGGGGGACTTGCCCCTTCCCAGGCTGGGCTGCTCCTCTCCAGCCCCCACCTCAAAGCACAGGGCGGTGCCTGGCCTGGGCACTGGGCAGGGGAGCGCCTGAGGGTGTGGCCAGGGGGAACTGCTACCCTCAGGGCAGGCAGGACTGGGAGGAAGCACCCTGCTAAGGTTCTGAGCGGGACTTGGGGTCTGAGAGCCCTGGGTGGGACCCTGTACACCCCCACACATCAGCAGCCCCCTGAGGCCTCCGTTTCCTGCTCAGAAGACCGGGGCCATCACAGCACCGCACAGATGGGTGACTCTGTTCCAGGATGGCACAGTTGGCACTGCTGTCCCAGTGACATTAGTAATCGTGCTGGTGCTGCTCTGCAGCAAGTTTGGGTGATCAGGTACAGGGTCTCCCTGCTCGGGGATGGGGAATGTTTCTGAGCTTAAATGCCAGGCAACGTGCCCTCTCAGAGGGCCGCTTCCATGTCCCCCACGAGTCTCCACCCGGCCAGTGCCGGCCTCCTGTGTGGTGTGGCCTCACCTTCAGGCCAAACTGGCTTTGCAGCTCCTCCAGTCCCATCCGGTGGTACAAGGCGATGACGTCGTGTCTCTCCTCCTGGGGTACCGTGGCCTGTGCCGGGGATAGCAGTCACACGGGCGGGTGGCCAGGATGCCCCCTGGGGCTCCTGGCCCAGTCCCTGCCTGCTACCGGCCCACCCAGCACCCCCTCACCTTGGCCAGCCACACCGCCTGGGGCTCCCAGCCCACTCGCTGCCCGCTCCCCACCCGCCCCGGCCCCCTTACCTTGGCCAGCTGTGTCTCCAGCTCCAGCACCTGCACCATGTCCTCCTGCACCAGGCAGCTGTCCCTGGGCAGGTTTGCATCCTCCCGCAGCAACGTGGCCACTGACACCATGAACTGCAGGTAGGCTTCCCGCACCTGGGCCAAAGGACGCCGGGCAGAGCTGGGTGGCCTCAGCCACCATGGCCCCCAGGGAGTTTTCTGTGGGGGTGGGGTGGGCGTAGGACATGGGGAAGCCCCTAATGCGTGTCCACCCACCTTGACCAGCAGGCTCTCGGGCACACAGAGTGCCGAGTGGGAGCGTCTCAGACGCGTGACCTGTGCCCGAGCCACTGGACGGGGTACCTAGTCTGCAGGGCTGCTCAGGGCTTAAACTGTGTGGCTGCCTATAAGGGTTTGCACAGGTGGGTGCTGGGGCTCTCAGTGCTGGGGTTGGGGTGCTGGGCTTGGGGTGCCAGGGCTAACTTGGGCCTGCCGGGGCTGTGGGTGCCAGGGTGGTGGGTGCCGGGGTGGTGGGTGCCAGGGCTAATTTGGGCTTCCCTACCCAGGTGCTTCCCGGCCTGAGTGTCTGGAGTGGGATCCTGAGGAAGTTTGCTCCTCAGGGAGCTGCCTTCCTCGCGCTGGGCAGGGCTTCCCCAGTGCAGGCCAATGCTCTGGCCAGGCTTGGCCCATAGCTGCCTGGTCTGAACACATGGCCAGACATGGCGCTTTTGAGACACTCCAGTCCCTCCTGCTCTGGCGTGGTTCTCTCAGCCCCACTGCTCCACCTTTGGCCACACGGCCCTTCCTCTGGGCTTGGTCATCCTTCAAAGTCTAGTTCATAGCCCACCTCCACCAGGAGGCCCCCTGGATTGTGTCTGGCCCTCTGGGGCATTCATGCCTCATGCCTGTTCACCTCTGCCCTGGTGCTGGATGCCTTGCCCTCCTCACCTGCTCCCTGTCCTTCCCCACCCTTCCCTGCACCCTGGGCTAGCCCTGGGCCTGCCAGCCTCAAGGTCCCCTTGTCCACAGTGGGGGTCCTCATCCCTCCCCTCTCTTGACAGCCCCTTGAGATGGAGCAGGCTCGGGGCCCAGCTGCCTGCACTCAGATCTCCAGGGGCCCTCCTGGGAATCCGGTGCTGCAGAGCCTGGGTCTGTACTGACGGGAGGGGGATGACAGTTCTGCCCCATGGGGCTGCTGCTGAGCTGAGCTTGTCCCCAGGCCTGGCCCGGGTGTTGAGGGAACGTCCCCCAGGATGGTGGCAAGCAATAGGTCACGTCTGCACCCGCCACCCTCAGTGCCGGGCTCAACCTCCACAGGTGCTCACTAACACCAGCTTCGGGGAGGGAAGGCCAGGTGGGCAACGGGAAGGCCAGACCACGGGGTAGGGGGTGATGGGGGGGTCATCTGGCATTGCGGTGAGGACCCACCCACCTTCCGGTTGCTGCCGCCGTTGAAGTAGTACTCTCGGGAGGGCATGCCCAAGGTGGGCTGGTCTATCTGGAAATACAGAAGGTGTGACCCTGGGCAAGGGGCCCGGGGTCCCCGCAGCCTGGCTGAGGCAGGCTGCAGCCGCCTCCCCACAGGACTGTGCCCCGTGCACACGTGCTCTGCCCAGGAGCTGGTGGTGGAGCTTGTGCCGGACCCGGGAGGCCAGACCCTGCCCCGAGTGATGGTGGGGGCGCTGGGCTGGACTGGAGAGGGTGGCGGGGGTGGGGTGGGGAGGGGTTCAGGCTGTCCCGGGCCTCGCAGCACCCGCGGCTCCCCCAGAGTGGGGCGCGTATTTGTTTCGTGTGTTTCTCTTTGGCCTCCAGCCCGTGGCCAGCAGTGGATCCCTGAGGTCAGGCCTCCTGCCCCGGTTCCAGCCCCGCTGTTCAGGAGCCCCCGCCCCTCTGACCAGAACCGGGTTCTACTGTGGCCCCCAGCTTGGCCAGGAGGCCCAACAGAAACTCCAGCAGCAGCAGCTCGTTCCCGGGCCCACGGACGTGGACAGGAGCCAGGAGCCCAGGTCCCAGGAGACCCCGGAGCTCCCTGTCGGCCTGGCCCATCCTTCTGCTGTGCTGCAAGAGCCCCCAGCCAGGCTTGGGGACCCTGCCTACCCCTGCCCACCGGCGCGGCTCGTACGTAGATGATGTGCCGGCTGGAGTTCTGGTCGTCGTTCCAGATGAAGAGGTCGATGAGGACGCGCCTGTTGAACTGTGAGTTCATCAGCGCCAGCTGCCGCTCCAGCTCCCACTCGAGTCCTGGGGAGACAGTGCCCCGCACTGGAGACTGGCGGGCCCTGGGGCCCCAGCCCGGCCCCTTGTCGGTGAATCTGGCCTCCGGAGCCAGGAACTAGGGGGCCATAGGGTGGGGAGCTCACCTGTGCGCCTTAGGGGCTGGGGGATGTGGGAGACACTTTCCCTAACAGCCCAGGAGCCACAGGCGGGCCCCCAGGTGACCGGAGGGGGTTGGGAGCAGCATGGGGTTGTCAGGGCTGCCAGCCACGTGAGGTGCCACTCCTGCCCCCGGGGGAATGGAGCACATGCTCAGAGTGGGGAGCCCTGGGGCCAGGGCCTGGCCGGAGCCTGGCTGGGGCCTGAGTGTCGAGCGCTCCTAGGGGCCGAGGAGGGGCACCCCTCTGCAGGGCTGGATGGGACTGGCCACGGGGCACCAACTCCCCAGCATGGAACCTAAACCACCTCCCAGGACCCTGAGGTTGCCCCGGCTGGGTTGGGCCTCTTGGGGCTCCTGAGAGCAGCCAGCTGGGGGTGGGGGTGGGGTCCCCTCCTGGAAGGCCTCAGACCGAAGGAGCCCTGGTCCTGGTCCTCCTTTGTCTGTCTGTGAGGCTGCTGCCAGGCCCGGCCTTACCTACGGTCTCGTTCCACCTGTCCATCGCCACCGGCCAGCCTCCCACCACCTCCAAGATGTCCAGCAGGGGCTGAGAGCCTCGCTTCTCTATCACACCTGAGAAGGGACGCAGTGGTCACTCTCCCAGCCTCCCTGTGGCTCACGTGCCACGACACAGAACTGTGGGGGCGCCGTTGGCCGGCGTCACAGGTCCCCACAGCCCCTGCAGTGCTCCGCGAGAGGCGGCCTCCCAGCCTCTGGGCCTTTACACCTGCACCCTCCCGTCACAGGTCAGCATCTTGGCAGCTCTGCAGCGCAGGAGGCGGAGGCTGAGACTGGACACGGGCGTGAAAGGAGACCTGGGGGCTGAGAAAAGCACATGAGCCCCGGGGGACAAAGAGGATGATGGGAGGCAGCCCCTGGGGCCTGGGAGCCGGCCAGCAGGCGAGGAGCCTGGGAGAGGAGAGGAGGCTCTGGGATCAGGCCAAGCCTCGGCGAGGACTCAGGCAGCGGTGGGTGGGCTGGGAGGGGGCGCGGGGTAGGCAGGGGAGCCCTGGGGCCTGTGTGTGTCCTGTGTCTCGGCTCAGCACGGTGGGGCCCCGACAAGCAGGGCTTTTGCAGTCGAAGATTAGGTAAAGGTGGGGACGCGGAGATAGTCACTGTGGGAATAAGTGAAGACCACCCACAGGGCAAAGTGAAGGCTTCAGTGCTGGCACAGCATGGCAGGTGCCCCGTCAGGTCAAAGGCCTGCAGGGAGCAGCAGGGCTTCCTAGTGGAAGAGGGGAGGCCCGAGTGGGCTGAGTGGGGGCTGCTGGCCTGGGGAGGCTGTGGCGGGCTCACTAGAGGCCGGCCTCCTCTGGGCTTGGCTAGGGTCCTATGCTGGAGGAAGGGACAGACATTCCAGGGGAGGCTGCCTGTGATGAGGCAGGCCCCGGCTGTTAGGGGCCGGATGCCGTGGGGAGTGCCGTCTGACCTCCTGGGCTGCCCACTGGGGATAAAGGGCTGGGTTCCCGGCTGGGCTGCCGGTCCTGAGTTGCGTTCCAGTTTTCCACATGGTCTGGCCCCTGCCGTTTGTATATTCAGCCTCTCAGGCCAAAAATTAAGTAAAGGCGAGGACACAGGAAGTCATCTCCAGCTGGGAGTATTGCCCAGAATGGGGGCCCAGCCTTCTGTTTCCATGGGGAGGAGACAAGCCCAGCGCACCCAAGCAGGGGTCTCACGGAGACGCCCCCTAAAGCCAGGGTCCCAGCGAGTTCCACAGTCAGGCGGAGGCTCCACGAGACCCCCTGGGCAAAACAACCAGCCCTGAACCCTGGTGCTCAGCGGAGAAGCTGTCTCTACAGCAGCCACAACCACAGGTTGGGCCTGCAGACCCCCAAGTGGAGGAGTTAAACGGTGCTGGGCCGGGGGTGCTCCAAGCACGTGAATTCCTTTAATAGGAACTGAAACATGGATAATCTGCCCCCCACACCACACACACACATCCACATACATCCACATGCACACACAAGCACATATGACACACATACAGCACACACATAACATGTATACACACATAACACATATACACACATACACATACACACATACACATACACACATATACACATGTACACAAGTACACACAGCACATATATATACAGTACACACATATACACATAACACACACATACATGCACACACAACATACACATATGCACACACAACACACCCATAGAATACACACATATACACATACATGCATGTGCACATAATACACATATACACTATACACAATACACATGTGACATGCACGTAACACACATGTGCACACAATGCACACACATATGTACACACCGCATGCATATACATATACACATATACATAACAACACACATACATGCATACACAACACATGTACCCACATGTACACATGCACAAACCACATGTAACATATATAGATACATGCATGAACACATATATACACATACACGTATACACATATACATACACAATATACATACATATACACACAACACACACATATGCATATAAATGTATAATATGCATGCACATATATACACATACTCATATCCATATAATACACACACACACACACACACACACACACACACACACACACACACACAGTCTTCCTGCAGCCTGGAACGTGTGGCCTGTGCTGGGGTTGGGGTGTGAGTGAGGCCGCAGGGCAGCTGGCATTACTGCGAGCCTGGACCCTGTGGCTGGGAGCGGGACACAGCACATAGACCCTCTGGCATGAGTCCTAAAGGCACCCACTCCTACCCTAGGGGCAGCCATGGGGTCCTGGGGCTGCGCTAGGCCCTGGCAGGGGCAGCCCGCCCCCGTCCCCTGCCTCGGCCCCTTCCTGGCGGCCCCCACTCACTCTGGTTCATGCAGGAGCGGTACAGCGTCCTGGCCTTCTCCACAGCCGGCCGGTCCTTGGCAGTCGAATTCTCCAGCACCGCTGTGGGCACAGGAAAAGGTTGGACAGAGGCCTGACGAGGCTGCAGGGGCCAGGTCACAGGTCCCTACACCCCCTGAAGTGCTCGGCGAGAGGCGGCCCCCCAGCTGCTGGGTCTTTATTCCCTCTCCTCTGCGCCCACTGGACCAAGGAGGAAGCACAAACAGGGGCGAGACACAGCCAGGACCAACTCCTGGCCCGGTGCTGTCCTGTTCGGCGTCACCCCACTGCACCCCCGGCCGTGCTCTGCCACCTTTGAGGATGACCTCCAGCTCGTCGCGGAGGACGTCAAAGATGCTGTATCTTGAGTTGGTCTCAGGGATCACGTGGCGCCGCAGCCAGCCTCCGCATGCAAACTGGTAGAAGTCGTCACACGGTTCCGTGGTCGGGTCCATGTTCTGGAGGATCCTGGCAGCTGCTCGTCCCCATGGCGTGGAGCAGGGAGAGGGGAGACAGAGAGAGTTGTGGACAGCCCAGAAGCCTGTCTCCCGGTCCAAGACACAGCCTGGTCCCTTGGGAAGGGGCTGCTGTCCATCCAGTCGCAGCTGTGTGCCCAGGGAGAGTTAACCACCCTCTCTGAGCTGCAGAGAGGGAATCCCCCAACCTGGATTCAGTGCTAGGGTTTTCACTTATTTATTTTTAGAGACAGGGTCTCACTCTGTTGCCCAGGCTGGAGTGCAGTGGCGTGATCACAGCTCACTGCAGCCTTGAACTCCTGGGCTTAAGCAATCCTCCCACTTCAGCCTCCTGAGTAGCTGGGATAACAGATGTGTGTCTCCTCTCCCGAATGCCTTTTTAAAAAATTTATTTTAGAACAGGGTCTCGCTGTGTTGCCCAGGCTGGTCTGGAACTCCTGGGCTCAAGTGGTCCACCTCGGCCTCCAGAGTTGCTGGGAATTCAGGCATGAGTCGGCTGGGTTTTCACTTATTAACCACTTGATCTTGAACCCCAAACCCTCCGAGACTCATTTCCTTGTCTGTGAATCCGGGAACACCAGCGGTCTGACTTGCAGGCTGAGGCGATGGCTGAGATGGTGCCAGCTCACAGGAGGTGCTCAGCTGGTGACCATGCCCTGTAAGCCGGGCCCAGCTCCTGGCTGTCCGCCAGGGCCTTTCTGTTCTGACTCTGCCCCCTGCCCCCTCACTCATCAGTGTGCTTGGTCCCCAGAGGGAGGGACGACTCTTACCACCATGGGGGTTTGTATTCTGCTAGAGGGGTTGGCTTTGCCCCAGGAACCCCGAATGTGCACAGGACAGGGGAGACCCAGGCTTCCCACTGAACGCTTTCAACTGGGGTAGCTGGGCTGCACCCCCCGACCAAGAACCGTCCCTCAAATTCTGTCCAACTTGGTCTTGGCCACTCCACCTCTGGGGCTGGGGACCTCACGGAAGGCGTGTCCACAGGCCCCCCAGCCCCCAGCACGGGCAGAAAAGCCACAGTCCAGAGCTTCTCCACTATTGGCGCTTTCACAGCATGTTAACAGTTTTTGTCATCTGCAAATAGCGGTACCTGACCCCCAATTTTAAGACAAATGCCTGGGAGAAAATCTGAAATAAGAAAGTGGCTATTCATTGAACCTTTCTTTCTATAAATGTGGACAAAAGCCGCTGGGGTTCTTGGCACGGGATGCTGTTGCTGCAGGGCCTGGCTGCTGGAGGCTGGGGACTGGGGGCCCAGCGGACGCCAGATGCCAGAAACACCAGCTCCGCCCGCTCCACAGCGAGTCCGAGTCCGGCCCACCCGGCTCCACCGCCCGCCGTGTCTTGGAGTTGCTTCCCTGGGCCTTGGGCGGGGCCTACGTCAGTGTCAGCCGGGAGCCCCCAGCCCTTGGGCAGGCTGTGGACGGCAAGGGGGCGGGGCTTACCTGCTATCACGCAGCCAGGGGTGGTGCAGACCTCGCTCACCTCTTGGGCCTCTGGGATCCCTGCGGGCAAGGAGCAGCCTGAGCACCGGGAGCCACGGAGAGGGTGGGGCAGGACTGGAGTGGGTGTGGGCGGGGCAAGGTCTGGTGGGTGTGGCATGGGGATGGGCATAGACTGGGGTGGGCGGGGCAAGGTCAGGGTGGGTGGAGCATGGGCTGAAGCCAGTAGGGCAAGGCCAGGGTAACCAAAGCATAGTCTGGTGGGGGTGGGGTGTGGCCCTCCACCCCATCTTCCATCCCCATGGGTGGTCCAGCCTGGCAGCCCAAGTCCTCCCCAGGTGGCCCAGGCCTGAGGCCTTCAGTGATAGTGAGCTTCGTTCTTTGTCCTTGACCGCTGCAGGGACCTGGGAGCCCCTTTACACCCTCTGCCTCCATGTACCCCCACAGCTGCCCCAGGCCCCAAGGGCTGAAGCCGGCCATTCTGCCCTCCTGCCTTCTGCCCAGCCCACTCTCACCTGCTGCCAGGGCCAGCTCCTCCAGGCAGCCTGCCTTGCTGCCCCTCTCTGCATGCCCTGCCCCGGCCTGCCCCACCCCTGTGCCAGCTGGTGGAATTGAATGTGCTGAGGCCACGCAGGAGCAGGTGCGGAGTGTCCACAGTGCCCAGTAAGCCTCCTGCGTCCAGCAGGTGCACCCAGCTGAGGTCCCTGCCACTGTCCTCTCCCCATGGCCCTCCTCCGGCACATGAGGGTTGGGCAGAACCCAGCCCCTGCCCCTCCACGGAGTCCCCCCACCTTGGGAGGCCAGCGCCCACCTGCCTGGGGCTGTTTTGGAAGGGAAGGCAAAGGCTACCTCGGGGTTTTCGTTTTACAAAGGTCCTCTCCTCCTGTAAGAAGCACAGCCGGCTAGCAAGGCGTGGCAGCTGCTTCCCTGGGGAGAAACACAGCGCTCAGCTGCGGCCTCCTGCCTGCAGCTCCCTGGGGGTGCTGGGGGCCTCCCTGGGTCAGCACGCCATCTTCCCACAGTGCTGGGTGCTGCAGCCCTACCCCTGTAGTGAGGGCTGGTCCCCAGGGCAGCGAGACAGGAGATCCACAGAGTTCACTGCAGGGGCCAGCTTCAATCTGTGTCCTGCTGGGCTTGAATGGGGGGCGGTTTGCCCTGCCTTGCCAGCCCCACCCTTTAATTCTCCCTCCACCCACCCCAAGGTCCCCGATGTGCCAGGGCCTAGAGGGGTCCTGAGGTGAGACCTTCCTCTTCCCGACAGCCTCCTCTACCTCAGGATCTTCCTGACCCTGACAAGGCCCACACAAGGTGGCACGCTCCTGGAGTCCCACAGGGCAGGCTCATTTAGAGGGACAGGGCCTTTTCAGAGAGGGTGGCTTCCCACTAATGACCCTTGTCCCTAGCCCCTCCACCCTCACTGCTGCTGAAGGTGCCAAGCCACCCTCCCTCCATCTCTCTACTGCCTGCTGGGAGGGGCCTGCCTGGTCAGCATCGGGGGCTCCTGGGATGGCTGTCAACTGCCTGGAGAGATGTATGGGAGAGGAGGGTGGGATGGAGAGAAGAGGGGACCCCAGGTCCAGAGAGGTGACAAGCCAGGCCTGGCTACCTTCAGACCTGGCTTGTGGCCGAATTTCCCCAGCAGTGAGGTACACAGAGGACTGAATGGAAGGAGGGAACAGGGCTCGTTCAGGTCAGGGCTGTTGGCAGGCCTGGAACCTGGCCTAGCCCTGGGCAGAGACTGCAGAGAGGGTGCTAGAAGCCACAAAAATATCAGCTCCTTGGGGGCCTGGCCATTCAAAAAGCCATTAGTGAAACACTGGATGATGACTGTGAGCCAGGCCAGATGCTGCAGTTCAGATGTGAGCCTGACAGGGCCCAGCCCTCAAGGAGCCCCCCGCCCGGTGGAAACAGGGAGAAAGTGCCGCATGCTGCATACACCGAGGTAAAGTGCTGAAGGGCAAGGCTGAGCTTCAGAGCAAAGGAATCCCCCAGGCCAGCAACGGAAAGGAGGTGGTGAGTGCGAGCGGAAGGCATGGCTGCCCTGTGGTGTTTGCCAATTGCAGTAACCCAGAGCCTATGGACCAGAGACTGGACTGTGGACTCCAGAGGGCCTCACCTCAGCAAAAGAGTGGATTCGAGGGACATCACCTCTGACCAAAGTGGTGACAAGGAGGGCAAGGGCTTTCTGCTTCTGATTAGGATGCAGAAAGTTGAAATTGACTGTGGCCCCCACCCTAGCCAGGAGAGCAAGCTGGAGAACCTACAGCATGGGCACTTTTAGAAACCCACGAGAGCTGAGGACATAGAGAAACCAGCATGAGTCAAATTCCAGGGAGGAATGAAGCCTTCCCAGGAGAGGAGAGGCCTGTGGCTGCATTGCCTTTGGAGTCAAAGCATGAGGAGGGGCACATGCGCCTGGCAAGGACGTTCAAGCATGGCGGCATACGTCTGTAGTTCCAGCTACTTGGGAGGCTGAGGTGGGAGGACTGCTTGAGCCCGGGAGGTTGAGGCTGCAGTGAGCTGAGATTGCACCACTGCACTCCAGCCTGGGAGACAGAGTGAGACCCTGTCTCAAAATAAAAACAAAAACAAAAAACAAAAAACAAAAAACTATGAGCTACATACTGTCTGATTCCAATTATGTGACATTCTGGAAAAACAAAACTTTAGAGAGGAGAGATGTTAAATAGTAGTTGCCAGGAGTTTGGGAAAATGGATGTTGAAGAGGTTGAATAGGTGAAGAACAAGGGAGTTTTGGGGGCAAAAAATGACAAATAGTGAATGCATTTGGCAGGGCAACTATTCTGTACGATACTGTGGTGGTGAATGGTGAACCCATTTGTCAAAACCCACAGAATGTTATAGCACAAAGAGTAAACCTTATTGTATGCAAAGTTAAAAAATTATTTAGACTGTCAGGGGAATCCCAGGATGAAACGCAGAATGAGACTCAAGACAAATGTATAAAACAATCTCACTGAAATGGATAGGGGAATAAAGTGTTGACCTAAGTAACTTTAGAAATGAGTAGAGTCTATGAGACTAAAGCAAAGGAAGCTGTACATAAGCGCTGTACTCTAGTTGATAAAGTTGTCCTACATGGGATCCCAGCTGAACTCTGAAACCACTGCACATGTACATTGGAATGGAAAAAGTAAGTGGATAGCAGGTGGCTGGGCTTATTGCTGCTGCAGTGAGAAGTTACAGACAAGGAAAGGAGGAAGTCAGAATGGTCCATGTGGTGGTGGAGTAGAGTTGGAGACAACAGTGTGAACTCATTTTTAGCTTAATATAGATGCAGATGGTTGCATATATAAATATTTATAGATATGAGTATCTAGATGGGTTCATGTATACATACATATTCCTTTGCTCTGCCAGGTGAGCTAGACTAGAAGCAACACCAACCAAGGAGTAGCAATAAGCAAAGAATAGGACCCAGCTCTTGGTTTCTGTTTGTTTTTCAGACACCACATTATCCTAGAAGCTGTTGGTTTTTGATACCATTATCCGATAAAAGAAGCCAGGGCTCCTTAGAAAAATGGTTGATTATACAACTGGGGTAGGAAACATACGAGATGAGCTTGGAGCATGTTGAAATGTCAAAAAGTAAGAAAGTGCTCCCCCCCAAAAAACTCACCCCAAATTCACGATAATGGGGATACATCAGAGGGTCATAGAAGCAACTGACAACTCCCAATGGCCAGAGTTAGAACAATTTGAGCAATGCAATATAGCAGTGGATTATAATGCAAAGTGTAAAATAAATATCTACAAATCATTGAGTAAATAAATAAATGAGGGAGAATAGATGAATCTCTCATACAGAAGAATGCCAAATACTTTAGGTAGATACTCTGCCTCTAAGGATGTGGAGCATAACTCCCCACTCCTCAGGTGTGAGCTGCACACAGTGGCTTCCTTTCAAAGACTGCACTATGAAAAAGAAGGGAAAAAAGTAACTTGCAGCGCAGAAACCAGACACTACCTCCAGCCAGGCAATTAAGGTTAACATCAACAGTGATAAGTCCAGTCATTGAAAGTGTGCACCTGTGACCTGCGGCCTTCCTCTTCAACACATGTTACCCCAGTCTAATCATGAGAAAACCATTAGGCTAATTCCAACTGAGGGTCATTCCACCTGATCAGTAATCCTCAAGACTGTCAAGATCACAAAAAACAAAAACACAAACAAGAAAACAATGAAAGTCTGAGAAACTGTCACAGCCAAGAGGAGCCTGAGAAGATGTGGCATTCTGGATATGACCCTGGGACGGTAAGAGGACATGAGGGAAAACGGGGAAATGTGAATTGAGTGTGAACTTTAGTTAATAGTAATATTATCACTATTGGTTCACTACTTGTGGCAAATGTATCAGGCTAATGCAAGATGTTCATAATAGGGGAGACTGGGGGTGGGGTATATAGGGATTTCTGTACTATTTTGCAATGCTTCTGTAAATCTAAAATTGTTCTAAATTTTTGAAATATTACGGAAGGAAACCTGAACAGAAGATCTCAGACCTGTAGGACAATGTTAAATGGCTTAACATATATGTAACTAGAGACTCAGAGAGCAATATTTGAAGAGATACTGACCAATAAATATTTAAAGTTGGTAAAAGATATAAATCTACCCCAAGAAGGGCAGTGTATCCCAAGCTGGGCAAATACAAAGAAAACCATCCAGCAGCATCATAGTCAAACTGTGGAGGACTAAAGATAAAGAGAAATTCAGGATTAAGAATTTCAAGACATACTTAAAAGCAGTCAGTGGGGCTGGGCATGGTGGCTCATGCCTGAATCCCAGCACTTTGCGAGGCTGAGGTAGGTGGATTGCTTGAGTCCAGGAGTTGAGACCAGCCCGGGCAACATGGAGAAACCTTACCTCTATAAAAAAATTATAAAACAAAAATTAGCTGGGCATGATGGTGGACACCTGTGGTTCCAGCTATTTGGGAGGCTGAGGTGGGAAGATCGCTTGAGTCTGGGAGGGGGGATGTTCCAGTAAGCTGTGATTATGCCACTGCCCTCCAGCCTGGGCAACAGAGTGAGACCCTAGCTCAAAAAAAAAAAAAAAAAAGCAGACAAAAAAAGACACATTATATTGAGGGGAACAACAGTAAGAATGACGGTGACCTCTCACCAGAAAGAATGAAGGCCAGAAGATGATGGAATGAGCTCTTTAAGTCCTTGAAAAAAACAATAATACATTATCAGCTTATAATTCTATACCCAGCAAAAACATATTTCAAAAGTGAAAGTGAAATAAAGACATTTTAGACCAAAGCTGAGAACATGTGTCTCTACCAGATGTGCCCCACAACAAATGCTAAAAGGTCTTCACTCAGAAGGGACACGAAACCAGTGGGAAGACCAGATTGGTGGGCAGGAATGATGAGCCTGAGAAAGGGTAAAGAGGGAGCAAAGTGTGACGGGAGACCTGGACCCAAACAGTGCCTCTGATTCATTTGTTTCCCATCTAGTCAGATGTATCCAGAACAAATTAGGACAACTGAAGAGGCGAGTTCATGCCTCCTTCATGCCTGCATCCTGCCTCTACAGCTCCCACGGCATTCCCAACATAGGATTTCCCGTAGCCTTGTTGATGGGGGAAACCCCCAAGGAAATTCACCAGATGCTGCAGATCAAGGGCTGCCTGAGGATGTAGTGAGCTCCTGAGCAGCACTTTCAAAACTGAATTAGATGAGCTAGGCATGTTTTTTCCGTGTCGTCCCTTAACTTACAGTGCCTCACTTAATCATCACAAGGAAGCTGGATCACTTGAGGCCAGGATCACTTCAAGACCAGCCTGGCCAACATGGCAAAACCCCGTCTCTACTAAAAATTCAAAAATTAGTCAGGCGTGGCCAGGCGCGGTGGCTCACGCCTGTAATCCCAGCACTTTGGGAGGCCGAGGCGGGCGGATCACGAGGTCAGGAGATCGAGACCATCCCGGCTAACACGGTGAAACCCCGTCTCTACTAAAAATACAAAAAATTAGCCGGGCGTGGTGGCGGGCGCCTGTAGTCCCAGCTACTCGGGAGGCTGAGGCAGGAGAATGGCGTGAACCCGGGAGGCAGAGCTTGCAGTGAGCCGAGATCGCGCCACTGCACTCCAGCCTGGGCGACAGAGAGAGACTCCGTCTCAAAAAAAAAAAAAAAAAAAAAAAATTAGTCAGGCGTGGTGGTGCATGCCTGTAATCCCATCTACTCAAGAGGCTGAGGTGGGAGAATTACTTGAACACCGTGGGTGGAGGTTGCAGTGAGCTGAGATTGCGCCACTGCACTCCAGCCTGGGCGACAGAGCGAGATTCTATCTCAAAAAAAAGAAGCTTGTGAGGTTCCTCATCTCTACTTTTCTTGGGAAAACTGTTGGGGAGGCAAGATCACACACCCAAGGTCACTTTCCTTGGGGGAGTGGCAGGGCATGAACCTCCAGACCCCATACTGGCATTCGACAGCTCTGTTCTTCTAAGAGAAAAAGCAAAAACAGTGAGACCCTTTTGACACAATGGCTGAAAAGAAACAAAATCTTACCCTAATGCTAAAATATGATCACAGGAAACACAGTCAATGATCTCTCCAAAAGGAGATTTTTCTTTTTCATAATTCCAAAAAGGGCAGCTTTCCTGAATACTCAGTTGACACAGGATCTTCTCTTTGTTCTTTTATATTTGCTTGAATAACTTCTGTAATATGCCAATCATTTTGACATAGGCTTTCTACATTTTAAAAACTATTTTTGACATTTCCTCTGAAGGTTTTGTTTTCCTAAAGTTTTCCAAATGCCTTGATTTGAATAAGACCTCTGCCACGGTTTGGATGTGGTTTATTTTTCCCTACCAAGTCTCATGTTGAAATGTGATACCCAATGTTGGGGGTGGGGCCTGGTGGGAGGTGTTTGGATTGTGGACCTGATTCTTCATGAATGGCTTGGTGCCCCTGAGTGGCTTGAAAAGAGCCTGGCACCTCTTCTCTCTCTCTCTCTCTCTTTCTCTTGCCATATGACCTGCATGCACAGGCTCCCCTTTACCTTCCACCATGAATGGAACAGTCTGAAGTAGATGGGGAGCCATGCTTCCTGTGCAGCCTGCAGAACCATGAGCCAAATCCACCTCTTTTCTCTATAAATTACTCAGTCTCAGGTATTCCTTTAGAGCAACACAAATGGACTAAAACAATCTTGATGTAAATAATTTACATTTTTTTCTTTTCCCTCTCTTCTCCATCCCTCTTTCAGAAGAAACAAAGGCACAAAGAACTTCACAGAGTGGAGAAAGAAACACCCTCCCTGGAGGATGTGTAATCACAGACGGCTTGTCATGCCATTGCCGAGTTTACAGAAATGTGTGGCCAAGGAAACCTCTCGCGGAGAAGCCAATTTAAAGAAACTCCAGGCTGGTAGTGTCCTAAGGTGCCTGATGAAAACAAATACATATTCTCCAGAGGGAACATTTCTCAGCCCAATAACACAGGATCCCCATAGATAAAAGCCAATTTGAATATGTATTTACATTTTTAAAAAAGAAAATCTTACATTAGTGAGAGAAAACAAACAGCAAAACCAGAACCCCAAAGATTGCCAATTAGGAATGATCTGATCCAGAACGTATGGAAGCTGGCACCACTGGCCCTGGATCTGAGTCTTCTCTGCATCCGTGCCTTGGCCATGTGACTCCGTAGTTGCTCCCACAAAAGGGACAAATTATTTTTTTTCTTCTATCTCTTGACTGTGCGTGGCCCAAGTGACTTGCTTTGGCCAACAGAATGAGGTGGGAATGACAGGGTTCCAGTTCTGAGCCTGGGCCCTAAGAGGGCTTTCATGTTTTCACCTGTCCTTTTGGATTTCTTTCACTGCCAGGAGAGGGATCTGCGCAGGAATGCTTGCTGGGCTCTGGTAGGAGGATGAAAGTTACATGGACAGAGCACCCCAGCTGAGCCCAACCTAGGTCAGATGACCCCAGGCAAACAGTGGAGGTGCCTCACAATAAATCATTGTTTTATGCCAGTGAGTGTTGGGCTGGGTTTTAAGACCCCAACTGCTAAAATAAAATAACGTAAGTACGTTTGAAATGCTTCAAAAAGAATCAAAACTAGGCCAGGTGTGGTGGCTCATGCCTGTAATCCTAGCACTTTGGGAGGCCAAGGTGGGCAGATCACTTGAGGTCAGGAGTTTGAGACCAGCCTGGCCAACATGGTGAAACCCCGTCTCTACTAAAATTACAAAAATTAGCCAGGCATGGTGGCGGACACCTGTAATCCCAGCTTCTCAGGAGGCTGAGGCATGAGAATCACTTGAATCCAGGAGGCAGAGGTTGCATGGATCCAAGATCGTGCCACTGCATTCCAGCCTGGGCGACAGAGTGAGACTCTATCAAAAAAAAAAAAAAAAAAAATCAAAAGCAAGAACAAGGAACAATAAAAAATCAATTTGAAAAAGGATCCATTGTAAATTCTAGAAATAAAACCACGTAGTTGTTGAGATTTATAAAACAAAAACAACTACAAACCCAAAAGGCTGAGTTAAGCAACAGACATAACAGAACAGAAGATTTAGTGAAATGAAGTGTAGTTCTAAAGAACTGACCCAGAATGCAGGAGAAAGTCAACAAGATGGAAAATATGAAAGAAAAGCTGAAAGACATGGAGGACAGTGGGAAAAATGGAGCAGATATGCAGTGGAAAATGGAAAAGGAGAGAAAAGGGATATTGTGGGAGATACACCATCCAGGAAGATAACGGGTACAATTTTCCAACATTAATATATGTTATCAGTGCTCAGCTTCAGGAATCACAACAAATCCACAGCAGAATAAATACAAATAATTTCACAGCTAAACAACTCATGATAACAATTCAGAATACCCAAGACAAAGAGAACATAGCTCAAGGAGAAAAGATTGTTCACCCAACAGAGGAGCGGCAGTTAGGCTGACTGTACTTTTCTCTGAAGCCACGTCTGAACAGCAGCAAGGGGAGTCAGAAGGCATGAGAGCTAAATCTTCAAGATATTGAGAGAAAATAACAGCTCAGACTCATTTAACCAATTAAATGATCACTGAAGGACGAGCGCTAAATAAAGTAATTTTCACATAGACAAGAGATAAGAGTTTAATGCTGATAGATTATTTTCAAGCAGGGCTCCCCAAACTTGTCTGATCACAAGCAAGGTCTCAAATGCGTGTGGGATTCAGAGGTCTTACCCTACAAGATTCCCGGGTTTCACTGTTTGGGGCTTGTTATGGACTGACTTTGTGGTTTGAAGCCCTAACCCCTAATGTGACTATTTGGGGATAGGGCCTGTGAGGAGGTTTAAAATCAGCTCAATGGGCAGGGCTGGTGGGGGGCATAATCTGGTA
The DNA here is from genome assembly GCF_000001405.40 of Homo sapiens. Taxonomy (NCBI): domain Eukaryota; kingdom Metazoa; phylum Chordata; class Mammalia; order Primates; family Hominidae; genus Homo; species Homo sapiens. The sequence goes on from NC_000001.11 coordinate 2,620,639, forward strand.
AGTCTGGTGCCCTCATAAGAGGGGGAAGAAATGACAGAGCTCACTGTCTCTTTCCACCACATGAGGACACAGCAAGAAGGTGGCCATTTGGTAGACCAGCTTATTGAAGTGGGAAAACATTTTTAAACAATAAAATAATGAAAAAAAAAAAGCATGGGCCTTGTGGGAAGAAAGCATGAACCAAAAATAAACTAAATTTTCCAGGTGACTGATGGACCCTCCCTTCAGGCAAGGGCATTCCAAAGTTAACCTGAAAAACGAGTTCAGGCCATGATGGGAAGTGGGGGTTGGACATGCCCCATTATACCCTCTTCCCATTGGAATTCAGGCACAGCTGACCAGCATTCACCTTAAAACAGAGACATGCCAGGCGTGATGGCTCACACCTATAATCCCAGCACTTTGGGAGGCTGAGGCAGGAGGACTGCTTGAGCCCAGGAGTTTGAGACCAGCCTGGGCAACACAGAGAGACCCATCTTTACAAAAAATAGAAAAACCTAGCCAGGTGTGGTGGCATGTGCCTGAGGTCCCAGCTACTTGGGAGGCTGAGGTGGGAGGATCACTTGAGCCCAGGAGGTTGAGGCTGCAGTGAGCTGTGATTGCACCACTGCCCTCCAGCCTGAGTGACAGAGTGAGACCCTGTCTCAAAAACAAACAAACAAAACCAGAGACCTTAAGACTGAGAGAACAGACTAAGTCTAATAAGAACTACAATCTATTTTCTCCAAAGCCTGCTACCTGGAGGCTTCACCTATATAATAAGGACCTTGGTCTCCACAACCCCTTATTTTAACCCAGACATTCCCTTCTATTGGTTCCAAGTCTTTAGATAAACTCTTCCAGCCAACTGCTATCAGAAAACCTTTGAATCTACCTGTGATGTGGAAGCCCCTACTTGGAGTTGTCCCACCTTTCTGGACTGAACCAATGCACATTTTTTTTTTTTTGTTTTGGAGATGCAGTTTCATCCATCATCATGCAATGGCACGATCTCGGCTCACTGCAGCCTCCGCCTCTCAGGTTCAAGTGATTCTCCTGCCTCAGCCTCCCGAGTAGCTGGGATTACAGGCATCCGCCATCACGCCTGGCTAATTTTGTATTTTAAGTAGAGATGGGGTTTCTCACATTGGTCAGGCTGATCTCGAGCTCCCGACTTCAGGTGATCCACCTACCTTGGCCTCCCGAAGTGCTGGGATTACAGGTGTGAGCCACTGTGCCCAGCCATATCTTACATGTATTGATTGATGTCTTATGTTTCCCGAAAATGTGTAAATCCAGACTGCAGCCTAACCACCTAGGGCACACGTCCTCAGGACCTCCTGGGGCTGTGTCACGGGCCATTGGTCACTCGTATTTGGCTCCGAATAAATCTCTGCAAATGTTTTACAGAGTTTGACTCTTGTCATTGACAAGAGGGTCTGATTCAGTTGGCATCTAGATCTTGGACTTCACAGCCTCCAGAACTAGGAGGAGAAAATATGTTTCTGTTTTTAAGCCACCTGAGCATTTTGTGACTGTAGCCCAGGCAAACTGAGGGAGGGCCCAATGTCTGGATTTGTAACAATTTCCCCAGGTGATTCCAATTATCAAGCAAATTTGGTCAACACTGTTTTAAACCAGTGCTTCCCTAACATGAATGTGCAGATGAATCACCTGGGGGTCTTGCTGAAATACCAACACCGGTCCTGCGGCCTTGGTTGGACCTTGAGTTTCTGAATTTCTAACAGGCTCCCAGGCAATGGCTGACACCACTGGTCTGTGGGCCACACTTTGAGTAGGAGACTCTGAAGTATGTATTTCAGAAAAAAGAAAAATTATTTAATAAGAACTGCCCAAGATGTAAGAAGAAAGATGCATAATGGAATTCATGAGGATAGGGGAAGATCTGAGTTAACATTGACCATATTAAATAGTAATGTTGCTGATCTGTGGTAGGTAAAAAGTAAGATAGAAACCAAATTCTTGGCCGGGCGCGGTGGCTCACATCTGCAATCTCAGCACTTTGGGAAGCCAAGGCTGGTGGATCACCTGAGGTCAGGAGTTTGAGAGCAGCCTGGCCAACATGTCAAAATCCCATCTCTACTAAAAATACAAAAATTATTTGGGCGTGGTGGTGGGCACCAGTAATCCCAGCTACTTGGGAGGCTGAGGCAGGAGAATCGCTTGAATCTGGGGGCGAAGGTTGCAGTGAGCCAAAATAGTGTCACTTCGCTCCAGCCTGGGTGAAAGAGTGAAACTCTGTCTCAAAAAAAAAAAAAAAAAAAAGTCCAGGAGCGGTGGCTTACCCCTGTAATCCCAGCACTTTGGGAGGCCAAGGTCAAGAGATCAACACCATCCTGGCCAACATGGTGAAACCCCATCTCTACCAAAAATACAAAAAATTAGCTGGGTGTGATGGCACGCACCTGTAGTCCCAGCTACTCAGGAGGCTGAGGCAGGAGACTCGCTTGAACCCAGGAGGCAGAGGTTGCAGTGAGCCGAGATCACGCCACTGCACTCCAGCCTGGCAACAGAGTGACTCCGTCTAAAAAAAAAAAAAAACCAAGTTCTTAACGGCAATAACATGTGAACAGGGTGGGTAGTGGTGCGAAGAGTTAAACTGTTCTAAATGCTTGTATTGTTTGGAAGAAATAATAGAGATATTGATTACTTTAATATTTAAGTTAAATAAGCATAAAAATTTAAGGTAGAGAAGTTCTGCTTTTTGCCGAGGACATCAAAAGCTGCAATTGAATATCATTTCCTTCCGTACAAGAAAAAGCCAAAGAAACTACAAAAAGCACAACTTTTTGGAGCCCATCCAAGACCTGAGGTCAAAGACAATCAGGTAAACAATTTCCGAGTGATAAGGCCCTCCAAGGAAAGGCCGGATATGTAAATTATTTCACTTTGGTCAAGACCTGAGAGTAAGAGATGTTCCAAGTGGGTCAGAAGAAATCAGCTAAAATTTTTCACACATTCTTACAGGCCCAGTGTGGGCTGCTACATGAGTTTGGAGTAGCCGGGAGCCCCCATCACGAAGAGGTTTTCAATCACTCCATGTTCTGTCCACGGCCTTTCCCAGATGCCGATGAGAAAGGCTGGGGCAGGTCTCAGAAGGCTGGAGAGAGCCTCCCTTGGTGGCCCAGGGATGGAGGCAGGGACCTGCTTTGGCTGAGACATGAAACTATACTCGTCTGGCAGGCAGCAAAAGCTTTAAACCACTGAGGCAGGTGTAACCCCTCTCACGCCCAGGAACCAGGCAAATCCCCTGTTCTGTAGGAGGGTCAGGAGTAAAAATCCCCGGCCCATGGAAGGGCAGGAGATCCTTGTGGGCCCAGAATCCTAGACTGACATCAAGCAGTCTCCTGCCTCTAGAGGAGGGGTGGGCAACTCAGGCACAGGGCGAAGCTTGGTTGACATGGGGATGTGGTAGGGATGCCAAGAGGTGCATCCCCAGCCCCAGGTATACTAGGCCTGCCTAAGCCTGAGACTGGGCCACGACACCAGAGAGCCCCCACCTCCAGCCCGAGCCTAGTACTGACCAGCAACAGCAACTCACCACTCACAGAAGGACCAGGGCTTGGGGAGGATGCCCTCTGTGTCATAGGCATCCAGACTGCTGAAGGCCAAGGCTGGAGCAGGCAAGAGGAGAGAACCGTCTGGTCCCCGGGCTGACTTCTCTAAGTGCAGGGAACAGGAGCTCATTGCTGGAGAAACGTGAGTCTGAGGTGCACTGTGGGTAACAACAGCAGTAGAACCCCCAGCCAGCTAACTCCTAACCAGAGGAATTCAATCCCTCACACTCACGCACTGATGGAAGAGGAGGTGTACCTGATTCTGTATATTAGGAAACCGTCCTGCATATACCATTTCAAAAAGACTCATATACCAAATGGTGCAATGTATTATTATGTAAAAATTTAAACACTATTCATGAGGCTCCTGATTTTATGTTTTGACAAATATTGGAGTCTGCAAAGAAGTATCTCAGACCCTCCCACAGCAGTGTATTGTGATGATGTTGCCAATAATACAGAATATTACTAATGACAGCAATAGCTCTTACGTTCTTAACAGTGTGTTCCAGGCCCAGTGCAAATGCTATTGATCTCAGTCTCTACTTGTATCGTCCATTATCACACTGCTAGAAAGAACTACCTGAAACTGGGTAATTTATGAAGAGAAGAGGTTTCATTGACTCCCAGTTCCTCAGGCTGTACAGGAAGCGTGGCTAGGACGCCTGAGGAAGCTTACAATCATGGCAGAAGGCAAAGGGGACGCAAGCACGTCTCACCATGGTGGAGCAGGGGAGAGAGAGAGCGCGAAGGGGGAGGAGCTGCACACTTTCAAACAACCAGATCTCGTGAGAACTCACTCACTATCACGAGAACTGCAAGAGGGAAATCCACTCCCATGATCCAATCACATCCCACCAGGCCTCTCCCCTGACACATGAGGATTACAATTTGACATGAGATTGGGTGGGGACGCAGAGCCAAACTATATCATTCTGCCCCCAGCCCCTCCCAAATCTCATGTCCTTCTCACATTTTGAAACCAATCATGCCTTCCCAACAGTCCCCCAAAGTCTGAACTCATTCCGGCATTAACTCAAAATTCCGAGTCCAAAGTTTCATCTGAGACAAGGTGTCTCGGGCCTAGTGGGCCTGTTTGGATTCTGGAGGCAGCACACTCCTCATCTGGGCGAGTTACTTCAGCCCATTTATCAAGTGATCCAAAAGGCTGCCAGTGTCGAGCGGGGTCCAGAACAGGAGCAGGCTCTGCAACAGGTCCAGGCTGCTGGGCAAGCTGCTCTGCCACTTGGGCTGTATGACCCAGCAGATCCAACGGTGCCTGGAGTGTCAGTGGCAGATAGATAGGGATGCTGTTTGGAGCCTTTGGCAGGCCCCTGTGGGTGAATCACAGCGGAGCCCTCTAGGATTTTGGAGCGGGGCCCTGCTATCTTCTGCAGTTAACTGCTCTCCTTTTGAGACAGCTCTTGGCCCGTTACTGGGCTTTGGTGGAAAGTGAACGTTTGACTACGGATCACCAAGTCACCATGCGACCTGAACTTCCTATCATGAACTGGGTGCTTTCTGACCCATCTAGCCATAAAGTGGGTCATGCACAGCGGCATTCCATCATCAAATGGAAGTGGTATATACAAGATCGGGCTCAAGCAAGTCCTGAAGGCACAAGTAAGTTACATGAGGAAGTGGCTCAAATGCCCATGGTCTTCACTCCTCCCACCCTGCCTTCTCTCCTCCAGCCTGCACCGATAGCCTCATGGGGAGTTCCCTATGACCAGTGGACAGAGGAAGAGAAGACTAGGGCCTGATTCACAGATGGTTCTGCATGATATGAAGGCACCACCCACAAGTGGACAGCTGCAGCACTATAGCCCCTTTCCAGGACATCCATGAAGGACAGCGGTGAAGGGAAATCTTCCCAGTGGGCAGAACTTCAAGCAGCGTACCTTGTTGTGCACTTTGCTTGGAAGGAGAAGAGGCCAGATGTGCGATGCGATTATGTACCGATTCATGGGCTGTAGCCAATGGTTTGGCTGGATGGTCAGGGACTTGGAAGAAGTATGATTGGAAAATTGGTGACAAAGAAATTTGGGGAAGAGGTATGTGGATTGAGCTTTCTGAGTGGTCAAAAACTGTGAGCCTGGGTGCTAGCCACAATCTGATAATGCCTCCTCATGATCTAAACTGTACGATAAAGAGAGAAGGGTTCACAGACCAGGTTTATACACGAGGGGCACTCCAGTCTTGGGGTTGGACTTCTGTAAAAAGCCAGATGTAAATATTTGAGGCTTTGTGGGCCACATACATGCTTCATCTCACCTGTTCAACTTTGCTGTCCTAGCAGGAAAGTAGCCATAGATGATACATAAATGAATGGGTCTGGCTGTGTTCCAATAAAACTTTATATACAAAAAGAAGCAAGGGGCCAGATTTGGCCTATGGGCCATAGTTTGCCAACCCCTGTACTAGAAAATGAATACAGTTGTTTTGGAGGAGTAGAATTCTAGGATGGACATGAGACTGTATTTCTCACTGTCATTTTTGTAAAAACATTTGATTTTATAAAAGAAAGTTTATAACTTTAAAAATAATTAAAACAAAAAAATCTAAGATAACTGTCGAAAAGATAGAAATACAAAACTTCCAAGTTAGTTGAGGGAAAATAGAGGAAATAATGATAGGTTGATCCAAAACAAGGCAAGAAAAGAGAAAAAAACGAATGAGACACACAAAACAACACAATAGGAAACACATACATTTTAGTTGTCCTGGTAATTATAAACCAACAAAATCCTCCAATTAAAAGATAGACAAACCCCCAATCCAGCCATACACGATTGAAAGAGACACATCTAAAGCTAAGGAGATGAAAAGTTTCAAAGAAAAAGAATGGAAAAAATAGACACAGCAAATGCTGAGTAGCTAGTACTCATGTCAGGCTCAACAGGATTTAAGGCAAAAAGCCTTGTTAAGTCAGAAACGGTGACTACACAGTTTCACGAAGTGAAAGATATATTAACTTCATATGTGTATCTTACTACAATATTAAATTTATGAAACTAATTTTATAATTCATACCTAAATTTGCGTTCACATAGTAATATCGCCTTAAATAGGTAAATTAGGTAAGATTTGATGTAACTACAAGAACGGGTGATTCTTTAGTGCAAGATTTTAGCATACACACTTCAGTACATGATTTTAAGAAATCATTTTCTTGATCTTTCCAAATCTTTCATTCTTTTGAGATCAAGAGAATGGAAAAAGAGCCAATATGTAGAAGACTTGATTGATCTAGTGGATGTAGATAGACACCATCACTCAGCATTTGGTGATTGAGCCTATTCCGCAGCACACAGGGCTTATTTATAAAATCGATCAAGTGTTAGCCCCAAAGCAAGCCCAGCAAATATCAAAGAAAGAACCACATAAATAATGGCATAAACCATGGTTTCTGACAACACAGTTAAGTTAGAAATCAATAATTTTAAAAAAGTAACTAAAAACTCATGTCTGGAAATTAAAAAAATTTCTAAATGACTTATAAGTCAATGAAAAAGTCATAATGGAAATGAGAAAATACACAGAAATAAATGATAATAACTGCTTAGAAAACCTTCCACAAACAATCCTGGACTGAGGCCAAGGTCAGCTGTGGGGTCATTCCTGGTGGGGGGTCTTGACGGGGAACAGAGGGCTCTGCCGCCCTGGAGGGAGGGGGTCCAGGGCCCGTTTCCACACTGGAGTGGGTGGAGGCAGGCTTTGCTGAGATCCATGGCACCGTGGGGCACTCCCGAGGCACCTGGCTGGGCAGGGAGGGTCTCTCTGGGATGGGTGGGCTCAGGCCCTTTGGCACGACCCAGAAGAAGAGAGGCCTCCTCCTACCCCACAGCTGGGGGTGTGTGTGGGGTCAGCCTTGTTTTATGAAAGCCTGGAAAGCAGGTGTTTTGAGCCCAGCAGGCTCTGAACAGAGCTTCCCTTGGGCTCTGGGTTCCTCAGTGTGAGTGAGCCTTTCCCTCCCCCACTGCCCACCGCCCATGGAGGTCGCAGGACCCCTCTGTCCCAGGGGAGACCCTAGAGGGCCAGGGGCTGCGGTCTGGGCAGCAGCCACACTGTACAGTGGCCAGCCATGCAGCCCCGGGCCGGGACGCCCTGCACATCCACAGGCAGCACCCACTTCTGCTTCACAGACACAGCCTCCCGCAGGGGTGGAGGGATGGTCCCAGGCAGTGCGCAGGGCTCCAGACATGAGGGGGCATTCTAGTAACACAGGCTGAGGCGCCCCATTGTTGGACCTGGGGTGCGAGGTCCGCCATGAGCTCTGAGTCCGGTGCCTGCCACGGTGGGAGCGCCCTACGCACCTGCCCCGGGGGTGAGCATTGCTCCCCGATGTGTGCGCGCTGCCCGGTCTCAGAGGGACCAGGGCTGTGCCTGCGGAGGGGCTGGCAGGGGCGGCTGGAAGGTGACCAGGTCTACGGGTGCCTGGGAGCCCCTGAACCAAGAGGGGAGATCAAGGGAGGGGCCGGCGTGGGGGCGGGGGGAGTGTTCCCGGGACAGCCGGGGGCGGGGGGAGTGTTCCCGGGACAGCCCGAGGTTCCAGCGAGCAGCCCTGGCCACGCCTTTGTCTCCGTGGGACCCCAGACTGGCCCCTTCCCGCCGTGGTCCCGTGACCTGACCCGGCCTTGAGCGGGGCGGGGGCGGCAGGACCCTCAGGTCTCTCCGCAGGATGGCAGCGGGGGAGTGAGGCAGCCAGGTGAGCCCGGGCGGCGGGAGGGACACGGACGCCGGTGGTCCCCAGCCGGGGCTGCGCGGCCAGGCAGGGAGGGGGTGGGCGGAGGGGCGGGCGACGGGTCTGCGCCCCCCACCCTCCGGGAGTCCGGCGGAGGCGGAGGCGGAGGCGGAGGCGGGCGGGTGCGGAGCTGCAGAAGCAGCGCGCGGGAGTCGGGGCCGGGGCAGAGCTTTCTGGAAGGGACCGCGGGCTCCCTGCAGGTCAGTGCCCCTCCCGCCGCCTCTGAGTCCGCAGCTCGGCCCCGGGAGCCCCTGGGTGCCCAGTGCAGACCCACCTGCCCCATCTGACGGGCGGGCTCGGGCTGGGGGCAGGCGGACCCTGCAGCAGGTGCAGCGGGGCGAGCGCGGAGAGCGGGCACGGGGACAGGCGGGGGCGGGGCACCCGCACTCACCTCTGCGGTCGGCGTAGAGGACACCCAAGGCCACCAGGGCAGCGGTCACCAGCAGCAGCAGCAGCAGCAGCCCCCCCTCCAGGAACCCCGGGCGCTTCTGCCCTGCACGGCCGGCGCTCTCCACCATCCCCACTGGGCCTTCGGACTTCCCCATCAGCAGGGCTCTGGACGGGAGAGCACCGCGGAGGAACCTGCAGGCCCAGGGCAGGGGAGAGGGGAGAGGGGCGTGGAGCTCCCCGAGCCCGGCCCGAGGCTGGAAGGGCCGGATGCTGGCTGGGAGCGGGCGCTGGGTGCCTTTGGAACACTCTTCCCGTCTCCCTCTCCAAGCTCACAACCCTGGGTGACTGGGTCCCGGGACTTTCCACACTACCCCTGGGCCGGAATCTCTGAGTGCATGGAGGTTCTAGGACTGGGATGCTCCCAGCTTGGGGTCGCAAGCTGGACCCAGGAGGCTCAGCTCCTGTGCTGTCAAGGGACTCCTGTAGTGGAGCCCCCCCCCTGGGCTGCTCATGCTGGTTGTCTTGGAGCTGTGGGCCTGAGCGCTAGGTCAGGGACGCTGTCGGGGAGGCCACTTGGGCTTCTGGGCTCCCAGCCCACCTTTCCTGTTGAAGCCCAGAAGCCAGTGATGGGCGACACCAGAACAGTAGGTACCCACACAGGCGGTGACTACGTGGGCCAGGAAGGGATCTGCAGGGCCAGGCAGGCTTGAGTCTCAACCCTGGCAGCCACCTGGCTGGTGTGCAGCTCTGGTCGTCCCCTGACCCTGTTACTATGGAGGGGACACCTTCTGGAGCCAGCAGGGCAGTGGGCAGCACTTGAAGACACACACGGCTGGGCACAGGCTGCTGCTGTAGGCAGGACAGGGAGCTGGGCAGGAAGGGTTGGGGCACAGGACACTGGACTCAGGAGGCTCCCAAGTCTGCGTGCTCCAGTGTGCGTGTATGTGTGGGAGTGTGAACCTGAGTGTACACATGTGTGCAAATGAGTGTGTGCATGTAGTTGGGCGTGTGCATGTGTATGACTGTGCGTGTGTGCATATGTTCTGATGTATGATCGTGTACACACACGTGTGCACATGTTCTGGTGTGTGCATGTGCATGACTGCATGAGCGTGAACGTGTGTGTGCGCTCTGGTGTGTGCATGTGTGTGTGTGCACGTGTGTGCGTGTGCTCTCGTGTGTGCGTGTGCATGATTGCGTGGATATGCACTGTCTACGCTCATGTGTGCATGTGTGTGACTGTGAGTGAGTGTGCACGTGTGTGTCCTCGTGTGTGCATGTGTGTGACTGCACGTGTGTGCCTGTGCTCGCGTGTGTGCGTGTGCATGATTATGTGTGCGGATATGCACGTGTGTGCGTGTACACTCGTGTGTGCACGTGTGTGACTGTGTGATTGTGCACGTGTGCGTGTGCTCTCATGTGTGCATGTGCATTATGTGGATATGCACGTGTGTGCCTGAGTGTGCACGTGTGTCCTCTCGTGTGTGCGTGTGCATGATTATGTGCGTGGATATGCACCTGTGTGCGTGTACTCTCGTGTGTGCATGTGTGTGACTGTGCATTGTGTGCGTGTGCTCTTGTGTGTGCATGTGCATGATTGTGTGCGTGGATATGCACGTGTGTGCGTGTACGCTCGTGTGTGCACGTGTGTGACTGTGATTGTGCACCTGTGCGTGTGCGCTCATGTGCATGTGCATGATTGTGTGTGTGGGTGTGCACGTGTGTGCGTGTGCTCTGGTGTGTGGCTGTGCATGTCTGTGTGTGTGTGCACATATGTGAGCACATGCATGGATGTGCACATCCCTCGCTGGCACTCGGAGCCCTGCTGGGAAGTTGCCCGGTCCTAGGGAAGCGGCTGGGTGCTTTGGCCTTCCAGCACTTTCAGTCGTCACACGCAATCACACACCTGCTGTGCTGAGCCCCAGCTTAGCCCTGTACCAGGCAGGGCGGATAATGTGGGAGCAGCGAAAGGAAGCCAGGCCCAGTCCTGCCTGTGGGTGGGTCAGGGACTGGCTGCTGAGACTGCCAGCACCTGGGCTAAATGTGCTTCCGCCCCCCTGTACCCCACCGCCCCCCTGCTGTGGACTTTGCCTGAGTTCTGTCCCTGACTCCCTGGGAGATCCTAGATGTCCCTTAGCCTGTCTGGGCAACACCCTGCAAAGGTGGCTGGGCCAGCTCATTTCAGCGACTCCTCCAGAGATCCCTGACCTCTGGCTGTGTGAGGAGCGGGGACGGGGACCTGGACCTCACTCCTCTCCTCCAGGTCCCTCGCTCCTCCCTTCCTGTCCCCTCAGCCACCTCTCTCAGTCCCTGGCTCTGTGAACCGCAGCGTTCATGCATCCACACACCCTCAGATGCTTCCTTTGACGCCCTCTGCTGTGCCCCTAGACACCCCTATCCCGCCACTGGCTGAAGCTGGACTTTGGAGCCATCTGCCTCCCTTGCCTGCGTCCACACCCCGCGCCAGTCCTCAGCCTCCAAGCCCATCTCAGTCGGACCCTTTCTCATTCCTGCCACTCGCTGCCTGTTCCAGGCCCCACCAATCACCTCCCCCTGAGGGGTCTGTCTCACCCACTGATCCCCACCACAGGGGCCCAGGGGCCTGTAACTAGAATCAGAGGCCGTCACTCCCTGGCCCCTGGTAGCCAAACCCTTGGAGGAAGAGCCGGGCCTTGCCCTGATGTCAGGACCCTCTTTGGCCCTCCTCCCCTCTCACTATGCCCTCCCCTTACCCTCAGGCAGGCCCACCAGGTTTCTCCCCCCACCCTCCCCACCCACCCAGGCAGGCCTCCCAGATTCCTGCCAAGCTCCCCTTCCCAGTGGGGCCTTCCTTGGCTCGGCCTCGGGTTCAACTCGGGGAGCCCCAGCCCCTCCCCTGCTCTGTGTCTCTCCAGGGACTCCCAGCTCCACCTCCACATCTCCTCGATACTTCTGCAGCCCCCTGGGAACGTCAGCTCCACGGGCAGGGGCACCCTCTGTGGGGGCCGCTTCACCTAGACTGGCACCCCCACCCCAGAGACCTCGGTCATTATCTGTTGGGTGAATGAATGAATGAATGATGAATGAATGGATCAATCATTTGGACAAGTCTGAGCTCAGCTTCCACGAACTTCTTTCTTTGGTCAGAATTAATGAATCTGCTCCTGCGTCCTGAATTCATTCTGTCCTGCAGGTATCCACAGACGGCTCCATGTGCCCCACGGCACACACAAAATAAACACCTTCAAATTGAGCCAAGTACCCGGGGCAGGTGTGGAGTGTCTGCTGAGGCGAAGGCACTGCGGCTCCCTGGGGACACTCGTGGCCTCTCCAGGTTACTACAGATGGGGGACAGCGGGTCCTTTGGGTAAGATAAACCGTATGCCAGAGGGGGCTGCCTGCCCTGGCACAGGCGAGACTGCACACAGGACGCCCTGCCCAGCCTCCTGAGAAAGGGGCTGAGCGCCTGGAGAGGGTTTCAAGGCCCAGGAGAGGGCCTGGAGAGGGTTTCAAGGCCCAGGAAAGCAGGCCGGGTACCTTCCTTCAGCACAACTCACCTTTGCTCACTCAGGAGTGGCTGCCGCCCACAGTCAGGCCCCTGGAGACTGGGTCCCAGTGGGTTGGAGTTGGGGTGAGCTGGGCCAAGTGGGTGGATTTCCAGGGACTGGGATGGGAGAGCAGTGGCTTGGGGCTGAGTTGAGGCTGCCTGAAGGCTTCTGGGCCTCCTTTGTGATGCAGGCATGGGCTCCCTGGAGGCGGTGACTCCTGCTCACAGTCAGGAGGTTCCACTGGGGGTGTGGCATGGGGGGAGGGGCTGAGGGCAGCTTCTTGGCACCCGGGCTGCCCTGCCTCATGGGTGCCCTTCTCAGGGCCTCTGGCCCCGCCTCCCAAGCCGCCCTCCTTCCTTGCTTCTGTCTCCTGACCTTTCAGTCCAAAGGGGCCCCAGGGGCTGCTGGGAGGAAGGTCAGGCCCTTGTCCTACTCCACACCCTCTGCTCTGCCCCTAACCACCCGGTGGGGGGTTACAAAGGCCCCACCCTGGGTGTTCTTTCTCTTCAATCTCCAAGGAGGATGGTGGGTTCTGGGGATCTTGCCAAGGTGCAAGGGGAAGGGGTGGTCCTGAAGGGGGTGGGCGCTGGCTGCCAGGAGGGTCCCACCCAGAGATACTAGCCTGGGTTTGGCTGCTTCCCTCTGCCCACAGAAAACTCATGAGGTTCAGACCTCAAGCTACAGAGGGTGGGCAGCCCTGGCCGGGGAGCTGGCAGAAGGGCTCTGTGGCTTCTGAAGGGTTCGCAGTGATCAGAGTGTGAGCCCTGCACCCAGCCCTGCTTGCGGACGGGGGTTCTGGGCAGAGCAGTCTCTGTCTGATTCTCCAGGCCTGATGAGGTTTCTAGCTTCTGTTTCAGAATCCCCAGAACGAGTCCTCCTGCCCAGGCCTTGGGCATGTGTCAGGGCATCTGGGCAGGGCTGGGCCACAGAGCTAGGGGTCCCACGGCAAACTGCTCCTCACGGCCGCCCCGGCCAGGTCTCCCACGCTGAGTGCTGTTGGAAGCTTTGTCTATGGCCCTTTAGGTTGGCCAGGCCCTGGGAGGAGAAAGGCTTCGAGCTGCAGCCAGGCTGGGATCAGATCCCAGACACCACCCTGAGCCCGGGAAGTCTCTCCCTGGGGCCCGCTGGCTGTCCTAGCAGCCCCCTGCCATCACGCCCAGCAACCAGCCCAGGAGCTGCAGTCTGGCCTCAGGCTGCCTGGGTTGCTGGCCCAAATGGAAACAATGTCAAGGCCAGCCAAGCAGGAAGCTGGGACCGCCCTTTCTGGGGAGCTGGGAGTGGGCCAGGGTCCAGCCTGGCTGGAGGCTCCTGCTATGGGGAGAGGCCAGAGCCTTTCCGAGCCCACCTGCCCGACAGCCCTGGTGCCAGCAGGCCCTTTCTGGATGTCACAGTGTTCTTGTCTCTAAGGTACAAATCCACAGAGGGAGAAACAGATGCAGGGGCCTGGCCTACTCTCAGCAGGGGCTCCCTGGACTCTGAACCGACTCCCCAAGGCTGGCCCTGTGCATGCTCCTCCTTCCCGAACCCCAGGCCTGTCCAGCCCAGCAGCCCCCAGCCTGGCCCAAGGCCACCTGGTGACCTGGGCTGCCAAACTTGGGACCCCTTATTCCCAGGTTCTCCCTACTTCTAGGTGACAGCAGGAGGCTTGGGTCCTAGCCTGGCACCTGCCAGACAAGAGAAACTGGGAAAGGAGGCTAAAGGCCAAGGAGGCTGCAGACCCCGAGACCTACCCCGGTCACTGGACACTCACAGATTTGCAGGTGCCCAGGGCAGTGCAACCCAGCCGCCCCAAACACCTGCACAGATGACTCTCTCCCCAGACACCCGCACAGACCGTCCCCCCAGACACCCACACAGACCATCCCCCCAGACACCCACACAGACCATCCCCCCAGACACCCACACAGACCATCCCCCCAGACACCCGCACAGACCATCCCCCCAGACAACCTACACAGAATAAACTGTCCCCCCAGATACCTACACAGACCATCCCCCCAACACCCACACAGACCATGCCCCCAAACACCCACACAGACTGTCCCCCCAAACACCCACACAGACCATCCCAACACCCACATAGACCATGCCCCCAAACACTCACACAGACTGGCCCCCCAAACACCCACACAGACCATCCCCCCAACACCCACATAGACCATGCCCCCAAACACCCACACAGACTGTCCCCCCAGACACCCGCACAGACCATCCCAACACCCACATAGACCATGCCCCCAAACACCCACACAGACTGTCCCCCCAGACAACCTACACAGAATAAACTGTCCCCCCAGACACCCACACAGACCATCCCCCCAGACACCCGCACAGACCATCCCCCGCAAATACCTGCATGGATTGTCCCCCCAGACACCCGCATAGCCAGAGCCCAGCACCCCGGAGGTGGACATTAATCCCATCTCCTAGGGAGATTGGGGGAAAATGGGTGTTCCCTGCCCCTCCTACTCTCTGGGTTGCTGTGGGATGTGGAGATCCAAGGAGCAGCCCCAGCTCAGGGGTCCAAGGAGGCAGGTGGGACGGGGGTCAGGGAAGTGCTTCCTGCAGCAGCCCTGGGGCCAGGGTGGGCCTTGAGGGCACTAGCCTTTGTCCACACTGCTGTGGGGCTGCCCTCACCCAGGTTGCCGTGTCCACCCTGCCTTGGGGGCTGCCCTCAGGCCCTGGAGACGCCTGCCTGTGACTGCCCCACACTCTCAGGCCAGGCTACTGGTGGCAGGTCCTGTGCTTTGGTGCACCCCAGACGTGCCCAACGGGCATTTCCTCTGCCCATTGGGAGCAGGGCCTCTCCCTCAGGTCTGCCCAGCTACGCTCTGGGCAGGAATGAGGTGCCCCACTTAGAGAAGATGCACAGGTCAGAAGAGGCTCACCAGCATTTCTGGGTGAGCCTCTTTCCGGCTGCTGGGACGACAGCCGGGCCTCTGGGGTCCCCACCTTCCTTGTCAGCTGCCTCCTGAAGTCAGGCCCTGGGTATCCAGGGCAGGAGGGAAGGGGCCCAGTGGTCCCGCTGCCCCAAAATCTGTGTCATTGAGCCACCAGCCCATCCCCAGTAGCTGGAGCCTCTGCCTCCTCACTTGTGAATTCCAAAAATCTGAGACAGGTCTCAGCCAATTTGGGAAGTTTATTTTGCCAAAATTAAGGATGCACACCTGTGACACAGCCTCAGGAGGTCCTGACATGTGCCCAAGGTGGTCAGAGGACAGCTTGGTTTTATACATTTTAGGGAGATATGAGACATCAATCAACACATGTAAGATAGAGTTACATTCTTTTGAGTTTCTGATGAGCCTTTCCAAAGAAGGCAATCAGATATGCATCTATCTCAGCGAGCGGGGGAATGACTTTGAATGGAATTGGAGGCAGGCTTGCCCTAAGCAGTTCCCAGCTTGACTTTTCCCTTTGGCTTAGTGATTTTGGGGCCCCAAGATTTATTTTCCTTTTACTCTCCTAAAAAGGTTTTTTTTTTTTCTTTTTTTTCCAGATTGATCGCAGAGTTGAACAACAGAGAATGTGTGCACAGTGCCAGGCACAGGTGTGGTCAAGATTCACCTGGGAGAGGAAGTGGGCAGGGGCAGAGGAGTGTGCCCACCTGAGCTGAAAGGCTGCATGGCAGGTGACCATTATCACCAGTGTCGCCAGCCAGGTCACCTCTCTGAATTTTGTGGTTGCAACCTCCATGATTCCCTAGAGCTGTTTTTACCCAGAACTAATGAAAAATTCTGCACATTAAATTCATGCTATTAGAATCACTGTTGTGGTTTCCATCTCCCAAGTAGACCCCAACTGATACATAAATTCATACTAGGAGGGGGTCCCCAGAGACAGGCCCTCAAAGTGACACAGTCAGGTACCTCTTTGGTCACTTTGCCAGCCAGGTACCTCTGGCTGCTGACACCCCCCCTCCCCAGGCCTCTCTTGGCCATGCTACCTGCCGCAGGAGGTGGCCCACCCACTCAGCCTGCCTGGGCCACACCTGGCTGTTCACCAGCTCAGCCTGTGGCTGGGCTGGGCATGTTCCAGCCTGCTTGTGTTATAGCTTGTACCCATGTATGGCAGTTCCCAAGTTCTTGTCCCGTGTCCAAGAAGAATGAGGAGATGCTGCCAATCGAAGTGTGAGAAGGGCAGAGAAGAATTTTATTGAGAGACGGAACAGCTCTCAGCAGAGAGGGGATGCACGGGTGGTTCCCGACCTGAAGTCAGGTGGTTTCTCTCCTAGTGTGGCTGGGTCCGGGGCATTTATGGGCTCAGAATGGGGGAGTGCATGCTGATTGGCTTCTGATTATGCAAAAAAGGCTTAAACAAAGGTACCACTCAAAGGTGGGCATGCCAGTGTAGAAAATGAATTAGGAAAAGATAGGTACATGTAAAATAGGTGAAGGGTGGGGATCAATCAGAGGAAAGCAGCCAAATGGGAAGATGGGTTCTCAATCCAGGCTGAGGATTTAATTTGTAGCTTGGCTTTCAGGCTTTAAACTGTCTTTGGCTCGGAGGTGGGGTTTCACTGGGAACCTGTCCCTGTCTGCCTAGGATTTGTCTGCCTCCTGTCACTATCAAAAGGTGGGGTCCGGGGATTAGGTTAGTGTGGTTGTTGCTTGGGCTGGGCTGCAGGCCGATCTCCTGGCCAGTGGGAAGGGGAGGCTGTTGGCCCACAGTGTTGTTGGGGGAGCTTCACAGTTAACCAAGCCATCCCCCATGCTGGCTGTGAGGCACCAGCAGAATTGAGGGCCTCGGGAACCCACGTGCTGCTGTGTGAGGCTGTCACGGCCACGAGGATGACCACAACCACGAGGGCTGTGGGGGGTCCCCTGAGTGTCCAGCAGCACTAACAGGAAGGAACCACACGTTCAGGTCTCTAAACTCAGTTTAAGTCATAGACAGAGAATCAGGACTGCCATGGCCATGGAAGAGTCCCTTGTTCCTGAGAGCCTCGGGGCTGCTGCTGCTACAACTCGGATGCACAGTTTAACTCTGAGTTGTGTGACTGCTGTGTGGCTCACACTCACAGCCTCACTACTGAAACGTGGGCACTGAGTGGGAAGGAACTGGATGCTGAAGCTTGGCATGGGGATGTCTGGTTGGGCTCAGATGAAGCTGAGAATTGTGAACCCCCTGGTTCTCTGAGCCTCTCCTTCCAGGGGAAGCAGCTTGTCCTCCAAGATCTGAGAGTAGCCTTTATTTATTTTTTTTGTTCTGCTTGAAAATGCTGTGATAAGCTTACCTGGCCAGGTGCCTAGAAATGATGCTCATTTTATTTAACCACCATAGCCACCCTGTTGCCTCTAGAACCTCAGTGTACTCCCAGGGAGGGGAAGGGTCAAGTACAAAGCCTGACTCAGGAAGGAACCACTTTCACACCAAAATGCTCGTAAGATGTTACAAATTCACACACGGAGACCTGGGAACCGTGTGGGAATGGAGGGTAGGGTATTAATGCAGCTGGACCGGCTTGGCTTTATTGATGCAGGTACACTTACTAGAGATTCTGAATTTAATGCGCTAGCTCACATTAGCTGCTGGAAATGACTCTACCAGTTTACTTGGTTGAATGAAATCTGGATTTGCTGGCGGTCTACAGTTAATGAAGGGGAGATGCTGGAATGTCCCTGGTGTAACGTCGAGGCAGGAATCGTGCAAAGCAAGGGCCACCCTCCGTCCCAGCCTGATTTCTCTCCACCTCCAGCTGAGCACTGAGGAAGACGCAGGCCGGGGACTGCCCAGGGAAGTGGTGGATCTGCAGACAGCGTGAGCTCCTGGAGCGTCAGGACCCAGAGCAGCTGTGGACATGCCCCTCCAGGCGGGACACCCAGGCCTCAGGGACGAGTGCGTCCATGCCTTAAGGGCTGCTGGTTGTGGGTGTCTGCTTGGTCCTGGAGAAACTACCTCAGGAAAAGCCAGGGCTGGACCCCAGCAGGGATGGGATAAGGGGAACCGAGACTCACCCACTGTGCTCAGGGCAGAGGTGGTGGGCCGCGGGAACGGGCATGTCTTTGTCTATCTGGACTGCCCCAACAGAATAGCAGAGACAGGTGGTTCATCAACAGATACTTATTTCTCACAGTTCTGGAGGCTGGAAGCCCAAGATGAAGGTGCCAGCTCGCTCTCTAGTGAGGATCCCTTCCTGGTTCACAGACAGCTTCTCACTGGGTCTCCACATGGTGGAGGGGCTTGGGAGAACTCTGGGGTCTCTTTTATAAGGACACTAATCCCACTCATGAGGTTCCACCCCTGGTCATCTCCCAAAAGCCCCACTTCTGATACCATAACCTTGGGGGTTAGGATCGCAACACATAAAGTTTGGGGGAATGCAGACATTCAGAGCCCAGCAAGGAGCCAGGCCAAAGGCTGATGAGAGATACCTGCTGGGTGAGCTGGTGGTAGAGGGGGCAGCCCCCTGGTGGGGGAGAAACACAGCGATCCTGAGGTCCAGGAGGAGCCTCAGCGGGGCTGGCATCTACACTCAGCCTTGCACGGATGGATGGGGCAGGACATCCCAGGCGAGGAGGACGGTAGGAGCAGGGAACGTGGTGGGGAAGGGCACCCCTAGGGGACGCCTCCCCACTGCCTCCACCTGGCCCCGACATTGGAGCAGGCCCTTCTGCTGTGACCAGGCTCTCTGGACCAGCCCTTGCCTCCTCTGCCTCAGTGCCGACTGGCCCACCTGACCCGAGGAACTTGCGTGTCCCTGAACTTAGCTCTTGGGCTGCTGACAGGTGTTTGTTGAGTCCTTGAGCACACGGGTGAAGACAGGGAGGGAAGGGTGGATGGGGAGCTGGCAGGCGGAAGATGGATCAAATTGGTGCCTGCGCTGGGGAACCCCGGAAGAGGGGGACTGCGTGAAGATTCCGAGCGGGGAAGGCGAGGAGCGGGGCTGAAGGTCCCTGTCAGGGCCCTCTCCCACTGTGGGCTGCCCATCCCCGAGGTACTCAAGGTGGGAGGCACTGACCCTTTACCCAGACCCCTGTGGCCAGAGACACATAGGCGGTGCCAGCTGATGAAGGTGCATGGGGGTTGAGGAGTGGGTGAGGCCTGAGGAGGAGGGGGGCTACCCAGCCCTGCACCTGCCGCCTGGGGGCCCCACTTCCATGCAGGGCGAGGAATAGGGCCCCTCCCTGCCTGACCCCCTGGACTGGGGTTCGTCAGATGATCCCAGAAGCGAAGTGGGTGGAGAGGCAGGGGGTCTATCTGTGGGTTCAAGACCATGGAAGGAAGCGGCAGAGAAGGGGACAGAAATGGGACAAATGCAAGTGCCCAGGAGGAGAGAGAAGCCAGGAGGGGGGGTCGTGGCCCTGTCTCCCCAGGGTGAAGTCAGGCAGGGCTTGGGGGCACGTTTTGCACCGAGTCAGCTCACCCAGCATGTCTCTCGCCCATGGCCATGAGAGAAAGCCCCGGGCTGAGGCCTCAGTCTGTGACACTCACAGTGATGGGCAAAGGCTGGCTGCCTCTGCCCCACCCAGAAGTCCCCAAGCTCACTGGCAGCTGCAAGGCCTGGGGACATTTAACGCACGTATAAGAACAAGCTGTTCTCTCGCTCTGTGGAAGCACTGATACCTCCCAGCAGCTTCGGGAGACAGGTCTGGTGGGAGCCTGGGGACTGTGCTCATCAGGGCCCCTCGGTGGTCCCTCTGCTTGGAAGGGAGGGGCCTGTGGAGGAGGGAGGAAGTTTACCCCCAGCACACTGGATTCTCGATGAAGGGCCCCCATGAAAGCACCCTGAAAGGTCAGCTTGGGGTATGGGCTGGCTGGGCCCATTTGGGAGCTCTGTCTCTGGAGAGGGCTCAGGCTCTACTGGAGGCTGGCCCAAGGCTCAGGGTCCAAGCAAAACGCAGCTTCACACCCAGGGAGGGGCTTCTGGGGCTGGTACCATCTCCCCAAGGGCCCCAGGAGTCTGGCCTCAAACCTGTCCAACCTGTAGGATCCCAGGCCAGGGACGAGACCTGGGGCTGCTTCTTCAAGGTCTGAGCCCCAGGTGTGGGCCAAGAGGGCCCCAACTGCAGGGACCAGGTTGCTGGTGGTAGAAGGGACTGTGAAGCTTCTAGGATGGTCCCTTCATGCAAGTAGGAAGCTGTCCCCTGTCCTTCCCAAGGCAGAGGTGTGAGGCTGGCTGTCCAACACTGACTCATGCTGGGGCAGGGAAGCGGGGTGTGGGGAGGGCAGGGAAGGGGGGTGTGGGGAGGGCTGGGAAGGGAGGTATGGGGAGGGCTGGGAAGGGAGGTATGGGGAGGGCTGGGAAGGTGGTGTGGGGAGGGCTGGGAAGGGGGAGGGCTGGGAAGGGGTGTGTGGGGAGGGTGGGAAGGGGGGCTGTGGGGAGGGTTGGGAAGGGGGGTTGTGGGGAGGGTTGGGAAGGGGTGTGTGGGGAGGGCTGGGAAGGGGGTGTGGAGAGGGCAGGGCAGGTACCTCCCCGATTTAGGGAGCTGGGTACACCCCTGGGCCTGGACATCAGGTGCAGATGCTAGGGTGGCCCCGTGATTAGGGCTGGGAGAGGGTCAGGCCCAGTCACTGTAGCCAGCAGCCTGAGGATGCCTCCCTCCGGATTCTGGCCTTCAGTCTCTTCAGGCCACGGTGGTCGGGGTCCACCAGGAGGCCGCTCTCTACCGCCGTCCAGGCCTCTGCGTGACGCTGCTCCTCCAGGCAGCACTGCCCGCGGAGAAGGAACATGCGTGCAGTGGGGGCCCGGCCTGGCTGCCTGCACAGGCTGTTCTGGGCCAAGGAGGGCGCCAGCTTCAGGGCCTGGGCAAAGGCCCCTGCGGCCGCCGCCTCATCCCCCAGGCTCAGCAGCAGGCGACCCTGACGGCAGAAGTCCTCTGCCCGCCTTGGGAGGTCACCATCCCCCAGCGCCTCCTGGAGCACATGGTCCAGGTCCCTAAGGGCCCGGCCAAACTCCTGCAACTCGGCCAGGCAGGTGGCCCGCAGACGCAGGTGACAGGCACTGCTGCCACTGGCCAGGACAGACAGCGAACAGTAGCCCAGCGCCTGCCTGGGTTGCCCTGCGTCCAGGAGGGTGCCGGCTTCCTGGGCCGCCGCCTGCACAGAGGACACAGAGAGAGGCAGGGAGAGTGGGGTCAGCCCCAAAAGCCCGGCCGCCCCTGCCCTGCAGAGGTCCTCTGCACAGCCAGCTTCTGCTGGCTCCCTGGGGATGGCGGGGCCCTGGGCTGCACAGGAGCTGCCCGCTGCTTCTGGAGGGGCTGGCTGACCATGGGCAAGGGCAGGAAGGGGGACCCAGGGTAGAGGACCCCTCCCTGCAATTCCCACTGCCCTGGAACCTGCCAAAGTGCTGTTCCGACCCTTGGCCCAAGGCCTGGCATCCTTGCCCACTGCTCTTCTCCCTGGGCCTCGGATCAGGGACCTGGATTTACCTCCTCATGGTCCCCTCCTGGCAGCCCTACCGCCCCACCGGCTGGGCCCAGGTTCCCTTGACTGGGTGACCACACCGGCCTCCTCCCTCGGTCCCTCTGGGCCAAGTCACCTCTCCATCGGGCCCTCTGAGGGGGCTGCTGCCCAGCCCTTCCACTCTGCCCACCTTCTGAAGGCTGCTCCAGGCCTCTGAGCACGTGCACCCTAGCCCCTCTCCCTGGGGCTGCTGGACGGAGGGCACAGCCTGTGCTGTGGGCTGCTGCTGGCCAGGCCTGCCTGCCCCCCCCACTCCTCCCGGGCACTTTCCTGAGCCCACCCAGGCCCAATCGCCTCATCTCTGACCCAGTTTTTTCACAGAGTCAACCACGACCAGAAATCCGCTCGCCTCGCTGGGCTCCTCCTCCGCTCAAGAATCTGCAGGGGTTCCCCGCTGCCTGAGGAACACGCCAAGGTGCAGGCCCCGCCTTTCTCGCTGGCGCTGCCTCTCTTCCAGCAGCCCGGCGGTCCTCGACGCTACCTCCCCCGGGGGGCGCAGCGCACCCAGGACCCCGCCAGGCTTGGCCGCACGGGGCGAAGCCGAGGCCCACGCCCGGGGTCCGTGCAGGGAGCGAGGGGGTCCCACGGCCCCGGCTTTGCTGCTGGGCTCCCGCAGGGCACAGTGTGGCCTCTTCTGCCAGCTGTGAGCGGCGCTGAGCAGGGCAGGGGCTCGAAACCCCGTCCCTCGCCTGCGGTGCGGCCCGCGGGACCGCCCCTCTCCGGGCGGAGGCACCTGACCCCGACCCGTAGTTCACGGCCCGGGGTGGTAGTGAAGCCTCGGCCCGCGCAGGACCCGCACATTTGGGCCGGGTCCATGGCAGCAGGAGGGCGAGGCCCCGAGCAGCTGTCGGACCCCGGGAGCCCCCAGGCCGCCCCAGTGGGGAAGGGCGCTCAATCCGACCCCAGACTCCCCTGAGCCCGCGGCTCGGGCCGCGCAGGCGCAGTGCCACCCGGAGGGGGCCGCCTGCCGAGGGGCGGGGCGCAGGAAGCGGGGCGAAACCACTGTTGGCTCATTTCCGGGTGGGTCCCCGTCTCCAGGCAACCATTTCGCGTCCTGCAGATTCTTGCCTGTGCCGGGAGCCGCCTCCTGGCGCCGCAGCCCAGCCGTATTCTGCAGCCTCGGAGACCCGCGTCCAGCCCCGCCTCCGGGCTCGGTGACCCCCGTTCAGGAGACCCCATCTAGCCGCCTCCTCTGGGCTCCGGGACCATGGCCCCAGCCAGGCTTCCCGCCCCCTGCCAGGCCCTGCTCCCACCTCGAAGACCCCAGCACAGACCCCTCCTCCTGGCTTGGAAACGCCCAGTCCCTCTGGGAGCTCTGAGACCCCACCCCGCCCAGCCCGGCCGCCTCCTCTAGGTCCCGATAACCCAATCTCAGCGTTGCTCTTCAGCTCGGGGGGGGCAGCGGCGCCCCCTCTGCAGCACCGAACTGCCCCTTACACTGGTGTAGCCCCGACTCCGCCATGAGCTCCCTGTTCTTCCTAGTGTGGTTTCTGTTTTCCTAAGTGGCCCCGGAGTGCTAGAACCCGCTGGTGTCAGGAAGCATTAAGGAGGTGAAATCCTGCCCAGGCCCCACTGGGGTGTAGTTCTGCCTCTGGGACCCCAAAGCCTGCTGTGCTCTTGGCCTCCCAGCCTGCCTTGTCCCCACGTGCCTTCTCCCGGCCTGCCATGGGTTTGGGGTGGGCTTCCTGCCGGGCAAGGTGCCCCTGGCTGGCTCAGTCTGGCCCTGAGGGCAAGGTCCTCTTCCCTCTCTTGCACCCAAGTCACCTGTGGCTTATACTTCCCATACAAAGAGGCTGAGAGGTCGGTGGGGTTGTAGGGCTAAGGTGGCCAGAGACCGTCTTCCTGGGCCAGAAGTGGGTGCCTCCCACCCCACCCCAAACCTAACTGAAATCAACCCAACCGCAGAGAGTGAAGAAAGGCTGCCCCAGTGGTGGGCCCGGGGGTCTCATGCCTGTGTGCTGGGGAAGGTTGGGGTGGGAGATCTGTGGGGTTCTTTGGGCACCTGGGCAAGGCTCTGCCGCTCCGAGGCCTCCAGGAGATGCAGCAGGCAGCTGAGATCCGGGGCATCCACCTCGGCCAGGCTCTGCAGGTCCCTTGCAGCCCCTGGCACGTCTCCCTTCTTGAGCTGGAGCAGGCCCAGCCGGGCCCGGGCTGCCTCTGACGTTGGGGCACGGTGCAGGGCTTTTTCCAGGTGGGTGCCAGCTTCCTCGTAGCTGCCTGTCAGGGATTCAGGAGGGACAGTCAGTGTGTGGGGTTGGGCAGAGGTGCGAGAGAGCTGAGACTCGCTGGCCGCTCCTTCCCTGCCCTGTGCTGGCTTGCGGGGAGCTGATGATGGCTCAGCCCAGGAAGAAGGAGCTGGGAGCAGAGGTGCACCGTGATTCCAGGCAGGTCACAGGGACTCACCTCTGACCCCACTCCATGATGCTGAGCTACCACACCGTGGGCACTACAAGGGGCTGCTTTCTCTCCCGGGCAACTAGAGGCAAACTCTGGGCCTGCTGGCGCAGAGTGGCATGTGGGGAGCAGCCCTGGGGCCCCTGAAGCCCTTGGTGGGCAAATGCAGACTGCAGAGAGAGCTCCCCTTTGGAATTAGTGGTGAAGTGGTTTCCACATCACCAGGGGGATGTGGAAATCCGCGGGAAGGGCCTGCATGTCGGCCCATGGGGCTTCTGACAGTTCCTCCTGGAACAGGGCCTGCCATCCCGTGGGTGCCCGAGAAACAACGACTGGAGGTGCATGGATGAATGAGGGGGCTGAGGGTCCAAGACCTTTCAAAGACCAAGATCACCCCTCGGTTTCTCCTCCATTGCAAGCAAAGAGCCACCCGGGTAAAGCAGAGGAGAGCCTTTTGAACGCCAGGCCTCACACAGGGAGCAGGGCCAGAGGTCATGGGATTTGGGGTGGAAGGGACCTTGGAAGCTGTTGTGGTCCGGGTCTCTTTCTTCCATTTTTACAGAACAGGATACAGAGGTCAGAGGAGCGGGGACAGAAGCCCAGACCCCGTGTTTCCCACCTTGGGGCCGCCGCATACCCTGTGCCATGAGAATGTCTGCCAGGAGGAGGTGCCAGTGCGGTTGCCCTGAGTCGATTTTGATCAGCGCCTCCCCCACAGCAAGGAGGCCCTGGGTGTCCTTGTCCTCGAGAGGGGCCCCAGTGTCTGGCAGCTGGCTCAGAAGGGCCCGGCAGTGGGAGTAGAGGCCCTGTGTGATGAGGGCCTGGGCTTCCGGCTTCAGAGAGCGGAGCTCAGGGACCACAGTCCCGGGGCCGAGCTTCAGAGCAGAGACGATGTCGTCCACGGCTTCCTGCAAGGAGGGAGGGCGGGCGGGTGCAGAGTTGTCCTAAGTAGAGAAACTGGGCAGAGGGTCAGAGTAGGAGGACTGGCTCTGTCTTTCTCATTCCCTGATCTTCTCCCTGGGGTCCTAGAGGGTCTGAACACCCAGCTTCCTGCCCCTTCCTGCTTCTCTGTGGCTGCAGCCTCCTACCATCCCTCCTGATTCTGGTTAGCATTTGAGGGGACTCAGCTCACTGACCTTGACTCTGAAAGTTGTCAGGCTCAGAACCCCTTTTCTGAGGCCAAACGCTGCTAATTTCCATCTCCTGAGGCTGCCTGCGGTCTGTGAGCCCTCCCTGGGTCCCTCGCTCTCCCAGCTTGTAGCTGGCTCCCTCCACGCCTGTCCCTCCCCACAGGGGCATCTGTCACCTCACAGTGGGGGACGCTGGAGCTCCTTGGGTATCCGGGTGCTGCTCCCAGTGCCTGTGGTCTTGGGGACGCCGGAAGGGTAGAAAGCCCAGTTACTGCTCTCCCGTAACTCCCAGAAGCAGTGGAAGGAGGGTGCCCAGCCCATCTGGTGCACAATACCGCGCCTGGCCCTAACTATGCCTCTTTATATTATCTTTCTAGCAATTGCCTTGTGGATTACAATACGTAGCCTTACAGCTATGAACAAGCCCCCAGCTCCCAGGTGAGCACCCTACCACAGTCTATGTACAGTTAATATGGGGCCACTTTACCTAATATGTGAGATCCCCACAGCAGTAAATTCCATTATTCCCATACTTTGTGTTATCGTTGTCCTACACTGAGCGATGCATTTCCTCACATAGTGCATTATTTCAAGTGAATTAATTATATATATATTTTGAGACAGGGTCTCTGTCTGTTGCCCAGGCTGGAGTGCAGTGGCATGATCTTGGTTCACTGCAACCTTGAGCTCCTGGGCTTAAGTGATCCTCCCACTTCTGCCTCCGGAGTAGCTGGGACCACAGGCACATGCCACCACACCCAGCTCATTTTAAAATCTTTTTGTACAAATGGGGTCTTGATATATTGCCCAGGCTGGTATGGAACTTCTGGTCTCAAGCCATCCTCCCACCTTGGCCTCCCAAAGTACTGGCATTACAGGTGTGAGCTACCACACCTGGCCTGTTTTTAATTTAGATAGCTTTGTTCAAAGAAATTAAAAGAAGAAATAAATACATCATTTTGTATTTGCAGATGCTTTTCATTTCTTCCAGCAGAGAATTTCTATCAGGCATCAGTTCTCTTCAATTTCACC
The DNA here is from genome assembly GCF_000001405.40 of Homo sapiens. Classification (NCBI taxonomy): domain Eukaryota; kingdom Metazoa; phylum Chordata; class Mammalia; order Primates; family Hominidae; genus Homo; species Homo sapiens. Next base: position 2,646,818 of record NC_000001.11, read on the forward strand.
ACCTTCCCTCAGGATCTGCTGTGGTGTCATTCACTGATGACGAATCTCTCAGCTTCCATTTGTCTAACGGGTCTTTAATGTCACCCTCGTTTCTGAAGGACATTTTAACAAGATGGATAATTCTGGCTTGGTACTTTTTTCTTTTAGTGCCTTAAAGGTGCTGTCCCATTGTCTTCTGGGTTCCATTGTTTCTGGGACAAATCTGCTGTCATTCGTGTTGTTGTATGTCATTTGTTCACCCCTCTGGTTGCTTTTAAGATGTTCTCTTTATCTTTTTTTTTCAGGAACTTGACCAAGATGTGCCTTCTTAGGGGTGGTTCTCTTTCTATTTTTCCTCTTGGGATTTGTTGAGCTTCTTGGGAATTTTTCTGCTGTTATTTCTTCAAATACCTGTGTATATTTGTCCCATTCATTCTCCGTATTCTCTGGGAGTCCAATCACATGTATGCTAGATGGCCTGAAATTGTCCCACCGGTCACTGAAGGTTTCTTCATTTATTTTTTTAATTTTTAAAAGTTTTTTAGAGGCCAGGTGCAGTGGCTCACGCCTGTAATCCCAGCATGTTGGGAGGCTGAGGTGGGCAGATCCAGAGGTCAGGAGATCGAGACCATCCTGGCCAACATGGTGAAACCCCGTCTCTACTAAAAATACAATAAAAATACAAAACTTAGCCAGGCATAGTGGTGGGTGCCTGTAGTCCCAGCTACTCAGGAGGCTAAGGCAGGAGAATTGGTTGATCCCAGGAGGTGGAGGTTGCGGTGAGCTGAGATTGTGGCACTGCACTCCAGCCTAGGTGACAGAGTGAGACTCCATCTCTTCTAGAAAATTTTTTTTTCTTTCTTTTATTTTGAGAGGGAGTCTCACTCTGTCGCCCAGGCTGGTCTCAAACTCCTGGGCTCAAGTGATGCTGCCACTTCGCCCTCCCAAAGTACTGGAATTACAGGTGTGAGCCATGATGCTCAGCTCAGCTCTCATCGTTTGAAACAGAGTTTTGTTTTTTGTTTTTTGTTTTCCCTGCTTTTCCTTAGATTGGATAATTTCCTTAGATTGGATAATTTTCTTTGGTCTATACTTGAGTTCACTAATCCTGCTTTGGCAGTTTCCAATCTGCTGTTGTGCCTGCCTAGTAAGTTTTTAATTCCAGATATGCTGCGTTTCAGATCTAGGATCTCCACTTGATTATTACTGTTTTTTTTTTTTCATATTCCTCTGCTAGGATTCTCCATCAAGCTCACTCATTCTAGCAAACATTTCTTTTACATGTTTATGTCACTGCTTTTAAAAGCCCCTGTGTGTAAATTCCAAACCTCTAAGCCATCTCAGGGTCTGTTTCTATGAAGTACTTCTTCTCTTATTACGGGTCCCATTTCCCTGGTTCTCTGTGTGCCTAGCAGTTCTTGGTTTTGCGCTGGGCTCTGTGTCTGGCATGTGGTAGACAGGGCTGTGGTGCTGTCCTGCAAGGGGGCTGATTTCACTCTGGGGGGCAGGTAGATTACTGGTGGATCATTTTGGCCCTGCCAGGCTTTATCTTGTACTTTGCTAGGGGAGGATTCGTTTTTGAACTTAGTCCTAAAGTACAATCTTAATTTTAGGGTGTGGCCTTTCTGGGGTCTCAACTGAATGCCCAAGATGTTCAGAAAAGCCTCTCTGCGGCCTCCTGTCTCTCAGGTCACAGCTCTTTGCTGCCTGTTGTTTGGTGCCTGGAAACATTTGCTCATGCATTATATCCAGTTTATACAGCTGTCAGGAGCCTGGAATGGCACCCACATCCCCAGGTGAGCATCTGACAGCCTGGAACAGCACCCCACACCCCAGGGGAGCATCTTACAGCCTGGAACAGCACCCCACACCCCAGGGGAGCATCTTACAGCCTGGAATAGAACCCCACACCCACAGGTGAGCATCTGACAGCCTGGAACAGCACCGCACACTCCCAGGTGAGCACAGGTGAACATCTGACAGCCTGGAATGGCACCCACACTCACAGGTGAGTGTGGGACAGACTGGAGCAGCATTCTCCAGCCCCAGGTGAACTTGCGACAATCCAAAACAGAACCCTACACACCCAGCTGAGCATCTGACAGCCAAGGATGGCACCCCACACACCTAGGGGAGCATCTTACAGCCTGGAACAGCACCCCACACCCCCAGGTGAGTATCTGACAGCCTGGGAATGCACCCCCACACCCAGTTGAGCATCTGAAACCCTATAGCACCACCCCCAACCAACAGGTGAAAATCTTACAGCCTGGAACGGCACCTTCCACCCCCAGGTGAGCATCTTCCAGCCTGAAACAGCACCCCACACCCCCAGGTGAGTGTCTTACAGCCTGGAACGGTATCCACACCCACAGATGAGTGTGTGACAGCCTAGAACAGCATTCTCCAACCCCAGGTGAGCTTGTGACAATCTGGAACAGGACCCCACAACCCCAGGTGAGCATCTGACAGCCTAAAACAGCACCCTCCACCCTTAGGTGATCATTTGACAGCCAGGAATGACAACCCACATAAGCATCTGACAGCCTAGAACGGCACCCCCCAGTTAGGTGAGAATCTGAATGCCTGGATCAACGCTCAAACCTTCAGGTGAGCACCTGACAGCCTGGAACAGCAGTGCCCATACCCAGGTGAGCATCTGAAACCCTCCAGCAGCACTCACCACCCCAAGGTGAGCATTTGACAGCCTGGAACAGCACCCTTCATGTTCAGGTGAGCATCTGATGGTTTTGTTTTATTTTGAGATGGAGTCTCTCTCTGTCGCCCAGGCTACAGGCCAGTGGTGCGATCTTGGCTCACTGCAACCACCGCCCCCAGGTTTAATCGATTCTCCTGCCTCAGCCTCCTGAGTAGCTGCGACTACAGGCTGATTTTTGTATTTTTAGTAGAGACGGGGTTTCACCATGTTGACCAGGCTGGTCTTGAACTCCTGGTGATCCACCCACCTCGGCCTCCCAAAGTGCTGGGATTACAAGCACGAGTCATCGCACCTGGCTGATCATCTGACAGTTTTAAATGGCACCTCACACCCTCAGGTGAGCATCTGACAGCCTGGAATGGCACTCTGCATCCCCAAGTGAGCTTCTGACAGCCTGGAATGGCACTCTGCATCCCCAGGTGAGCATCTGACAGCCTGGAATGGCACTCTGCATCCCCAAGTGAGCTTCTGACAGCCTGGAATGGCACTCTGCATCCCCAGGTGAGCATCTGACAGCCTGGAATGGCACTCTGCATCCCCAGGTGAGCCTCTGACAGCCTGGAATGGCACTCTGCATCCCCAGGTGAACATCTGACAGCCTGGAATGGTACTCTACACCCTCAGGTGAGCTTCTGACAGCCTGGAATGGCACTCTACACCCTCAGGTGAGCTTCTGACAGCCTGGAATGGCACTCTACACCCTCAGGTGAGCATCTGACAGCCTGGAATGGCACTCTACATCCCCAGGTGAGCTTCTGACAGCCTGGAATGGCACCCCACACCCTCAGGTGAGCATCTGACAGCCTGGAATGGCACTCTACACCCTCAGGTGAGCATCTGACAGCCTGGAATGGCACTCTACATCCCCAGGTGAGCATCTGACAGCCTGGAACAGCACCTCACACCCACAGGTGAGTGTGTGACAGCCTGGAACAGCATTCTCCAACCCCAGGTGAGCTTGTGACAATCTGGAACAGGACCCCACTACCCCAGGTGAGCATGTGATAGCCGAAAACAGCACCCTCCACCCCCAGGGGATCATCTGATAGCCAAGAATGGCACTACTACCCTGAGGTGAGAATCTGACAGCCTGGATCAGCACTTCGACCTTCAGGTGAGTGTCTGAGAGCCTGCAACAGCACCCCACACCCCCAGGTGAGCATCTGACAGTCGGGAACAGCACCTCACACCCACAGATGAGACTCTGACAACGTAGAATGTCACCCTGACCCCCAGGTGAGCATCTGAAACCCTGGATCAGCTCTCCCCCATGCAAGGTGAGCATCTGACAGCAGGAAACAGCACTTGACACCCCCAGGTGAGCCTCTGACAGCCTGAAACCAGACCCACACCACAGGTGAGCAGCTGACAGGCTGCAACAGCACCCACACCCCCAGGTGAGCATCTGACAGCCCTAAATGACACCCCAACCCCCCAGGTGAGCATCACACCATCCAAATGGCACCCCAAACCCCCAATAAGCATCTGATAGCCTGAAACAGCACTCCACGCCTTCGGGGGGGCATCTGACAGCCTAGAACGGTATGTCACACCCCCAGGTAAGCATCAGAAAGCCTGGAACGGCACCCCAAACCCCCAGGTGAGCAACTTTGCAGCCTGGGACAGTACCCTCCAGCACCAGGTGAGCACTTCACAGCCTAAAACTGCACCTCACAGGCCAAGGTGAGCATCTGACTGCCTGGAACGGCACTCACACCCCGAGGTGAATGTGTGACAGCCTGAAACAGCATTCTCCAATCCCAGGTGAGGATCTGACAACCTGGAATAGAACTCCACACCGGCAGGTGAGCATCTGACAGCATTGAATGGCACCCAAACCCATAGATGAGTATGGGACAGACTGGAGCAGCATTCTCCAGCCCCAGGTGAACTTGTGACAATCCGAAACACAACCCCACACACGCAGGTAAGCATCTGACAGCCAAGGACGCCACCCCACACACCCAGGTGAGCATCTGACAGCCTAGAATGGCACCACCACACTTAGGTGAGAATCTGACAGCCTGGATCAGCACTTCAATCTTCAGCTGAGTGTCTGAGAGCCTGGAACAGCACCCCACACCCCCTGGTGAGTATCTGACAGCTTGGAACATCACCCTGCATACCAGGAGGGCATCTGACAGCCTGGGAAGTCACCCCCACACCCAGGTGAGCATCTGAAACCCTACAGCACCACCCCTCTCCAACCTTCAGGTGATTATCTGACAACCTAGAACAGCACCCTCCACCCTCAGATGAGCATCTGACAGCCGGAAAAACACCCTCCACCACCAGGTGATCATCGGACAGCCTGGAACGGTACCACCAATTAGGTGAGCCTCTGATGGACTCAAACAACAACTCACGATTTTGGGTGAGCAGCTGAGAAACTAAGTTGGCACCCTGCACTCAGGGGAGCATCTGACAGCCTGAAGCAGCACCTTCCACCTCTAAGTGAGCATCTGATGGTCTGGAGCAGCATCCATACCCCAGGTGAGCACCTGACATCGTGGAGCAGCAGCCCACACCCACAGGTGAGCATCTGACAGCCTGGAGGAGCACCCACACCCCCAGGTGAGCATCTGACAGACTGGAACAGCACCCTGCACCCCCAGGTGAGCATCCGACAGCCTGGAACACAACCCACACCCCCAGGTGAGCATCTGACAGACTGGAACAGCACCCTGCACCCCCAAGTGAGCATCTGACGGCCTGGAACAGCACCCACACCCCCAGGTGAGCATCCGACAGCCTGGAACAGCACCCACACCCCCAGGTGAGCATCCGACAGCCTGGAGCAGCACCCACACCCCCAGGTGAGCATCTGATATCCTGGAACAGCACGCACACCCCCAGGTGAGCATCTGACAGCCTGGAGCAGCACGCACACCCCCAGTGAGCATCTGACAGCCTGGAACAGCACCCACACCCCCAGGTGAGCATCCGACAGCCTGGAGCAGAACCCACACCCCCAGGCGAGCATCTGACGGCCTGCAACAGCACCCACACCTCCAGGCGAGCATTGGAAAGCCTGGAGCAGCACCCACACCCCCAGGTGAGCATTGGACAGCCTGGAGCAGCACCCAGAAGCCCAGGCGAGCATCCGACAGCCTGGAGCAGCATCCACACCCCCAGGTGAGAACCTGACATCGTGGAGCAGCAGCCCACACCCACAGGTGAGCATCTGACAGCCTGGAGGAGCACCCACACCCCCAGGTGAGCATCTGACAGACTGGAACAGCACCCTGCACCCCCAGGTGAGCATCCGACAGCCTGGAGCAGCAACCACACCCCCAGACGAGCATCTGACAGCCTGGAATGGCACCCACACCCCCAGGTGAGCATCTGATGGTCTGGAGCAGCACCCACAACCAAAGGTGAGCATCGGAGAGTCTGGAGCAGCGCCCACACCCCCAGGCGAGCATCTGACAGCCTGGAGCAGTGCCCACACCCCCAGGTGAGCATGTGACAGCGTGGAGCAGCACCCACAGCCCAAGGTGAGCATCTGACAACCTGGAGCAGCAACCACACCCCCAGGCGAGTATCTGAACGCACGGAGCAGCACCAAAACCCCTAGGGGAGCATCCGACAGCCTGGAGCAGCACCCACACCCCCAGGTGCGCATCTGATGGTCTGGAGCAGCACCCACACCCACAGGTGAGCATCTGACAGCCTGGAACAGAACCCACACCCCCAGGTGAACATCTGACAGACTGGAACAGCACCCACATGCCCAGGTGAGCCTCTGACAACCTGGAACAGCACCCTGCACCCCCAGGTGAGCATCTGACAGCCTGGAACAGCACACACACCCCCAGGTGAGCATCTGACAGCCTGGAACAGCACCCACACCCCCAGGCGAGCATCTGACAGCATGTAACAGCACCCACACCCCCAGGTGAGCATCTGACAGCCTGGAACACCAGCCTGCACCCCCAGGTGTGCACGTGACAGCCTGGAACAGCACCCACACCCCCAGGCGAGCATCTGATGGCCTGGAACAGCACCCACACCCCCAGGTGAGTATCTGACGGCCAGGAATAGCACCCACACCCGCAGGTGAGCATCTGACATCGTGGAGCAGCACCCTACACCCACAAGTGAGCATCTGACAGCCTGGAGCAGCATCCACACCCCCAGGCGAGCATCTGACAGCCTGGAACAGCACCCACACCCCCAGGTGAGCATCTGATGGTCTGGAGCAGCACCCACAACCACAAGTGAGCATCGGAGAGTCTGGAGCAGCGCCCACACCCCCAGGCGAGCATCTGACAGCCTGGAGCAGTGCCCACACCCCCAGGTGAGCATCTGACAGCATGGAGCAGCACCCACAGCCCAAGGTGAGCATCTGATGGTCTGGAGCAGCACCCACACCCACAGGTGAGCATCCGACAGCCTGGAGCAGCACCCACACCCCCAGGTGAGCATCTGATGGTCTGGAGCAGCACCCACAACCACAGGTGAGCATCGGAGAGTCTGGAGCAGTGCCCACACCCCCAGGCGAGCATCTGACAGCCTGGAGCAGTGCCCACACCACCAGGTGAGCATCTGACAGCGTGGAGCAGCACCCACAGCCCAAGGTGAGCATCTGACAACCTGGAGCAGCACCCACACCCCCAGGCGAGCATCTGAACGCACGGAGCAGCACCCACACCCCCAGGCGAGCATCCGACAGCCTGGAGCAGCACCCACACACCCAGGTGAGCATCTGACAGCCTGGAGCAGCACCCACACCACCAGGTGAGCATCTGACAGCCTGGAAAAGCACCCTGCACCCCCAGGTGAGCATCTGACAGTCTGGAACAGCACCCATACGCTCAGATGAGCATCTGACAGCCTGGAACAGGACCCTGCACCCCCAGGTGAGCATCTGACAGTCTGGAACAGCACCCACACACCCAGGCGAGCATCTGACAGCCTGGAACAGCACCCATACGCCCAGATGAGAATCAGACGGCCTGGAAAAGCACCCTGCACCCCCAGGTGCGCACCTGACAGCCTGGAACAGCATCCACACCCCCAGGCGAGCATCTGACGGCCTGGAACGGCACCCACACCCCCAGGTGAGCATCCGACATCCTGAAACAGCTCCCACACCCCCAGGTGAGCATCCGACAGCCTGGAGCAGCACCCACACCCCCAGGTGAGTATCTGACCGCAAGGAATGGCATCCTCACCTCCAGGTGAGCATCGGACAGCCTGGAGCAGCACCCACACCCCTAGGTGAGCATCTGACAGCCTGGAACAGCAACCACACCCCGGGGCGAGCATCTGACAGCCTGGAACAGCAACCACACCCCCAGGCAAGCATCTGACAGCCTGGAACAGAACCCTGCACCCGCGAGTGAGGATCAGACAGCCTGGAGCAGCACCCACACTCCAGGTGAGCATCTGACAGCCTGAAGCAGCACCCACACCAACAGGTGAGCATCTGACAGCCTGGAACAGCACCCACACCCCCAGGTGAGCATCTGACAGCCTGGAACAGCTCTCACAACCCCAGGTGAGCATCTGACAGCCCGGAACAGCACGCTGCACCCCCAAGTGAGCACCTGACAGCCTGGAGCAGCAACCACACCCCCAGGTGAGCATCCAACAGCCTGGAACAGCACCGACACCCCCAGGTGAGCATCCGACAGCCTGGAGCAGCACCCACACCCCCAGGTGAGCATCTGATATCCTGGAACAGCACCCACACCCCCAGGTGAGCATCTGACAGGCTGGAGCAGCACGCACACCCCCAGTGAGCATCTGACAGCCTGCAACAGCTCTCACAACCCCAGGTGAGCATCTGACAGCCCGGAACAGCACGCTGCACCCCCAAGTGAGCACCTGACAGCCTGGAGCAGCAACCACACCCCCAGGTGAGCATCCAACAGCCTGGAACAGCACCGACACCCCCAGGTGAGCATCCGACAGCCTGGAGCAGCACCCACACCCCCAGGTGAGCATCTGATATCCTGGAACAGCACCCACACCCCCAGGTGAGCATCTGACAGGCTGGAGCAGCACGCACACCCCCAGTGAGCATCTGACAGCCTGCAACAGCTCTCACAACCCCAGGTTAGCATCTGACAGCCTGGAACAGCACGCTGCACCCCCAAGTGAGCATCTGACAGCCTGGAGCAGCAACCACACCCCCAGGTGAGCATCTGACAGCCTGGAACAGCACCCTGCACCCCCAGGTGAGCATCCAAAAGCCTGGAGCAGCACCCACACCCCCACGCGAGCATCTGACAGCCTGGAACGGCACCCACACACCCAGGTGAGCATCTGATGGTCTGGAGCAGCACCCACAACCACAGGTGAACATCGGAGAGTCTGGAGCAGCGCCCACACCCCCAGGCGAGCATCTGACAGCCTGGAGCAGTGCCCAAACCCCCAGGTGAGCATCTGACAGCGTGGAGCAGCACCCACAGCCCAAGGTGAGCATCTGACAACCAGGAGCAGCACCCACACCCCCAGGCGAGCATCTGAACGCACGGAGCAGCACCCACACCTCCCGGCGAGCATCCGACAGCCTGGAGCAGCACCCACACCCCCAGGTGCGCATCTGATGGTCTGGAGCAGCACCCACACACAGAGGTGAGCATCTGAGAGCCTGGAACAGAACCCACAGCCCCAGGTGAGCATCTGACAGACTGGAACAGCACCCACATGCCCAGGTGAGCCTCTGACAGCCTGGAACAGCACCCTGCACACCCAGGTGAGCATCTGACAGCCTGGAACAGCACACACACACCCAGGTGAGCATCTGAAAGCCTGGAAGAGCACCCACACCCCCAGGCGAGCATCTGACAGCATGCAACAGCACTCACACCCCCAGGTGAGCATCTGACAGCCTGGAACAGCACCCACACCCACAGGTGAGCATCTGACAGCATGTAACAGCACCCACACCCCCAGGTGAGCATCTGACAGCCTGCAACAGCACCCTGCACCCCCAGGTGCGCACGTGACAGCCTGGAAGAGCACCCACACCCCAAGGCGAGCATCTGACGGCCTGGAACGGCACCCACACCCCCAGGCGAGCATCGGACAGCCTGGAGTAGCACCCCACACCCCCAGGTGAGCATCCGACAGCCTGGAGCAGCACCCACACCCCCAGGTGAGCATGTGACAGCCTGGAAGAGCACCCACACCCCCAGGCGAGCATCTGACAGCCTGGGTCGGCAACCACACACGCAGGTGCGCATCTGATGGTCTGGAGCAGCACCCACACCAACAGGTGAGCATCTGACAGCCTGGAACAGAACCCACACCCCCAGGTGAGCATGTGACAGACTGGAACAGCACCCACATGCCCAGGTGAGCCTCTGACAGCCTGTAACAGCAGCCTGCACCCCCAGGTGCGCCCGTGACAGCCTGGAACAGCACCGACACCCACAGGCGAGCATCTGACGGCCTGGAACAGCACCCACACCCCCAGGTGAGCATTGGACAGCCTGGAGCAGCACCCACAACCCCAGGCGGGCAACCGACAACCTGGAGCAGCACCCACACCCACAGTTGAGCATCTGACTTCGTGGAGCATAACCCCACACGCACAGGTGAGCATCTGACAGCCTGGAGCTGCACCCACACCCTCAGGTGAGTCTCTGACAGCCTGGAACAGCACCCTGCACACCCAGGTGAGCATCCGACAGCCTGGAGCAGCACCCACACCCCCAGTTGAGCATCTGATGGTCTGGAGCAGCACCCACAACCACAGGTGAACATCAGAGAGTCTGGAGCAGCGCCCACAACCCCAGGCGAGCATCTGACAGCCTGGAGCCGTGCCCAAACACCCAGGTGAGCATCTGACAGCATGGAGCAGCACCCATAGCCCAAGGTGAGCATCTGACAACTTGGAGCAGCACCCACACCCCGAGGTGAGCATCTGACCTCCCGGAGCAGTACCAGTACCCCCAGGCGAGCATCTGAACTCATGGAGCAGCACCCACGCCCCCAGGCGAGCATCTGACCGAACGGAGCAGCACCCACAACCCCAGGCGAGCATCTGACAGCATGAAACAGCACCCAGAACTCCAGGTGAGCATCTGACAGCCCGCAGTAGCACCCACAAGCACAAGTGAGAATCTGACAGCCCAGAGCAGCACCCACACCCCCAGGGGAGCATCTGACCGCATGGAGCAGCACCCACACCCCCAGGAGAGCATCCGGCAGCCTGCAGCAGAACCCACACCAACAGGCGAGCATCTGACAGCCTGGGTCGGCACCCACACCCTCAGGTGAGCATCTGACGGCCTGGAACAGCACCCACACCCCCAGGTGAGCATCTGACATCGTGGAGCCGCACCCCACACCCACAGGTGAGCATCTGACAGCCTGGAGCAGCACCCACACCCCCAGGTGAGCATCTGACAGCCTGGAACAGCACCCTGCACCCCCAGGTGAGCATCCGACAGCCTGGAGCAGCACCCACCACTCCCAGGCCAGCATCCGATAACCTGGAGCAGCACCCACAACCCCAAGTGAGCATCTGATTGTCTGGAGCAGCACCCACAACCACAGGTGAGCATCGTAGAGTCTGGAGCAGCGCCCACAGCCCCACGCGAGCATCTGACAGCCCGGAGCAGTGACCACACCTCCCGGTGAGCATCTGACAACAGGGAGCAGCACCCATAGCCCATGGTGAGCATCTGACAACCTGGAGCAGCACCCACACCCCCAGGTGAGCATCTGATGATCTGGAGCAGCACCCACAACCACAGGTGAGCATCGGAGAGTCAGGAGCAGTGCCCACACACCCAGGCGAGCATCTGACAGCCTGGAGCAGTGCCCACACCCCCAGGTGAGCATCTGACAGCGTGGAGCAGCACCCACAGCCCAAGGTGAGCATCTGACAACCTGGAGCAGCACCCACGCCCCCAGGCGAGCATCTGAACACACGGAGCAGCACCCAAACCCCCAGGCGAGCATCCGACAGCCTGGAGCAGCACCCACACACCCAGGTGAGCAACTGACAGCCTGGAGCAGCACCCACACACCCAGGTGATCATCTGACAGCCTGGAACAGCACGCTGCCCCCCCAGGTGAGCATCTGACAGCCTGGAACAGCACACACACCCCCAGGCGAGCATCTGACAACCTGGAACAGCACCCATACGCCCAGATGAGCATCTGACAGCCTGGAACAGCACCCTGCACCCCCAGGTGAGCATCTGACAGCCTGGAACAGCACCCACACCCCCAGGTGAGCATCTGACCGCATCACATGGCATCCTCACCCCCAGTTGCGCATCTGATGGTCTGGAGCAGCACCCACACCCACAGGTGAGCATCAGACAGCCTGGAACCGCAGCCACACCCCCAGGCGAGCATCTGACAGCCTGGAGCAGCATCCACACCCCCAGGTGAGCATTTGACAGCCTGGAACAGCACTCACACCCCCAGGAGAGCATCCGGCAGCCTGGAGCGGAACCCACGGCCACAGGCGAGCATCTGAGAGCCTGGGTCGGCACCCACACCCCCAGGTGAGCATCTGATGGTTTGCGGCAACACCGACACCCACAGGTGAGCATCTGACAGCCTGGAACAGAACCCACACGCCCAGGTGAGCATCTGACAGCCTGGAACAACAGCCTGCACCACCAGGTGCGCATGTGACAGCCTGGAACAGCACCAACACCCCCAGGCGAGCATCTGACGGCCTGGAACAGCACCCACACCCCCAGGTGAGCATCAGACAGCCTGGAACAACACCCATACCCACAGGTGAGCATCTGACATCGTGGAGCAGCACCCCACACCCACAGGTGAGCATCTGACAGCCTGGAGCAGCACCCACACCCCCAGGTGAGCATCTGACAGCCTGGAACAGCACCCACACCCCCAGGTGAGAATCTGATTGTCTGGAGCATCACACACAACCACAGGTGAGCATCGGAGAGTCTGGAGCAGCACCAACATCCCAAGGTGAGCATCTGACAACCTGGAGCAGCACCCACACCTCGAGGTGAGCATCTGTCCTCCCGGAGCAGGACCCATACCTCCAGGCGAGCATCTGAACCCATGGAGCAGCACACACGCCCCCAGGCGAGCATCTGACCGAACGGAGCAGCACCCACAATCCCAGGCGAGCATCTGACAGCCTTTAACAGCACCCACAACCCCAGGTGAGCATCTGACAGCCCGCAGCAGCACCCACACGCACAGGTGAGAATCTGACAGCCCGGAGCAGCACCCACACCCCCAGGGGAGCATCTGACCGCATGGAGCAGCACCCACACCCCCAGGGGAGCATCTGAAATCCTGGAGCTGCACCGACAACAACAGGTGAGCATCTGAGAGCCTGGAACAGCTCCCGCACCCCCAGGTGAGAATCTGACAGCCTGGAAGAGCACCCCATATCCCCGGGTGAGCATCTGACAGCCTGGAACAGCACCCACTCCCCCAGGTGAGCACCTGACAGACTGGAACAGCACCCACAGGCCCAGGTGTGCCTCTGACAGCTTGGAACAGCACGCGCACCCCCAGGTGAGCATCTGACAGCCTGGAACAGCACCCACACCCCCAGGCGAGCATCTGATAGCCTGGAACAGCACCCACACCCCCAGGAGAGCATCCGGCAGCCTGCAGCAGAACCCACACCAACAGGCGAGCATCTGACAGCCTGGGTCGGCACCCACACCCCCAGGTGGGCATCTGATGGCCTGGAACAGCACCCACACCCCCAGGTGAGCATCTGACATCGTGGAGCAGCACCCCACACCCACAGGTGAGCATCTGACAGCCTGGAGCAGCACCCACACCCCCAGGTGAGCATCTGACAGCCTGGAACAGCACCCTGCACCCCCAGGTGAGCATCCGACAGCCTGGAGCAGCAACCACACTCCCAGGCGAGCATCCGATGACCTGGAGCAGCACCCACAACCCCAAGTGAGCATCTGATTGTCTGGAGCAGCACCCACAACCACAGGTGAGCATCGTAGAGTCTGGAGCAGCGCCCACAGCCACAGGCGAGCATCTGACAGCCCGGAGCAGTGCCCACACACCGAGGTGAGCATCTGACAACAGGGAGCAGCACCCATAGCCCATGGTGAGCACCTGACAACCTGGAGCAGCACCCACACACCCAGGTGAGCATCTGATGGTCTGGAGCAGCACCCACAACCAGAGGTGAGCATCGGAGAGTCAGGAGCAGTGCCCACACACCCAGGCGAGCATCTGACAGCCTGGAGCAGTGCCCACACCCCCAGGTGAGCATCTGACATCGTGGAGCAGCACCCCACACCCACAGGTGAGCATCTGACAGACTGGAGCAGCACCCACACCCCCAGGTGAGCATCTGACAGCCTGGAACAGCACCCACATCCCCAGGTGAGCCTCTGACATCGTCGAGCAGCACCCCACACCCACAGGTGAGCATCTGACAGCCTGGAACAGCACCCACACCCCCAGGTGAGAATCTGATGTTCTGGAGCATCACACACAACCACAGGTGAGCATCGGAGAGTCTGGAGCAGCACCCACAACCCAAGGTGAGCATCTGACAACCTGGAGCAGCACCCACACCCCGAGGTGAGCATCTGACCTCCCGGAGCAGGACCCATACCTCCAGGCGAGCATCTGAACCCATGGAGCAGCACCCACGCCCCCAGGCGAGCATCTGACCGAACAGAGCAGCACCCACAACCCCATGCGAGCATCTGACAGCCTGGAACAGCACCCACAACCCCAGGTGAGCATCTGACAGCCCGCAGCAGCAACCACACGCACAGGTGAGAATCTGACAGCCCGTAGCAGCACCCACACCCCCAGGGGAGCATCTGACATCCTGGAGCAGCACCGACAACCCCAGGTGAGCATCTGAGAGCCTGGAACAGCACCCACAACCCCAGGTGAGAATCTGACAGCCTGGAAGAGCACCCCACATCACCGGGTGAGCATCTGACAGCCTGGAACAGCAACCATACCCTCAGGTAAGCATCTGACAGACTGGAACAGCACCCACACGCCCAGGTGAGCCTCTGACAGCCTGGAACAGCACGCGCAACCCCAGGTGAGCATCTGACAGCCTGGAACAGCACCCACACCCACAGGTGAGCATCTGACAGCATGTAACAGCACCCACACCCCCAGGTGAGCATCTGACAGCCTGCAACAGCACCCTGCACCCCCAGGTGCGCACGTGACAGCCTGGAAGAGCACCCACACCCCAAGGCGAGCATCTGACGGCCTGGAACGGCACCCACACCCCCAGGCGAGCATCGGACAGCCTGGAGTAGCACCCCACACCCCCAGGTGAGCATCCGACAGCCTGGAGCAGCACCCACACCCCCAGGTGAGCATGTGACAGCCTGGAAGAGCACCCACACCCCCAGGCGAGCATCTGACAGCCTGGGTCGGCAACCACACACGCAGGTGCGCATCTGATGGTCTGGAGCAGCACCCACACCAACAGGTGAGCATCTGACAGCCTGGAACAGAACCCACACCCCCAGGTGAGCATGTGACAGACTGGAACAGCACCCACATGCCCAGGTGAGCCTCTGACAGCCTGTAACAGCAGCCTGCACCCCCAGGTGCGCCCGTGACAGCCTGGAACAGCACCGACACCCACAGGCGAGCATCTGACGGCCTGGAACAGCACCCACACCCCCAGGTGAGCATTGGACAGCCTGGAGCAGCACCCACAACCCCAGGCGGGCAACCGACAACCTGGAGCAGCACCCACACCCACAGTTGAGCATCTGACTTCGTGGAGCATAACCCCACACGCACAGGTGAGCATCTGACAGCCTGGAGCTGCACCCACACCCTCAGGTGAGTCTCTGACAGCCTGGAACAGCACCCTGCACACCCAGGTGAGCATCCGACAGCCTGGAGCAGCACCCACACCCCCAGTTGAGCAACTGATGGTCTGGAGCAGCACCCACAACCACAGGTGAACATCAGAGAGTCTGGAGCAGCGCCCACAACCCCAGGCGAGCATCTGACAGCCTGGAGCAGTGCCCAAACACCCAGGTGAGCATCTGACAGCATGGAGCAGCACCCATAGCCCAAGGTGAGCATCTGACAACCTGGAGCAGCACCCACACCCCGAGGTGAGCATCTGACCTCCCGGAGCAGGACCCATACCTCCAGGCGAGCATCTGAACCCATGGAGCAGCACCCACGCCCCCAGGCGAGCATCTGACCGAACAGAGCAGCACCCACAACCCCATGCGAGCATCTGTCAGCCTGGAACAGCACCCACAACCCCAGGTGAGCATCTGACAGCCCGCAGCAGCAACCACACGCACAGGTGAGAATCTGACAGCCCGTAGCAGCACCCACACCCCCAGGGGAGCATCTGACATCCTGGAGCAGCACCGACAACCCCAGGTGAGCATCTGAGAGCCTGGAACAGCACCCACAACCCCAGGTGAGAATCTGACAGCCTGGAAGAGCACCCCACATCACCGGGTGAGCATCTGACAGCCTGGAACAGCAACCATACCCTCAGGTAAGCATCTGACAGACTGGAACAGCACCCACACGCCCAGGTGAGCCTCTGACAGCCTGGAACAGCACCCACACCCCCAGGCGAGCATCCGACAGCCTGGAGCAGCACCCACACACCCAGGTGAGCAACTGACAGCCTGGAGCAGCACCCACACACCCAGGTGATCATCTGACAGCCTGGTACAGCACGCTGCCCCCCCAGGTGAGCATCTGACAGCCTGGAACAGCACACACACCCCCAGGCGAGCATCTGACAACCTGGAACAGCACCCATACGCCCAGATGAGCATCTGACAGCCTGGAACAGCACCCTGCACCCCCAGGTGAGCATCTGACAGCCTGGAACAGCACCCACACCCCCAGGTGAGCATCTGTCCGCATCACATGGCATCCTCACCCCCAGTTGCGCATCTGATGGTCTGGAGCAGCACCCACACCCACAGGTGAGCATCAGACAGCCTGGAACCGCAGCCACACCCCCAGGCGAGCATCTGACAGCCTGGAGCAGCATCCACACCCCCAGGTGAGCATTTGACAGCCTGGAACAGCACTCACACCCCCAGGAGAGCATCCGGCAGCCTGGAGCGGAACCCACGGCCACAGGCGAGCATCTGAGAGCCTGGGTCGGCACCCACACCCCCAGGTGAGCATCTGATGGTTTGCGGCAACACCGACACCCACAGGTGAGCATCTGACAGCCTGGAACAGAACCCACACGCCCAGGTGAGCATCTGACAGCCTGGAACAACAGCCTGCACCACCAGGTGCGCATGTGACAGCCTGGAACAGCACCAACACCCCCAGGCGAGCATCTGACGGCCTGGAACAGCACCCACACCCCCAGGTGAGCATCAGACAGCCTGGAACAACACCCATACCCACAGGTGAGCATCTGACATCGTGGAGCAGCACCCCACACCCACAGGTGAGCATCTGACAGCCTGGAGCAGCACCCACACCCCCAGGTGAGCATCTGACAGCCTGGAACAGCACCCACACCCCCAGGTGAGAATCTGATTGTCTGGAGCATCACACACAACCACAGGTGAGCATCGGAGAGTCTGGAGCAGCACCAACATCCCAAGGTGAGCATCTGACAACCTGGAGCAGCACCCACACCTCGAGGTGAGCATCTGTCCTCCCGGAGCAGGACCCATACCTCCAGGCGAGCATCTGAACCCATGGAGCAGCACACACGCCCCCAGGCGAGCATCTGACCGAACGGAGCAGCACCCACAATCCCAGGCGAGCATCTGACAGCCTTTAACAGCACCCACAACCCCAGGTGAGCATCTGACAGCCCGCAGCAGCACCCACACGCACAGGTGAGAATCTGACAGCCCGGAGCAGCACCCACACCCCCAGGGGAGCATCTGACCGCATGGAGCAGCACCCACACCCCCAGGGGAGCATCTGAAATCCTGGAGCTGCACCGACAACACCAGGTGAGCATCTGAGAGCCTGGAACAGCTCCCGCACCCCCAGGTGAGAATCTGACAGCCTGGAAGAGCACCCCATATCCCCGGGTGAGCATCTGACAGCCTGGAACAGCACCCACTCCCCCAGGTGAGCACCTGACAGACTGGAACAGCACCCACAGGCCCAGGTGTGCCTCTGACAGCTTGGAACAGCACGCGCACCCCGAGGTGAGCATCTGACAGCCTGGAACAGCACCCACACCCCCAGGCGAGCATCTGATAGCCTGGAACAGCACCCACACCCCCAGGAGAGCATCCGGCAGCCTGCAGCAGAACCCACACCAACAGGCGAGCATCTGACAGCCTGGGTCGGCACCCACACCCCCAGGTGAGCATCTGACGGCCTGGAACAGCACCCACACCCCCAGGTGAGCATCTGACATCGTGGAGCAGCACCCCACACCCACAGGTGAGCATCTGACAGCCTGGAGCAGCACCCACACCCCCAGGTGAGCATCTGACAGCCTGGAACAGCACCCTGCACCCCCAGGTGAGCATCCGACAGCCTGGAGCAGCAACCACACTCCCAGGCGAGCATCCGATGACCTGGAGCAGCACCCACAACCCCAAGTGAGCATCTGATTGTCTGGAGCAGCACCCACAACCACAGGTGAGCATCGTAGAGTCTGGAGCAGCGCCCACAGCCACAGGCGAGCATCTGACAGCCCGGAGCAGTGCCCACACCCCGAGGTGAGCATCTGACAACAGGGAGCAGCACCCATAGCCCATGGTGAGCACCTGACAACCTGGAGCAGCACCCACACACCCAGGTGAGCATCTGATGGTCTGGAGCAGCACCCACAACCACAGGTGAGCATCGGAGAGTCAGGAGCAGTGCCCACACACCCAGGCGAGCATCTGACAGCCTGGAGCAGTGCCCACACCCCCAGGTGAGCATCTGACATCGTGGAGCAGCACCCCACACCCACAGGTGAGCATCTGACAGCCTGGAGCAGCACCCACACCCCCAGGTGAGCATCTGACAGCCTGGAACAGCACCCACATCCCCAGGTGAGCCTCTGACATCGTCGAGCAGCACCCCACACCCACAGGTGAGCATCTGACAGCCTGGAACAGCACCCACACCCCCAGGTGAGAATCTGATGTTCTGGAGCATCACACACAACCACAGGTGAGCATCGGAGAGTCTGGAGCAGCACCCACAACCCAAGGTGAGCATCTGACAACCTGGAGCAGCACCCACACCCCGAGGTGAGCATCTGACCTCCCGGAGCAGGACCCATACCTCCAGGCGAGCATCTGAACCCATGGAGCAGCACCCACGCCCCCAGGCGAGCATCTGACCGAACAGAGCAGCACCCACAACCCCATGCGAGCATCTGACAGCCTGGAACAGCACCCACAACCCCAGGTGAGCATCTGACAGCCCGCAGCAGCAACCACACGCACAGGTGAGAATCTGACAGCCCGTAGCAGCACCCACACCCCCAGGGGAGCATCTGACATCCTGGAGCAGCACCGACAACCCCAGGTGAGCATATGAGAGCCTGGAACAGCACCCACAACCCCAGGTGAGAATCTGACAGCCTGGAAGAGCACCCCACATCACCGGGTGAGCATCTGACAGCCTGGAACAGCAACCATACCCTCAGGTAAGCATCTGACAGACTGGAACAGCACCCACACGCCCAGGTGAGCCTCTGACAGCCTGGAACAGCACGCGCAAACCCAGGTGAGCATCTGACAGCCTGGAACAGCACCCACACCCACAGGTGAGCATCTGACAGCATGTAACAGCACCCACACCCCCAGGTGAGCATCTGACAGCCTGCAACAGCACCCTGCACCCCCAGGTGCGCACGTGACAGCCTGGAAGAGCACCCACACCCCAAGGCGAGCATCTGACGGCCTGGAACGGCACCCACACCCCCAGGCGAGCATCGGACAGCCTGGAGCAGCACCCCACACCCCCAGGTGAGCATCCGACAGCCTGGAGCAGCACCCACACCCCCAGGTGAGCATGTGACAGCCTGGAAGAGCACCCACACCCCCAGGCGAGCATCTGACAGCCTGGGTCGGCAACCACACACGCAGGTGCGCATCTGATGGTCTGGAGCAGCACCCACACCAACAGGTGAGCATCTGACAGCCTGGAACAGAACCCACACCCCCAGGTGAGCATGTGACAGACTGGAACAGCACCCACATGCCCAGGTGAGCCTCTGACAGCCTGTAACAGCAGCCTGCACCCCCAGGTGCGCCCGTGACAGCCTGGAACAGCACCGACACCCACAGGCGAGCATCTGACGGCCTGGAACAGCACCCACACCCCCAGGTGAGCATTGGACAGCCTGGAGCAGCACCCACAACCCCAGGCGGGCAACCGACAACCTGGAGCAGCACCCACACCCACAGTTGAGCATCTGACTTCGTGGAGCATAACCCCACACGCACAGGTGAGCATCTGACAGCCTGGAGCTGCACCCACACCCTCAGGTGAGTCTCTGACAGCCTGGAACAGCACCCTGCACACCCAGGTGAGCATCCGACAGCCTGGAGCAGCACCCACACCCCCAGTTGAGCAACTGATGGTCTGGAGCAGCACCCACAACCACAGGTGAACATCAGAGAGTCTGGAGCAACGCCCACAACCCCAGGCGAGCATCTGACAGCCTGGAGCAGTGCCCAAACACCCAGGTGAGCATCTGACAGCATGGAGCAGCACCCATAGCCCAAGGTGAGCATCTGACAACCTGGAGCAGCACCCACACCCCGAGGTGAGCATCTGACCTCCCGGAGCAGGACCCATACCTCCAGGCGAGCATCTGAACCCATGGAGCAGCACCCACGCCCCCAGGCGAGCATCTGACCGAACAGAGCAGCACCCACAACCCCATGCGAGCATCTGTCAGCCTGGAACAGCACCCACAACCCCAGGTGAGCATCTGACAGCCCGCAGCAGCAACCACACGCACAGGTGAGAATCTGACAGCCCGTAGCAGCACCCACACCCCCAGGGGAGCATCTGACATCCTGGAGCAGCACCGACAACCCCAGGTGAGCATCTGAGAGCCTGGAACAGCACCCACAACCCCAGGTGAGAATCTGACAGCCTGGAAGAGCACCCCACATCACCGGGTGAGCATCTGACAGCCTGGAACAGCAACCATACCCTCAGGTAAGCATCTGACAGACTGGAACAGCACCCACACGCCCAGGTGAGCCTCTGACAGCCTGGAACAGCACCCACACCCCCAGGCGAGCATCCGACAGCCTGGAGCAGCACCCACACACCCAGGTGAGCAACTGACAGCCTGGAGCAGCACCCACACACCCAGGTGATCATCTGACAGCCTGGTACAGCACGCTGCCCCCCCAGGTGAGCATCTGACAGCCTGGAACAGCACACACACCCCCAGGCGAGCATCTGACAACCTGGAACAGCACCCATACGCCCAGATGAGCATCTGACAGCCTGGAACAGCACCCTGCACCCCCAGGTGAGCATCTGACAGCCTGGAACAGCACCCACACCCCCAGGTGAGCATCTGTCCGCATCACATGGCATCCTCACCCCCAGTTGCGCATCTGATGGTCTGGAGCAGCACCCACACCCACAGGTGAGCATCAGACAGCCTGGAACCGCAGCCACACCCCCAGGCGAGCATCTGACAGCCTGGAGCAGCATCCACACCCCCAGGTGAGCATTTGACAGCCTGGAACAGCACTCACACCCCCAGGAGAGCATCCGGCAGCCTGGAGCGGAACCCACGGCCACAGGCGAGCATCTGAGAGCCTGGGTCGGCACCCACACCCCCAGGTGAGCATCTGATGGTTTGCGGCAACACCGACACCCACAGGTGAGCATCTGACAGCCTGGAACAGAACCCACACGCCCAGGTGAGCATCTGACAGCCTGGAACAACAGCCTGCACCACCAGGTGCGCATGTGACAGCCTGGAACAGCACCAACACCCCCAGGCGAGCATCTGACGGCCTGGAACAGCACCCACACCCCCAGGTGAGCATCAGACAGCCTGGAACAACACCCATACCCACAGGTGAGCATCTGACATCGTGGAGCAGCACCCCACACCCACAGGTGAGCATCTGACAGCCTGGAGCAGCACCCACACCCCCAGGTGAGCATCTGACAGCCTGGAACAGCACCCACACCCCCAGGTGAGAATCTGATTGTCTGGAGCATCACACACAACCACAGGTGAGCATCGGAGAGTCTGGAGCAGCACCAACATCCCAAGGTGAGCATCTGACAACCTGGAGCAGCACCCACACCTCGAGGTGAGCATCTGTCCTCCCGGAGCAGGACCCATACCTCCAGGCGAGCATCTGAACCCATGGAGCAGCACACACGCCCCCAGGCGAGCATCTGACCGAACGGAGCAGCACCCACAATCCCAGGCGAGCATCTGACAGCCTTTAACAGCACCCACAACCCCAGGTGAGCATCTGACAGCCCGCAGCAGCACCCACACGCACAGGTGAGAATCTGACAGCCCGGAGCAGCACCCACACCCCCAGGGGAGCATCTGACCGCATGGAGCAGCACCCACACCCCCAGGGGAGCATCTGAAATCCTGGAGCTGCACCGACAACACCAGGTGAGCATCTGAGAGCCTGGAACAGCTCCCGCACCCCCAGGTGAGAATCTGACAGCCTGGAAGAGCACCCCATATCCCCGGGTGAGCATCTGACAGCCTGGAACAGCACCCACTCCCCCAGGTGAGCACCTGACAGACTGGAACAGCACCCACAGGCCCAGGTGTGCCTCTGACAGCTTGGAACAGCACGCGCACCCCGAGGTGAGCATCTGACAGCCTGGAACAGCACCCACACCCCCAGGCGAGCATCTGATAGCCTGGAACAGCACCCACACCCCCAGGAGAGCATCCGGCAGCCTGCAGCAGAACCCACACCAACAGGCGAGCATCTGACAGCCTGGGTCGGCACCCACACCCCCAGGTGAGCATCTGACGGCCTGGAACAGCACCCACACCCCCAGGTGAGCATCTGACATCGTGGAGCAGCACCCCACACCCACAGGTGAGCATCTGACAGCCTGGAGCAGCACCCACACCCCCAGGTGAGCATCTGACAGCCTGGAACAGCACCCTGCACCCCCAGGTGAGCATCCGACAGCCTGGAGCAGCAACCACACTCCCAGGCGAGCATCCGATGACCTGGAGCAGCACCCACAACCCCAAGTGAGCATCTGATTGTCTGGAGCAGCACCCACAACCACAGGTGAGCATCGTAGAGTCTGGAGCAGCGCCCACAGCCACAGGCGAGCATCTGACAGCCCGGAGCAGTGCCCACACCCCGAGGTGAGCATCTGACAACAGGGAGCAGCACCCATAGCCCATGGTGAGCACCTGACAACCTGGAGCAGCACCCACACACCCAGGTGAGCATCTGATGGTCTGGAGCAGCACCCACAACCACAGGTGAGCATCGGAGAGTCAGGAGCAGTGCCCACACACCCAGGCGAGCATCTGACAGCCTGGAGCAGTGCCCACACCCCCAGGTGAGCATCTGACATCGTGGAGCAGCACCCCACACCCACAGGTGAGCATCTGACAGCCTGGAGCAGCACCCACACCCCCAGGTGAGCATCTGACAGCCTGGAACAGCACCCACATCCCCAGGTGAGCCTCTGACATCGTCGAGCAGCACCCCACACCCACAGGTGAGCATCTGACAGCCTGGAACAGCACCCACACCCCCAGGTGAGAATCTGATGTTCTGGAGCATCACACACAACCACAGGTGAGCATCGGAGAGTCTGGAGCAGCACCCACAACCCAAGGTGAGCATCTGACAACCTGGAGCAGCACCCACACCCCGAGGTGAGCATCTGACCTCCCGGAGCAGGACCCATACCTCCAGGCGAGCATCTGAACCCATGGAGCAGCACCCACGCCCCCAGGCGAGCATCTGACCGAACAGAGCAGCACCCACAACCCCATGCGAGCATCTGACAGCCTGGAACAGCACCCACAACCCCAGGTGAGCATCTGACAGCCCGCAGCAGCAACCACACGCACAGGTGAGAATCTGACAGCCCGTAGCAGCACCCACACCCCCAGGGGAGCATCTGACATCCTGGAGCAGCACCGACAACCCCAGGTGAGCATCTGAGAGCCTGGAACAGCACCCACAACCCCAGGTGAGAATCTGACAGCCTGGAAGAGCACCCCACATCACCGGGTGAGCATCTGACAGCCTGGAACAGCAACCATACCCTCAGGTAAGCATCTGACAGACTGGAACAGCACCCACACGCCCAGGTGAGCCTCTGACAGCCTGGAACAGCACGCGCAACCCCAGGTGAGCATCTGACAGCCTGGAACAGCACCCACACCCACAGGTGAGCATCTGACAGCATGTAACAGCACCCACACCCCCAGGTGAGCATCTGACAGCCTGCAACAGCACCCTGCACCCCCAGGTGCGCACGTGACAGCCTGGAAGAGCACCCACACCCCAAGGCGAGCATCTGACGGCCTGGAACGGCACCCACACCCCCAGGCGAGCATCGGACAGCCTGGAGCAGCACCCCACACCCCCAGGTGAGCATCCGACAGCCTGGAGCAGCACCCACACCCCCAGGTGAGCATGTGACAGCCTGGAAGAGCACCCACACCCCCAGGCGAGCATCTGACAGCCTGGGTCGGCAACCACACACGCAGGTGCGCATCTGATGGTCTGGAGCAGCACCCACACCAACAGGTGAGCATCTGACAGCCTGGAACAGAACCCACACCCCCAGGTGAGCATGTGACAGACTGGAACAGCACCCACATGCCCAGGTGAGCCTCTGACAGCCTGTAACAGCAGCCTGCACCCCCAGGTGCGCCCGTGACAGCCTGGAACAGCACCGACACCCACAGGCGAGCATCTGACGGCCTGGAACAGCACCCACACCCCCAGGTGAGCATTGGACAGCCTGGAGCAGCACCCACAACCCCAGGCGGGCAACCGACAACCTGGAGCAGCACCCACACCCACAGTTGAGCATCTGACTTCGTGGAGCATAACCCCACACGCACAGGTGAGCATCTGACAGCCTGGAGCTGCACCCACACCCTCAGGTGAGTCTCTGACAGCCTGGAACAGCACCCTGCACACCCAGGTGAGCATCCGACAGCCTGGAGCAGCACCCACACCCCCAGTTGAGCATCTGATGGTCTGGAGCAGCACCCACAACCACAGGTGAACATCAGAGAGTCTGGAGCAGCGCCCACAACCCCAGGCGAGCATCTGACAGCCTGGAGCAGTGCCCAAACACCCAGGTGAGCATCTGACAGCATGGAGCAGCACCCATAGCCCAAGGTGAGCATCTGACAACCTGAAGCAGCACCCACACACCGAGGTGAGCATCTGACCTCCCGGAGCAGCACCAGTACCCCCAGGCGAGCATCTGAACTCATGGAGCAGCACCCACACCCCCAGGCGAGCATCTGACCGAACGGAGCAGCACCCACAACCCCAGGCGAGCATCTGACAGCATGAAACAGCACCCAGAACTCCAGGTGAGCATCTGACAGCCCGCAGTAGCACCCACAAGCACAAGTGAGAATCTGACAGCCCAGAGCAGCACCCACACCCCCAGGGGAGCATCTGACCGCATGGAGCAGCACCCACACCCCCAGGAGAGCATCCGGCAGCCTGCAGCAGAACCCACACCAACAGGCGAGCATCTGACAGCCTGGGTCGGCACCCACACCCCCAGGTGAGCATCTGACGGCCTGGAACAGCACCCACACCCCCAGGTGAGCATCTGACATCGTGGAGCCGCACCCCACACCCACAGGTGAGCATCTGACAGCCTGGAGCAGCACCCACACCCCCAGGTGAGCATCTGACAGCCTGGAACAGCACCCTGCACCCCCAGGTGAGCATCCGACAGCCTGGAGCAGCACCCACCACTCCCAGGCCAGCATCCGATAACCTGGAGCAGCACCCACAACCCCAAGTGAGCATCTGATTGTCTGGAGCAGCACCCACAACCACAGGTGAGCATCGTAGAGTCTGGAGCAGCGCCCACAGCCCCACACGAGCATCTGACAGCCCGGAGCAGTGACCACACCTCCAGGTGAGCATCTGACAACAGGGAGCAGCACCCATAGCCCATGGTGAGCATCTGACAACCTGGAGCAGCACCCACACCCCCAGGTGAGCATCTGATGATCTGGAGCAGCACCCACAACCACAGGTGAGCATCGGAGAGTCAGGAGCAGTGCCCACACACCCAGGCGAGCATCTGACAGCCTGGAGCAGTGCCCACACCCCCAGGTGAGCATCTGACAGCGTGGAGCAGCACCCACAGCCCAAGGTGAGCATCTGACAACCTGGAGCAGCACCCACGCCCCCAGGCGAGCATCTGAACACACGGAGCAGCACCCACACCCCCAGGCGAGCATCCGACAGCCTGGAGCAGCACCCACACACCCAGGTGAGCAACTGACAGCCTGGAGCAGCACCCACACACCCAGGTGATCATCTGACAGCCTGGAACAGCACGCTGCCCCCCCAGGTGAGCATCTGACAGCCTGGAACAGCACACACACCCCCAGGCGAGCATCTGACAACCTGGAACAGCACCCATACGCCCAGATGAGCATCTGACAGCCTGGAACAGCACCCTGCACCCCCAGGTGAGCATCTGACAGCCTGGAACAGCACCCACACCCCCAGGTGAGCATCTGACCGCATCACATGGCATCCTCACCCCCAGTTGCGCATCTGATGGTCTGGAGCAGCACCCACACCCACAGGTGAGCATCAGACAGCCTGGAACCGCAGCCACACCCCCAGGCGAGCATCTGACAGCCTGGAGCAGCATCCACACCCCCAGGTGAGCATTTGACAGCCTGGAACAGCACTCACACCCCCAGGAGAGCATCCGGCAGCCTGGAGCGGAACCCACGGCCACAGGCGAGCATCTGAGGGCCTGGGTCGGCACCCACACCCCCAGGTGAGCATCTGATGGTTTGCGGCAACACTGACACCCACAGGTGAGCATCTGACAGCCTGGAACAGAACCCACACGCCCAGGTGAGCATCTGACAGCCTGGAACAACAGCCTGCACCACCAGGTGCGCATGTGACAGCCTGGAACAGCACCAACACCCCCAGGCGAGCATCTGACGGCCTGGAACAGCACCCACACCCCCAGGTGAGCATCAGACAGCCTGGAACAACACCCATACCCACAGGTGAGCATCTGACATCGTGGAGCAGCACCCCACACCCACAGGTGAGCATCTGACAGCCTGGAGCAGCACCCACACCCCCAGGTGAGCATCTGACAGCCTGGAACAGCACCCACACCCCCAGGTGAGAATCTGATTGTCTGGAGCATCACACACAACCACAGGTGAGCATCGGAGAGTCTGGAGCAGCACCAACATCCCAAGGTGAGCATCTGACAACCTGGAGCAGCACCCACACCTCGAGGTGAGCATCTGTCCTCCCGGAGCAGGACCCATACCTCCAGGCGAGCATCTGAACCCATGGAGCAGCACACACGCCCCCAGGCGAGCATCTGACCGAACGGAGCAGCACCCACAATCCCAGGCGAGCATCTGACAGCCTTTAACAGCACCCACAACCCCAGGTGAGCATCTGACAGCCCGCAGCAGCACCCACACGCACAGGTGAGAATCTGACAGCCCGGAGCAGCACCCACACCCCCAGGGGAGCATCTGACCGCATGGAGCAGCACCCACACCCCCAGGGGAGCATCTGAAATCCTGGAGCTGCACCGACAACACCAGGTGAGCATCTGAGAGCCTGGAAAAGCTCCCGCACCCCCAGGTGAGAATCTGACAGCCTGGAAGAGCACCCCATATCCCCGGGTGAGCATCTGACAGCCTGGAACAGCACCCACTCCCCCAGGTGAGCACCTGACAGACTGGAACAGCACCCACAGGCCCAGGTGTGCCTCTGACAGCTTGGAACAGCACGCGCACCCCGAGGTGAGCATCTGACAGCCTGGAACAGCACCCACACCCCCAGGCGAGCATCTGATAGCCTGGAACAGCACCCACACCCCCAGGAGAGCATCCGGCAGCCTGCAGCAGAACCCACACCAACAGGCGAGCATCTGACAGCCTGGGTCGGCACCCACACCCCCAGGTGAGCATCTGACGGCCTGGAACAGCACCCACACCCCCAGGTGAGCATCTGACATCGTGGAGCAGCACCCCACACCCACAGGTGAGCATCTGACAGCCTGGAGCAGCACCCACACCCCCAGGTGAGCATCTGACAGCCTGGAACAGCACCCTGCACCCCCAGGTGAGCATCCGACAGCCTGGAGCAGCAACCACACTCCCAGGCGAGCATCCGATGACCTGGAGCAGCACCCACAACCCCAAGTGAGCATCTGATTGTCTGGAGCAGCACCCACAACCACAGGTGAGCATCGTAGAGTCTGGAGCAGCGCCCACAGCCACAGGCGAGCATCTGACAGCCCGGAGCAGTGCCCACACCCCGAGGTGAGCATCTGACAACAGGGAGCAGCACCCATAGCCCATGGTGAGCACCTGACAACCTGGAGCAGCACCCACACACCCAGGTGAGCATCTGATGGTCTGGAGCAGCACCCACAACCACAGGTGAGCATCGGAGAGTCAGGAGCAGTGCCCACACACCCAGGCGAGCATCTGACAGCCTGGAGCAGTGCCCACACCCCCAGGTGAGAATCTGACAGCCCGTAGCAGCACCCACACCCCCAGGGGAGCATCTGACATCCTGGAGCAGCACCGACAACCCCAGGTGAGCATCTGAGAGCCTGGAACAGCACCCACAACCCCAGGTGAGAATCTGACAGCCTGGAAGAGCACCCCACATCACCGGGTGAGCATCTGACAGCCTGGAACAGCAACCATACCCTCAGGTAAGCATCTGACAGACTGGAACAGCACCCACACGCCCAGGTGAGCCTCTGACAGCCTGGAACAGCACGCGCAACCCCAGGTGAGCATCTGACAGCCTGGAACAGCACCCACACCCACAGGTGAGCATCTGACAGCATGTAACAGCACCCACACTCCCAGGTGAGCATCTGACAGCCTGCAACAGCACCCTGCACCCCCAGGTGCGCAC
Organism: Homo sapiens; assembly: GCF_000001405.40. Classification (NCBI taxonomy): domain Eukaryota; kingdom Metazoa; phylum Chordata; class Mammalia; order Primates; family Hominidae; genus Homo; species Homo sapiens. Next base: position 2,675,537 of record NC_000001.11, read on the forward strand.
GTGACAGCCTGGAAGAGCACCCACACCCCAAGGCGAGCATCTGACGGCCTGGAACGGCACCCACAACCCCAGGCGAGCATCGGACAGCCTGGAGCAGCACCCCACACCCCCAGGTGAGCATCCGACAGCCTGGAGCAGCACCCACACCCCCAGGTGAGCATGTGACAGCCTGGAAGAGCACCCACACCCCCAGGCGAGCATCTGACAGCCTGGGTCGGCAACCACACACGCAGGTGCGCATCTGATGGTCTGGAGCAGCACCCACACCAACAGGTGAGCATCTGACAGCCTGGAACAGAACCCACACCCCCAGGTGAGCATGTGACAGACTGGAACAGCACCCACATGCCCAGGTGAGCCTCTGACAGCCTGTAACAGCAGCCTGCACCCCCAGGTGCGCCCGTGACAGCCTGGAACAGCACCGACACCCACAGGCGAGCATCTGACGGCCTGGAACAGCACCCACACCCCCAGGTGAGCATTGGACAGCCTGGAGCAGCACCCACAACCCCAGGCGGGCAACCGACAACCTGGAGCAGCACCCACACCCACAGTTGAGCATCTGACTTCGTGGAGCATAACCCCACACGCACAGGTGAGCATCTGACAGCCTGGAGCTGCACCCACACCCTCAGGTGAGTCTCTGACAGCCTGGAACAGCACCCTGCACACCCAGGTGAGCATCCGACAGCCTGGAGCAGCACCCACACCCCCAGTTGAGCATCTGATGGTCTGGAGCAGCACCCACAACCACAGGTGAACATCAGAGAGTCTGGAGCAGCGCCCACAACCCCAGGCGAGCATCTGACAGCCTGGAGCAGTGCCCAAACACCCAGGTGAGCATCTGACAGCATGGAGCAGCACCCATAGCCCAAGGTGAGCATCTGACAACCTGGAGCAGCACCCACACCCCGAGGTGAGCATCTGACCTCCCGGAGCAGCACCAGTACCCCCAGGCGAGCATCTGAACTCATGGAGCAGCACCCACACCCCCAGGCGAGCATCTGACCGAACGGAGCAGCACCCACAAACCCAGGCGAGCATCTGACAGCATGAAACAGCACCCAGAACTCCAGGTGAGCATCTGACAGCCCGCAGTAGCACCCACAAGCACAAGTGAGAATCTGACAGCCCAGAGCAGCACCCACACCCCCAGGGGAGCATCTGACCGCATGGAGCAGCACCCACACCCCCAGGAGAGCATCCGGCAGCCTGCAGCAGAACCCACACCAACAGGCGAGCATCTGACAGCCTGGGTCGGCACCCACACCACCAGGTGAGCATCTGACGGCCTGGAACAGCACCCACACCCCCAGGTGAGCATCTGACATCGTGGAGCCGCACCCCACACCCACAGGTGAGCATCTGACAGCCTGGAGCAGCACCCACACCCCCAGGTGAGCATCTGACAGCATGGAACAGCACCCTGCACCCCCAGGTGAGCATCCGACAGCCTGGAGCAGCACCCACCACTCCCAGGCCAGCATCCGATAACCTGGAGCAGCACCCACAACCCCAAGTGAGCATCTGATTGTCTGGAGCAGCACCCACAACCACAGGTGAGCATCGTAGAGTCTGGAGCAGCGCCCACAGCCCCACGCGAGCATCTGACAGCCCGGAGCAGTGACCACACCTCCAGGTGAGCATCTGACAACAGGGAGCAGCACCCATAGCCCATGGTGAGCATCTGACAACCTGGAGCAGCACCCACACCCCCAGGTGAGCATCTGATGATCTGGAGCAGCACCCACAACCACAGGTGAGCATCGGAGAGTCAGGAGCAGTGCCCACACACCCAGGCGAGCATCTGACAGCCTGGAGCAGTGCCCACACCCCCAGGTGAGCATCTGACAGCGTGGAGCAGCACCCACAGCCCAAGGTGAGCATCTGACAACCTGGAGCAGCACCCACGCCCCCAGGCGAGCATCTGAACACACGGAGCAGCACCCACACCCCCAGGCGAGCATCCGACAGCCTGGAGCAGCACCCACACACCCAGGTGAGCAACTGACAGCCTGGAGCAGCACCCACACACCCAGGTGATCATCTGACAGCCTGGAACAGCACGCTGCCCCCCCAGGTGAGCATCTGACAGCCTGGAACAGCACACACACCCCCAGGCGAGCATCTGACAGCCTGGAACAGCACCCATACGCCCAGATGAGCATCTGACAGCCTGGAACAGCACCCTGCACCCCCAGGTGAGCATCTGACAGCCTGGAACAGCACCCACACCCCCAGGTGAGCATCTGACCGCATCACATGGCATCCTCACACCCAGTTGCGCATCTGATGGTCTGGAGCAGCACCCACACCCACAGGTGAGCATCAGACAGCCTGGAACCGCAGCCACACCCCCAGGCGAGCATCTGACAGCCTGGAGCAGCACCCTGCACCCCCAGGTGAGCATCCGACAGCCTGGAGCAGCAACCACACTCCCAGGCGAGCATCCGATGACCTGGAGCAGCACCCACAACCCCAAGTGAGCATCTGATTGTCTGGAGCAGCACCCACAACCACAGGTGAGCATCGTAGAGTCTGGAGCAGCGCCCACAGCCACAGGCGAGCATCTGACAGCCCGGAGCAGTGCCCACACCCCGAGGTGAGCATCTGACAACAGGGAGCAGCACCCATAGCCCATGGTGAGCACCTGACAACCTGGAGCAGCACCCACACACCCAGGTGAGCATCTGATGGTCTGGAGCAGCACCCACAACCACAGGTGAGCATCGGAGAGTCAGGAGCAGTGCCCACACACCCAGGCGAGCATCTGACAGCCTGGAGCAGTGCCCACACCCCCAGGTGAGCATCTGACATCGTGGAGCAGCACCCCACACCCACAGGTGAGCATCTGACAGCCTGGAGCAGCACCCACACCCCCAGGTGAGCATCTGACAGCCTGGAACAGCACCCACATCCCCAGGTGAGCCTCTGACATCGTCGAGCAGCACCCCACACCCACAGGTGAGCATCTGACAGCCTGGAACAGCACCCACACCCCCAGGTGAGAATCTGATGTTCTGGAGCATCACACACAACCACAGGTGAGCATCGGAGAGTCTGGAGCAGCACCCACAACCCAAGGTGAGCATCTGACAACCTGGAGCAGCACCCACACCCCGAGGTGAGCATCTGACCTCCCGGAGCAGGACCCATACCTCCAGGCGAGCATCTGAACCCATGGAGCAGCACCCACGCCCCCAGGCGAGCATCTGACCGAACAGAGCAGCACCCACAACCCCATGCGAGCATCTGACAGCCTGGAACAGCACCCACAACCCCAGGTGAGCATCTGACAGCCCGCAGCAGCAACCACACGCACAGGTGAGAATCTGACAGCCCGTAGCAGCACCCACACCCCCAGGGGAGCATCTGACATCCTGGAGCAGCACCGACAACCCCAGGTGAGCATCTGAGAGCCTGGAACAGCACCCACAACCCCAGGTGAGAATCTGACAGCCTGGAAGAGCACCCCACATCACCGGGTGAGCATCTGACAGCCTGGAACAGCAACCATACCCTCAGGTAAGCATCTGACAGACTGGAACAGCACCCACACGCCCAGGTGAGCCTCTGACAGCCTGGAACAGCACGCGCAACCCCAGGTGAGCATCTGACAGCCTGGAACAGCACCCACACCCACAGGTGAGCATCTGACAGCATGTAACAGCACCCACACCCCCAGGTGAGCATCTGACAGCCTGCAACAGCACCCTGCACCCCCAGGTGCGCACGTGACAGCCTGGAAGAGCACCCACACCCCAAGGCGAGCATCTGACGGCCTGGAACGGCACCCACACCCCCAGGCGAGCATCGGACAGCCTGGAGCAGCACCCCACACCCCCAGGTGAGCATCCGACAGCCTGGAGCAGCACCCACACCCCCAGGTGAGCATGTGACAGCCTGGAAGAGCACCCACACCCCCAGGCGAGCATCTGACAGCCTGGGTCGGCAACCACACACGCAGGTGCGCATCTGATGGTCTGGAGCAGCACCCACACCAACAGGTGAGCATCTGACAGCCTGGAACAGAACCCACACCCCCAGGTGAGCATGTGACAGACTGGAACAGCACCCACATGCCCAGGTGAGCCTCTGACAGCCTGTAACAGCAGCCTGCACCCCCAGGTGCGCCCGTGACAGCCTGGAACAGCACCGACACCCACAGGCGAGCATCTGACGGCCTGGAACAGCACCCACACCCCCAGGTGAGCATTGGACAGCCTGGAGCAGCACCCACAACCCCAGGCGGGCAACCGACAACCTGGAGCAGCACCCACACCCACAGTTGAGCATCTGACTTCGTGGAGCATAACCCCACACGCACAGGTGAGCATCTGACAGCCTGGAGCTGCACCCACACCCTCAGGTGAGTCTCTGACAGCCTGGAACAGCACCCTGCACACCCAGGTGAGCATCCGACAGCCTGGAGCAGCACCCACACCCCCAGTTGAGCATCTGATGGTCTGGAGCAGCACCCACAACCACAGGTGAACATCAGAGAGTCTGGAGCAGCGCCCACAACCCCAGGCGAGCATCTGACAGCCTGGAGCAGTGCCCAAACACCCAGGTGAGCATCTGACAGCATGGAGCAGCACCCATAGCCCAAGGTGAGCATCTGACAACCTGGAGCAGCACCCACACCCCGAGGTGAGCATCTGACCTCCCGGAGCAGCACCAGTACCCCCAGGCGAGCATCTGAACTCATGGAGCAGCACCCACACCCCCAGGCGAGCATCTGACCGAACGGAGCAGCACCCACAAACCCAGGCGAGCATCTGACAGCATGAAACAGCACCCAGAACTCCAGGTGAGCATCTGACAGCCCGCAGTAGCACCCACAAGCACAAGTGAGAATCTGACAGCCCAGAGCAGCACCCACACCCCCAGGGGAGCATCTGACCGCATGGAGCAGCACCCACACCCCCAGGAGAGCATCCGGCAGCCTGCAGCAGAACCCACACCAACAGGCGAGCATCTGACAGCCTGGGTCGGCACCCACACCCCCAGGTGAGCATCTGACGGCCTGGAACAGCACCCACACCCCCAGGTGAGCATCTGACATCGTGGAGCCGCACCCCACACCCACAGGTGAGCATCTGACAGCCTGGAGCAGCACCCACACCCCCAGGTGAGCATCTGACAGCCTGGAACAGCACCCTGCACCCCCAGGTGAGCATCCGACAGCCTGGAGCAGCACCCACCACTCCCAGGCCAGCATCCGATAACCTGGAGTAGCACCCACAACCCCAAGTGAGCATCTGATTGTCTGGAGCAGCACCCACAACCACAGGTGAGCATCGTAGAGTCTGGAGCAGCGCCCACAGCCCCACGCGAGCATCTGACAGCCCGGAGCAGTGACCACACCTCCAGGTGAGCATCTGACAACAGGGAGCAGCACCCATAGCCCATGGTGAGCATCTGACAACCTGGAGCAGCACCCACACCCCCAGGTGAGCATCTGATGATCTGGAGCAGCACCCACAACCACAGGTGAGCATCGGAGAGTCAGGAGCAGTGCCCACACACCCAGGCGAGCATCTGACAGCCTAGAGCAGTGCCCACACCCCCAGGTGAGCATCTGACAGCGTGGAGCAGCACCCACAGCCCAAGGTGAGCATCTGACAACCTGGAGCAGCACCCACGCCCACAGGCGAGCATCTGAACACACGGAGCAGCACCCACACCCCCAGGCGAGCATCCGACAGCCTGGAGCAGCACCCACACACCCAGGTGAGCAACTGACAGCCTGGAGCAGCACCCACACACCCAGGTGATCATCTGACAGCCTGGAACAGCACGCTGCCCCCCCAGGTGAGCATCTGACAGCCTGGAACAGCACACACACCCCCAGGCGAGCATCTGACAACCTGGAACAGCACCCATACGCCCAGATGAGCATCTGACAGCCTGGAACAGCACCCTGCACCCCCAGGTGAGCATCTGACAGCCTGGAACAGCACCCACACCCCCAGGTGAGCATCTGACCGCATCGCATGGCATCCTCACCCCCAGTTGCGCATCTGATGGTCTGGAGCAGCATCCACACCCACAGGTGAGCATCAGACAGCCTGGAACCGCAGCCACACCCCCAGCGAGCACCTGACAGCCTGGAGCAGCATCCACACCCCCAGGTGAGCATTTGACAGCCTGGAACAGCACTCACACCCCCAGGAGAGCATCCGGCAGCCTGGAGCGGAACCCACGGCCACAGGCGAGCATCTGAGAGCCTGGGTCGGCACCCACACCCCCAGGTGAGCATCTGATGGTTTGCGGCAACACCGACACCCACAGGTGAGCATCTGACAGCCTGGAACAGAACCCACACGCCCAGGTGAGCATCTGACAGCCTGGAACAACAGCCTGCACCACCAGGTGCGCATGTGACAGCCTGGAACAGCACCAACACCCCAAGGCGAGCATCTGACGGCCTGGAACAGCACCCACACCCCCAGGTGAGCATCAGACAGCCTGGAACAACACCCATACCCACAGGTGAGCATCTGACATTGTGGAGCAGCACCCCACACCCACAGGTGAGCATCTGACAGCCTGGAGCAGCACCCACACCCCCAGGTGAGCATCTGACAGCCTGGAACAGCACCCTGCACCCCCAGGTGAGCATCCGACAGCCTGGAGCAGCACCCACCACTCCCAGGCCAGCATCCGATAACCTGGAGCAGCACCCACAACCCCAAGTGAGCATCTGATTGTCTGGAGCAGCACCCACAACCACAGGTGAGCATCGTAGAGTCTGGAGCAGCGCCCACAGCCCCACGCGAGCATCTGACAGCCCGGAGCAGTGACCACACCTCCAGGTGAGCATCTGACAACAGGGAGCAGCACCCATAGCCCATGGTGAGCATCTGACAACCTGGAGCAGCACCCACACCCCCAGGTGAGCATCTGATGATCTGGAGCAGCACCCACAACCACAGGTGAGCATCGGAGAGTCAGGAGCAGTGCCCACACACCCAGGCGAGCATCTGACAGCCTGGAGCAGTGCCCACACCCCCAGGTGAGCATCTGACAGCGTGGAGCAGCACCCACAGCCCAAGGTGAGCATCTGACAACCTGGAGCAGCACCCACGCCCCCAGGCGAGCATCTGAACACACGGAGCAGCACCCACACCCCCAGGCGAGCATCCGACAGCCTGGAGCAGCACCCACACACCCAGGTGAGCAACTGACAGCCTGGAGCAGCACCCACACACCCAGGTGATCATCTGACAGCCTGGAACAGCACGCTGCCCCCCCAGGTGAGCATCTGACAGCCTGGAACAGCACACACACCCCCAGGCGAGCATCTGACAACCTGGAACAGCACCCATACGCCCAGATGAGCATCTGACAGCCTGGAACAGCACCCTGCACCCCCAGGTGAGCATCTGACAGCCTGGAACAGCACCCACACCCCCAGGTGAGCATCTGACCGCATCGCATGGCATCCTCACCCCCAGTTGCGCATCTGATGGTCTGGAGCAGCACCCACACCCACAGGTGAGCATCAGACAGCCTGGAACCGCAGCCACACCCCCAGGCGAGCATCTGACAGCCTGGAGCAGCATCCACACCCCCAGGTGAGCATTTGACAGCCTGGAACAGCACGCACAGCCCCAGGAGAGCATCCGGCAGCCTGGAGCGGAACCCACGGCCACAGGCGAGCATCTGAGAGCCTGGGTCGGCACCCACACCCCCAAGTGAGCATCTGATGGTTTGCAGCAGCACCCACACCCACAGGTGAGCATCTGACAGCCTGGAACAGAATCCACACCCCCAGGTGAGCATCTGACAGACTGGAACACCACCCTGCACCCCCAGGTGAGCATCTGATGGCTTGGAACAGCACCCACACGCCCAGGTGAGCATCCGATAGCCTGGAACACCACCCTTCACCCCCAGGTGAGCATCCGACAGCCTGGAGCAGCACCCACACCACCAGGCGAGCATCTGACAGCCTGGAACGGCACCCACACCACCAGGTGAGCATCTGATGGTCTGGAGCAGCACCCACAACCACAGGTGAGCATCCGACAGCCTGGAACAGCACCCACACACTCAGGCGAGCATCTGACATCCTTCAGCAGCACCCACACCCCCAGGTGAGCATCTGACAGCCTGGAGCAGCACGCTGCACCCCCAGGTGACGATCTGACAGCCTGGAACAGCACCCACACCCCCAGGTGAGCAGCTGATATCCTGGAACAGCACCCACACCCCCAGGTGAGCATCTGACAGGCTGGAGCAGCACGCACACCCCCAGTTGAGCATCTGACAGCCGGGAACAGCACCCACACCCCCAGGTGAACATCCGACAGCCTGGAGCAGAACCCACACCCCGAGGCGAGCATCTGACAGCCTGGGTCGGCACCCACACCTCCAGGTGAGCATCTGATGGTCTGGAGCAGTACCCACACCCACAGTTGAGCATCTGACAGCCTGGAGCAGCATCCTGCACCCCCAGGTGAGCATCTGACAGCCTGGAACAGCACCCTGCAGCCCCAGGTGAGCATTTGACAGCCTGGAACAGCACCCACATCCCCAGGTGAGCATCCGATAGCCTGGAGCAGCACCCACACCCTCAGGTGAGCATCTGACAGACTGGAACAGCAACCACACCCACAGGCGAGCATCTGACAGCCTGGAGCAACACTCACACCCCCAGGTGAGCATCTGACAGCCTGGAACAGCACGCACAGCCCCAGGAGAGCATCCGGCAGCCTGGAGCGGAACCCACGCCCACAGGCAAGCATATGACAGCCTGGGTCGGCACCCACACCCCCAAGTGAGCATCTGATGGTTTGCAGCAGCACCCACACCCACAGGTGAGCATCTGACAGCCTGGAACAGAATCCACACCCCCAGGTGAGCATCTGACAGACTGGAACACCACCCTGCACCCCCAGGTGAGCATCTGACGGCCTGCAACAGCACCCACACACCCAGGCGAGCATCTGATGGCCTGGAACGGCACCCACACCCCCAGGTGAGCATCCGACATCCTGAAACAGCTCCCACAACCCCAGGTGAGCATCCGATAGCCTGGAGCAACACCCATACCCCCAGGTGAGCATCTGACCGCATGGAATGGCATCCTCACCTCCAGGTGAGCATCCGACAGCCTGGAGCAGCACCCACACGCCCAGGTGAGCATCTGACAGCCTGGAACGGCAACCACACCCCCAGGCGAGCATCCGACAGCCTGGAACAGCACCAAAAACCCCAGGTGAGCATCTGACGGCCTGGAACAGCACCCACACCCCCAGGTGAGCATCTGACATCGTGCAGCAGCACCCCACACCCACAGGTGAGCATCTGACAGCCTGGAGCAGCACCCACACCCCAGGTGAGCATCTGACAGCCTGGAACAGCACCCTGCACACCCAGGTGAGCATCCGACAGCCTGGAGCACCACCCACACCCCCAGACGAGCATCTGACAGCTTAGAACAGCACCCATACCCCCAGGCGAGCATCTGACAGCATGTAACAGCACCCACACCCACAGGTGAGCATCTGACAGCCTGGAACAGCAGCCTGCACCCCCAGGTGTGCACGTGACAGCTTGGATCAGCACCCACACCCCCAGGCGAGCATCGGACGGCCTGGAACAGCACCCACAACCCCACGTGAGCATCTGACTGCCTGGAACAGCACCCACACCCCCAGGTGAGCATCTGACATCGTGGAGCAGCACCCACACCCCAGGTGAGCATCTGAGAGCCTGGAACAGCACCCTGCACCCCCAGGTGAGCATCCCACAGCCTGGAGCAGCACACACACCCACAAGCGAGCATCTGACAGCCTGGAACGGCACCCACACCCCTAGGTGAGCATCTGATGTTCTGGAGCATCACCCACAACCACAGGTGAGCATCGGAGAGTCTGGAGCAGCGCCCACACTGCAGGGCGAGCATCTGACAGCCTGGAGCAGTGCCCACACCCCCAGGTGAGCATCTGACACCATGGAGCAGCACCCACAGACCAAGGTGAGCATCTGACAACCTGGAGCAGCACCCACACTCCCAGGCGAGTATCTGTACGCACAGAGCAGCACCCACACCCCCAGGCGAGCATCCGACAGCCTGGAGCAGCACCCACACCCTCAGGTGAGCATCTGACAGCCTGGAGCAGAACCCACACCCCCAGGCGAGCATCTGACAGCCTGGGTCCGCACCCACACCCCCAGGTGCGCATCTGATGGTCTGGAGCAGAACCCACACCCACAGGTGAGCATCTGACAGCCTGGAACAGAACCCACACCCCCAGGTGAGCATCTGACAGACTGGAACGGCACCCCCATGCCCAGGTGAGCCTCTGACAGCCTGGAACAGCACCCTGCACCCCCAGGTGAGCATCTGACAGCCTGGAACAGCACGCACACCCCCAGGTGAGCATGTGACAGCCGGGAACAGCACCCACACCCACAGGCGAGCATCTGACTGCATGTATCAGCACCCACACCCCCAGGTGAGCATCTGACAGCCTGGAACAGCACCCTGCACCCCCAAGTGAGCATCCGACAGCCTGGAGAAGCACCCACACCCCCAGGCGAGCATCTGACAGCCTGGAACGGCACCCACACCCGCAGGTGAGCATCTGATGGTCTGGAGCAGCACGCATAACCACAGGTGAACATCGGAGAGTCTGGAGCAGCGCCCACACCCCCAGGCGAGCATCTGACAGCCTGGAGCAGTGCCCACACCCCCAGGTGAGCATCTGACAGCGTGGAGGAGCACCCACACCCCCAGGCGAGCATCTGAACGCACGGAGCAGCACCCACACCTCCAGGCGAGCATCCGACAGCCTGGAGCAGCACCCACACCCCCAGGTGCGCATGTGATGGTCTGGAGCAGCACCCACACCCACAGGTGAGCATCTGACAGCCTGGAACAGAACCCACACCCCCAGGTGAGCATCTGACAGACTGGAACAGCACCCACATGCCCAGCTGAGCCTGTGACAGCCTCGAACAGCACCCTGCACCCCCAGGGGAGCATCTGACAGCCTGGAACAGCACGCACACACCCAGGTGAGCATCTGACCGCCTGGAACAGCACACACACCCCCAGGCGAGCATCTGACAGCATGTAACAGCACCCACACACCCAGGTGAGCATCTGACAGCCTGGAACAGCACCCTGCACCCCCAGGTGCGCACGTGACAGCCTGGAACAGCACACACACCCCCAGGCGAGCATCTGACAGCCTGGAACGGCACCCACACCCCCAGGTGAGCATGTGACAGCCTGGATCAGCACCCACACCCCCAGGCGAGCATCTGACAGCCTGGAGCAGCACCCCACACCCCCAGGTGAGCATCGGACAGCCTGGAGCAGCACCCACACCCCCTGATGAGCATCTGACAGCCTGGAACAGCACCCACACTCCCAGACGAGCATCGGACAGCCTGGAGCAGCACCCACACTGCCAGGCGAGCATCCGCCAGCCTGGAAAAGCACCCACACCCCCAGGTGAGCATTCGACAGCCTGGAGCAGCACCCACAACCCCAGGCGTGCATCCGACAGCCTGGAGCAGGACCCACACCCCCAGGTGAACATCCGACATCGTGGAGTAGCACCCCACACCCACAGGTGAGCATCTGACAGCCTGGAACAGTACCCACACACACAGGCGAGCATCTGAACCCACGGAGCAGCACCCACACCTCCCGGCGAGCATCCGACAGCCTGGAGCAGCACCCACACCCCCAGGTGCGCATCTGATGGTCTGGAGCAGCACCCACAACCACAGGTGAGCATCTGACATCGTGGAACAGCACCCCAAACCCACAGGTGAGCATCCGACAGCCTGGAGCAGCACCCCCACCCCCAGGCGAGCATCTGACAGCCTGGAACGGCACCCACACCCCCAGGTGAGCATCTGATGGTCTGGAGCAGCACCCACAACCACAGGTGAGCATCCGACAGCCTGGAACAGCACCCACACACTCAGGCGAGCATCTGACATCCTTGAGCAGCACCCACACCCCCAGGTGAGCATCTGACAGCATGGAGCAGCACGCTGCACCGCCAGGTGACGATCTGACAGCCTGGAACAGCACCCACACCCCCAGGTGAGCAGCTGATATCCTGGAACAGCACCCACACCCCCAGGTGAGCATCTGACAGGCTGGAGCAGCACGCACACCCCCAGTTGAGCATCTGACAGCCGGGAACAGCACCCACACCCCCAGGTGAACATCCGACAGCCTGGAGCAGAACCCACACCCTGAGGCGAGCATCTGACAGCCTGGGTCGGCACCCACACCTCCAGGTGAGCATCTGATGGTCTGGAGCATTACCCACACCCACAGTTGAGCATCTGACAGCCTGGAACAGAACCCACATCCCCAGGTGAGCATCTGACAGACTGGAACAGCACCCACACGCCCAGGTGAGCCTCTGACAGCCTGGAACAGCACGCGCACCCCCAGGAGAGCATCTGACAGCCTGGAACAGGACCCACACCCCCAGGCGAGCATCTGACTGCATGTAACAGCACCCACACCCCCAGGTAAGCATCTGACAGCCTGGAACAGCACCCTGCACCCCCAGGTGCGCACGTGACAGCCTGGAACAGCACCCACACCCCCAGGCGAGCATCTGACGGCCTGGAAGGGCACCCACACCCCCAGGCGAGCATCGGACAGCCTGGAGCAGCACCCCACACCCCCAGGGGAGCATCCGACAGCCTGGAGCAGCACCCACACCCCCAGGGGAGCATGTGACAGCCTGGATCAGCACCCACACTCCCAGGCGAGCATCTGACAGCCTGGAGCAGAACCCCACACCCCCAGGTGAGCATCGGACAGCCTGGAGCAGCACCCACACGCCCAGGTGAGCATCTGACAGCCTGGAACAGCACCCACACCCCCAGGTGAGCATCCGACAGCCTGGAGCAGGACCCACACCCCTAGGTGAACATCCGACATTGTGGAGCAGCACCCCACACCCACAGGTGAGCATCTGACAGCCTGTAACAGTACCCACACCCACAGGCGAGCACCTGAACCCACGGAGCAGCACCCACACCTTCCGGCGCGCATCCGACAGCCTGGAGCAGCACCCACACCCCCAGGTGCGCATCTGATGGTCTGGAGTAGCACCCACAACCACAGGTGAGCCTCTGACAGCCTGGAACAGCACCCTGCACCCCCAGGAGAGCATCTGACAGCCTGGAACAGCGGGCACACCCCCAGGTGAGGATCTGACCGCCTGGAACAGCACCCACATCCCCAGGCGAGCATCTGACAGCATGTAACAGCACCCATACCCCCAGGTGAGCATCTGACAGCCTGGAACAGCACCCTGCACCCCCAGGTGCGCACGTGACAGCGTGGAACAGCACCCACACACCCAGGTGAGCATCTGACAGCCTGGAGCAGCACCCACATCCCCAGGTGAGCATCTGACAGCCTGGAACAGCACCCTGCACCCCCAGGTGAGCATCGGACACCCTGGAACAGCACACACACCCCCAGGCGAGCATCTGACACCCTGGAACTGCACACACACCCCCAGGCGAGCATCTGACAACCTGGAACAGCACCCATACGCCCAGATGAGCATCTGACAGCGTGGAACAGCACCCTGCACCCCCAGGAGAGCATCTGACAGCCTGGAACAGCACCCATACGCCCAGATGAGCATCTGACAGCCTGGAACAGCTCCCTGCACCCTCAGGTGCGCACATGACAGCCTGGAACAGCACCCACACACCCAGGCGAGCATCTGACGGCCTGGAAACGCACCCACAGACCGAGGTGAGCATCCGACATCCTGAAACAGCTCCCACACCCCCAGGTGAGCATCCCACATCCTGAAACAGCTCCCACACCCCCTGGTGAGCATCCGACAGCCTGGAGCAGCACCCATACCCCCAGGTGAGCATCTGACCGCATGGAATGGCATCCTCACCTCCAGGTGAGCATCGGAGAGTCTGGAGCAGCGCCCACACCCCCAGGCGAGCATCTGACAGCCTGGAGCAGTGCCCAGAGCCCCAGGTGAGCATCTGACAGCATGGTTCAGAACCCATAGCCCAAGGTGAGCATCTGACAACCTGGAGCAGCACCCATACCCCCAGGCGAGCATCTGAACTCACGGAGCAGCACCCACACCCCAAGGCGAGCATCCGACAGCCTGGAGCAGCAGCCACACCCCCAGGTGCGCATGTGATGGTCTGGAGCAGCACCCACACCCACAGGTGAGCATCTGACAGCCTGGAACAGAAACCCCACCCTCAGGTGAGCATCTGACAGACTGGAACAGCACCCACATGCCCAGGTGAGCCTCTGACAGCCTGGAACAGCACCCTGCACCCCCAGGTGAGCATCTGACAGCCTGGAACAGCACGCAAACCCCCAGGTGAGCATCTCACAGCTTGGAACAGCACCCCGCACCCCCAGGCGAGCATCTGACAGCATGTAACAGCACCCACACCCCCAGGTGAGCATCTGACAGCCTGGAACAGCAGCCTGCACCCCCAGGTGCGCATGTGATAGCCTGGAACAGCACCCACACCGCCAGGCGAGCATCTGACGGCCTGGAACAGCACCCACACCCCCAGGTGAGTATCTGACTGCCTGGAACAGCACCCACACCCCAAGGTGAGCATCTGACATCGTGGAGCAGCACCCCACACCCACAGGTGAGCATCTGACAGCCTGGAGCAGCACCCACACCCCAGGTGAGGATCTGACAGCCTGGAACAGCACCCTGCACACCCAGGTGAGCATCCGACAGCCTGGAGCAGCACCCACACCTCCAGGTGAGCATTTGACCTCCCAGAGCAGCACCCATACCCCCAGGCGAGCATCTGAACTCATGGAGCAGCACCCACACCCCCAGGCGAGCATCTGACCCAACGGAGCAGAACCCAGAACCCCAGGCGAGCATCTGACAGCCTGGAACAGCACCCACAACCACAGGTGAGCATCTGAAAGCCCGCAGCATCACCCGCACGCACAGATGAGAATCTGACAGCCCGGAGCAGCACCCACACCCCCAGGGGAGCATCTGACCGCATGGAGCAGCACCCACACCCCCAGGGGAGCATCTGACATCCTGGAGCAACACTGACAACCCCAGGTGAGCATCTGAGAGGCTGGAACAGCACCCACACCCCCAGGTGAGAATCTGACAGCCTGGAAGAGCACCCCACATCCCCGGGTGAGCATGCGATAGCCTGGAGCAGCACCCACACCCTCAGGTGAGCATCTGACAGCCTGGAACAGCAACCACACCACCATGCGAGCATCTGACAGCCTGGAGCAGCACCCACACCCCCAGGTGAGCATCTGACAGCCTGGAACAGAACCCACACCTCCAGGTGAGCATCTGACAGCCTGGAGCAGCACCCACACCCCCAGGTGAGCATCTGACAGCCTGGAACAGAACCCACACCTCCAGGTGAGCATCTGACAGACTGGAACAGCACCCACACCCCTAGGAGAGCATCCGGCAGCCTGGAGCGGAACCCACACCAACAGGCGAGCATCTGACAGCCTCGGTCAGCACCCACAAACCCAGGTGAGCATCTGATGCTTTGGAGCAGCACCCACACCTTCAGGTGAGCATCTGACAGCCTGGAACAGAACCCACACCGCCAGGGGAGTATCTGACAGACTGGAACAGCACCCTGCTTCCCCAGGTGAGCATCTGACGGCCTGGAACAGCACCCACACGCCCAGGTGAGCATCTGACAGCCTGCAACAGCACCCACACCCCCAGGTGAGAATCCGACAGCCTGGAGCAGCACCCACAACCCCAGGCGAGCATCCGACAGCCTGGAGCAGCACCCACACCCCCAGGTGAGCATCTGACAGCCTGGAACAGCAAACTGCACACCCAGGTGAGCATGCGACAGCCTGGAGCAGCACCCACACCTGCAGGCGAGCATCTGACAACCTGGAGCAGCACCCACACCCCCATGTGAGCATCTGATGGTCTGGAGCAGCACCCAAAACCACAGGTGAGCATCGGAGAGTCTGGAACAGAACCCACACCCCCAGGTGAGCATCTGACAGACTGGAACAGCACCCACATGCCCAGGTGAGACCCTGACAGCCTGGAACAGCACCCTGCACCCCCAGGTGCGCACGTGACAGCCTGGAACAGCACCGACACCCCCAGGTGAGCATCTGACGGCCTGCAACAGCACCCACATCCCCAGGTGAGCATTGGACAGCCTGGAGCAGCACCCACATTCCCAGGCAAGCATCTGAACGCAAATAGCAGCACCCACACCCCCAGGCGAGCATCCGACAGCCTGGAGCAGCACCCACACCCCCAGGTGTGCATGTGATGGTCTGGAGCAGCCCCCACACCCAGAGGTGAGCATCCGACAGCCAGGAGCAGCAACCTGCACACCCAGGTGAGCATCTGACAGTCTGGAACACCACGCACAACCCCAGGTGAGCATCTGACAGACTGGAACAGCTCCCACACCCCCAGGCGAGCATCTGACAGCATGTATCAGCACCCACACCCCCAGGTG
Source organism: Homo sapiens (assembly GCF_000001405.40). Classification (NCBI taxonomy): domain Eukaryota; kingdom Metazoa; phylum Chordata; class Mammalia; order Primates; family Hominidae; genus Homo; species Homo sapiens. Next base: position 2,692,034 of record NC_000001.11, read on the forward strand.
AGCATCTGACAGCCTGGAACAGCACCCACACCCCCAGGTGAACATCCGACAGCCTGGAGCAGAACCCACACCCCCAGGCGAGCATCTGACAGCCTGGGTCGGCACCCACAACCCCAGGCGAGCATCTGACGGCCTGGAACAGCACACACACCGCCAGGTGAGCATTGGACACCCTGGAGCAGCACCCACATCCCCAGGCGAGCATCCGACAGCCTGGAGCAGCACCCACACCCTCAGGTGAGCATCTGACAGCCTGGAGCAGCAGGCACACCCCCAGTGAGCATCTGACAGCCTGGAGCAGCGCCCACACACCGAGGTGAGCATCTGACAGCCTGGAGCAGCGTCCACACCCCCAGGTGAGCATCTGGCAGCCTGGAGCAGCACCCACACCCCCAGGTGAGCATCTGACTGCCTGGAGCAGCACCCACACCCCCAGGTGAGCATCTGACAGCCTGGAACAGCAGCCTGCACCCCCAGGTGTGCACGTGACAGCTTGGATCAGCACCCACACCCCCAGGCGAGCATCGGACGGCCTGGAACAGCACCCACACCCCCATGTGAGCATCTGACTGCCTGGAACAGCACCCACACCCCCAGGTGAGCATCTGACATCGTGGAGCAGCACCCCACACCCACAGGTGAGCTTCTGACAGCCTGGAGCAGCACCCACACCCCAGGTGAGCATCTGAGAGCCTGGAACAGCACCCTGCACCCCCAGGTGAGCATCCCACAGCCTGGAGCAGCACACACACCCACAAGCGAGCATCTGACAGCCTGGAACGGCACCCACACCCCTAGGTGAGCATCTGATGGTCTGGAGCATCACCCACAACCACAGGTGAGCATCGGAGAGTCTGGAGCAGCGCCCACACTGCAGGGCGAGCATCTGACAGCCTGGAGCAGTGCCCACACCCCCAGGTGAGCATCTGACACCATGGAGCAGCACCCACAGACCAAGGTGAGCATCTGACAACCTGGAGCAGCACCCACACTCCCAGGCGAGTATCTGTACGCACAGAGCAGCACCCACAACCCCAGGCGAGCATCCGACAGCCTGGAGCAGCACCCACACCCTCAGGTGAGCATCTGACAGCCTGGAGCAGAACCCACACCCCCAGGCGAGCATCTGACAGCCTGGGTCCGCACCCACACCCCCAGGTGCGCATCTGATGGTCTGGAGCAGAACCCACACCCACAGGTGAGCATCTGACAGCCTGGAACAGAACCCACACCCCCAGGTGAGCATCTGACAGACTGGAACTGCACCCCCATGCCCAGGTGAGCCTCTGACAGCCTGGAACAGCACGCACACCCCCAGGTGAGCATGTGACAGCCGGGAACAGCACCCACACCCACAGGCGAGCATCTGACTGCATGTATCAGCACCCACACCCCCAGGTGAGCATCTGACAGCCTGGAACAGCACCCTGCACCCCCAAGTGAGCATCCGACAGCCTGGAGAAGCACCCACACCCCCAGGCGAGCATCTGACAGCCTGGAACGGCACCCACACCCCCAGGTGAGCATCTGATGGTCTGGAGCAGCACGCATAACCACAGGTGAACATCGGAGAGTCTGGAGCAGCGCCCACACCCCCAGGCGAGCATCTGACAGCCTGGAGCAGTGCCCACACCCCCAGGTGAGCATCTGACAGCGTGGAGGAGCACCCACACCCCCAGGCAAGCATCTGAACGCAAGGAGCAGCACCCACACCTCCAGGCGAGCATCCGACAGCCTGGAGCAGCACCCACACCCCCAGGTGCGCATGTGATGGTCTGGAGCAGCACCCACACCCACAGGTGAGCATCTGACAGCCTGGAACAGAACCCACACCCCCAGGTGAGCATCTGACAGACTGGAACAGCACCCACATGCCCAGCTGAGCCTGTGACAGCCTCGAACAGCACCCTGCACCCCCAGGGGAGCATCTGACAGCCTGGAACAGCACGCACACACCCAGGTGAGCATCTGACCGCCTGGAACAGCACCCACACCCCCAGGCGAGCATCTCACAGCACGTAACAGCACCCACACACCCAGGTGAGCATCTGACAGCCTGGAACAGCACCCTGCACCCCCAGGTGCGCACGTGACAGCCTGGAACAGCACACACACCCCCAGGCGAGCATCTGACGGCCTGGAACGGCACCCACACCCCCAGGTGAGCATGTGACAGCCTGGATCAGCACCCACACCCCCAGGCGAGCATCTGACAGCCTGGAGCAGCACCCCACACCCCCAGGTGAGCATCGGACAGCCTGGAGCAGCACCCACACCCCCTGATGAGCATCTGACAGCCTGGAACAGCACCCACACTCCCAGACGAGCATCGGACAGCCTGGAGCAGCACCCACACTGCCAGGCGAGCATCCGCCAGCCTGGAAAAGCACCCACACCCCCAGGTGAGCATTCGACAGCCTGGAGCAGCACCCACAACCCCAGGCGTGCATCCGACAGCCTGGAGCAGGACCCACACCCCCAGGTGAACATCCGACATCGTGGAGTAGCACCCCACACCCACAGGTGAGCATCTGACAGCCTGGAACAGTACCCACACCCACAGGCGAGCATCTGAAACCACGGAGCAGCACCCACACCTCCCGGCGAGCATCTGACGGCCTGGAACAGCACACACACCGCCAGGTGACCATTGGACACCCTGGAGCAGCACCCACAACCACAGGTGAGCATCTGACATCGTGGAGCAGCACCCCAAACCCACAGGTGAGCATCCGACAGCCTGGAGCAGCACCCACACACCCAGGCGAGCATCTGACAGCCTGGAACGACACCCACACCCCCAGGTGAGCATCTGATGGTCTGGAGCAGCACCCACAACCACAGGTGAGCATCCGACAGCCTGGAACAGCACCCACACACTCACGCGAGCACCTGACATCCTTGAGCAGCACCCACACCCCCAGGTGAGCATCTGACAGCCTGGAGCAGCACCCTGCACCCCCAGGTGAGGATCTGACAGCCTGGAACAGCACCCTGCACCCCCAGGTGAGCATCTGACACACTGAAACAGCACACACACCCCCAGGCGAGCATCTGACAACCTGGAACAGCACCCATACGCCAAGATGAGCATCTGACAGCGTGGAACAGCACCCTGCACCCCCAGGAGAGCATCTGACAGCATGGAACAGCACCCATACGCCCAGATGAGCATCTGACAGCCTGGAATAGGTCCCTGCACCCCCAGGTGCGCACCTGACAGCCTGCAACAGCACCCACACACCCAGGCGAGCATCTGATGGCCTGGAACTGCACCCAGACGCCCAGGTGAGCATCCGACATCCTGAAACAGCTCCCACACCCCCAGGTGAGCATCCGACAGCCTGGAGCAGCACCCATACCCCCAGGTGAGCATCTGATCGCATGGAATGGCATCCTCACCTCCAGGTGAGCATCCGACAGCCTGGAGTAGCACCCACACCCCCAGGTGAGCATCTGACAGCCTGGAAGAGCAACCACACCCCCAGGCGAGTATCTGACAGCCTGGAACAGCATCCTGCACCCCAGGGTGAGGATCAGACAGCCTGGAGCAGCACCCACACTCCAGGTGAGCATCTGACAGCCTGAAGCAGCACCCACACCAACAGGTGAGCATCTGACCGCCTGGAACAGCACCCACACCCCCAGGTGAGCATCTGACAGCCTGGAACAGCACCCACACCCCCAGGTGAGCAGCTGAAATCCTGGAACAGCACCCACACCCCCAGGTGAGCATCTGACAGGCTGGAGCAGCACGCACACCCCCAGTTGAGCATCTGACAGCCTGGAACAGCATCCACACCCCCAGGTGAACATCCGACAGCCTGGAGCAGAACCCACACCCCGAGGCGAGCATCTGACAGCCTGGGTCGGCACCCACACCTCCAGGTGAGCATCTGATGGTCTGGAGCAGTACCCACACCCACAGTTGAGCATCTGATAGCCTGGAACAGAACCCACACCCCCAGGTGAGCATCTGACAGACTGGAACAGCACCCACACGCCCAGGTGAGCCTCTGACAGCCTGGAACAGCACGCGCACCCCCAGGTGAGCATCTGACAGCCTGGAACAGGACCCACACCCCCAGGCGAGCATCTGACTGCATGTAACAGCACCCACACCCCCAGGTAAGCATCTGACAGCCTGGAACAGCACCCTGCACCCCCAGGTGTGCACGTGACAGCCTGGAACAACACCCACACCCCCAGGAGAGCATCTGACTGCATGTAACAGCACCCACACCCCCAGGTAAGCATCTGACAGCCTGGAACAGCACCCTGCACCCCCAGGTGTGCACGTGACAGCCTGGAACAGCACCCACACCCCCAGGCGAGGATCGGACAGCCTGGAGCAGCACCCTACACCCCCAGGGGAGCATCCGACAGCCTGGAGCAGCACCCACACCCCCAGGTGAGCATGTGACAGCCTGGATCTGCACCCACACTCCCAGGCGAGCATCTGACAGCCTGGAGCAGCACCCCACACCCCCAGGTGAGCATCGGACAGCCTGGATCAGCACCCACACCCCCAGGTGAGCATCTGACAGCCTGGAACAGCACCCACACTCCCAGACGAGCATAGGACAGCCTGGAGCAGCACCCACATCGCCAGGCGAGCATCCGCCAGCCTGGAACAGCACCCACACCCCCAGGTGAGCATCCGACAGCCTGGAGCAGGACCCACACCCCTAGGTGAACATCCGACATCGTGGAGCAGCACCCCACACCCATAGGTGAGCATCTGACAGCCTGTAACAGTACCCACACCCACAGGCGAGCATCTGAACCCACGGAGCAGCACCCACACCTTCCGGCGAGCATCCGACAGCCTGGAGCAGCACCCACACCCCCAGATGCGCATCTGATGGTCTGGAGCAGCACCCACAACCACAGGTGAGCCTCTGACAGCCTGGAACAGCACCCTGCACCCCCAGGAGAGCATCTGACAGCCTGGAACAGCGCGCACACCCCCAGGTGAGGATCTGACCGCCTGGAACAGCACCCACACCCCCAGGCGAGCATCTGACAGCATGTAACAGCACCCACACCCCCAGGTGAGCATCTGACAGCCTGGAACAGCACCCTGCACCCCCAGGTGCGCACGTGACAGCGTGGAACAGCACCCACACACCCAGGTGAGCATCTGACATCCTGGAGCAGCACCCACATCCCCAGGTGAGCATCTGACAGCCTGGAACAGCACCCTGCACCCCCAGGTGAGCAAGTGACACCCTGGAACAGCACACACACCCCCAGGCGAGCATCTGACACCCTGGAACAGCACACACACCCCCAGGCGAGCATCTGACAACCTGGAACAGCACCCATACGCCCAGATGAGCATCTGACAGCGTGGAACAGCACCCTGCACCCCAAGGAGAGCATCTGACAGCCTGGAACAGCACCCATACGCCCAGATGAGCATCTGACAGCCTGGAACAGCTCCCTGCACCCCCAGGTGCGCACATGACAGCCTGGAACAGCACCCACACACCCAGGCGAGCATCTGATGGCCTGGAACCGCACCCACACCCCCAGGTGAGCATCCGACATCCTGAAACAGCTCCCACAACCCCAGGTGAGCATCCGACAGCCTGGAGCAGCACCCATACCCCCAGGTGAGCATCTGACCGCATGGAATGGCATCCTCACCTCCAGGTGAGCATCCGACAGCCTGGAGCAGCACCCACACCCCCAGGTGAGCATCTGACAGCCTGGAAGAGCAACCACACCCCCAGGCGAGCATCTGACAGCCTGGAACAGCACCCTGCACCCCCGGGTGAGGATCAGACAGCCTGGAGCAGCACCCACACTCCAGGTGAGCATCTGACAGCCTGAAGCAGCACCCACACCAACAGGTGAGCATCTGACAACCTGGAACAGCACCCACACCCCCAGGTGAGCAGCTGACCGCCTGGAACATCACCCACACCCCCAGGTGAGCATCTTATATCCTGGAACAGCACCCACACCTCCAGGTTAGCCTCTGACGGGCTGGAGCAGCACGCACACCGCCAGTTGAGCATCTGACAGCCTGGAACAGCACCCACACCCCCAGGTGAACATCCGACAGCCTGGAGCAGAACCCACACCCCCAGGTGAGCATCTGACAGACTGGAACAGCACCCACACGCTCAGGTGAGCCTCTGACAGCCTAGAACAGCACCCACACCCCCAGGCGAGCATCTGACAGCATGTAACAGCACCCACACCCCCAGGTAAGCATCTGACAGCCTGAAACAGAACCCTGCACCCCCGGTGCGCACGTGACAGCCTGGAACAGCACCCACACCCCCAGGCGAGCATCTGACGTCCTGGAACAGCACCCACACCCACAGGCGAGCATCGGACAGCCTGGAGCAGCACCCCACACACCCAGGTGAGTATCCGACAGCCTGGAGCAGCACCCACACCCCCAGGTGGGCATGTGACAGCCTGGATCAGCACCCACACTCCCAGGCGAGCATCTGACAGCCTGAAGCAGCACCCCACACCCCCAGGTGAGCATCGGGCAGCCTGGAGCAGCACCCACACCCCCAGATGAGCATCTGACAGCCTGGAACAGCACCCACACTCCCAGACGAGCATCGGACAGCCTGGAACAGCACCCACACCGCCAGGCCAGCATCCGCCAGCCTGGAACAGCACCCACACCCCCAGGTGAGCATTCGACAGCCTGGAGCAGCACCAACAACCCCAGGCTTGCATCCGACAGCCTGGAGCAGGACCCACACCCCCAGGTGAACATCCGACATCGTGGAGCAGCACCCCACACCCACAGGTGAGCATCTCACAGCCTGCAACAGTACCCACACTCCCAGGCGAGCATCTGACATCCTGGAGCAGCACCCACACCCCCAGGTGAGCATCTGACAGCCTGGAGTAGTATCCTGCACCCTCAGGTGAGCATCTGACAGCCTGGAACATCACCCTGCCCCCCCAGGTGAGCATCTGACAGCCTGGAAAGGCACCCACACCACCAGGTGAGCATCTGATGGTCTGGAGAAGCACCCACAACCACAGGTGAGCATCGGAGAGTCCGGAGCAGCGCCCACACACCCAAGTGAGCATCTGACAGCCTGGAGCAGTGCCCACACCCCCAGGTTAGCATCTGATAGTGTGGAGCAGCACCCACAGCCCAAGGTGAGCATCTGACAACCTGGAGCAGCACCCACACCCCCAGGTGAGCATCTGACCGCCCGGAGCAGCACCCATACCCCAAGGCGAGCATCTGAAGTCATGGAGCAGCACCCACACCCCCAGGCGAGCATCTGACCGCATGGAGCAGCAGCCACAACTCCAGGCGAGCATCTGACAGCCTGGAACAGCACCGCACACCCGCAGGTGAGCATCTGACAGCCTGGAACAGCACCCCACACCCCAAGGTGAGTATCTGACAGCCTGGAACATCACCCCGCACCCACAGGCGAGCATCTGACAGCCTGGAGCAGCACCCACACACCCAGGCGAGAATCTGACAGCCTGGAACACCACCCACATCCCCAGGTGAGCATCTGACAGCCTGGAGCAGCACCCACACCCCCAGGTGAGCATCTGACAGCCTGGAGCAGCACCCACACACCCAGGTCAGCATCTGACAGCCTGGTGAAGCGCCCAAACCCCAAGGTGAGCATCTGACAGCCTGGAGCAGCGCCCACACCTCCAGGTGAGCATCTGACAGCCTGGAGCAGCACCCACACCCCCATTTGAGCATCCGACAGCCTGGAGCAGCACCCACACCCCAGGTGAGCATCGGACATCCTCGAGCATCACATACTCCCCCAGGTGAGCATCCGACAGCCTGGAGCAGCGCCCACACCCCTAGATGAGCATCTGACAGCCTGGAGCAGCACCCATACCCGCAGTTGAGCATCTGACAGCCTGGAGCAGCTCCCACACACCCAGGTAAGCATCTGACAGCCTGGAGAAATGCTCACACCCCAAGGTGAGCATCTGACAGCCTGGAGCAGCGTCCACACCCCCAGGTGAGCATCTGATAGCCTGGAGCAGCGCCCACACCCAGAGGTGAGCATATGACCACCTGGAGCAGCACCCACAGTCCCAGGTGAGCATCCGAGAGCCTGGAGCAGCATCCTCACCCCAGGTGAGCATCGGACATCCTGGAGCATCACATACTCCCCCAGGTGAGCATCCGACAGCCTGGAGCAGCGCCGACCCCCCCAGGGTGAGCATCTGACAGCCTGGAGCAGCACCCACACGCCCAGGCGAGGATGCGATAGCCTGGAGCAGCACCCACACCCCCAGGTGAGCATCCGACAGTCTGGGGCAGCACCCACTCCCGCAGGTGAGCATCCGACAGCCTGGAGCAGCGCCCACAACCCCAGGTGAGTATCTGACAGCCTGGAGCAGCACCCACACCCCTAGGCGAGCATCCGACAGCCTGGAGCAGCACCTACACCCCCAGGTGAGCATCCGACAGCCTGGAACAGAATTCTCAAACCCCAGGTGAGGATCTGACAACCTGGAACAGAACCCCACTCTTCCAGGTGAGAATCTGACAACATTAAAACAGCACCCTGCACCCCCAGGTGAGCATCTGACAGCCTGAAACAGCACCCTTCACCTTCAGGTGAGAATATGACAGCCTGAAACAGCACCCCACACCCCAGGCAAAAATCTGACAGCATGGAACAAGACCACTGCTCCCAGGTGAGCATTTGACAACCTGGGAAAGCACCCTCCACCCACACGTGAGCATCTGACAGCCTGGAAACACCCCACTGCTTCCAGATGAACATCTGATAGCCTGGAACAGAACCCCAGGCCTCCAAGTAAGCATCTGAAAGCACGGAACAGCACTCTCGACCCCAGGGGAGCGTCTGACAACCTAGAACAGCACCTTCACCCCGAGGTGGGCATCTGGCAGCATAAAACAGCACCCCTACTGGCAGATGAGCATATGACAGCCTGGAACAGCACCCACACCCCCAGGCGAGCATCTGACAGCCTGGAGCAGCACACACAACCTTAGGCGAGCATCTGACAGCCTGGAGCAGCGCCCACACCCCCAGGTGAGCATGTGACAGCCTGGAGCAGCGCCCACACCCCCGGGCGAGCATCTGACAGCCGGGAGCAGCACCCACACCCCCAGGTGAGCATCTGACAGCCTGGGGCGGCGCCCACAGCCCCAGGTGAGCATCTGACAGCCCGGAGCAGCGTCCACACCCCCAGGTGAGCATCTGGCAGCCTGGAGCAGCACCCACACCCCCAGGTGAGCATCTGACTGCCTGGAGCAGCACCCACACCCCCAGGTGAGCATCTGACAGCCTGGAGCAGCGCCCACACACCGAGGTGAGCATCTGACAGCCTGGAGCAGCGCCCACACCCCCAGGTGAGCATCTGACAGCGTGGAGCAGCGCCCACACCCCCAGGTGGGCATCTGACAGCCTGGAGCAGGCGCCCACAATCCCAGGTTAGCATCTGACAGCCTGGAGCAGCACCCACACCCCCAGTTGAGTAGCTGACATCCTGGAGCTGCACCCATACCCCCAGGTGAGATCTGACAGCCTGGGTCAGCACCCACACCCCCAGGTGAGCATCTGGCAACCTGGAACAGCATCTACAGCCCCAGGTGACCATCTGACAGCCTGAAGCAGCACCCACACCCCCAGGTGAGCATGTGACCACATGGAATGTCATCCTCACCTCCAGGTGAGCATCGGACAGCCTGGAACAGAATTCTCAAGCCCCAGGTGAGGATCTGACAACCTGGAACAGAACCCCACTCTTCCAGGTGAGAATCTGACAGCATAAAACAGCACCCTGCACCCCCAGGTGAGCATCTGACAGCCTGAAACAGCACCCTCCACCTTCAGGTGAGAATATGACAGCCTGAAACAGCACCCCGCACCCAGGCAAAAATCTGACAGCATGGAACAAGACTACTGCCCCCAGGTGGGCATTTGACAGCCTGGGAAAGCACCCTCTACCCACACGTGAGCATCTGACAGCCTGGAAACCCCCCCACTGCTTCCAGGTGAACATCTGATAGCCTGGAACAGAACCCCAGGCCTCCCAGTAAGCATCTGAAAGCAAGGAACAGCACTCTCACCCCCAGGGGAGCATCTGACAACCTAGAACAGCACCCTCACCCCGAGGTGGGCATCTGGCAGCATAAAACAGCACCCCTACTGGCAGATGAGCATATGACAGCCTGGAACAGCACCCACACCCGCTGGCGAGAATCTGACAGCCTGGAGCAACACCCACACCCCCAGGTGAGCATCTGACAGCCTGGAGCAGCGCCCACACCCCCAGGTGAGCATCTTACAGCCTGGAGCAGCGCCCACACCCCCAGGTGAGCATCTGACAGCCTGGAGCAGCACCCACACTCCCAGGTGAGTATCTGACAGCCTGGAGTAGCACCCACACCCCCAGGTGAGCATCTGACAGCCTGGAACAGCATCCACTCCCCCAGGTGAGCATCTGACCACATTGAATGGCATCCTCACCTCCAGGTGAGCATCTGACAGCCTGGAACCGCACCCACACCCCCAGGCGAGCATCTGACAGCCTGGAGCAGCACCCACACCCCCAGGTGAGCATCTGACAGCCTGGAGCAGCACCCACACCCCCAGGGGAGTATCTGACCGCATGGAATGTCATCCTCACTTCCAGGTGAGCATCCGACAGCCTGGAGCAGCACCCACACCCCCAGGTGAGCATCTGACCGCATGGAATGGCATCCTCACCTCCAGGTGAGCATCCGACAGCCTGGAACAGAATTC